>NC_000007.14:59509317-60250911 GCF_000001405.40 Homo sapiens
GTCATTGTTGGGCATTTGGCTTGGTTCCAAGTCTTTGCTATTGTGAATACTGCCGCAATAAACATACGTGTGCATGATTTATAATCCTTTGGGTATATACCCAGTAATGGGATCAGCAAACTGTCGAAAGGACAAAAAACCAAACACCACATGTTCTCACTCATAGGTGGGAATTGAACAATGAGAACACATGGACACAGGAAGGGGAACATCACACACTGGGGCGTGTGTTGGGTGGGGGCACGCAGCACAAATAAGTTACTGAGAATTCTTCAATCATTCTCAGAAACTACTTTGTGATGTGTGCCTTCAACTCACAGAGTTTAACCTTTCTTTTCTTAGAGCAGCTTAGAAACACTCTGCTTGTTATGTCTGCAAGTGGATATTTGGACCTCTTTGAGGCCTTCGTTGCAAACAGGGTTTCTTCCTTTAATGCTAGACTAAGAAGAGTTCTCAGTAACTTTTTTGTGTTGTGTGTATTCAACTCACAGAGCTGAACCTTGCTTTAGAGAGAGCAGATTTGAAACACTCTTGCTGTGGCATTTTCAGGTGGAGATTTCAAGCGATTTGAGGACAATTGCAGAAAAGGAAATATCTTCGTATAACAACCAGACAGAATCATTCTCAGAAAGTGCTTTGTGATGTGTGCGTTCAACTCACAGAGTTTAACCTTTCTTTTCATAGAGGAGTTTGGAAACACACTGTTTGTAAAGTCTGCAATTGGATATATGGACCTGTTTGAGGCCTTCGTTGGAAACGGGATTTCTTCATTGCATGCTAGACGGAAGAATTCTCAGTAAATACTTTGTGTTGTGCGCATTCAACTGACAGAGTGGAACGTCCCTTTAGACAGAGCAGATTTGAAACACTCTTTTTGCGGAATTTGCAAGTGGAGATTTCTAGCCATTTGATGCCAACAGTAGAAAGGGAAATATCTTCAAATAAAAACCAGACAGAATCATTCTCAGAAAATTCTTTGTGATGTGTGCGTTCAACTCACATAGTTTAACCTTTCTTTTCATAGAGCAGTTTGGAAACACTCTTTTTGTAAAGTCTGCAAGTGGATATATGGACCTGTTTGAGGCCTTCGTTGGAAACGGGATTTCTTCATTGAATGCTAGACGGAAGAATTCTCAGTAAATTCTTTGTGTTGTGTGCATTCAACTCACAGAGTGGAACGTCCCTTTAGACAGAGCAGATTTGAAACACTCTTTTTGCGGAATTTGCTAGTGGAGATTTCTAGCCATTTGATGCCAACAGTAGAAAGGGAAATATCTTCAAATAAAAACCAGACAGAATCATTCTCAGAAAATTCTTTGTGATGTGTGCGTTCAACTCACATAATTTAACCTTTCTTTTCATAGAGCAGTTTGGAAACACTCTGTTTGTAAAGTCTGCAAGTGGATATATGGACCTCATTGAGGCCTTCGTTGGAAACGGGATTTCTTCATTTCATGCTAGCCAGAAGAATTCTCAGTAACTTCTTTGTGTTGTGTGTATTCAACTTACAGTTTGGAACGTCCCTTTACACAGAGCAGATTTGAAACACTCTTTTTGTGGAATTTGCAAGTGGAGATTTCAAGCGATTTGATGCCAACAGTAGAAAAGGAAATATCTTCAAATAAAAACTAGACACAATCATTCTCAGAAAGTGCTTTGTGATGTGTGCGTTCAACTCACAGTGTTTAACCTTTTTTTTCTTAGAGGAGTTTGGAAACACACTGTTTGTAAAGTCTGCAATTGGATATATGGACCTGTTTGAGGCCTTCGTTGGAAACGGGATTTCTTCATTGAATGCTAGACGGAAGAATTCTCAGTAAATTCTTTGTGTTGTGTGCATTCAACTCACAGAGTGGAACGTCCCTTTAGACAGAGCAGATTTGAAACACTCTTTTTGCGGAATTTGCAAGTGGAGATTTCTAGCCATTTGATGCCAACAGTAGAAAGGGAAATATCTTCAAATAAAAACCAGACAGAATCATTCTCAGAAAATTCTTTGTGATGTGTGCGTTCAACTCACATAGTTTAACCTTTCTTTTCATAGAGCAGTTTGGAAACACTCTGTTTGTAAAGTCTGCAAGTGGATATATGGACCGCATTGAGGCCTTCGTTGGAAACGGGATTTCTTCATTTCATGCTAGACAGAAGAATTTTCAGTAACTTCTTTGTGCTGTGTGTATTCAACTCACAGAGTGGAACGTCCCTTTGTACAGAGCAGATTTGAAACACTCTTTTTGTGGAGTTTGCAAGTGGAGATTTCAAGCGATTTGATGCCAACAGTAGAAAAGGAAATATCTTCAAATAAAAACTAGACAGAATCATTCTCAGAAACTACTTTGTGATGTGTGCCTTTAACTCACAGAGTTTAACCTTTCTTTTCTTAGAGCAGTTTAGAAACACTCTGCTTGTTATGTCTGCAAGTGGATATTTGGACCTCTTTGAGGCCTTCGTTGCAAACGGGTTTTCTTCCTTTAATGCTAGACTAAGAAGAGTTCTCAGTAACTTTTTTGTGTTGTGTGTATTCAACTCACAGAGTTGAACCTTGCTTTAGAGAGAGCAGATTTGAAACACTCTTGCTGTGGCATTTTCAGGTGGAGATTTCAAGCGATTTGAGGACAATTGCAGAAAAGGAAATATCTTCGTATAATAACCAGACAGAATCATTCTCAGAAAGTGCTTTGTGATGTGTGCGTTCAACTCACAGAGTTTAACCTTTCTTTTCATAGAGGAGTTTGGAAACACACTGTTTGTAAAGTCTGCAATTGGATATATGGACCTGTTTGAGGCCTCCGTTGGAAACGGGATTTCTTCATTGAATGCTAGACGGAAGAATTCTCAGTAAATTCTTTGTGTTGTGTGCATTCAACTCACAGAGTGGAACGTCCCTTTAGACAGAGCAGATTTGAAACACTCTTTTTGCGGAATTTGCAAGTGGAGATTTCTAGCCATTTGATGCCAACAGTAGAAAGGGAAATATCTTCAAATAAAAACCAGACAGAATCATTCTCAGAAAATTCTTTGTGATGTGTGCGTTCAACTCACATAGTTTAACCTTTCTTTTCATAGAGCAGTTTGGAAACACTCTGTTTGTAAAGTCTGCAAGTGGATATATGGACCGCATTGAGGCCTTCGTTGGAAACGGGATTTCTTCATTTCATGCTAGACAGAAGAATTCTCAGTAACTTCTTTGTGCTGTGTGTATTCAACTCACAGAGTGGAACGTCCCTTTGCACAGAGCAGATTTGAAACACTCTTTTTGTGGAGTTTGCAAGTGGAGATTTCAAGCGATTTGATGCCAACAGTAGAAAAGGAAATATCTTCAAATAAAAACTAGACAGAATCATTATCAGAAAGTGCTTTGTGATGTGTGCATTCAACTCACAGAGTTAACCTTTCTTTTCATAAAGGAGTTTGGAAACACACTGTTTGTAAAGTCTGCAATTGGATATATGGACCTGTTTGAGGCCTTCGTTGGAAATGGGATTTCTTCATTGAATGCTAGACGGAAGAATTCTCAGTAAATTCTTTGTGTTGTGTGCATTCAACTCACAGAGTGGAACGTCCCTTTAGACAGAGCAGATTTGAAACACTCTTTTTGCGGAATTTGCAAGTGGAGATTTCTAGCCATTTGATGCCAACAGTAGAAAGGGAAATATCTTCAAATAAAAACCAGACAGAATCATTCTCAGAAAATTCTTTGTGATGTGTGCGTTCAACTCACATAGTTTAACCTTTCTTTTCATAGAGCAGTTTGGAAACACTCTGTTTGTAAAGTCTGCAAGTGGATATATGGACCGCATTGAGGCCTTCGTTGGAAACGGGATTTCTTCATTTCATGCTAGACAGAAGAATTCTCAGTAACTTCTTTGTGCTGTGTGTATTCAACTCACAGAGTGGAACGTCCCTTTACACAGAGCAGATTTGAAACACTCTTTTTGTGGAGTTTGCAAGTGGAGATTTCAAGCGATTTGATGCCAACAGTAGAAAAGGAAATATCTTCAAATAAAAACTAGACAGAATCATTCTCAGAAACTACTTTGTGATGTGTGCCTTCAACTCACAGAGTTTAACCTTTCTTTTCTTAGAGCAGTTTAGAAACACTCTGCTTGTTATGTCTGCAAGTGGATATTTGGACCTCTTTGAGGCCTTCGTTGCAAACGGGGTTTCTTCCTTTAATGCTAGACTAAGAAGAGTTCTCAGTAACTTTTTTGTGTTGTGTGCATTCAACTCACAGAGTGGAACGTCCCTTTAGACAGAGCAGATTTGAAACACTCTTTTTGCGGAAGTTGCAAGTGGAGATTTCTAGCCATTTGATGCCAACAGTACAAAGGGAAATATCTTCAAATAAAAACTAGACAGAATCATTCTCAGAAAATTCTTTGTGATGTGTGCGTTCAACTCACATAGTTTAACCTTTCTTTTCATAGAGCAGTTTGGAAACACTCTGTTTGTAAAGTCTGCAAGTGGATCTATGGACCGCATTGAGGCCTTCGTTGGAAACGGGATTTCTTCATTTCATGCTAGACAGAAGAATTCTCAGTAACTTCTTTGTGCTGTGTGTATTCAACTCACAGAGTGGAACGTCCCTTTACACAGAGCAGATTTGAAACACTCTATTTGTGGAGTTTGCAAGTGGAGATTTCAAGCGATTTGATGCCAACAGTAGAAAAGGAAATATCTTCAAATAAAAACTAGACAGAATCATTCTCAGAAACTACTTTGTGATGTGTGCCTTCAACTCACAGAGTTTAACCTTTCTTTTCTTAGAGCAGTTTAGAAACACTCTGCTTGTTATGTCTGCAAGTGGATATTTGGACCTCTTTGAGGCCTTCGTTGCAAACGGGGTTTCTTCCTTTCATGCTAGACTAAGAAGAGTTCTCAGTAACTTTTTTGTGTTGTGTGTATTCAACTCACAGAGTTGAACCTTGCTTTAGAGAGAGCAGATTTGAAACACTCTTGCTGTGGCATTTTCAGGTGGAGATTTCAAGCGATTTGAGGACAATTGCAGAAAAGGAAATATCTTCGTATAATAACCAGACAGAATCATTCTCAGAAAGTGCTTTGTGATGTGTGCGTTCAACTCACAGAGTTTAACCTTTCTTTTCATAGAGGAGTTTGGAAACACACTGTTTGTAAAGTCTGCAAGTGGATATATGGACCTCTTTGAGGCCTTCGTTGGAAACGGGATTTCTTCATTGAATGCTAGACGGAAGAATTCTCAGTAAATTCTTTGTGTTGTGTGCATTCAACTCACAGAGTGGAACGTCCCTTTAGACAGAGCAGATTTGAAACACTCTTTTTGCGGAATTTGCAAGTGGAGATTTCTAGCCATTTGATGCCAACAGTAGAAAGGGAAATATCTTCAAATAAAAACCAGACAGAATCATTCTCAGAAAATTCTTTGTGATGTGTGCGTTCAACTCACATAGTTTAACCTTTCTTTTCATAGAGCAGTTTGGAAACACTCTGTTTGTAAAGTCTGCAAGTGGATATATGGACCGCATTGAGGCCTTCGTTGGAAACGGGATTTCTTCATTTCATGCTAGACAGAAGAATTCTCAGTAACTTCTTTGTGCTGTGTGTATTCAACTCACAGAGTTGAACCTTGCTTTAGAGAGAGCAGATTTGAAACACTCTTGCTGTGGCATTTCCAGGTGGAGATTTCAAGCGATTTGAGGAAAATTGCAGAAAAGGGAATATCTTCGTATAATAACCAGACAGAATCATTCTCAGAAAGTGCTTTGTGATGTGTGCGTTCCACTCACAGAGTTTAACCTTTCTTTTCATAGAGGAGTTTGGAAACACACTGTTTGTAAACTCTGCAAGTGGATATATGGACCTGTTTGAGGCCTTCGTTGGAAACGGGATTTCTTCATTGAATGCTAGACGGAAGAATTCTCAGTAAATTCTTTGTGTTGTGTGCATTCAACTGACAGAGTGGAACTGTCCCTTTAGACAGAGCAGATTTGAAACACTCTTTTTGCGGAATTTGCAAGTGGAGATTTCTAGCCATTTGATGCCAACAGTAGAAAGGGAAATATCTTCAAATAAAAACCAGACAGAATCATTCTCAGAAAATTCTTTGTGATGTGTGCGTTCAACTCACATAGTTTAACCTTTCTTTTCATAGAGCAGTTTGGAAACACTCTGTTTGTAAAGTCTGCAAGTGGATATATGGACCGCATTGAGGCCTTCGTTGGAAACGGGATTTCTTCATTTCATGCTAGACAGAAGAATTCTCAGTAACTTCTTTGTGCTGCGTGTATTCAACTCACAGAGTGGAACGTCCCTTTGCACAGAGCAGATTTGAAACACTCTTTTTGTGGAGTTTGCAAGTGGAGATTTCAAGCGATTTGATGCCAACAGTAGAAAAGGAAATATCTTCAAATAAAAACTAGACAGAATCATTCTCAGAAACTACTTTGTGATGTGTGCCTTCAACTCACAGAGTTTAACCTTTCTTTTCTTAGAGCAGTTTAGAAACACTCTGCTTGTTATGTCTGCAAGTGGATATTTGGACCTCTTTGAGGCCTTCGTTGCAAACGGGGTTTCTTCCTTTAATGCTAGACTAAGAAGAGTTCTCAGTAACTTTTTTGTGTTGTGTGTATTCAACTCACAGAGTTGAACCATGCTTTAGAGAGAGCAGATTTGAAACACTCTTGCTGTGGCATTTTCAGGTGGAGATTTCAAGCGATTTGAGGACAATTGCAGAAAAGGAAATATCTTCGTATAATAACCAGACAGAATCATTCTCAGAAAGTGCTTTGTGATGTGTGCGTTCAACTCACAGAGTTTAACCTTTCTTTTCATAGAGGAGCTTGGAAACACACTGTTTGTAAAGTCTGCAATTGGATATACAGACCTGTTTGAGGCCTCCGTTGGAAACGGGATTTCTTCATTGAATGCTAGACGGAAGAATTCTCAGTAAATTCTTTGTGTTGTGTGTATTGAACTCACAGAGTGGAACGTCCCTTTAGACAGAGCAGATTTGAAACACTCTTTTTGCGGAATTTGCAAGTGGAGATTTCTAGCCATTTGATGTCAACAGTAGAAAGGGAAATATCTTCAAATAAAAACCAGACAGAATCATTCTCAGAAAATTCTTTGTGATGTGTGCGTTCAACTCACATAGTTTAACCTTTCTTTTCATAGAGCAGTTTGGAAACACTCTGTTTGTAAAGTCTGCAAGTGGATATATGGACCGCATTGAGGCCTTCGTTGGAAACGGGATTTCTTCATTTCATGCTAGACAGAAGAATTCTCAGTAACTTCTTTGTGCTGTGTGTATTCAACTCACAGAGTGGAACGTCCCTTTGCACAGAGCAGATTTGAAACACTCTTTTTGTGGAATTTGCAAGTGGAGATTTCAAGCGATTTGATGCCAACAGTAGAAAAGGAAATATCTTCAAATAAAAACTAGACAGAATCATTCTCAGAAACTACTTTGTGATGTGTGCCTTCAACTCACAGAGTTTAACCTTTCTTTTCTTAGAGCAGTTTAGAAACACTCTGCTTGTTATGTCTGCAAGTGGATATTTGGACCTCTTTGAGGCCTTCGTTGCAAACGGGGTTTCTTCCTTTCATGCTAGACTAAGAAGAGTTCTCAGTAACTTTTTTGTGTTGTGTGTATTCAACTCACAGAGTTGAACCTTGCTTTAGAGAGAGCAGATTTGAAACACTCTTGCTGTGGCATTTTCAGGTGGAGATTTCAAGCGATTTGAGGACAATTGCAGAAAAGGAAATATCTTCGTATAATAACCAGACAGAATCATTCTCAGAAAGTGCTTTGTGATGTGTGCGTTCCACTCACAGAGTTTAACCTTTCTTTTCATAGAGGAGTTTGGAAACACACTGTTTGTAAAGTCTGCAAGTGGATATATGGACCTGTTTGAGGCCTTCGTTGGAAACGGGATTTCTTCATTGAATGCTAGACGGAAGAATTCTCAGTAAATTCTTTGTGTTGTGTGCATTCAACTCACAGAGTGGAACGTCCCTTTAGACAGAGCAGATTTGAAACACTCTTTTTGCGGAATTTGCAAGTGGAGATTTCTAGCCATTTGATGCCAACAGTAGAAAGGGAAATATCTTCAAATAAAAACCAGACAGAATCATTCTCAGAAAATTCTTTGTGATGTGTGCGTTCAACTCACATAGTTTAACCTTTCTTTTCATAGAGCAGTTTGGAAACACTCTGTTTGTAAAGTCTGCAAGTGGATATATGTACCGCATTGAGGCCTTCGTTGGAAACGGGATTTCTTCATTTCATGCTAGACAGAAGAATTCTCAGTAACTTCTTTGTGCTGTGTGTATTCAACTCACAAAGTGGAACGTCCCTTTACACAGAGCAGATTTGAAACACTCTTTTTGTGGAGTTTGCAAGTGGAGATTTCAAGCGATTTGATGCCAACAGTAGAAAAGGAAATATCTTCAAATAAAAACTAGACAGAATCATTCTCAGAAACTACTTTGTGATGTGTGCCTTCAACTCACAGAGTTTAACCTTTCTTTTCTTAGAGCAGTTTAGAAACACTCTGCTTGTTATGTCTGCAAGTGGATATTTGGACCTCTTTGAGGCCTTCGTTGCAAACGGGGTTTCTTCCTTTCATGCTAGACTAAGAAGAGTTCTCAGTAACTTTTTTGTGTTGTGTGTATTCAACTCACAGAGTTGAACCTTGCTTTAGAGAGAGCAGATTTGAAACACTCTTGCTGTGGCATTTTCAGGTGGAGATTTCAAGCGATTTGAGGACAATTGCAGAAAAGGAAATATCTTCGTATAATAACCAGACAGAATCATTCTCAGAAAGTGCTTTGTGATGTGTGCGTTCCACTCACAGAGTTTAACCTTTCTTTTCATAGAGGAGTTTGGAAACACACTGTTTGTAAACTCTGCAAGTGGATATATGGACCTGTTTGAGGCCTTCGTTGGAAACGGGATTTCTTCATTGAATGCTAGACGGAAGAATTCTCAGTAAATTCTTTGTGTTGTGTGCATTCAACTCACAGAGTGGAACGTCCCTTTAGACAGAGCAGATTTGAAACACTCTTTTTGCGGAATTTGCAAGTGGAGATTTCTAGCCATTTGATGCCAACAGTAGAAAGGGAAATATCTTCAAATAAAAACCAGACAGAATCATTCTCAGAAAATTCTTTGTGATGTGTGCGTTCAACTCACATAGTTTAACCTTTCTTTTCATAGAGCAGTTTGGAAACACTCTGTTTGTAAAGTCTGCAAGTGGATATATGGACCGCATTGAGGCCTTCGTTGGAAACGGGATTTCTTCATTTCATGCTAGACAGAAGAATTCTCAGTAACTTCTTTGTGCTGTGTGTATTCAACTCACAGAGTGGAACGTCCCTTTACACAGAGCAGATTTGAAACACTCTTTTTGTGGAGTTTGCAAGTGGAGATTTCAAGCGATTTGATGCCAACAGTAGAAAAGGAAATATGCTTCAAATAAAAACTAGACAGAATCATTCTCAGAAACTACTTTGTGATGTGTGCCTTCAACTCACAGAGTTTAACCTTTCTTTTCTTAGAGCAGCTTAGAAACACTCTGCTTGTTATGTCTGCAAGTGGATATTTGGACCTCTTTGAGGCCTTCGTTGCAAACAGGGTTTCTTCCTTTAATGCTAGACTAAGAAGAGTTCTCAGTAACTTTTTTGTGTTGTGTGTATTCAACTCACAGAGTTGAACCTTGCTTTAGAGAGAGCAGATTTGAAACACTCTTGCTGTGGTATTTTCAGGTGGAGATTTCAAGCGATTTGAGGACAATTGCAGAAAAGGAAATATCTTCGTATAATAACCAGACAGAATCATTCTCAGAAAGTGCTTTGTGATGTGTGCGTTCCACTCACAGAGTTTAACCTTTCTTTTCATAGAGGAGTTTGGAAACACACTGTTTGCAAACTCTGCAAGTGGATATATGGACCTGTTTGAGGCCTTCGTTGGAAACGGGATTTCTTCATTGAATGCTAGACGGAAGAATTCTCAGTAAATTCTTTGTGTTGTGTGCATTCAACTCACAGAGTGGAACGTCCCTTTAGACAGAGCAGATTTGAAACACTCTTTTTGCGGAATTTGCAAGTGGAGATTTCTAGCCATTTGATGCCAACAGTAGAAAGGGAAATATCTTCAAATAAAAACCAGACAGAATCATTCTCAGAAAATTCTTTGTGATGTGTGCGTTCAACTCACATAGTTTAACCTTTCTTTTCATAGAGCAGTTTGGAAACACTCTGTTTGTAAAGTCTGCAAGTGGATATATGGACCGCATTGAGGCCTTCGTTGGAAACGGGATTTCTTCATTTCATGCTAGACAGAAGAATTCTCAGTAACTTCTTTGTGCTGTGTGTATTCAACTCACAGAGTGGAACGTCCCTTTGCACAGAGCAGATTTGAAACACTCTTTTTGTGGAGTTTGCAAGTGGATATTTCAAGCGATTTGATGCCAACAGTAGAAAAGGAAATATCTTCAAATAAAAACTAGACAGAATCATTCTCAGAAACTACTTTGTGATGTGTGCCTTCAACTCACAGAGTTTAACCTTTCTTTTCTTAGAGCAGTTTAGAAACACTCTGCTTGTTATGTCTGCAAGTGGATATTTGGACCTCTTTGAGGCCTTCGTTGCAAACGGGGTTTCTTCCTTTAATGCTAGACTAAGAAGAGTTCTCAGTAACTTTTTTGTGTTGTGTGTATTCAACTCACAGAGTTGAACCTTGCTTTAGAGAGAGCAGATTTGAAACACTCTTGCTGTGGCATTTTCAGGTGGAGATTTCAAGCGTTTTGAGGACAATTGCAGAAAAGGAAATATCTTCGTATAATAACCAGACAGAATCATTCTCAGAAAGTGCTTTGTGATGTGTGCGTTCCACTCACAGAGTTTAACCTTTCTTTTCATAGAGGAGTTTGGAAACACACTGTTTGTAAACTCTGCAAGTGGATATATGGACCTGTTTGAGGCCTTCGTTGGAAACGGGATTTCTTCATTGAATGCTAGACGGAGGAATTCTCAGTAAATTCTTTGTGTTGTGTGCATTCAACTCACAGAGTGGAACGTCCCTTTAGACAGAGCAGATTTGAAACACTCTTTTTGCGGAATTTGCAAGTGGAGATTTCTAGCCATTTGATGCCAACAGTAGAAAGGGAAATATCTTCAAATAAAAACCAGACAGAATCATTCTCAGAAAATTCTTTGTGATGTGTGCGTTCAACTCACATAGTTTAACCTTTCTTTTCATAGAGCAGTTTGGAAACACTCTGTTTGTAAAGTCTGCAAGTGGATATATGGACCGCATTGAGGCCTTCGTTGGAAACGGGATTTCTTCATTTCATGCTAGACAGAAGAATTCTCAGTAACTTCTTTGTGCTGTGTGTATTCAACTCACAGAGTGGAACGTCCCTTTGCACAGAGCAGATTTGAAACACTCTTTTTGTGGAGTTTGCAAGTGGAGATTTCAAGCGATTTGATGCCAACAGTAGAAAAGGAAATATCTTCAAATAAAAACTAGACAGAATCATTCTCAGAAACTACTTTGTGATGTGTGCCTTCAACTCACAGAGTTTAACCTTTCTTTTCTTAGAGCAGTTTAGAAACACTCTGCTTGTTATGTCTGCAAGTGGATATTTGGACCTCTTTGAGGCCTTCGTTGCAAACGGGGTTTCTTCCTTTCATGCTAGACTAAGAAGAGTTCTCAGTAACTTTTTTGTGTTGTGTGTATTCAACTCACAGAGTTGAACCTTGCTTTAGAGAGAGCAGATTTGAAACACTCTTGCTGTGGCATTTTCAGGTGGAGATTTCAAGCGATTTGAGGACAATTGCAGAAAAGGAAATATCTTCGTATAATAACCAGACAGAATCATTCTCAGAAAGTGCTTTGTGATGTGTGCGTTCAACTCACAGAGTTTAACCTTTCTTTTCATAGAGGAGTTTGGAAACACACTGTTTGTAAAGTCTGCAAGTGGATATATGGACCAGTTTGAGGCCTTCGTTGGAAACGGTATTTCTTCATTGAATGCTAGACGGAAGAATTCTCAGTAAATTCTTTGTGTTGTGTGCATTCAACTCACAGAGTGGAACGTCCCTTTAGACAGAGCAGATTTGAAACACTCTTTTTACGGAATTTGCAAGTGGAGATTTCTAGCAATTTGATGCCAACAGTAGAAAGGGAAATATCTTCAAATAAAAACCAGACAGAATCATTCTCAGAAAATTCTTTGTGATGTGTGCGTTCAACTCACATAATTTAACCTTTCTTTTCATAGAGCAGTTTGGAAACACTCTGTTTGTAAAGTCTGCAAGTGGATATATGGACCGCATTGAGGCCTTCGTTGGAAACGGGATTTCTTCATTTCATGCTAGACAGAAGAATTCTCAGTAACTTCTGTGTGCTGTGTGTATTCAACTCACAGAGTGGAACGTCCCTTTGCACAGAGCAGATTTGAAACACTCTTTTTGTGGAATTTGCAAGTGGAGATTTCAAGCGATTTGATGCCAACAGTAGAAAAGGAAATATCTTCAAATAAAAACTAGACAGAATCATTCTCAGAAACTACTTTGTGATGTGTGCCTTCAACTCACAGAGTTTAACCTTTCTTTTCTTAGAGCAGTTTAGAAACACTCTGCTTGTTATGTCTGCAAGTGGATATTTGGACCTCTTTGAGGCCTTCGTTGCAAACGGGGTTTCTTCCTTTCATGCTAGACTAAGAAGAGTTCTCAGTAACTTTTTTGTGTTGTGTGTATTCAACTCACAGAAGTTGAACCTTGCTTTAGAGAGAGCAGATTTGAAACACTCTTGCTGTGGCATTTTCAGGTGGAGATTTCAAGCGATTTGAGGACAATTGCAGAAAAGGAAATATCTTCGTATAATAACCAGACAGAATCATTCTCAGAAAGTGCTTTGTGATGTGTGCGTTCAACTCACAGAGTTTAACCTTTCTTTTCATAGAGGAGTTTGGAAACACACTGTTTGTAAAGTCTGCAATTGGATATATGGACCTGTTTGAGGCCTTCTTTGGAAACGGGATTTCTTCATTGAATGCTAGACGGAAGAATTCTCAGTAAATTCTTTGTGTTGTGTGCATTCAACTCACAGAGTGGAACGTCCCTTTAGACAGAGCAGATTTGAAACACTCTTTTTGCGGAATTTGCAAGTGGAGATTTCTAGCCATTTGATGCCAACAGTAGAAAGGGAAATATCTTCAAATAAAAACCAGACAGAATCATTCTCAGAAAATTCTTTGTGATGTGTGCGTTCAACTCACATAGTTTAACCTTTCTTTTCATAGAGCAGTTTGGAAACACTCTGTAAAGTCTGCAAGTGGATATATGGACCGCATTGAGGCCTTCGTTGGAAACGGGATTTCTTCATTTCATGCTAGACAGAAGAATTCTCAGTAACTTCTTTGTGCTGTGTGTATTCAACTCACAGAGTGGAACGTCCCTTTGCACAGAGCAGATTTGAAACACTCTTTTTGTGGAGTTTGCAAGTGGAGATTTCAAGCGATTTGATGCCAACAGTAGAAAAGGAAATATCTTCAAATAAAAACTAGACAGAATCATTCTCAGAAACTACTTTGTGATGTGTGCCTTCAACTCACAGAGTTTAACCTTTCTTTTCTTAGAGCAGTTTAGAAACACTCTGCTTGTTATGTCTGCAAGTGGATATTTGGACCTCTTTGAGGCCTTCGTTGCAAACGGGGTTTCTTCCTTTAATGCTAGACTAAGAAGAGTTCTCAGTAACTTTTTTGTGTAGTGTGTATTCAACTCACAGAGTTGAACCTTGCTTTAGAGAGAGCAGATTTGAAACACTCTTGCTGTGGAATTTTCAGGTGGAGATTTCAAGCGATTTGAGGACAATTGCAGAAAAGGAAATATCTTCGTATAATAACCAGACAGAATCATTCTCAGAAAGTGCTTTGTGATGTGTGCGTTCAACTCACAGAGTTTAACCTTTCTTTTCATAGAGGAGTTTGGAAACACACTGTTTGTAAAGTCTGCAATTGGATATATGGACCTGTTTGAGGCCTTCGTTGGAAACGGGATTTCTTCATTGAATGCTAGACGGAAGAATTCTCAGTAAATTCTTTGTGTTGTGTGCATTCAACTGACAGAGTGGAACGTCCCTTTAGACAGAGCAGATTTGAAACACTCTTTTTGCGGAATTTGCAAGTGGAGATTTCTAGCCATTTGATGCCAACAGTAGAAAGGGAAATATCTTCAAATAAAAACCAGACAGAATCATTCTCAGAAAATTCTTTGTGATGTGTGCGTTCAACTCACATAGTTTAACCTTTCTTTTCATAGAGCAGTTTGGAAACACTCTGTTTGTAAAGTCTGCAAGTGGATATATGGACCGCATTGAGGCCTTCGTTGGAAACGGGATTTCTTCATTTCATGCTAGACAGAAGAATTCTCAGTAACTTCTTTGTGCTGTGTGTATTCAACTCACAGAGTGGAACGTCCCTTTACACAGAGCAGATTTGAAACACTCTTTTTGTGGAATTTGCAAGTGGAGATTTCAAGCGATTTGATGCCAACAGTAGAAAAGGAAATATCTTCAAATAAAAACTAGACAGAATCATTCTCAGAAACTACTTTGTGATGTGTGCCTTCAACTCACAGAGTTTAACCTTTCTTTTCTTAGAGCAGTTTAGAAACACTCTGCTTGTTATGTCTGCAAGTGCATATTTGGACCTCTTTGAGGCCTTCGTTGCAAACGGGGTTTCTTCCTTTAATGCTAGACTAAGAAGAGTTCTCAGTAACTTTTTTGTGTTGTGTGTATTCAACTCACAGAGTTGAACCTTGCTTTAGAGAGAGCAGATTTGAAACACTCTTGCTGTGGCATTTTCAGGTGGAGATTTCAAGCGATTTGAGGACAATTGCAGAAAAGGAAATATCTTCGTATAATAACCAGACAGAATCATTCTCAGAAAGTGCTTTGTGATGTGTGCGTTCAACTCACAGAGTTTAACCTTTCTTTTCATAGAGGAGTTTGGAAACACACTGTTTGTAAAGTCTGCAATTGGATATATGGACCTGTTTGAGGCCTTCGTTGGAAACGGGATTTCTTCATTGAATGCTAGACGGAAGAATTCTCAGTAAATTCTTTGTGTTGTGTGCATTCAACTCACAGAGTGGAACGTCCCTTTAGACAGAGCAGATTTGAAACACTTTTTGGCGGAATTTGCAAGTGGAGATTTCTAGCCATTTGATGCCAACAGTAGAAAGGGAAATATCTTCAAATAAAAAGCAGACAGAATCATTCTCAGAAAATTCTTTGTGATGTGTGCGTTCAACTCACATAGTTTAACCTTTCTTTTCATAGAGCAGTTTGGAAACACTCTGTTTGTAAAGTCTGCAAGTGGATATATGGACCGCATTGAGGCCTTCGTTGGAAACGGGATTTCTTTCATTTCATGCTAGACAGAAGAATTCTCAGTAACTTCTTTGTGCTGTGTGTATTCAACTCACAGAGTCAACGTCCCTTTGCACAGAGCAGATTTGAAACACTCTTTTTGTGGAATTTGCAAGTGGAGATTTCAAGCGATTTGATGCCAACAGTAGAAAAGGAAATATCTTCAAATAAAAACTAGACAGAATCATTCTCAGAAACTACTTTGTGATGTGTGCCTTCAACTCACAGAGTTTAACCTTTCTTTTCTTAGAGCAGTTTAGAAACACTCTGCTTGTTATGTCTGCAAGTGGATATTTGGACCTCTTTGAGGCCTTCGTTGCAAACGGGGTTTCTTCCTTTCATGCTAGACTAAGAAGAGTTCTCAGTAACTTTTTTGTGTTGTGTGTATTCAACTCACAGAGTTGAACCTTGCTTTAGAGAGAGCAGATTTGAAACACTCTTGCTGTGGCATTTTCAGGTGGAGATTTCAAGCGATTTGAGGACAATTGCAGAAAAGGAAATATCTTCGTATAACAACCAGACAGAATCATTCTCAGAAAGTGCTTTGTGATGTGTGCGTTCAACTCACAGAGTTTAACCTTTCTTTTCATAGAGGAGTTTGGAAACACACTGTTTGTAAAGTCTGCAATTGGATATATGGACCTGTTTGAGGCCTTCGTTGGAAACGGGATTTCTTCATTGAATGCTAGACGGAAGAATTCTCAGTAAATTCTTTGTGTTGTGTGCATTCAACTGACAGAGTGGAACGTCCCTTTAGACAGAGCAGATTTGAAACACTCTTTTTGCGGAATTTGCAAGTGGAGATTTCTAGCCATTTGATGCCAACAGTAGAAAGGGAAATATCTTCAAATAAAAACCAGACAGAATCATTCTCAGAAAATTCTTTGTGATGTGTGCGTTCATCTCACATAGTTTAACCTTTCTTTTCATAGAGCAGTTTGGAAACACTCTGTTTGTAAAGTCTGCAAGTGGATATATGGACCGCATTGAGGCCTTCGTTGGAAACGGGATTTCTTCATTTCATGCTAGACAGAAGAATTCTCAGTAACTTCTTTGTGCTGTGTGTATTCAACTCACAGAGTGGAACGTCCCTTTACACAGAGCAGATTTGAAACACTCTTTTTGTGGAGTTTGCAAGTGGAGATTTCAAGCGATTTGATGCCAACAGTAGAAAAGGAAATATCTTCAAATAAAAACTAGACAGAATCATTCTCAGAAACTACTTTGTGATGTGTGCCTTCAACTCACAGAGTTTAACCTTTCTTTTCTTAGAGCAGTTTAGAAACACTCTGCTTGTTATGTCTGCAAGTGGATATTTGGACCTCTTTGAGGCCTTCGTTGCAAACGGGGTTTCTTCCTTTCATGCTAGACTAAGAAGAGTTCTCAGTAACTTTTTTGTGTTGTGTGTATTCAACTCACAGAGTTGAACCTTGCTTTAGAGAGAGCAGATTTGAAACACTCTTGCTGTGGCATTTTCAGGTGGAGATTTCAAGCGATTTGAGGACAATTGCAGAAAAGGAAATATCTTCGTATAATAACCAGACAGAATCATTCTCAGAAAGTGCTTTGTGATGTGTGCGTTCCACTCACAGAGTTTAACCTTTCTTTTCATAGAGGAGTTTGGAAACACACTGTTTGTAAAGTCTGCAAGTGGATATATGGACCTGTTTGAGGCCTTCGTTGGAAACGGGATTTCTTCATTGAATGCTAGACGGAAGAATTCTCAGTAAATTCTTTGTGTTGTGTGCATTCAACTCACAGAGTGGAACGTCCCTTTAGACAGAGCAGATTTGAAACACTCTTTTTGCGGAATTTGCAAGTGGAGATTTCTAGCCATTTGATGCCAACAGTAGAAAGGGAAATATCTTCAAATAAAAACCAGACAGAATCATTCTCAGAAAATTCTTTGTGATGTGTGCGTTCAACTCACATAGTTTAACCTTTCTTTTCATAGAGCAGTTTGGAAACACTCTGTTTGTAAAGTCTGCAAGTGGATATATGGACCGCATTGAGGCCTTCGTTGGAAACGGGATTTCTTCATTTCATGCTAGACAGAAGAATTCTCAGTAACTTCTTTGTGCTGTGTGTATTCAACTCACAGAGTGGAACGTCCCTTTGCACAGAGCAGATTTGAAACACTCTTTTTGTGGAGTTTGCAAGTGGAGATTTCAAGCGATTTCATGCCAACAGTAGAAAAGGAAATATCTTCAAATAAAAACTAGACAGAATCATTCTCAGAAACTACTTTGTGATGTGTGCCTTCAACTCACAGAGTTTAACCTTTCTTTTCTTAGAGCAGTTTAGAAACACTCTGCTTGTTATGTCTGCAAGTGGATATTTGGACCTCTTTGAGGCCTTCGTTGCAAACGGGGTTTCTTCCTTTCATGCTAGACTAAGAGAAGAGTTCTCAGTAACTTTTTTGTGTTGTGTGTATTCAACTCACAGAGCTGAACCTTGCTTTAGAGAGCGCAGATTTGAAACACTCTTGCTGTGGCATTTTCAGGTGGAGATTTCAAGCGATTTGAGGACAATTGCAGAAAAGGAAATATCTTCGTATAACAACCAGACAGAATCATTCTCAGAAAGTGCTTTGTGATGTGTGCGTTCCACTCACAGAGTTTAACCTTTCTT
The DNA here is from genome assembly GCF_000001405.40 of Homo sapiens. Classification (NCBI taxonomy): domain Eukaryota; kingdom Metazoa; phylum Chordata; class Mammalia; order Primates; family Hominidae; genus Homo; species Homo sapiens. Next base: position 59,527,364 of record NC_000007.14, read on the forward strand.
TTCATAGAGGAGTTTGGAAACACACTGTTTGTAAAGTCTGCAAGTGGATATATGGACCTGTTTGAGGCCTTCGTTGGAAACGGGATTTCTTCATTGAATGCTAGACGGAAGAATTCTCAGTAAATTCTTTGTGTTGTGTGCATTCAACTCACAGAGTGGAACGTCCCTTTAGACAGAGCAGATTTGAAACACTCTTTTTGCGGAATTTGCAAGTGGAGATTTCTAGCCATTTGATGCCAACAGTAGAAAGGGAAATATCTTCAAATAAAAACCAGACAGAATCATTCTCAGAAAATTCTTTGTGATGTGTGCGTTCAACTCACATAGTTTAACCTTTCTTTTCATAGAGCAGTTTGGAAACACTCTGTTTGTAAAGTCTGCAAGTGGATATATGGACCGCATTGAGGCCTTCGTTGCAAACGGGGTTTCTTCCTTTCATGCTAGACAGAAGAATTCTCAGTAACTTCTTTGTGCTGTGTGTATTCAACTCACAGAGTTGAACCTTGCTTTAGAGAGAGCAGATTTGAAACACTCTTGCTGTGGCATTTTCAGGTGGAGATTTCAAGCGATTTGAGGACAATTGCAGAAAAGGAAATATCTTCAAATAATAACCAGACAGAATCATTCTCAGAAAGTGCTTTGTGATGTGTGCGTTCCACTCACAGAGTTTAACCTTTCTTTTCATAGAGGAGTTTGGAAACACACTGTTTGTAAAGTCTGCAAGTGGATATATGGACCTGTTTGAGGCCTTCGTTGGAAACGGGATTTCTTCATTGAATGCTAGACGGAAGAATTCTCAGTAAATTCTTTGTGTTGTGTGCATTCAACTCACAGAGTGGAACGTCCCTTTAGACAGAGCAGATTTGAAACACTCTTTTGGCGGAATTTGCAAGTGGAGATTTCTAGCCATTTGATGCCAACAGTAGAAAGGGAAATATCTTTAAATAAAAACCAGACAGAATCATTCTCAGAAAATTCTTTGTGATGTGTGCGTTCAACTCACATAGTTTAACCTTTCTTTTCATAGAGCAGTTTGGAAACACTCTGTTTGTAAAGTCTGCAAGTGGATATATGGACCGCATTGAGGCCTTCGTTGGAAACGGGATTTCTTCATTTCATGCTAGACAGAAGAATTCTCAGTAACTTCTTTGTGCTGTGTGTATTCAACTCACAGAGTGGAACGTCCCTTTACACAGAGCAGATTTGAAACACTCTTTTTGTGGAGTTTGCAAGTGGAGATTTCAAGCGATTTGATGCCAACAGTAGAAAAGGAAATATCTTCAAATAAAAACTAGACAGAATCATTCTCAGAAACTACTTTGTGATGTGTGCCTTTAACTCACAGAGTTTAACCTTTCTTTTCTTAGAGCAGTTTAGAAACACTCTGCTTGTTATGTCTGCAAGTGGATATTTGGACCTCTTTGAGGCCTTCGTTGCAAACGGGGTTTCTTCCTTTCATGCTAGACTAAGAAGTGTTCTCAGTAACTTTTTTGTGTTGTGTGTATTCAACTCACAGAGTTGAACCTTGCTTTAGAGAGAGCAGATTTGAAACACTCTTGCTGTGGCATTTTCAGGTGGAGATTTCAAGCGATTTGAGGACAAAGGCAGAAAAGGAAATATCTTCGTATAATAACTAGACAGAATCATTCTCAGAAAGTGCTTTGTGATGTGTGCGTTCAACTCACAGAGTTTAACCTTTCTTTTCATAGAGGAGTTTGGAAACACACTGTTTGTAAAGTCTGCAAGTGGATATATGGACCTGTTTGAGGCCTTCGTTGGAAACGGGATTTCTTCATTGAATGCTAGACGGAAGAATTCTCAGTAAATTCTTTCTGTTGTGTGCATTCAACTCACACAGTGGAACGTCCCTTTAGACAGAGCAGATTTGAAACACTCTTTTTGCGGAAGTTGCAAGTGGAGATTTCTAGCCATTTGATGCCAACAGTACAAAGGGAAATATCTTCAAATAAAAACTAGACAGAATCATTCTCAGAAAGTGCTTTGTGATGTGTGCGTTCAACTCACAGAGTTTAACCTTTCTTTTCATAGAGGAGTTTGGAAACACACTGTTTGTAAAGTCTGCAATTGGATATATGGACCTGTTTGAGGCCTTCGTTGGAAACGGGATTTCTTCATTGAATGCTAGACGGAAGAATTCTCAGTAAATTCTTTGTGTGGTGTGCATTCAACTCACAGAGTGGAACGTCCCTTTAGACAGAGCAGATTTGAAACACTCTTTTTGCGGAATTTGCAAGTGGAGATTTCTAGCCATTTGATGCCAACAGTAGAAAGGGAAATATCTTCAAATAAAAACCAGACAGAATCATTCTCAGAAAATTCTTTGTGATGTGTGCGTTCAACTCACATAGTTTAACCTTTCTTTTCATAGAGCAGTTTGGAAACACTCTGTTTGTAAAGTCTGCAAGTGGATATATGGACCGCATTGAGGCCTTCGTTGGAAACGGGATTTCTTCATTTCATGCTAGACAGAAGAATTCTCAGTAACTTCTTTGTGCTGTGTGTATTCAACTCACAGAGTGGAACGTCCCTTTGCACAGAGCAGATTTGAAACACTCTTTTTGTGGAGTTTGCAAGTGGAGATTTCAAGCGATTTGATGCCAACAGTAGAAAAGGAAATATCTTCAAATAAAAACTAGACAGAATCATTCTCAGAAACTACTTTGTGATGTGTGCCTTCAACTCACAGAGTTTAACCTTTCTTTTCTTAGAGCAGTTTAGAAACACTCTGCTTGTTATGTCTGCAAGTGGATATTTGGACCTCTTTGTGGCCTTCGTTGCAAACGGGGATTCTTCCTTTCATGCTAGACTAAGAAGAGTTCTCAGTAACTTTTTTGTGTTGTGTGTATTCAACTCACAGAGTTGAACCTTGCTTTAGAGAGAGCAGATTTGAAACACTCTTGCTGTGGCATTTTCAGGTGGAGATTTCAAGCGATTTGAGGACAATTGCAGAAAAGGAAATATCTTCGTATAATAACCAGACAGAATCATTCTCAGAAAGTGCTTTGTGATGTGTGCGTTCAACTCACAGAGTTCAACCTTTCTTTCCATAGAGGAGTTTGGAAACACACTGTTTGTAAAGTCTGCAATTGGATATATGGACCTGTTTGAGGCCTTCGTTGGAAACGGGATTTCTTCATTGAATGCTAGACGGAAGAATTCTCAGTAAATTCTTTGTGTTGTGTGCATTCAACTGACAGAGTGGAACGTCCCTTTAGACAGAGCAGATTTGAAACACTCTTTTTGCGGAATTTGCAAGTGGAGATTTCTAGCCATTTGATGCCAACAGTAGAAAGGGAAATATCTTCAAATAAAAACCAGACAGAATCATTCTCAGAAAATTCTTTGTGATGTGTGCGTTCAACTCACATAGTTTAACCTTTCTTTTCATAGAGCAGTTTGGAAACACTCTGTTTGTAAAGTCTGCAAGTGGATATATGGACCGCATTGAGGCCTTCGTTGGAAACGGGATTTCTTCATTTCATGCTAGACAGAAGAATTCTCAGTAACTTCTTTGTGCTGTGTGTATTCAACTCACAGAGTGGAACGTCCCTTTACACAGAGCAGATTTGAAACACTCTATTTGTGGAGTTTGCAAGTGGAGATTTCAAGCGATTTGATGCCAACAGTAGAAAAGGAAATATCTTCAAATAAAAACTAGACAGAATCATTCTCAGAAACTACTTTGTGATGTGTGCCTTCAACTCACAGAGTTTAACCTTTCTTTTCTTAGAGCAGTTTAGAAACACTCTGCTTGTTATGTCTGCAAGTGGATATTTGGACCTCTTTGAGGCCTTCGTTGCAAACGGGGTTTCTTCCTTTAATGCTAGACTAAGAAGAGTTCTCAGTAACTTTTTTGTGTTGTGTGTATTCAACTCACAGAGTTGAACCTTGCTTTAGAGAGAGCAGATTTGAAACACTCTTGCTGTGGCATTTTCAGGTGGAGATTTCAAGCGATTTGAGGACAATTGCAGAAAAGGAAATATCTTCGTATAACAACCAGACAGAATCATTCTCAGAAAGTGCTTTGTGATGTGTGCGTTCCACTCACAGAGTTTAACCTTTCTTTTCATAGAGGAGTTTGGAAACACACTGTTTGTAAAGTCTGCAAGTGGATATATGGACCTGTTTGAGGCCTTCGTTGGAAACGGGATTTCTTCATTGAATGCTAGACGGAAGAATTCTCAGTAAATTCTTTGTGTTGTGTGCATTCAACTCACAGAGTGGAACGTCCCTTTAGACAGAGCAGATTTGAAACACTCTTTTTGCGGAATTTGCAAGTGGAGATTTCTAGCCATTTGATGCCAACAGTAGAAAGGGAAATATCTTCAAATAAAAACCAGACAGAATCATTCTCAGAAAATTCTTTGTGATGTGTGCGTTCAACTCACATAGTTTAACCTTTCTTTTCATAGAGCAGTTTGGAAACACTCTGTTTGTAAAGTCTGCAAGTGGATATATGGACCGCATTGAGGCCTTCGTTGGAAACGGGATTTCTTCATTTCATGCTAGACAGAAGAATTCTCAGTAACTTCTTTGTGCTGTGTGTATTCAACTCACAGAGTGGAACGTCCCTTTGCACAGAGCAGATTTGAAACACTCTTTTTGTGGAATTTGCAAGTGGAGATTTCAAGCGATTTGATGCCAACAGTAGAAAAGGAAATATCTTCAAATAAAAACTAGACAGAATCATTCTCAGAAACTACTTTGTGATGTGTGCCTTCAACTCACAGAGTTTTACCTTTCTTTTCTTAGAGCAGTTTAGAAACACTCTGCTTGTTATGTCTGCAAGTGGATATTTGGACCTCTTTGAGGCCTTCGTTGCAAACGGGGTTTCTTCCTTTCATGCTAGACTAAGAAGAGTTCTCAGTAACTTTTTTGTGTTGTGTGTATTCAACTCACAGAGTTGAACCTTGCTTTAGAGAGAGCAGATTTGAAACACTCTTGCTGTGGCATTTTCAGGTGGAGATTTCAAGCGATTTGAGGACAATTGCAGAAAAGGAAATATCTTCGTATAATAACCAGACAAAATCATTCTCAGAAAGTGCTTTGTGATGTGTGCGTTCAACTCACAGAGTTTAACCTTTCTTTTCATAGAGGAGTTTGGAAACACACTGTTTGTAAAGTCTGCAATTGGATATATGGACCTGTTTGAGGCCTTCTTTGGAAACGGGATTTCTTCATTGAATGCTAGACGGAAGAATTCTCAGTAAATTCTTTGTGTTGTGTGCATTCAACTCACAGAGTGGAACGTCCCTTTAGACAGAGCAGATTTGAAACACTCTTTTTGCGGAATTTGCAAGTGGAGATTTCTAGCCATTTGTTGCCAACAGTAGAAAGGGAAATATCTTCAAATAAAAACCAGACAGAATCATTCTCAGAAAATTCTTTGTGATGTGTGCGTTCAACTCACATAGTTTAACCTTTCTTTTCATAGAGCAGTTTGGAAACACTCTGTTTGTAAAGTCTGCAAGTGGATATATAGACCGCATTGAGGCCTTCGTTGGAAACGGGATTTCTTCATTTCATGCTAGACAGAAGAATTCTCAGTAACTTCTTTGTGCTGTGTGTATTCAACTCACAGAGTGGAACGTCCCTTTACACAGAGCAGATTTGAAACACTCTTTTTGTGGAATTTGCAAGTGGAGATTTCAAGCGATTTGATGCCAACAGTAGAAAAGGAAATATCTTCAAATAAAAACTAGACAGAATCATTCTCAGAAACTACTTTGTGATGTGTGCCTTCAACTCACAGAGTTTAACCTTTCTTTTCTTAGAGCAGTTTAGAAACACTCTGCTTGTTATGTCTGCAAGTGGATATTTGGACCTCTTTGAGGCCTTCGTTGCAAACGGGGTTTCTTCCTTTCATGCTAGACTAAGAAGAGTTCTCAGTAACTTTTTTGTGTTGTGTGTATTCAACCCACAGAGTTGAACCTTGCTTTAGAGAGAGCAGATTTGAAACACTCTTGCTGTGGCATTTTCAGGTGGAGATTTCAAGCGATTTGAGGACAATTGCAGAAAAGGAAATATCTTCGTATAATAACCAGACAGAATCATTCTCAGAAAGTGCTTTGTGATGTGTGCGTTCAACTCACAGAGTTTAACCTTTCTTTTCATAGAGGAGTTTGGAAACACACTGTTTGTAAAGTCTGCAATTGGATATATAGACCTGTTTGAGGCCTCCGTTGGAAACGGGATTTCTTCATTGAATGCTAGACGGAAGAATTCTCAGTAAATTCTTTGTGTTGTGTGCATTCAACTCACAGAGTGGAACGTCCCTTTAGACAGAGCAGATTTGAAACACTCTTTTTGCGGAATTTGCAAGTGGAGATTTCTAGCCATTTGATGCCAACAGTAGAAAGGGAAATATCTTCAAATAAAAACCAGACAGAATCATTCTCAGAAAATTCTTTGTGATGTGTGCGTTCAACTCACATAGTTTAACCTTTCTTTTCATAGAGCAGTTTGGAAACACTCTGTTTGTAAAGTCTGCAAGTGGATATATGGACCGCATTGAGGCCTTCGTTGGAAACGGGATTTCTTCATTTCATGCTAGACAGAAGAATTCTCAGTAACTTCTTTGTGCTGTGTGTATTGAACTCACAGAGTGGAACGTCCCTTTGCACAGAGCAGATTTGAAACACTCTTTTTGTGGAATTTGCAAGTGGAGATTTCAAGCGATCTGATGCCAACAGTAGAAAAGGAAATATCTTCAAATAAAAACTAGACAGAATCATTCTCAGAAACTACTTTGTGATGTGTGCCTTCAACTCACAGAGTTTAACCTTTCTTTTCTTAGAGCAGTTTAGAAACACTCTGCTTGGTATGTCTGCAAGTGGATATTTGGACCTCTTTGAGGCCTTCGTTGCAAACGGGGTTTCTTCCTTTAATGCTAGACTAAGAAGAGTTCTCAGTAACTTTTTTGTGTTGTGTGTATTCAACTCACAGAGTTGAACCTTGCTTTAGAGAGAGCAGATTTGAAACACTCTTGCTGTGGCATTTTCAGGTGGAGATTTCAAGCGATTTGAGGACAATTGCAGAAAAGGAAATATCTTCGTATAATAACAAGACAGAATCATTCTCAGAAAGTGCTTTGTGATGTGTGCGTTCCACTCACAGAGTTTAACCTTTCTTTTCATAGAGGAGTTTGGAAACACACTGTTTGTAAACTCTGCAAGTGGATATATGGACCTGTTTGAGGCCTTCGTTGGAAACGGGATTTCTTCATTGAATGCTAGACGGAAGAATTCTCAGTAAATTCTTTGTGTTGTGTGCATTCAACTCACAGAGTGGAACGTCCCTTTAGACAGAGCAGATTTGAAACACTCTTTTTGCGGAATTTGCAAGTGGAGATTTCTAGCCATTTGATGCCAACAGTAGAAAGGGAAATATCTTCAAATAAAAACCAGACAGAATCATTCTCAGAAAATTCTTTGTGATGTGTGCGTTCAACTCACATAGTTTAACCTTTCTTTTCATAGAGCAGTTTGGAAACACTCTGTTTGTAAAGTCTGCAAGTGGATATATGGACCGCATTGAGGCCTTCGTTGGAAACGGGATTTCTTCATTTCATGCTAGACAGAAGAATTCTCAGTAACTTCTTTGTGCTGTGTGTATTCAACTCACAGAGTGGAACGTCCCTTTGCACAGAGCAGATTTGAAACACTCTTTTTGTGGAATTTGCAAGTGGAGATTTCAAGCGATTTGATGCCAACAGTAGAAAAGGAAATATCTTCAAATAAAAACTAGACAGAATCATTCTCAGAAACTACTTTGTGATGTGTGCCTTCAACTCACAGAGTTTAACCTTTCTTTTCTTAGAGCAGTTTAGAAACACTCTGCTTGTTATGTCTGCAAGTGGATATTTGGACCTCTTTGAGGCCTTCGTTGCAAACGGGGATTCTTCCTTTCATGCTAGACTAAGAAGAGTTCTCAGTAACTTTTTTGTGTTGTGTGTATTCAACTCACAGAGTTGAACCTTGCTTTAGAGAGAGCAGATTTGAAACACTCTTGCTGTGGCATTTTCAGGTGGAGATTTCAAGCGATTTGAGGACAATTGCAGAAAAGGAAATATCTTCGTATAATAACCAGACAGAATCATTCTCAGAAAGTGCTTTGTGATGTGTGCGTTCAACTCACAGAGTTTAACCTTTCTTTTCATAGAGGAGTTTGGAAACACACTGTTTGTAAAGTCTGCAAGTGGATATATGGACCTGTTTGAGGCCTTCGTTGGAAACGGGATTTCTTCATTGAATGCTAGACGGAAGAATTCTCAGTAAATTCTTTGTGTTGTGTGCATTCAACTCACAGAGTGGAACGTCCCTTTAGACAGAGCAGATTTGAAACACTCTTTTTGCGGAATTTGCAAGTGGAGATTTCTAGCCATTTGATGCCAACAGTAGAAAGGGAAATATCTTCAAATAAAAACCAGACAGAATCATTCTCAGAAAATTCTTTGTGATGTGTGCGTTCAACTCACAGAGTTTAACCTTTCTTTTCATAGAGGAGTTTGGAAACACACTGTTTGTAAAGTCTGCAATTGGATATATGGACCTGTTTGAGGCCTTCTTTGGAAACGGGATTTCTTCATTGAATGCTAGACGGAAGAATTCTCAGTAAATTCTTTGTGTTGTGTGCATTCAACTCACAGAGTGGAACGTCCCTTTAGACAGAGCAGATTTGAAACACTCTTTTTGCGGAATTTGCAAGTGGAGATTTCTAGCCATTTGATGCCAACAGTAGAAAGGGAAATATCTTCAAATAAAAACCAGACAGAATCATTCTCAGAAAATTCTTTGTGATGTGTGCGTTCAACTCACATAGTTTAACCTTTCTTTTCATAGAGCATTTTGGAAACACTCTGTTTGTAAAGTCTGCAAGTGGATATATGGACCGCATTGAGGCCTTCGTTGGAAACGGGATTTCTTCATTTCATGCTAGACAGAAGAATTCTCAGTAACTTCTTTGTGCTGTGTGTATTCAACTCACAGAGTGGAACGTCCCTTTGCACAGAGCAGATTTGAAACACTCTTTTTGTGGAATTTGCAAGTGGAGATTTCAAGCGATTTGATGCCAACAGTAGAAAAGGAAATATCTTCAAATAAAAACTAGACAGAATCATTCTCAGAAACTACTTTGTGATGTGTGCCTTCAACTCACAGAGTTTAACCTTTCTTTTCTTAGAGCAGTTTAGAAACACTCTGCTTGTTATGTCTGCAAGTGGTTATTTGGACCTCTTTGAGGCCTTCGTTGCAAACGGGGAGTCTTCCTTTCATGCTAGACTAAGAAGAGTTCTCAGTAACATTTTTGTGTTGTGTGTATTCAACTCACAGAGTTGAACCTTGCTTTAGAGAGAGCAGATTTGAAACACTCTTGCTGTGGCATTTTCAGGTGGAGATTTCAAGCGATTTGAGGACAATTGCAGAAAAGGAAATATCTTCGTATAACAACCAGACAGAATCATTCTCAGAAAGTGCTTTGTGATGTGTGCGTTCAACTCACAGAGTTTAACCTTTCTTTTCATAGAGGAGTTTGGAAACACACTGTTTGTAAAGTCTGCAATTGGATATATGGACCTGTTTGAGGCCTTCGTTGGAAACGGGATTTCTTCATTGAATGCTAGACGGAAGAATTCTCAGTAAATTCTTTGTGTGGTGTGCATTCAACTCACAGAGTGGAACGTCCCTTTAGACAGAGCAGATTTGAAACACTCTTTTTGCGGAATTTGCAAGTGGAGATTTCTAGCCATTTGATGCCAACAGTAGAAAGGGAAATATCTTCAAATAAAAACCAGACAGAATCATTCTCAGAAAATTCTTTGTGATGTGTGCGTTCAACTCACATAGTTTAACCTTTCTTTTCATAGAGCAGTTTGGAAACACTCTGTTTGTAAAGTCTGCAAGTGGATATATGGACCGCATTGAGGCCTTCGTTGGAAACGGGATTTCTTCATTTCATGCTAGACAGAAGAATTCTCAGTAACTTCTCTGTGCTGTGTGTATTCAACTCACAGACTGGAACGTCCGTTTGCACAGAGCAGATTTGAAACACTCTTTTTGTGGAATTTGCAAGTGGAGATTTCAAGCGATTTGATGCCAACAGTAGAAAAGGAAATATCTTCAAATAAAAACTAGACAGAGTCATTCTCAGAAACTACTTTGTGATGTGTGCCTTCAACTCACAGAGTTTAACCTTTCTTTTCTTAGAGCAGTTTAGAAACACTCTGCTTGTTATGTCTGCAAGTGGATATTTGGACCTTCTTTGAGGCCTTCGTTGCAAACGGGGTTTCTTCCTTTCATGCTAGACTAAGAAGAGTTCTCAGTAAATTTTTTGTGTTGTGTGTATTCAACTCACAGAGTTGAACCTTGCTTTAGAGAGAGCAGATTTGAAACACTCTTGCTGTGGCATTTTCAGGTGGAGATTTCAAGCGATTTGAGGACAATTGCAGAAAAGGAAATATCTTCGTATAACAACCAGACAGAATCATTCTCAGAAAGTGCTTTGTGATGTGTGCGTTCCACTCACAGAGTTTAACCTTTCTTTTCATAGAGGAGTTTGGAAACAAACTGTTTGTAAACTCTGCAAGTGGATATATGGACCTGTTTGAGGCCTTCGTTGGAAACGGGATTTCTTCATTGAATGCTAGACGGAAGAATTCTCAGTAAATTCTTTGTGTTGTGTGCATTCAACTCACAGAGTGGAACGTCCCTTTAGACAGAGCAGATTTGAAACACTCTTTTTGCGGAATTTGCAAGTGGAGATTTCTAGCCATTTGATGCCAACAGTAGAAAGGGAAATATCTTCAAATGAAAACCAGACAGAATCATTCTCAGAAAATTCTTTGTGATGTGTGCGTTCAACTCACATAGTTTAACCTTTCTTTTCATAGAGCAGTTTGGAAACACTCTGTTTGTAAAGTCTGCAAGTGGATATATGGACCGCATTGAGGCCTTCGTTGGAAACGGGATTTCTTCATTTCATGCTAGACAGAAGAATTCTCAGTAACTTCTTTGTGCTGTGTGTATTCAACTCACAGAGTGGAACGTCCCTTTACACAGAGCAGATTTGAAACACTCTTTTTGTGGAGTTTGCAAGTGGAGATTTCAAGCGATTTGATGCCAACAGTAGAAAAGGAAATATCTTCAAATAAAAACTAGACAGAATCATTCTCAGAAACTACTTTGTGATGTGTGCCTTCAACTCACAGAGTTTAACCTTTCTTTTCTTAGAGCACTTTAGAAACACTCTGCTTGTTATGTCTGCAAGTGGATATTTGGACCTCTTTGAGGCCTTCGTTGCAAACGGGGTTTCTTCCTTTCATGCTAGACTAAGAAGAGTTCTCAGTAACTTTTTTGTGTTGTGTGTATTCAACTCACAGAGTTGAACCTTGCTTTAGAGAGAGCAGATTTGAAACACTCTTGCTGTGGCATTTTCAGGTGGAGATTTCAAGCGATTTGAGGACAATTGCAGAAAAGGAAATATCTTCGTATAATAACCAGACAGAATCATTCTCAGAAAGTGCTTTGTGATGTGTGCGTTCAACTCACAGAGTTTAACCTTTCTTTTCATAGAGGAGTTTGGAAACACACTGTTTGTAAAGTCTGCAATTGGATATATGGACCTGTTTGAGGCCTCCATTGGAAACGGGATTTCTTCATTGAATGCTAGACGGAAGAATTCTCAGTAAATTCTTTGTGTTGTGTGCATTCAACTCACAGAGTGGAACGTCCCTTTAGACAGAGCAGATTTGAAACACTCTTTTTGCGGAATTTGCAAGTGGAGATTTCTAGCCATTTGATGCCAACAGTAGAAAGGGAAATATCTTCAAATAAAAACCAGACAGAATCATTCTCAGAAAATTCTTTGTGATGTGTGCGTTCAACTCACATAGTTTAACCTTTCTTTTCATAGAGCAGTTTGGAAACACTCTGTTTGTAAAGTCTGCAAGTGGATATATGGACCGCATTGAGGCCTTCGTTGGAAACGGGATTTCTTCATTTCATGCTAGACAGAAGAATTCTCAGTAACTTCTTTGTGCTGTGTGTATTCAACTCACAGAGTGGAACGTCCCTTTGCACAGAGCAGATTTGAAACACTCTTTTTGTGGAGTTTGCAAGTGGAGATTTCAAGCGATTTGATGCCAACAGTAGAAAAGGAAATATCTTCAAATAAAAACTAGACAGAATCATTCTCAGAAACTACTTTGTGATGTGTGCCTTCAACTCACAGAGTTTAACCTTTCTTTTCTTAGAGCAGTTTAGAAACACTCTGCTTGTTATGTCTGCAAGTGGATATTTGGACCTCTTTGAGGCCTTCGTTGCAAACGGGGTTTCTTCCTTTCATGCTAGACTAAGAAGAGTTCTCAGTAACTTTTTTGTGTTGTGTGTATTCAACTCACAGAGTTGAACCTTGCTTTAGAGAGAGCAGATTTGAAACACTCTTGCTGTGGCATTTTCAGGTGGAGATTTCAAGCGATTTGAGGACAATTGCAGAAAAGGAAATATCTTCGTATAATAACCAGACAGAATCATTCTCAGAAAGTGCTTTGTGATGTGTGCGTTCAACTCACAGAGTTTAACCTTTCTTTTCATAGAGGAGCTTGGAAACACACTGTTTGTAAAGTCTGCAATTGGATATATGGACCTGTTTGAGGCCTCCGTTGGAAACGGGATTTCTTCATTGAATGCTAGACGGAAGAATTCTCAGTAAATTCTTTGTGTTGTGTGCATTCAACTCACAGAGTGGAACGTCCCTTTAGACAGAGCAGATTTGAAACACTCTTTTTGCGGAATTTGCAAGTGGAGATTTCTAGCCATTTGATGTCAACAGTAGAAAGGGAAATATCTTCAAATAAAAACCAGACAGAATCATTCTCAGAAAATTCTTTGTGATGTGTGCGTTCAACTCACATAGTTTAACCTTTCTTTTCATAGAGCAGTTTGGAAACACTCTGTTTGTAAAGTCTGCAAGTGGATATATGGACCGCATTGAGGCCTTCGTTGGAAACGGGATTTCTTCATTTCATGCTAGACAGAAGAATTCTCAGTAACTTCTTTGTGCTGTGTGTATTCAACTCACAGAGTGGAACGTCCCTTTGCACAGAGCAGATTTGAAACACTCTTTTTGTGGAGTTTGCAAGTGGAGATTTCAAGCGATTTGATGCCAACAGTAGAAAAGGAAATATCTTCAAATAAAAACTAGACAGAATCATTCTCAGAAACTACTTTGTGATGTGTGCCTTCAACTCACAGAGTTTAACCTTTCTTTTCTTAGAGCAGTTTAGAAACACTCTCCTTGTTATGTCTGCAAGTGGATATTTGGACCTCTTTGAGGCCTTCGTTGCAAACGGGGTTTCTTCCTTTCACGCTAGACTAAGAAGAGTTCTCAGTAACTTTTTTGTGTTGTGTGTATTCAACTCACAGAGTTGAACCTTGCTTTAGAGAGAGCAGATTTGAAACACTCTTGCTGTGGTATTTTCAGGTGGAGATTTCAAGCGATTTGAGGACAATTGCAGAAAAGGAAATATCTTCGTATAACAACCAGACAGAATCATTCTCAGAAAGTGCTTTGTGATGTGTGCGTTCAACTCACAGAGTTTAACCTTTCTTTTCATAGAGGAGTTTGGAAACACACTGTTTGTAAAGTCTGCAATTGGATATATGGACCTGTTTGAGGCCTTCGTTGGAAACGGGATTTCTTCATTGAATGCTAGACGGAAGAATTCTCAGTAAATTCTTTGTGTTGTGTGCATTCAACTCACAGAGTGGAACGTCCCTTTAGACAGAGCAGATTTGAAACACTCTTTTTGCGGAATTTGCAAGTGGAGATTTCTAGCCATTTGATGCCAACAGTAGAAAGGGAAATATCTTCAAATAAAAACCAGACAGAATCATTCTCAGAAAATTCTTTGTGATGTGTGCGTTCAACTCACATAGTTTAACCTTTCTTTTCATAGAGCAGTTTGGAAACACTCTGTTTGTAAAGTCTGCAAGTGGATATATGGACCGCATTGAGGCCTTCGTTGGAAACGGGATTTCTTCATTTCATGCGAGACAGAAGAATTCTCAGTAACTTCTTTGTGCTGTGTGTATTCAACTCACAGAGTGGAACGTCCCTTTACACAGAGCAGATTTGAAACACTCTTTTTGTGGAGTTTGCAAGTGGAGATTTCAAGCGATTTGATGCCAGCAGTAGAAAAGGAAATATCTTCAAATAAAAACTAGACAGAATCATTCTCAGAAACTACTTTGTGATGTGTGCCTTCAACTCACAGAGTTTAACCTTTCTTTTCTTAGAGCAGTTTAGAAACACTCTGCTTGTTATGTCTGCAAGTGGATATTTGGACCTCTTTGAGGCCTTCGTTGCAAACGGGGTTTCTTCCTTTCATGCTAGACTAAGAAGAGTTCTCAGTAACATTTTTGTGTTGTGTGTATTCAACTCACAGAGTTGAACCTTGCTTTAGAGAGAGCAGATTTGAAACACTCTTGATGTGGCATTTTCAGGTGGAGATTTCAAGCGATTTGAGGACAATTGCAGAAAAGGAAATATCTTCGTATAACAACCAGACAGAATCATTCTCAGAAAGTGCTTTGTGATGTGTGCGTTCAACTCACAGAGTTTAACCTTTCTTTTCATAGAGGAGTTTGGAAACACACTGTTTGTAAAGTCTGCAATTGGATATATGGACCTGTTTGAGGCCTTCGTTGGAAACGGGATTTCTTCATTGAATGCTAGACGGAAGAATTCTCAGTAAATTCTTTGTGTGGTGTGCATTCAACTCACAGAGTGGAACGTCCCTTTAGACAGAGCAGATTTGAAACACTCTTTTTGCGGAATTTGCAAGTGGAGATTTCTAGCCATTTGATGCCAACAGTAGAAAGGGAAATATCTTCAAATAAAAACCAGACAGAATCATTCTCAGAAAATTCTGTGTGATGTGTGCGTTCAACTCACATAGTTTCACCTTTCTTTTCATAGAGCAGTTTGGAAACACTCTGTTTGTAAAGTCTGCAAGTGGATATATGGACCGCATTGAGGCCTTCGTTGGAAACGGGATTTCTTCATTTCATGCTAGACAGAAGAATTCTCAGTAACTTCTTTGTGCTGTGTGTATTCAACTCACAGAGTGGAACGTCCCTTTACACAGAGCAGATTTGAAACACTCTTTTTGTGGAGTTTGCAAGTGGAGATTTCAAGCGATTTGATGCCAACAGTAGAAAAGGAAATATCTTCAAATAAAAACTAGACAGAATCATTCTCAGAAACTACTTTGTGATGTGTGCCTTCAACTCACAGAGTTTAACCTTTCTTTTCTTAGAGCAGCTTAGAAACACTCTGCTTGTTATGTCTGCAAGTGGATATTTGGACCTCTTTGAGGCCTTCGTTGCAAACGGGGTTTCTTCCTTTAATGCTAGACTAAGAAGAGTTCTCAGTAACTTTTTTGTGTTGTGTGTATTCAACTCACAGAGTTGAACCTTGCTTTAGAGAGAGCAGATTTGAAACACTCTTGCTGTGGCATTTTCAGGTGGAGATTTCAATCGATTTGAGGACAATTGCAGAAAAGGAAATATCTTCGTATAACAACCAGACAGAATCATTCTCAGAAAGTGCTTTGTGATGTGTGCGTTCAACTCACAGAGTTTAACCTTTCTTTTCATAGAGGAGTTTGGAAACACACTGTTTGTAAAGTCTGCAATTGGATATATGGACCTGTTTGAGGCCTTCGTTGGAAACGGGATTTCTTCATTGAATGCTAGACGGAAGAATTCTCAGTAAATTCTTTGTGTTGTGTGCATTCAACTGACAGAGTGGAACGTCCCTTTAGACAGAGCAGATTTGAAACACCCTTTTTGCGGAATTTGCAAGTGGAGATTTCTAGCCATTTGATGCCAACAGTAGAAAGGGAAATATCTTCAAATAAAAACCAGACAGAATCATTCTCAGAAAATTCTTTGTGATGTGTGCGTTCAACTCACATAGTTTAACCTTTCTTTTCATAGAGCAGTTTGGAAACACTCTGTTTGTAAAGTCTGCAAGTGGATATATGGACCGCATTGAGGCCTTCGTTGGAAACGGGATTTCTTCATTTCATGCTAGACAGAAGAATTCTCAGTAACTTCTTTGTGCTGTGTGTATTCAACTCACAGAGTGGAACGTCCCTTTGCACAGAGCGGATTTGAAACACTCTTTTTGTGGAGTTTGCAAGTGGAGATTTCAAGCGATTTGATGCCAACAGTAGAAAAGGAAATATCTTCAAATAAAAACTAGACAGAATTATTCTCAAAAACTACTTTGTGATGTGTGCCTTCAACTCACAGAGTTTAACCTTTCTTTTCTTAGAGCAGTTTAGAAACACTCTGCTTGTTATGTCTGCAAGTGGATATTTGGACCTCTTTGAGGCCTTCGGTTGCAAACGGGGTTTCTTCCTTTCATGCTAGACTAAGAAGAGTTCTCAGTAACTTTTTTGTGTTGTGTGTATTCAACTCACAGAGTTGAACCTTGCTTTAGAGAGAGCAGATTTGAAACACTCTTGCTGTGGCATTTTCAGGTGGAGATTTCAAGCGATTTGAGGACAATTGCAGAAAAGGAAATATCTTCGTATAATAACCAGACAGAATCATTCTCAGAAAGTGCTTTGTGATGTGTGCGTTCAACTCACAGAGTTTAACCTTTCTTTTCATAGAGGAGTTTGGAAACACACTGTTTGTAAAGTCTGCAATTGGATATATGGACCTGTTTGAGGCCTTCGTTGGAAACGGGATTTCTTCATTGAATGCTAGACGGAAGAATTCTCAGTAAATTCTTTGTGTTGTGTGCATTCAACTCACAGAGTGGAACGTCCCTTTAGACAGAGCAGATTTGAAACACTCTTTTTGCGGAATTTGCAAGTGGAGATTTCTAGCCATTTGATGCCAACAGTAGAAAGGGAAATATCTTCAAATAAAAACCAGACAGAATCATTCTCAGAAAATTCTTTGTGATGTGTGCGTTCAACTCACATAGTTTAACCTTTCTTTTCATAGAGCAGTTTGGAAACACTCTGTTTGTAAAGTCTGCAAGTGGATATATGGACCGCATTGAGGCCTTCGTTGGAAACGGGATTTCTTCATTTCATGCTAGACAGAAGAATTCTCAGTAACTTCTTTGTGCTGTGTGTATTCAACTCACAGAGTGGAACGTCCCTTTGCACAGAGCAGATTTTAAACACTCTTTTTGTGGAGTTTGCAAGTGGAGATTTCAAGCGATTTGATGCCAACAGTAGAAAAGGAAATATCTTCAAATAAAAACTAGACAGAATCATTCTCAGAAACTACTTTGTGATGTGTGCCTTCAACTCACAGAGTTTAACCTTTCTTTTCTTAGAGCACTTTAGAAACACTCTGCTTGTTATGTCTGCAAGTGGATATTTGGACCTCTTTGAGGCCTTCGTTGCAAACGGGGTTTCTTCCTTTCATGCTAGACTAAGAAGAGTTCTCAGTAACTTTTTTGTGTTGTGTGTATTCAACTCACAGAGTTGAACCTTGCTTTAGAGAGAGCAGATTTGAAACACTCTTGCTGTGGCATTTTCAGGTGGAGATTTCAAGCGATTTGAGGACAATTGCAGAAAAGGAAATATCTTCGTATAATAACCAGACAGAATCATTCTCAGAAAGTGCTTTGTGATGTGTGCGTTCCACTCACAGAGTTTAACCTTTCTTTTCATAGAGGAGTTTGGAAACACACTGTTTGTAAAGTCTGCAAGTGGATATATGGACCTCTTTGAGGCCTTCGTTGGAAACGGGATTTCTTCATTGAATGCTAGACGGAAGAATTCTCAGTAAATTCTTTGTGTTGTGTGCATTCAACTCACAGAGTGGAACGTCCCTTTAGACAGAGCAGATTTGAAACACTCTTTTTGCGGAATTTGCAAGTGGAGATTTCTAGCCATTTGATGCCAACAGTAGAAAGGGAAATATCTTCAAATAAAAACCAGACAGAATCATTCTCAGAAAATTCTTTGTGATGTGTGCGTTCAACTCACATAGTTTAACCTTTCTTTTCATAGAGCAGTTTGGAAACAATCTGTTTGTAAAGTCTGCAAGTGGATATATGGACCGCATTGAGGCCTTCGTTGGAAACGGGATTTCTTCATTTCATGCTAGACAGAAGAATTCTCAGTAACTTCTTTGTGCTGTGTGTATTCAACTCACAGAGTGGAACGTCCCTTTGCACAGAGCAGATTTGAAACACTCTTTTTGTGGAGTTTGCAAGTGGAGATTTCAAGCGATTTGATGCCAACAGTAGAAAAGGAAATATCTTCAAATAAAAACTAGACAGAATCATTCTCAGAAACTACTTCGTGATGTGTGCCTTCAACTCACAGAGTTTAACCTTTCTTTTCTTAGAGCAGTTTAGAAACACTCTGCTTGTTATGTCTGCAAGTGGATATTTGGACCTCTTTGAGGCCTTCGTTGCAAACGGGGTTTCTTCCTTTCATGCTAGACTAAGAAGAGTTCTCAGTAACATTTCTGTGTTGTGTGTATTCAACTCACAGAGTTGAACCTTGCTTTAGAGAGAGCAGATTTGAAACACTCTTGCTGTGGCATTTTCAGGTGGAGATTTCAATCGTTTTGAGGACAATTGCAGAAAAGGAAATATCTTCGTATAATAACCAGACAGAATCATTCTCAGAAAGTGCTTTGTGATGTGTGCGTTCCACTCACAGAGTTTAACCTTTCTTTTCATAGAGGAGTTTGGAAACACACTGTTTGTAAAGTCTGCAAGTGGATATATGGACCTCTTTGAGGCCTTCGTTGGAAACGGGATTTCTTCATTGAATGCTAGACGGAAGAATTCTCAGTAAATTCTTTGTGTTGTGTGCATTCAACTCACAGAGTGGAACGTCCCTTTAGACAGAGCAGATTTGAAACACTCTTTTTGCGGAATTTGCAAGTGGAGATTTCTAGCCATTTGATGCCAACAGTAGAGGGAAATATCTTCAAATAAAAACCAGACAGAATCATTCTCAGAAAATTCTTTGTGATGTGTGCGTTCAACTCACATAGTTTAACCTTTCTTTTCATAGAGCAGTTTGGAAACACTCTGTTTGTAAAGTCTGCAAGTGGATATATGGACCGCATTGAGGCCTTCGTTGGAAACGGGATTTCTTCATTTCATGCTAGACAGAAGAATTCTCAGTAACTTCTTTGTGCTGTGTGTATTCAACTCACAGAGTGGAACGTCCCTTTACACAGAGCAGATTTGAAACACTCTTTTTGTGGAGTTTGCAAGTGGAGATTTCAAGCGATTTGATGCCAACAGTAGAAAAGGAAATATCTTCAAATAAAAACTAGACAGAATCATTCTCAGAAACTACTTTGTGATGTGTGCCTTCAACTCACAGAGTTTAACCTTTCTTTTCTTAGAGCACTTTAGAAACACTCTGCTTGTTATGTCTGCAAGTGGATATTTGGACCTCTTTGAGGCCTTCGTTGCAAACGGGGTTTCTTCCTTTCATGCTAGACTAAGAAGAGTTCTCAGTAACTTTTTTGTGTTGTGTGTATTCAACTCACAGAGTTGAACCTTGCTTTAGAGAGAGCAGATTTGAAACACTCTTGCTGTGGCATTTTCAGGTGGAGATTTCAAGCGATTTGAGGACAATTGCAGAAAAGGAAATATCTTCGTATAACAACCAGACAGAATCATTCTCAGAAAGTGCTTTGTGATGTGTGCGTTCCACTCACAGAGTTTAACCTTTCTTTTCATAGAGGAGTTTGGAAACAAACTGTTTGTAAACTCTGCAAGTGGATATATGGACCTGTTTGAGGCCTTCGTTGGAAACGGGATTTCTTCATTGAATGCTAGACGGAAGAATTCTCAGTAAATTCTTTGTGTTGTGTGCATTCAACTCACAGAGTGGAACGTCCCTTTAGACAGAGCAGATTTGAAACACTCTTTTTGCGGAATTTGCAAGTGGAGATTTCTAGCCATTTGATGCCAACAGTAGAAAGGGAAATATCTTCAAATAAAAACCAGACAGAATCATTCTCAGAAAATTCTTTGTGATGTGTGCGTTCAACTCACATAGTTTAACCTTTCTTTTCATAGAGCAGTTTGGAAACACTCTGTTTGTAAAGTCTGCAAGTGGATATATGGACCGCATTGAGGCCTTCGTTGGAAACGGGATTTCTTCATTTCATGCTAGCACAGAAGAATTCTCAGTAACTTCTTTGTGCTGTGTGTATTCAACTCACAGAGTGGAACGTCCCTTTACACAGAGCAGATTTGAAACACTCTTTTTGTGGAGTTTGCAAGTGGAGATTTCAAGCGATTTGATGCCAACAGTAGAAAAGGAAATATCTTCAAATAAAAACTAGACAGAATCATTCTCAGAAACTACTTTGTGATGTGTGCCTTCAACTCACAGAGTTTAACCTTTCTTTTCTTAGAGCAGTTTAGAAACACTCTGCTTCTTATGTCTGCAAGTGGATATTTGGACCTCTTTGAGGCCTTCGTTGCAAACGGGGTTTCTTCCTTTCATGCTAGACTAAAAAGAGTTCTCAGTAACATTTTTGTGTTGTGTGTATTCAACTCACAGAGTTGAACCTTGCTTTAGAGAGAGCAGATTTGAAACACTCTTGCTGTGGCATTTTCAGGTGGAGATTTCAAGCGATTTGAGGACAATTGCAGAAAAGGAAATATCTTCGTATAACAACCAGACAGAATCATTCTCAGAAAGTGCTTTGTGATGTGTGCGTTCAACTCACAGAGTTTAACCTTTCTTTTCATAGAGGAGTTTGGAAACACACTGTTTGTAAAGTCTGCAATTGGATATATGGACCTGTTTGAGGCCTTCGTTGGAAACGGGATTTCTTCATTGAATGCTAGACGGAAGAATTCTCAGTAAATTCTTTGTGTGGTGTGCATTCAACTCACAGAGTGGAACGTCCCTTTAGACAGAGCAGATTTGAAACACTCTTTTTGCGGAATTTGCAAGTGGAGATTTCTAGCCATTTGATGCCAACAGTAGAAAGGGAAATATCTTCAAATAAAAACCAGACAGAATCATTCTCAGAAAATTCTTTGTGATGTGTGCGTTCAACTCACATAGTTTAACCTTTCTTTTCATAGAGCAGTTTGGAAACACTCTGTTTGTAAAGTCTGCAAGTGGATATATGGACCGCATTGAGGCCTTCGTTGGAAACGGGATTTCTTCATTTCATGCTAGACAGAAGAATTCTCAGTAACTTCTTTGTGCTGTGTGTATTCAACTCACAGAGTGGAACGTCCCTTTGCACAGAGCAGATTTGAAACACTCTTTTTGTGGAGTTTGCAAGTGGAGATTTCAAGCGATTTGATGCCAACAGTAGAAAAGGAAATATCTTCAAATAAAAACTAGACAGAATCATTCTCAGAAACTACTTTGTGATGTGTGCCTTCAACTCACAGAGTTTAACCTTTCTTTTCTTAGAGCAGTTTAGAAACACTCTGCTTGTTATGTCTGCAAGTGGATATTTGGACCTCTTTGAGGCCTTCGTTGCAAACGGGGTTTCTTCCTTTCATGCTAGACTAAGAAGAGTTCTCAGTAACTTTTTTGTGTTGTGTGTATTCAACTCACAGAGTTGAACCTTGCTTTAGAGAGAGCAGATTTGAAACACTCTTGCTGTGGCATTTTCAGGTGGAGATTTCAAGCGATTTGAGGACAATTGCAGAAAAGGAAATATCTTCGTATAATAACCAGACAGAATCATTCTCAGAAAGTGCTTTGTGATGTGTGCGTTCAACTCACAGAGTTTAACCTTTCTTTTCATAGAGGAGTTTGGAAACACACTGTTTGTAAAGTCTGCAAGTGGATATATGGACCTGTTTGAGGCCTTCGTTGGAAACGGGATTTCTTCATTGAATGCTAGACGGAAGAATTCTCAGTAAATTCTTTGTGTTGTGTGCATTCAACTCACAGAGTGGAACGTCCCTTTAGACAGAGCAGATTTGAAACACTCTTTTTGCGGAATTTGCAAGTGGAGATTTCTAGCCATTTGATGCCAACAGTAGAAAGGGAAATATCTTCAAATAAAAACCAGACAGAATCATTCTCAGAAAATTCTTTGTGATGTGTGGGTTCAACTCACATAGTTTAACCTTTCTTTTCATAGAGCAGTTTGGAAACACTCTGTTTGTAAAGTCTGCAAGTGGATATATGGACCGCATTGAGGCCTTCGTTGGAAACGGGATTTCTTCATTTCATGCGAGACAGAAGAATTCTCAGTAACTTCTTTGTGCTGTGTGTATTCAACTCACAGAGTGGAACGTCCCTTTACACAGAGAAGATTTGAAACACTCTTTTTGTGGAGTTTGCAAGTGGAGATTTCAAGCGATTTGATGCCAACAGTAGAAAAGGAAATATCTTCAAATAAAAACTAGACAGAATCATTCTCAGAAACTACTTTGTGATGTGTGCCTTCAACTCACAGAGTTTAACCTTTCTTTTCTTAGAGCAGTTTAGAAACACTCTGCTTGTTATGTCTGCAAGTGGATATTTGGACCTCTTTGAGGCCTTCGTTGCAAACGGGGTTTCTTCCTTTCATGCTAGACTAAGAAGAGTTCTCAGTAACTTTTTTGTGTTGTGTGTATTCAACTCACAGAGTTGAACCTTGCTTTAGAGAGAGCAGATTTGAAACACTCTTGCTGTGGCATTTTCAGGTGGAGATTTCAAGCGATTTGAGGACAATTGCAGAAAAGGAAATATCTTGGTATAATAACCAGACAGAATCATTCTCAGAAAGTGCTTTGTGATGTGTGCGTTCAACTCACAGAGTTTAACCTTTCTTTTCATAGAGGAGTTTGGAAACACACTGTTTGTAAAGTCTGCAATTGGATATATGGACCTGTTTGAGGCCTTCGTTGGAAACGGGATTTCTTCATTGAATGCTAGACGGAAGAATTCTCAGTAAATTCTTTGTGTTGTGTGCATTCAACTCACAGAGTGGAACGTCCCTTTAGACAGAGCAGATTTGAAACACTCTTTTTGCGGAATTTGCAAGTGGAGATTTCTAGCCATTTGATGCCAACAGTAGAAAGGGAAATATCTTCAAATAAAAACCAGACAGAATCATTCTCAGAAAATTCTTTGTGATGTGTGCGTTCAACTCACATAGTTTAACCTTTCTTTTCATAGAGCAGTTTGGAAACACTCTGTTTGTAAAGTCTGCAAGTGGATATATGGACCGCATTGAGGCCTTCGTTGGAAACGGGATTTCTTCATTTCATGCTAGACAGAAGAATTCTCAGTAACTTCTTTGTGCTGTGTGTATTCAACTCACAGAGTGGAACGTCCCTTTACACAGAGCAGATTTGAAACACTCTTTTTGTGGAGTTTGCAAGTGGAGATTTCAAGCGATTTGATGCCAGCAGTAGAAAAGGAAATATCTTCAAATAAAAACTAGACAGAATCATTCTCAGAAACTACTTTGTGATGTGTGCCTTCAACTCACAGAGTTTAACCTTTCTTTTCTTAGAGCAGTTTAGAAACACTCTGCTTGTTATGTCTGCAAGTGGATATTTGGACCTCTTTGAGGCCTTCGTTGCAAACGGGGTTTCTTCCTTTCATGCTAGACTAAGAAGAGTTCTCAGTAACTTTTTTGTGTTGTGTGTATTCAACTCACAGAGTTGAACCTGGCTTTAGAGAGAGCAGATTTGAAACACTCTTCCTGTGGAATTTTCAGATGGAGATTTCAAGTGATTTCAGGACAATTGCAGAAAAGGAAATATCTTCGTATAATAACCAGACAGAATCATTCTCAGAAAGTGCTTTGTGATGTGTGCGTTCAACTCACAGAGTTTAACCTTTCTTTTCATAGAGGAGTTTGGAAACACACTGTTTGTAAAGTCTGCAAGTGGATATATGGACCTGTTTGAGGCCTTCGTTGGAAACGGGATTTTATCATATAATGCTAGACGGAAGAATTCTCAGTAAATTCTTTGTGTTGTGTGCATTCAACTCACAGAGTGGAACGTCCCTTTAGAGAGAGCAGAGTTGAAACACTCTTTTTGCGGAATTTGCAAGTGGAGATTTCTAGCCATTTGATGCCAACAGTAGAAAGGGAAATATCTTCAAATAAAAACTAGACAGAATCATCCTCAGAAAATTCTTTGTGATGTGTGCGTTCAACTCACATAGTTTAACCTTTCTTTTCATAGAGCAGTTTGGAAACACTCTGTTTGTAAAGTCTGCAAGTGGATATATGGACCGCATTGAGGTCTTCGTTGGAAACGGGATTTCTTCATTTCATGCTAGACAGAAGAATTCTCAGTAACTTCTTTGTGCTGTGTGTATTCAACTCACAGAGTGGATCGTCCCTTTGCACAGAGCAGATTTGAAACACTCTTTTTGTGGAATTTGAAAGTGGAGATTTCAAGCGATTTGATGCCAACAGTAGAAAAGGAAATATCTTCAACAAAAAACTAGACAGAATCATTCTCAGAAACTACTTTGTGATGTGTGCCTTCAACTCACAGAGTTTAACCTTTCTTTTCTTAGAGCAGTTTAGAAACACTCTGCTTGTTATGTCTGCAAGTGGATATTTGGACCTCTTTGAGGCCTTCGTTGCAAACGGGGTTTCTTCCTTTCATGCTAGACTAAGAAGAGTTCTCAGTAACTTTTTTGTGTTGTGTGTATTCAACTCACAGAGTTGAACCTTGCTTTAGAGAGAGCAGATTTGAAACACTCTTGCTGTGGCATTTTCAGGTGGAGATTTCAAGCGATTTGAGGACAATTGCAGAAAAGGAAATATCTTCGTATAATAACCAGACAGAATCATTCTCAGAAAGTGCTTTGTGATGTGTGCGTTCAACTCACAGAGTTTAACCTTTCTTTTCATAGAGGAGTTTGGAAACACACTGTTTGTAAAGTCTGCAAGTGGATATATGGACCTGTTTGAGGCCTTCGTTGGAAACGGGATTTCTTCATTGAATGCTAGACGGAAGAATTCTCAGTAAATTCTTTGTGTTGTGTGCATTCAACTCACAGAGTGGAACGTCCCTTTAGACAGAGCAGATTTGAAACACTCTTTTTGCGGAATTTGCAAGTGGAGATTTCTAGCCATTTGATGCCAACAGTAGAAAGGGAAATATCTTCAAATAGAAACCAGACAGAATCATTCTCAGAAAATTCTTTGTGATGTGTGCGTTCAACTCACATAGTTTAACCTTTCTTTTCATAGAGCAGTTTGGAAACACTCTGTTTGTAAAGTCTGCAAGTGGATATATGGACCGCATTGAGGCCTTCGTTTGAAACGGGATTTCTTCATTTCATGCTAGACAGAACAATTCTCAGTAACTTTTTTGTGCTGTGTGTATTCAACTCACAGAGTGGAACGTCCCTTTGCACAGAGCAGATTTGAAACACTCTTTTTGTGGAATTTGCAAGTGGAGATTTCAAGCGATTTGATGCCAACAGTAGAAAAGGAAATATCTTCAAATAAAAACTAGACAGAAATCATTCTCAGAAACTACTTTGTGATGTGTGCCTTCAACTCACAGAGTTTAACCTTTCTTTTCTTAGAGCAGTTTAGAAACACTCTGCTTGTTATGTCTGCAAGTGGATATTTGGACCTCTTTGAGGCCTTCGTTGCAAACGGGGTTTCTTCCTTTCATGCTAGACTAAGAAGAGTTCTCAGTAACTTTTTTGTGTTGTGTGTATTCAACTCACAGAGTTGAACCTTGCTTTAGAGAGAGCAGATTTGAAACACTCTTGCTGTGGCATTTTCAGGTGGAGATTTCAAGCGATTTGAGGACAATTGCAGAAAAGGAAATATCTTCGTATAATAACCAGACAGAATCATTCTCAGAAAGTGCTTTGTGATGTGTGCGTTCAACTCACAGAGTTTAACCTTTCTTTTCATAGAGGAGTTTGGAAACACACTGTTTGTAAAGTCTGCAAGTGGATATATGGACCTGTTTGAGGCCTTCGTTGGAAACGGGATTTCTTCATTGAATGCTAGACGGAAGAATTCTCAGTAAATTCTTTGTGTTGTGTGCATTCAACTCACAGAGTGGAACGTCCCTTTAGACAGAGCAGATTTGAAACACTCTTTTTGCGGAATTTGCAAGTGGAGATTTCTAGCCATTTGATGCCAACAGTAGAAAGGGAAATATCTTCAAATAAAAACCAGACAGAATCATTCTCAGAAAATTCTTTGTGATGTGTGCGTTCAACTCACATAGTTTAACCTTTCTTTTCATAGAGCAGTTTGGAAACACTCTGTTTGTAAAGTCTGCAAGTGGATATATGGACCGCATTGAGGCCTTCGTTGGAAACGGGATTTCTTCATTTCATGCTAGACAGAAGAATTCTCAGTAACTTCTTTGTGCTGTGTGTATTCAACTCACAGAGTGCAACGTCCCTTTACACAGAGCAGATTTGAAACACTCTTTTTGTGGAGTTTGCAAGTGGAGATTTCAAGCGATTTTATGCCAACAGTAGAAAAGGAAATATCTTCAAATAAAAACTAGACAGAATCATTCTCAGAAACTACTTTGTGATGTGTGCCTTCAACTCACAGAGTTTAACCTTTCTTTTCTTAGAGCAGTTTAGAAACACTCTGCTTGTTATGTCTGCAAGTGGATATTTGGACCTCTTTGAGGCCTTCGTTGCAAACGGGGTTTCTTCCTTTCATGCTAGACTAAGAAGAGTTCTCAGTAACTTTTTTGTGTTGTGTGTATTCAACTCACAGAGTTGAACCTTGCTTTAGAGAGAGCAGATTTGAAACACTCTTGCTGTGGCATTTTCAGGTGGAGATTTCAAGCGATTTGAGGACAATTGCAGAAAAGGAAATATCTTTGTATAACAACCAGACAGAATCATTCTCAGAAAGTGCTTTGTGATGTGTTCGTTCAACTCACAGAGTTTAACCTTTCTTTTCATAGAGGAGTTTGGAAACACACTGTTTGTAAAGTCTGCAATTGGATATATGCACCTGTTTGAGGCCTTCGTTGGAAACGGGATTTCTTCATTGAATGCTAGACGGAAGAATTCTCAGTAACTTCTTTGTGCTGTGTGTATTCAACTCACAGAGTGGAACGTCCCTTTAGACAGAGCAGATTTGAAACACTCTTTTTGCGGAATTTGCAAGTGGAGATTTCTAGCCATTTGATGCCAACAGTAGAAAGGGAAATATCTTCAAATAAAAACCAGACAGAATCATTCTCAGAAAATTCTTTGTGATGTGTGCGTTCAACTCACATAGTTTAACCTTTCTTTTCATAGAACAGTTTGGAAACACTCTGTTTGTAAAGTCTGCAAGTGGATATATGGACCGCATTGAGGCCTTCGTTGGAAACGGGATTTCTTCATTTCATGCTAGACAGAAGAATTCTCAGTAACTTCTTTGTGCTGTGTGTATTCAACTCACAGAGTGGAACGTCCCTTTGCACAGAGCAGATTTGAAACACTCTTTTTGTGGAATTTGCAAGTGGAGATTTCAAGCGATTTGATGCCAACAGTAGAAAAGGAAATATCTTCAAATAAAAACTAGACAGAATCATTCTCAGAAACTACTTTGTGATGTGTGCCTTCAACTCACAGAGTTTAACCTTTCTTTTCTTAGAGCAGTTTAGAAACACTCTGCTTGTTATGTCTGCAAGTGGATATTTGGACCTCTTTGAGGCCTTCGTTGCAAACGGGGTTTCTTCCTTTCATGCTAGACTAAGAAGAGTTCTCAGTAACTTTTTTGTGTTGTGTGTATTCAACTCACAGAGTTGAACCTTGCTTTAGAGAGAGCAGATTTGAAACACTCTTGCTGTGGCATTTTCAGGTGGAGATTTCAAGCGATTTGAGGACAATTGCAGAAAAGGAAATATCTTCGTATAATAACCAGACAGAATCATTCTCAGAAAGTGCTTTGTGATGTGTGCGTTCAACTCACAGAGTTTAACCTTTCTTTTCATAGAGGAGTTTGGAAACACACTGTTTGTAAAGTCTGCAATTGGATATATGGACCTGTTTGAGGCCTTCGTTGGAAACGGGATTTCTTCATTGAATGCTAGGCGGAAGAATTCTCAGTAAATTCTTTGTGTTGTGTGCATTCAACTCACAGAGTGGAACGTCCCTTTAGACAGAGCAGATTTGAAACACTCTTTTTGCGGAATTTGCAAGTGGAGATTTCTAGCCATTTGATGCCAACAGTAGAAAGGGAAATATCTTCAAATAAAAACCAGACAGAATCATTCTCAGAAAATTCTTTGTGATGTGTGCGTTCAACTCACATAGTTTAACCTTTCTTTTCATAGAGCAGTTTGGGAACACTCTGTTGGTAATGTCTGCAAGTGGATATATGGACCGCTTTGAGGCCTTCGTTGGAAACGGGATTTCTTCATTTCATGCTAGACAGAAGAATTCTCAGTAACTTCTTTGTGTTGTGTGTATTCAACTCACAGATTGGAACGTCCCTTTACACAGAGCAGATTTGAAACACTCTTTTTGTGGAATTTGCAAGTGGAGATTTCAAGCGATTTGATGCCAACAGTAGAAAAGGAAATATCTGCAAACAAAAACTAGACAGAATCATTATCAGAAAGTGCTTTGTGATGTGTGCATTCAACTCACAGAGTTAACCTTTCTTTTCATAAAGGAGTTTGGAAACACACTGTTTGTAAAGTCTGCAATTGGATATATGGACCTGTTTGAGGCCTTCGTTGGAAACGGGATTTCTTCATTGAATGCTAGACGGAAGAATTCTCAGTAAATTCTTTGCGTTGTGTGCATTCAACTCACAGAGTGGAACGTTCCTTTAGACAGAGCAGATTTGAAACACTCTTTTTGCGGAATTTGCAAGTGGAGATTTCTAGCCATTTGATGCCAACAGTAGAAAGGGAAATATCTTCAAATAAAAACCAGACAGAATCATTCTCAGAAAATTCTTTGTGATGTGTGCGTTCAACTCACATAGTTTAACCTTTCTTTTCATAGAGCAGTTTGGAAACACTCTGTTTGTAAAGTCTGCAAGTGGATCTATGGACCGCATTGAGGCCTTCGTTGGAAACGGGATTTCTTCATTTCATGCTAGACAGAAGAATTCTCAGTAACTTCTTTGTGCTGTGTGTATTCAACTCACAGAGTGGAACGTCCCTTTGCACAGAGCAGATTTGAAACACTCTTTTTGTGGAGTTTGCAAGTGGAGATTTCAAGCGATTTGATGCCAACAGTAGAAAAGGAAGTATCTTCAAATAAAAACTAGACAGAATCATTCTCAGAAACTACTTTGTGATGTGTGCCTTCAACTCACAGAGTTTAACCTTTCTTTTCTTAGAGCAGCTTAGAAACACTCTGCTTGTTATGTCTGCAAGTGGATATTTGGACCTCTTTGAGGCCTTCGTTGCAAACGGGGTTTCTTCCTTTAATGCTAGACTAAGAAGAGTTCTCAGTAACTTTTTTGTGTTGTGTGTATTCAACTCACAGAGTTGAACCTTGCTTTAGAGAGAGCAGATTTGAAACACTCTCGCTGTGGCATTTTCAGGTGGAGATTTCAAACGATTTGAGGACAATTGCAGAAAAGGAAATATCTTCGTATAATAACCAGACAGAATCATTCTCAGAAAGTGCTTTGTGATGTGTGCGTTCAACTCACAGAGTTTAACCTTTCTTTTCATAGAGGAGTTTGGAAACACACTGTTTGTAAAGTCTGCAAGTGGATATATGGACCTGTTTGAGGCCTTCGTTGGAAACGGGATTTCTTCATTGAATGCTAGACGGAAGAATTCTCAGTAAATTCTCTGTGTTGTGTGCATTCAACTGACAGAGTGGAACGTCCCTTTAGACAGAGCAGATTTGAAACACTCTTTTTGCGGAATTTGCAAGTGGAGATTTCTAGCCATTTGATGCCAACTGTAGAAAGGGAAATATCTTCAAATAAAAACCAGACAGAATCATTCTCAGAAAATTCTTTGTGATGTGTGCGTTCAACTCACATAGTTTAACCTTTCTTTTCATAGAGCAGTTTGGAAACACTCTGTTTGTAAAGTCTGCAAGTGGATATATGGACCGCATTGAGGCCTTCGTTGGAAACGGGATTTCTTCATTTCATGCTAGACAGAAGAATTCTCAGTAACTTCTTTGTGCTGTGTGTATTCAACTCACAGAGTGGAACGTCCCTTTACACAGAGCAGATTTGAAACACTCTTTTTGTGGAGTTTGCAAGTGGAGATTTCAAGCGATTTGATGCCAACAGTAGAAAAGGAAATATCTTCAAATAAAAACTAGACAGAATCATTCTCAGAAACTACTTTGTGATGTGTGCCTTCAACTCACAGAGTTTAACCTTTCTTTTCTTAGAGCAGTTTAGAAACACTCTGCTTGTTATGTCTGCAAGTGGATATTTGGACCTCTTTGAGGCCTTCGTTGCAAACGGGGTTTCTTCCTTTCATGCTAGACTAAGAAGAGTTCTCAGTAACTTTTCTGTGTTGTGTGTATTCAACTCACAGAGTTGAACCTTGCTTTAGAGAGAGCAGATTTGAAACACTCTTGCTGTGACATTTTCAGGTGGAGATTTCAAGCGATTTGAGGACAATTGCAGAAAAGGAAATATCTTCGTATAACAACCAGACAGAATCATTCTCAGAAAGTGCTTTGTGATGTGTGCGTTCCACTCACAGAGTTTAACCTTTCTTTTCATAGAGGAGTTTGGAAACACACTGTTTGTAAAGTCTGCAATTGGATATATGGACCTGTTTGAGGCCTTCGTTGGAAACGGGATTTCTTCATTGAATGCTAGACGGAAGAATTCTCAGTAAATTCTTTGTGTTGTGTGCATTCAACTCACAGAGTGGAACGTCCCTTTAGACAGAGCAGATTTGAAACACTCTTTTTGCGGAATTTGCAAGTGGAGATTTCTAGCCATTTGATGCCAACAGTAGAAAGGGAAATATCTTCAAATAAAAACCAGACAGAATCATTCTCAGAAAATTCTTTCTGATGTGTGCATTCAACTCACATAGTTTAACCTTTCTTTTCATAGAGCAGTTTGGAAACACTCTGTTTGTAAAGTCTGCAAGTGGATATATGGACCGCATTGAGGCCTTCGTTGGAAACGGGATTTCTTCATTTCATGCTAGACAGAAGAATTCTCAGTAACTTCCTTGGGCTGTGTGTATTCAACTCACAGAGTGGAACGTCCCTTTGCACAGAGCAGATTTGAAACACTCTTTTTTGTGGAATTTGCAAGTGGAGATTTCAAGCGATTTGATGCCAACAGTAGAAAAGGAAATATCTTCAAATAAAAACTAGACAGAATCATTCTCAGAAACTACTTTGTGATGTGTGCCTTCAACTCACAGAGTTTAACCTTTCTTTTCTTAGAGCAGTTTAGAAACACTCTGCTTGTTATGTCTGCAAGTGGATATTTGGACCTCTTTGAGGCCTTCGTTGCAAACGGGGTTTCTTCCTTTCATGCTAGACTAAGAAGAGTTCTCAGTAACTTTTTTGTGTTGTGTGTATTCAACTCACAGAGTTGAACCTTGCTTTAGAGAGAGCAGATTTGAAACACTCTTGCTGTGGCATTTTCAGGTGGAGATTTCAAGCGATTTGAGGACAATTGCAGAAAAGGAAATATCTTCGTATAATAACCAGACAGAATCATTCTCAGAAAGTGCTTTGTGATGTGTGCGTTCCACTCACAGAGTTTAACCTTTCTTTTCATAGAGGAGTTTGGAAACACACTGTTTGTAAAGTCTGCAAGTGGATATATGGACCTGTTTGAGGCCTTCGTTGGAAACGGGATTTCTTCATTGAATGCTAGACGGAAGAATTCTCAGTAAATTCTTTGTGTTGTGTGCATTCAACTCACAGAGTGGAACGTCCCTTTAGACAGAGCAGATTTGAAACACTCTTTTTGCGGAATTTGCAAGTGGAGATTTCTAGCCATTTGATGCCAACAGTAGAAAGGGAAATATCTTCAAATAAAAACCAGACAGAATCATTCTCAGAAAATTCTTTGTGATGTGTGCGTTCAACTCACATAGTTTAACCTTTCTTTTCATAGAGCAGTTTGGAAACACTCTGTTTGTAAAGTCTGCAAGTGGATATATGGACCGCATTGAGGCCTTCGTTGGAAACGGGATTTCTTCATTTCATGCTAGACAGAAGAATTCTCAGTAACTTCTTTGTGCTGTGTGTATTCAACTCACAGAGTGGAACGTCCCTTTACACAGAGCAGATTTGAAACACTCTTTTTGTGGAGTTTGCAATTGGAGATTTCAAGCGATTTGATGCCAACAGTAGAAAAGGAAATATCTTCAAATAAAAACTAGACAGAATCATTCTCAGAAACTACTTTGTGATGTGTGCCTTCAACTCACAGAGTTTAACCTTTCTTTTCTTAGAGCAGTTTAGAAACACTCTGCTTGTTATGTCTGCAAGTGGATATTTGGACCTCTTTGAGGCCTTCGTTGCAAACGGGGTTTCTTCCTTTCATGCTAGACTAAGAAGAGTTCTCAGTAACTTTTTTGTGTTGTGTGTATTCAACTCACAGAGTTGAACCTTGCTTTAGAGAGAGCAGATTTGAAACACTCTTGCTGTGGCATTTTCAGGTGGAGATTTCAAGCGATTTGAGGACAATTGCAGAAAAGGAAATATCTTCGTATAACAACCAGACAGAATCATTCTCAGAAAGTGCTTTGTGATGTGTGCGTTCAACTCACAGAGTTTAACCTTTCTTTTCATTGAGGAGTTTGGAAACACACTGTTTGTAAAGTCTGCAATTGGATATATGGACGTGTTTGAGGCCTTCGTTGGAAACGGGATTTCTTCATTGAATGCTAGACGGAAGAATTCTCAGTAAATTCTTTGTGTTGTGTGCATTCAACTCACAGAGTGGAACGTCCCTTTAGACAGAGCAGATTTGAAACACTCTTTTTGCGGAATTTGTAAGTGGAGATTTCTAGCCATTTGATGCCAACAGTAGAAAGGGAAATATCTTCAAATAAAAACCAGACAGAATCATTCTCAGAAAATTCTTTGTGATGTGTGCGTTCAACTCACATAGTTTAACCTTTCTTTTCATAGAGCAGTTTGGAAACACTCTGTTTGTGAAGTCTGCAAGTGGATATATAGACCGCATTGAGGCCTTCGTTGGAAACGGGATTTCTTCATTTCATGCTAGACAGAAGAATTCTCAGTAACTTCTTTGTGCTGTGTGTATTCAACTCACAGAGTGGAACGTCCCTTTGCACAGAGCAGATTTGAAACACTCTTTTTGTGGAGTTTGCAAGTGGAGATTTCAAGCGATTTGATGCCAACAGTAGAAAAGGAAATATCTTCAAATAAAAACTAGACAGAATCATTCTCAGAAACTACTTTGTGATGTGTGCCTTCAACTCACAGAGTTTAACCTTTCTTTTCTTAGAGCAGTTTAGAAACACTCTGCTTGTTATGTCTGCAAGTGGATATTTGGACCTCTTTGAGGCCTTCGTTGCAAACGGGGTTTCTTCCTTTCATGCTAGACTAAGAAGAGTTCTCAGTAACTTTTTTGTGTTGTGTGTATTCAACTCACAGAGTTGAACCTTGCTTTAGAGAGAGCAGATTTGAAACACTCTTGCTGTGGCATTTTCAGGTGGAGATTTCAAGCGATTTGAGGACAATTGCAGAAAAGGAAATATCTTCGTATAATAACCAGACAGAATCATTCTCAGAAAGTGCTTTGTGATGTGTGCGTTCAACTCACAGAGTTTAACCTTTCTTTTCATAGAGGAGTTTGGAAACACACTGTTTGTAAAGTCTGCAATTGGATATATGGACCTGTTTGAGGCCTTCGTTGGAAACGGGATTTCTTCATTGAATGCTAGACGGAAGAAATCTCAGTAAATTCTTTGTGTTGTGTGCATTCAACTCACAGAGTGGAACGTCCCTTTAGACAGAGCAGATTTGAAACACTCTTTTTGGGGAATTTGCAAGTGGAGATTTCTAGCCATTTGATGCCAACAGTAGAAAGGGAAATATCTTCAAATAAAAACCAGACAGAATCATTCTCAGAAAATTCTTTGTGATGTGTGCGTTCAACTCACATAGTTTAACCTTTCTTTTCATAGAGCAGTTTGGAAACACTCTGTTTGTAAAGTCTGCAAGTGGATATATGGACCGCATTGAGGCCTTCGTTGGAAACGGGATTTCTTCATTTCATGCTAGACAGAAGAATTCTCAGTAACTTCTTTGTGCTGTGTGTATTCAACTCACAGAGTGGAACGTCCCTTTGCACAGAGCAGATTTGAAACACTCTTTGTGGAATTTGCAAGTGGAGATTTCAAGCGATTTGATGCCAACAGTAGAAAAGGAAATATCTTCAAATAAAAACTAGACAGAATCATTTAGAAACTACTTTGTGATGTGTGCCTTCAACTCACAGAGTTTAACCTTTCTTTTCTTAGAGCAGTTTAGAAACACTCTGCTTGTTATGTCTGCAAGTGGATATTTGGACCTCTTTGAGGCCTTCGTTGGAAACGGGATTTCTTCATTGAATGCTAGACGGAAGAATTCTCAGTAAATTCTTTGTGTTGTGTGCATTCAACTCACAGAGTGGAACGTCCCTTTAGACAGAGCAGATTTGAAACACTCTTTTTGCGGAATTTGCAAGTGGAGATTTCTAGCCATTTGATGCCAACAGTAGAAAGGGAAATATCTTCAAATAAAAACCAGACAGAATCATTCTCAGAAAATTCTTTGTGATGTGTGCGTTCAACTCACATAGTTTAACCTTTCTTTTCATAGAGCAGTTTGGAAACACTCTGTTTGTAAAGTCTGCAAGTGGATATATGGACCGCATTGAGGCCTTCATTGGAAACGGGATTTCTTCATTTCATGCTAGACAGAAGAATTCTCAGTAACTTCTTTGTGCTGTGTGTATTCAACTCACAGAGTGGAACGTCCCTTTGCACAGAGCAGATTTGAAACACTCTTTTTGTGGAATTTGCAAGTGGAGATTTCAAGCGATTTGATGCCAACAGTAGAAAAGGAAATATCTTCAAATAAAAACTAGACAGAATCATTCTCAGAAACTACTTTGTGATGTGTGCCTTCAACTCACAGAGTTTAACCTTTCTTTTCTTAGAGCAGTTTAGAAACACTCTGCTTCTTATGTCTGCAAGTGGATATTTGGACCTCTTTGAGGCCTTCGTTGCAAACGGGGTTTCTTCCTTTCATGCTAGACTAAGAAGAGTTCTCAGTAACTTTTTTGTGTTGTGTGTATTCAACTCACAGAGTTGAACCTTGCTTTAGAGAGAGCAGATTTGAAACACT
This sequence comes from Homo sapiens, assembly GCF_000001405.40. Lineage (NCBI taxonomy): Eukaryota > Metazoa > Chordata > Mammalia > Primates > Hominidae > Homo > Homo sapiens. The sequence continues at coordinate 59,562,639 of NC_000007.14, forward strand.
CTTGCTGTGGCATTTTCAGGTGGAGATTTCAAGCGTTTTGAGGACAATTGCAGAAAAGGAAATATCTTCGTATAATAACCAGACAGAATCATTCTCAGAAAGTGCTTTGTGATGTGTGCGTTCCACTCACAGAGTTTAACCTTTCTTTTCATAGAGGAGTTTGGAAACACACTGTTTGTAAACTCTGCAAGTGGATATATGGACCTGTTTGAGGCCTTCGTTGGAAACGGGATTTCTTCATTGAATGCTAGACGGAGGAATTCTCAGTAAATTCTTTGTGTTGTGTGCATTCAACTCACAGAGTGGAACGTCCCTTTAGACAGAGCAGATTTGAAACACTCTTTTTGCGGAATTTGCAAGTGGAGATTTCTAGCCATTTGATGCCAACAGTAGAAAGGGAAATATCTTCAAATAAAAACCAGACAGAATCATTCTCAGAAAATTCTTTGTGATGTGTGCGTTCAACTCACATAGTTTAACCTTTCTTTTCATAGAGCAGTTTGGAAACACTCTGTTTGTGATGTCTGCAAGTGGATATATAGACCGCATTGAGGCCTTCGTTGGAAACGGGATTTCTTCATTTCATGCTAGACAGAAGAATTCTCAGTAACTTCTTTGTGCTGTGTGTATTCAACTCACAGAGTGGAACGTCCCTTTGCACAGAGCAGATTTGAAACACTCTTTTTGTGGAGTTTGCAAGTGGAGATTTCAAGCGATTTGATGCCAACAGTAGAAAAGGAAATATCTTCAAATAAAAACTAGACAGAATCATTCTCAGAAACTACTTTGTGATGTGTGCCTTCAACTCACAGAGTTTAACCTTTCTTTTCTTAGAGCAGTTTAGAAACACTCTGCTTGTTATGTCTGCAAGTGGATATTTGGACCTCTTTGAGGCCTTCGTTGCAAACGGGGTTTCTTCCTTTCATGCTAGACTAAGAAGAGTTCTCAGTAACTTTTTTGTGTTGTGTGCATTCAACTCACAGAGTGGAACGTCCCTTTAGACAGAGCAGATTTGAAACACTCTTTTTGCGGAAGTTGCAAGTGGAGATTTCTAGCCATTTGATGCCAACAGTACAAAGGGAAATATCTTCAAATAAAAACTAGACAGAATCATTCTCAGAAAGTGCTTTGTGATGTGTGCGTTCAACTCACAGAGTTTAACCTTTCTTTTCATAGAGGAGTTTGGAAACACACTGTTTGTAAAGTCTGCAATTGGATATATGGACCTGTTTGAGGCCTTCATTGGAAACGGGATTTCTTCATTGAATGCTAGACGGAAGAATTCTCAGTAAATTCTTTGTGTGGTGTGCATTCAACTCACAGAGTGGAACGTCCCTTTAGACAGAGCAGATTTGAAACACTCTTTTTGCGGAATTTGCAAGTGGAGATTTCTAGCCATTTGATGCCAACAGTAGAAAGGGAAATATCTTCAAATAAAAACCAGACAGAATCATTCTCAGAAAATTCTTTGTGATGTGTGCGTTCAACTCACATAGTTTAACCTTTCTTTTCATAGAGCAGTTTGGAAACACTCTGTTTGTAAAGTCTGCAAGTGGATATATGGACCGCATTGAGGCCTTCGTTGGAAACGGGATTTCTTCATTTCATGCTAGACAGAAGAATTCTCAGTAACTTCTTTGTGCTGTGTGTATTCAACTCACAGAGTGGAACGTCCCTTTGCACAGAGCAGATTTGAAACACTCTTTTTGTGGAATTTGCAAGTGGAGATTTCAAGCGATTTGATGCCAACAGTAGAAAAGGAAATATCTTCAAATAAAAACTAGACAGAATCATTCTCAGAAACTACTTTGTGATGTGTGCCTTCAACTCACAGAGTTTAACCTTTCTTTTCTTAGAGCAGTTTAGAAACACTCTGCTTGTTATGTCTGCAAGTGGATATTTGGACCTCTTTGAGGCCTTCGTTGCAAACGGGGTTTCTTCCTTTCATGCTAGACTAAGAAGAGTTCTCAGTAACTTTTTTGTGTTGTGTGTATTCAACTCACAGAGTTGAACCTTGCTTTAGAGAGAGCAGATTTGAAACACTCTTGCTGTGGCATTTTCAGGTGGAGATTTCAAGCGATTTGAGGACAATTGCAGAAAAGGAAATATCTTCGTATAACAACCAGACAGAATCATTCTCAGAAAGTGCTTTGTGATGTGTGCGTTCCACTCACAGAGTTTAACCTTTCTTTTCATAGAGGAGTTTGGAAACACACTGTTTGTAAAGTCTGCAAGTGGATATATGGACCTGTTTGAGGCCTTCGTTGGAAACGGGATTTCTTCATTGAATGCTAGACGGAAGAATTCTCAGTAAATTCTTTGTGTTGTGTGCATTCAACTCACAGAGTGGAACGTCCCTTTAGACAGAGCAGATTTGAAACACTCTTTTTGCGGAATTTGCAAGTGGAGATTTCTAGCCATTTGATGCCAACAGTAGAAAGGGAAATATCTTCAAATAAAAACCAGACAGAATCATTCTCAGAAAATTCTTTGTGATGTGTGCGTTCAACTCACATAGTTTAACCTTTCTTTTCATAGAGCAGTTTGGAAACACTCTGTTTGTAAAGTCTGCAAGTGGATATATGGACCGCATTGAGGCCTTCGTTGGAAACGGGATTTCTTCATTTCATGCTAGACAGAAGAATTCTCAGTAACTTCTTTGTGCTGTGTGTATTCAACTCACAGAGTGGAACGTCCCTTTACACAGAGCAGATTTGAAACACTCTTTTTGTGGAGTTTGCAAGTGGAGATTTCAAGCGATTTGATGCCAACAGTAGAAAAGGAAATATCTTCAAATAAAAACTAGACAGAATCATTCTCAGAAACTACTTTGTGATGTGTGCCTTCAACTCACAGAGTTTAACCTTTCTTTTCTTAGAGCACTTTAGAAACACTCTGCTTGTTATGTCTGCAAGTGGATATTTGGACCTCTTTGAGGCCTTCGTTGCAAACGGGGTTTCTTCCTTTCATGCTAGACTAAGAAGAGTTCTCAGTAACTTTTTTGTGTTGTGTGTATTCAACTCACAGAGTTGAACCTTGCTTTAGAGAGAGCAGATTTGAAACACTCTTGCTGTGGCATTTTCAGGTGGAGATTTCAAGCGATTTGAGGACAATTGCAGAAAAGGAAATATCTTCGTATAATAACCAGACAGAATCATTCTCAGAAAGTGCTTTGTGTTGTGTGCGTTCAACTCACAGAGTTTAACCTTTCTTTTCATAGAGGAGTTTGGAAACACACTGTTTGTAAAGTCTGCAATTGGATATATGGACCTGTTTGAGGCCTTCGTTGGAAACGGGATTTCTTCATTGAATGCTAGACGGAAGAATTCTCAGTAAATTCTTTGTGTTGTGTGCATTCAACTGACAGAGTGGAACGTCCCTTTAGACAGAGCAGAATTGAAACACTCTTTTTGCGGAATTTGCAAGTGGAGATTTCTAGCCATTTGATGCCAACAGTAGAAAGGGAAATATCTTCAAATAAAAACCAGACAGAATCATTCTCAGAAAATTCTTTGTGATGTGTGCGTTCAACTCACATAGTTTAACCTTTCTTTTCATAGAGCAGTTTGGAAACACTCTGTTTGTAAAGTCTGCAAGTGGATATATGGACCGCATTGAGGCCTTCGTTGGAAACGGGATTTCTTCATTTCATGCTAGACAGAAGAATTCTCAGTAACTTCTTTGTGCTGTGTGTATTCAACTCACAGAGTGGAACGTCCCTTTGCACAGAGCAGATTTGAAACACTCTTTTTGTGGAGTTTGCAAGTGGAGATTTCAAGCGATTTGATGCCAACAGTAGAAAAGGAAATATCTTCAAATAAAAACTAGACAGAATCATTCTCAGAAACTACTTTGTGATGTGTGCCTTCAACTCACAGAGTTTAACCTTTCTTTTCTTAGAGCAGTTTAGAAACACTCTGCTTGTTATGTCTGCAAGTGGATATTTGGACCTCTTTGAGGCCTTCGTTGCAAACGGGGTTTCTTCCTTTCATGCTAGACTAAGAAGAGTTCTCAGTAACTTTTTTGTGTTGTGTGTATTCAACTCACAGAGTTGAACCTTGCTTTAGAGAGAGCAGATTTGAAACACTCTTGCTGTGGAATTTTCAGGTGGAGATTTCAAGCGATTTGAGGACAATTGCAGAAAAGGAAATATCTTCGTATAATAACCAGACAGAATCATTCTCAGAAAGTGCTTTGTGATGTGTGCGTTCAACTCACAGAGTTTAACCTTTCTTTTCATAGAGGAGTTTGGAAACACACTGTTTGTAAAGTCTGCAATTGGATATATGGACCTGTTTGAGGCCTTCGTTGGAAACGGGATTTCTTCATTGAATGCTAGACGGAAGAATTCTCAGTAAATTCTTTGTGTTGTGTGCATTCAACTCACAGAGTGGAACGTCCCTTTAGACAGAGCAGATTTGAAACACTCTTTTTGCGGAATTTGCAAGTGGAGATTTCTAGCCATTTGATGCCAACAGTAGAAAGGGAAATATCTTCAAATAAAAACCAGACAGAATCATTCTCAGAAAATTCTTTGTGATGTGTGCGTTCAACTCACATAGTTTAACCTTTCTTTTCATAGAGCAGTTTGGAAACACTCTGTTTGTAAAGTCTGCAAGTGGATATATGGACCGCATTGAGGCCTTCGTTGGAAACGGGATTTCTTCATTTCATGCTAGACAGAAGAATTCTCAGTAACTTCTTTGTGCTGTGTGTATTCAACTCACAGAGTGGAACGTCCCTTTGCACAGAGCAGATTTGAAACACTCTTTTTGTGGAATTTGCAAGTGGAGATTTCAAGCGATTTGACGCCAACAGTAGAAAAGGAAATATCTTCAAATAAAAACTAGACAGAATCATTCTCAGAAACTGCTTTGTGATGTGTGCCTTCAACTCACAGAGTTTAACCTTTCTTTTCTTAGAGCAGTTTAGAAACACTCTGCTTGTTATGTCTGCAAGTGGATATTTGGACCTCTTTGAGGCCTTCGTTGCAAACGGGGTTTCTTCCTTTCATGCTAGACTAAGAAGAGTTCTCAGTAACTTTTTTGTGTTGTGTGTATTCAACTCACAGAGTTGAACCTTGCTTTAGAGAGAGCAGATTTGAAACACTCTTGCTGTGGCATTTTCAGGTGGAGATTTCAAGCGATTTGTGGACAATTGCAGAAAAGGAAATATCTTCGTATAATAACCAGACAGAATCATTCTCAGAAAGTGCTTTGTGATGTGTGCGTTCAACTCACAGAGTTTAACCTTTCTTTTCATAGAGGAGTTTGGAAACACACTGTTTGTAAAGTCTGCAATTGGATATATGGACCTGTTTGAGGCCTTCGTTGGAAACGGGATTTCTTCATTGAATGCTAGACGGAAGAATTCTCAGTAAATTCTTTGTGTTGTGTGCATTCAACTCACAGAGTGGAACGTCCCTTTAGACAGAGCAGATTTGAAACACTCTTTTTGCGGAATTTGCAAGTGGAGATTTCTAGCCATTTGATGCCAACAGTAGAAAGGGAAATATCTTCAAATAAAAACCAGACAGAATCATTCTCAGAAAATTCTTTGTGATGTGTGCGTTCAACTCACATAGTTTAACCTTTCTTTTCATAGAGCAGTTTGGAAACACTCTGTTTGTAAAGTCTGCAAGTGGATATATGGACCGCATTGAGGCCTTCGTTGGAAACGGGATTTCTTCATTTCATGCTAGACAGAAGAATTCTCAGTAACTTCTTTGTGCTGTGTGTATTCACCTCAGAGAGTTGAACCTTGCTTTAGAGAGAGCAGATTTGAAACACTCTTGCTGTGGCATTTTCAGGTGGAGATTTCAAGCGATTTGAGGAAAATTGCAGAAAAGGGAATATCTTCGTATAATAACCAGACAGAATCATTCTCAGAAAGTGCTTTGTGATGTGTGCGTTCCACTCACAGAGTTTAACCTTTCTTTTCATAGAGGAGTTTGGAAACACACTGTTTGTAAACTCTGCAAGTGGATATATGGACCTGTTTGAGGCCTTCGTTGGAAACGGGATTTCTTCATTGAATGCTAGACGGAAGAATTCTCAGTAAATTCTTTGTGTTGTGTGCATTCAACTCACAGAGTGGAACGTCCCTTTAGACAGAGCAGATTTGAAACACTCTTTTTGCGGAATTTGCAAGTGGAGATTTCTAGCCATTTGATGCCAACAGTAGAAAGGGAAATATCTTCAAATAAAAACCAGACAGAATCATTCTCAGAAAATTCTTTGTGATGTGTGCGTTCAACTCACATAGTTTAACCTTTCTTTTCATAGAGCAGTTTGGAAACACTCTGTTTGTAAAGTCTGCAAGTGGATATATGGACCGCATTGAGGCCTTCGTTGGAAACGGGATTTCTTCATTTCATGCTAGACAGAAGAATTCTCAGTAACTTCTTTGTGCTGTGTGTATTCAACTCACAGAGTGGAACGTCCCTTTGCACAGAGCAGATTTGAAACACTCTTTTTGTGGAGTTTGCAAGTGGAGATTTCAAGCGATTTGATGCCAACAGTAGAAAAGGAAATATCTTCAAATAAAAACTAGACAGAATCATTCTCAGAAAGTGCTTTGTGATGTGTGCCTTCAACTCACAGAGTTTAACCTTTCTTTTCTTAGAGCAGTTTAGAAACACTCTGCTTGTTATGTCTGCAAGTGGATATTTGGACCTCTTTGAGGCCTTCGTTGCAAACGGGGTTTCTTCCTTTCATGCTAGACTAAGAAGAGTTCTCAGTAACTTTTTTGTGTTGTGTGTATTCAACTCACAGAGTTGAACCTTGCTTTAGAGAGAGCAGATTTGAAACACTCTTGCTGTGGCATTTTCAGGTGGAGATTTCAAGCGATTTGAGGACAATTGCAGAAAAGGAAATATCTTCGTATAATAACCAGACAGAATCATTCTCAGAAAGTGCTTTGTGATGTGTGCGTTCAACTCACAGAGTTTAACCTTTCTTTTCATAGAGGAGTTTGGAAACACACTGTTTGTAAAGTCTGCAAGTGGATATATGGACCTGTTTGAGGCCTTCGTTGGAAACGGGATTTCTTCATTGAATGCTAGACGGAAGAATTCTCAGTAAATTCTTTGTGTTGTGTGCATTCAACTCACAGAGTGGAACGTCCCTTTAGACAGAGCAGATTTGAAACACTCTTTTTGCGGAATTTGCAACTGGAGATTTCTAGCCATTTGATGCCAACAGTAGAAAGGGAAATATCTTCAAATAAAAACCAGACAGAATCATTCTCAGAAAATTCTTTGTGATGTGTGCGTTCAACTCACATAGTTTAACCTTTCTTTTCATAGAGCAGTTTGGAAACACTCTGTTTGTAAAGTCTGCAAGTGGATATATGGACCGCATTGAGGCCTTCGTTGGAAACGGGATTTCTTCATTTCATGCTAGACAGAAGAATTCTCAGTAACTTCTTTGTGCTGTGTGTATTCAACTCACAGAGTGGAACGTCCCTTTGCACAGAGCAGATTTGAAACACTCTTTTTGTGGAGTTTGCAAGTGGAGATTTCAAGCGATTTGATGCCAACAGTAGAAAAGGAAATATCTTCAAATAAAAACTAGACAGAATCATTCTCAGAAACTACTTTGTGATGTGTGCCTTCAACTCACAGAGTTTAACCTTTCTTTTCTTAGAGCAGTTTAGAAACACTCTGCTTGTTATGTCTGCAAGTGGATATTTGGACCTCTTTGAGGCCTTCGTTGCAAACGGGGTTTCTTCCTTTCATGCTAGACTAAGAAGAGTTCTCAGTAACTTTTTTGTGTTGTGTGTATTCAACTCACAGAGTTGAACCTTGCTTTAGAGAGAGCAGATTTGAAACACTCTTGCTGTGGCATTTTCAGGTGGAGATTTCAAGCGATTTGATGCCAACAGTAGAAAAGGAAATATCTTCAAATAAAAACTAGACAGAATCATTCTCAGAAAGTGCTTTGTGTTGTGTGCGTTCAACTCACAGAGTTTAACCTTTCTTTTCATAGAGGAGTTTGGAAACACACTGTTTGTAAAGTCTGCAATTGGATATATGGACCTGTTTGAGGCCTTCGTTGGAAACGGGATTTCTTCATTGAATGCTAGACGGAAGAATTCTCAGTAAATTCTTTGTGTTGTGTGCATTCAACTCACAGAGTGGAACGTCCCTTTAGACAGAGCAGATTTGAAACACTCTTTTTGCGGAATTTGCAAGTGGAGATTTCTAGCCATTTGATGCCAACAGTAGAAAGGGAAATATCTTCAAATAAAAACCAGACAGAATCATTCTCAGAAAATTCTTTGTGATGTGTGCGTTCAACTCACATAGTTTAACCTTTCTTTTCATAGAGCAGTTTGGAAACACTCTGTTTGTAAAGTCTGCAAGTGGATATATGGACCGCATTGAGGCCTTCGTTGGAAACGGGATTTCTTCATTTCATACTAGACAGAAGAATTCTCAGTAACTTCTTTGTGCTGTGTGTATTCAACTCACAGAGTGGAACATCCCTTTGCACAGAGCAGATTTGAAACACTCTTTTTGTGGAGTTTGCAAGTGGAGATTTCAAGCGATTTGATGCCAACAGTAGAAAAGGAAATATCTTCAAATAAAAACTAGACAGAATCATTCTCAGAAACTACTTTGTGATGTGTGCCTTCAACTCACAGAGTTTAACCTTTCTTTTCTGAGAGCAGTTTAGAAACACTCTGCTTGTTATGTCTGCAAGTGGATATTTGGACCTCTTTGAGGCCTTCGTTGCAAACGGGGTTTCTTCCTTTCATGCTAGACTAAGAAGAGTTCTCAGTAACTTTTTTGTGTTGTGTGTATTCAACTCACAGAGTTGAACCTTGCTTTAGAGAGAGCAGATTTGAAACACTCTTGCTGTGGCATTTTCAGGTGGAGATTTCAAGCGATTTGAGGACAATTGCAGAAAAGGAAATATCTTCGTATAATAACCAGACAGAATCATTCTCAGAAAGTGCTTTGTGATGTGTGCGTTCAACTCACAGAGTTTAACCTTTCTTTTCATAGAGGAGTTTGGAAACACACTGTTTGTAAAGTCTGCAATTGGATATATGGACCTGTTTGAGGCCTTCGTTGGAAACGGGATTTCTTCATTGAATGCTAGACGGAAGAATTCTCAGTAAATTCTTTGTGTTGTGTGCATTCAACTCACAGAGTGGAACGTCCCTTTAGACAGAGCAGATTTGAAACACTCTTTTTGCGGAATTTGCAAGTGGAGATTTCTAGCCATTTGATGCCAACAGTAGAAAGGGAAATATCTTCAAATAAAAACCAGACAGAATCATTCTCAGAAAATTCTTTGTGATGTGTGCGTTCAACTCACATAGTTTAACCTTTCTTTTCATAGAGCAGTTTGGAAACACTCTGTTTGTAAAGTCTGCAAGTGGATATATGGACCGCATTGAGGCCTTCGTTGGAAACGGGATTTCTTCATTTCATGTTAGACAGAAGAATTCTCAGTAACTTCTTTGTGCTGTGTGTATTCAACTCACAGAGTGGAACGTCCCTTTACACAGAGCAGATTTGAAACACTCTTTTTGTGGAGTTTGCAAGTGGAGATTTCAAGCGATTTGATGCCAACAGTAGAAAAGGAAATATCTTCAAAGAAAAACTAGACAGAATCATTCTCAGAAACTACTTTGTGATGTGTGCCTTCAACTCACAGAGTTTAACCTTTCTTTTCTTAGAGCAGTTTAGAAACACTCTGCTTGTTATGTCTGCAAGTGGATATTTGGACCTCTTTGAGGCCTTCGTTGCAAACGGGGTTTCTTCCTTTCATGCTAGACTAAGAAGAGTTCTCAGTAACTTTTTTGTGTTGTGTGTATTCAACTCACAGAGTTGAACCTTGCTTTAGAGAGAGCAGATTTGAAACACTCTTGCTGTGGCATTTTCAGGTGGAGATTTCAAGCGATTTGAGGACAATTGCAGAAAAGGAAATATCTTCGTATAATAACCAGACAGAATCATTCTCAGAAAGTGCTTTGTGATGTGTGCGTTCCACTCACAGAGTTTAACCTTTCTTTTCATAGAGGAGTTTGGAAACACACTGTTTGTAAAGTCTGCAAGTGGATATATGGACCTGTTTGAGGCCTTCGTTGGAAAGGGGATTTTTTCATTGAATGCTAGACGGAAGAATTCTCAGTAAATTCTTTGTGTGGTGTGCATTCAACTCACAGAGTGGAACGTCCCTTTAGACAGAGCAGATTTGAAACACTCTTTTTGCGGAATTTGCAAGTGGAGATTTCTAGCCATTTGATGCCAACAGTAGAAAGGGAAATATCTTCAAATAAAAACCAGACAGAATCATTCTCAGAAAATTCTTTGTGATGTGTGCGTTCAACTCACATAGTTTAACCTTTCTTTTCATAGAGCAGTTTGGAAACACTCTGTTTGTAAGTCTGCAAGTGGATATATGGACCGCATTGAGGCCTTCGTTGGAAACGGGATTTCTTCATTTCATGCTAGACAGAAGAATTCTCAGTAACTTCTTTGTGCTGTGTGTATTCAACTCACAGAGTGGAACGTCCCTTTGCACAGAGCAGATTTGAAACACTCTTTTTGTGGAGTTTGCAAGTGGAGATTTCAAGCGATTTGATGCCAAGAGTAGAAAAGGAAATATCTTCAAATAAAAACTAGACAGAAATCATTCTCAGAAACTACTTTGTGATGTGTGCCTTCAACTCACAGAGTTTAACCTTTCTTTTCTTAGAGCAGTTTAGAAACACTCTGCTTGTTATGTCTGCAAGTGGATATTTGGACCTCTTTGAGGCCTTCGTTGGAAACGGGGTTTCTTCCTTTCATGCTAGACTAAGAAGAGTTCTCAGTAACTTTTTTGTGTTGTGTGTATTCAACTCACAGAGTTGAACCTTGCTTTAGAGAGAGCAGATTTGAAACACTCTTGCTGTGGCATTTTCAGGTGGAGATTTCAAGCGATTTGAGGACAATTGCAGAAAAGGAAATATCTTCGTATAATAACCAGACAGAATCATTCTCAGAAAGTGCTTTGTGATGTGTGCGTTCAACTCACAGAGTTTAACCTTTCTTTTCATAGAGGAGTTTGGAAACACACTGCTTGTAAAGTCTGCAATTGGATATATGGACCTGTTTGAGGCCTTCGTTGGAAACGGGATTTCTTCATTGAATGCTAGACGGAAGAATTCTCAGTAAATTCTTTGTGTTGTGTGCATTCAACTGACAGAGTGGAACGTCCCTTTAGACAGAGCAGATTTGAAACACTCTTTTTGCGGAATTTGCAAGTGGAGATTTCTAGCCATTTGATGCCAACAGTAGAAAGGGAAATATCTTCAAATAAAAACCAGACAGAATCATTCTCAGAAAATTCTTTGTGATGTGTGCGTTCAACTCACATAGTTTAACCTTTCTTTTCATAGAGCAGTTTGGAAACACTCTGTTTGTAAAGTCTGCAAGTGGATATATGGACCGCATTGAGGCCTTCGTTGGAAACGGGATTTCTTCATTTCATGCGAGACAGAAGAATTCTCAGTAACTTCTTTGTGCTGTGTGTATTCAACTCACAGAGTGGAACGTCCCTTTACACAGAGCAGATTTGAAACACTCTTTTTGTGGAGTTTGCAAGTGGAGATTTCAAGCGATTTGATGCCAACAGTAGAAAAGGAAATATCTTCAAATAAAAACTAGACAGAATCATTCTCAGAAACTACTTTGTGATGTGTGCCTTCAACTCACAGAGTTTAACCTTTCTTTTCTTAGAGCAGTTTAGAAACACTCTGCTTGTTATGTCTGCAAGTGGATATTTGGACCTCTTTGAGGCCTTCGTTGCAAACGGGGTTTCTTCCTTTCATGCTAGACTAAGAAGAGTTCTCAGTAACTTTTTTGTGTTGTGTGTATTCAACTCACAGAGTTGAACCTTGCTTTAGAGAGAGCAGATTTGAAACACTCTTGCTGTGGCATTTTCAGGTGGAGATTTCAAGCGATTTGAGGACAATTGCAGAAAAGGAAATATCTTCGTATAATAACCAGACAGAATCATTCTCAGAAAGTGCTTTGTGATGTGTGCGTTCCACTCACAGAGTTTAACCTTTCTTTTCATAGAGGAGTTTGGAAACACACTGTTTGTAAAGTCTGCAAGTGGATATATGGACCTGTTTGAGCCCTTCGTTGGAAACGGGATTTCTTCATTGAATGCTAGACGGAAGAATTCTCAGTAAATTCTTTGTGTTGTGTGCATTCAACTCACAGAGTGGAACGTCCCTTTAGACAGAGCAGATTTGAAACACTCTTTTTGCGGAATTTGCAAGTGGAGATTTCTAGCCATTTGATGCCAACAGTAGAAAGGGAAATATCTTCAAATAAAAACCAGACAGAATCATTCTCAGAAAATTCTTTGTGATGTGTGCATTCAACTCACATAGTTTAACCTTTCTTTTCATAGAGCAGTTTGGAAACACTCTGTTTGTAAAGTCTGCAAGTGGATATATGGACCGCATTGAGGCCTTCGTTGGAAACGGGATTTCTTCATTTCATGCTAGACAGAAGAATTCTCAGTAACTTCTTTGTGCTGTGTGTATTCAACTCACAGAGTGGAACGTCCCTTTACACAGAGCAGATTTGAAACACTCTTTTTGTGGAGTTTGCAAGTGGAGATTTCAAGCGATTTGATGCCAACAGTAGAAAAGGAAATATCTTCAAATAAAAACTAGACAGAATCATTCTCAGAAACTACTTTGTGATGTGTGCCTTCAACTCACAGAGTTTAACCTTTCTTTTCATAGAGCAGTTTAGAAACACTCTGCTTGTTATGTCTGCAAGTGGATATTTGGACCTCTTTGAGGCCTTCGTTGCAAACGGGGTTTCTTCCTTTCATGCTAGACTAAGAAGAGTTCTCAGTAACTTTTTTGTGTTGTGTGTATTCAACTCACAGAGTTGAACCTTGCTTTAGAGAGAGCAGATTTGAAACACTCTTGCTGTGGCATTTTCAGGTGGAGATTTCAAGCGATTTGAGGACAATTGCAGAAAAGGAAATATCTTCGTATAATAACCAGACAGAATCATTCTCAGAAAGTGCTTTGTGATGTGTGCGTTCAACTCACAGAGTTTAACCTTTCTTTTCATAGAGGAGTTTGGAAACACACTGTTTGTAAAGTCTGCAATTGGATATATGGACCTGTTTGAGGCCTTCGTTGGAAACGGGATTTCTTCATTGAATGCTAGACGGAAGAATTCTCAGTAAATTCTTTGTGTTGTGTGCATTCAACTGACAGAGTGGAACGTCCCTTTAGACAGAGCAGATTTGAAACACTCTTTTTGCGGAATTTGCAAGTGGAGATTTCTAGCCATTTGATGCCAACAGTAGAAAGGGAAACATCTTCAAATAAAAACCAGACAGAATCATTCTCAGAAAATTCTTTGTGATGTGTGCGTTCATCTCACATAGTTTAACCTTTCTTTTCATAGAGCAGTTTGGAAACACTCTGTTTGTAAAGTCTGCAAGTGGATATATGGACCGCATTGAGGCCTTCGTTGGAAACGGGATTTCTTCATTTCATGCTAGACAGAAGAATTCTCAGTAACTTCTTTGTGCTGTGTGTATTCAACTCACAGAGTGGAACGTCCCTTTGCACAGAGCAGATTTGAAACACTCTTTTTGTGGAATTTGCAAGTGGAGATTTCAAGCGATTTGATGCCAACAGTAGAAAAGGAAATATCTTCAAATAAAAACTAGACAGAATCATTCTCAGAAACTACTTTGTGATGTGTGCCTTCAACTCACAGAGTTTAACCTTTCTTTTCTTAGAGCAGTTTAGAAACACTCTGCTTGTTATGTCTGCAAGTGGATATTTGGACCTCTTTGAGGCCTTCGTTGCAAACGGGGTTTCTTCCTTTCATGCTAGACTAAGAAGAGTTCTCAGTAACTTTTTTGTGTTGTGTGTATTCAACTCACGGAGTTGAACCTTGCTTTAGAGAGAGCAGATTTGAAACACTCTTGCTGTGGCATTTTCAGGTGGAGATTTCAAGCGATTTGAGGACAATTGCAGAAAAGGAAATATTTTCGTATAATAACCAGACAGAATCATTCTCAGAAAGTGCTTTGTGATGTGTGCGTTCCACTCACAGAGTTTAACCTTTCTTTTCATAGAGGAGTTTGGAAACACACTGTTTGTAAACTCTGCAAGTGGATATATGGACGTGTTTGAGGCCTTCGTTGGAAACGGGATTTCTTCATTGAATGCTAGACGGAAGAATTCTCAGTAAATTCTTTGTGTTGTGTGCATTCAACTCACAGAGTGGAACGTCCCTTTAGACAGAGCAGATTTGAAACACTCTTTTTGCGGAATTTGCAAGTGGAGATTTCTAGCCATTTGATGCCAACAGTAGAAAGGGAAATATCTTCAAATAAAAACCAGACAGAATCATTCTCAGAAAATTCTTTGTGATGTGTGCGTTCAACTCACATAGTTTAACCTTTCTTTTCATAGAGCAGTTTGGGAACACTCTGTTGGTAATGTCTGCAAGTGGATATATGGACCGCTTTGAGGCCTTCGTTGGAAACGGGATTTCTTCATTTCATGCTAGACAGAAGAATTCTCAGTAACTTCTTTGTGTTGTGTGTATTCAACTCACAGATTGGAACGTCCCTTTACACAGAGCAGATTTGAAACACTCTTTTTGTGGAATTTGCAAGTGGAGATTTCAAGCGATTTTATGCCAACAGTAGAAAAGGGAATATCTGCAAATAAAAACTAGACAGAATCATTATCAGAAAGTGCTTTGTGATGTGTGCATTCAACTCACAGAGTTAACCTTTCTTTTCATAAAGGAGTTTGGAAACACACTGTTTGTAAAGTCTGCAATTGGATATATGGACCTGTTTGAGGCCTTCGTTGGAAACGGGATTTCTTCATTGAATGCTAGACGGAAGAATTCTCAGTAAATTCTTTGCGTTGTGTGCATTCAACTCACAGAGTGGAACGTCCCTTAAGACAGAGCAGATTTGAAACACTCTTTTTGCGGAATTTGCAAGTGGAGATTTCTAGCCATTTGATGCCAACAGTAGAAAGGGAAATATCTTCAAATAAAAACCAGACAGAATCATTCTCAGAAAATTCTTTGTGATGTGTGCGTTCAACTCACATAGTTTAACCTTTCTTTTCATAGAGCAGTTTGGAAACACTCTGTTTGTAAAGTCTGCAAGTGGATATATGGACCGCATTGAGGCCTTCGTTGGAAACGGGATTTCTTCATTTCATGCTAGACAGAAGAATTCTCAGTAACTTCTTTGTGCTGTGTGTATTCAACTCACAGAGTGGAACGTCCCTTTGCACAGAGCAGATTTGAAACACTCTTTTTGTGGAGTTTGCAAGTGGAGATTTCAAGCGATTTGATGCCAACAGTAGAAAAGGAAGTATCTTCAAATAAAAACTAGCACAGAATCATTCTCAGAAACTACTTTGTGATGTGTGCCTTCAACTCACAGAGTTTAACCTTTCTTTTCTTAGAGCAGTTTAGAAACACTCTGCTTGTTATGTCTGCAAGTGGATATTTGGACCTCTTTGAGGCCTTCGTTGCAAACGGGGTTTCTTCCTTTCATGCTAGACTAAGAAGAGTTCTCAGTAACTTTTTTGTGTTGTGTGTATTCAACTCACAGAGTTGAACCTTGCTTTAGAGAGAGCAGATTTGAAACACTCTTGCTGTGGCATTTTCAGGTGGAGATTTCAAGCGATTTGAGGACAATTGCAGAAAAGGAAATATCTTCGTATAATAACCAGACAGAATCATTCTCAGAAAGTGCTTTGTGATGTGTGCGTTCAACTCACAGAGTTTAACCTTTCTTTTCATAGAGGAGTTTGGAAACACACTGTTTGTAAAGTCTGCAAGTGGATATATGGACCTGTTTGAGGCCTTCGTTGGAAACGGGATTTCTTCATTGAATGCTAGACGGAAGAATTCTCAGTAAATTCTTTGTGTTGTGTGCATTCAACTCACAGAGTGGAACGTCCCTTTAGACAGAGCAGATTTGAAACACTCTTTTCGCGGAATTTGCAAGTGGAGATTTCTAGCCATTTGATGCCAACAGTAGAAAGGGAAATATCTTCAAATAAAAACCAGACAGAATCATTCTCAGAAAATTCTTTGTGATGTGTGCGTTCAACTCACATAGTTTAACCTTTCTTTTCATAGAGCAGTTTGGAAACACTCTGTTTGTAAAGTCTGCAAGTGGATATATGGACCGCATTGAGGCCTTCGTTGGAAACGGGATTTCTTCATTTCATGCTAGACAGAAGAATTCTCAGTAACTTCTTTGTGCTGTGTGTATTCAACTCACAGAGTGGAACGTCCCTTTGCACAGAGCAGATTTGAAACACTCTTTTTGTGGAATTTGCAAGTGGAGATTTCAAGCGATTTGATGCCAACAGTAGAAAAGGAAATATCTTCAAATAAAAACTAGACAGAATCATTCTCAGAAACTACTTTGTGATGTGTGCCTTCAACTCACAGAGTTTAACCTTTCTTTTCTTAGAGCAGTTTAGAAACACTCTGCTTGTTATGTCTGCAAGTGGATATTTGGACCTCTTTGAGGCCTTCGTTGCAAACGGGGTTTCTTCCTTTCATGCTAGACTAAGAAGAGTTCTCAGTAACTTTTTTGTGTTGTGTGTATTCAACTCACAGAGTTGAACCTTGCTTTAGAGAGAGCAGATTTGAAACACTCTTGCTGTGGCATTTTCAGGTGGAGATTTCAAGCGATTTGAGGACAATTGCAGAAAAGGAAATATCTTCGTATAATAACCAGACAGAATCATTCTCAGAAAGTGCTTTGTGATGTGTGCGTTCCACTCACAGAGTTTAACCTTTCTTTTCATAGAGGAGTTTGGAAACACACTGTTTGTAAAGTCTGCAATTGGATATATGGACCTGTTTGAGGCCTTCGTTGGAAACGGGATTTCTTCATTGAATGCTAGACGGAAGAATTCTCAGTAAATTCTTTGTGTTGTGTGCATTCAACTCACAGAGTGGAACGTCCCTTTAGACAGAGCAGATTTGAAACACTCTTTTTGCGGAATTTGCAAGTGGAGATTTCTAGCCATTTGATGCCAAGAGTAGAAAGGGAAATATCTTCAAATAAAAACCAGACAGAATCATTCTCAGAAAATTCTTTGTGATGTGTGCGTTCAACTCACATAGTTTAACCTTTCTTTTCATAGAGCAGTTTGGAAACACTCTGTTTGTAAAGTCTGCAAGTGGATATATGGACCGCATTGAGGCCTTCGTTGGAAACGGGATTTCTTCATTTCATGCTAGACAGAAGAATTCTCAGTAACTTCTTTGTGCTGTGTGTATTCAACTCACAGAGTGGAACGTCCCTTTGCACAGAGCAGATTTGAAACACTCTTTTTGTGGAGTTTGCAAGTGGAGATTTCAAGCGATTTGATGCCAACAGTAGAAAAGGAAATATCTTCAAATAAAAACTAGACAGAATCATTCTCAGAAACTACTTTGTGATGTGTGCCTTCAACTCACAGAGTTTAACCTTTCTTTTCTTAGAGCAGTTTAGAAACACTCTGCTTGTTATGTCTGCAAGTGGATATTTGGACCTCTTTGAGGCCTTCGTTGCAAACGGGGTTTCTTCCTTTCATGCTAGACTAAGAAGAGTTCTCAGTAACTTTTTTGTGTTGTGTGTATTCAACTCACAGAGTTGAACCTTGCTTTAGAGAGAGCAGATTTGAAACACTCTTGCTGTGGCATTTTCAGGTGGAGATTTCAAGCGATTTGAGGACAATTGCAGAAAAGGAAATATCTTCGTATAATAACCAGACAGAATCATTCTCAGAAAGTGCTTTGTGATGTGTGCGTTCAACTCACAGAGTTTAACCTTTCTTTTCATAGAGGAGTTTGGAAACACACTGTTTGTAAAGTCTGCAATTGGATATATGGACCTGTTTGAGGCCTTCGTTGGAAACGGGATTTCTTCATTGAATGCTAGACGGAAGAATTCTCAGTAAATTCTTCGTGTTGTGTGCATTCAACTGAGAGAGTGGAACGTCCCTTTAGACAGAGCAGATTTGAAACACTCTTTTTGCGGAATTTGCAAGTGGAGATTTCTAGCCATTTGATGCCAACTGTAGAAAGGGAAATATCTTCAAATAAAAACCAGACAGAATCATTCTCAGAAAATTCTTTGTGATGTGTGCGTTCAACTCACATAGTTTAACCTTTCTTTTCATAGAGCAGTTTGGAAACACTCTGTTTGTAAAGTCTGCAAGTGGATATATGGACCGCATTGAGGCCTTCGTTGGAAACGGGATTTCTTCATTTCATGCTAGACAGAAGAATTCTCAGTAACTTCTTTGTGCTGTGTGTATTCACCTCACAGAGTGGAACGTCCCTTTGCACAGAGCAGATTTGAAACACTCTTTTTGTGGAGTTTGCAAGTGGAGATTTCAAGCGATTTGATGCCAACAGTAGAAAAGGAAATATCTTCAAATAAAAACTAGACAGAATCATTCTCAGAAACTACTGTGTGATGTGTGCCTTCAACTCACAGAGTTTAACCTTTCTTTTCTTAGAGCAGTTTAGAAACACTCTGCTTGTTATGTCTGCAAGTGGATATTTGGACCTCTTTCAGGCCTTCGTTGCAAACGGGGTTTCTTCCTTTAATGCTAGACTAAGAACAGTTCTCAGTAACTTTTTTGTGTTGTGTGTATTCAACTCACAGAGTTGAACCTTGCTTTAGAGAGAGCAGATTTGAAACACTCTCGCTGTGGAATTTTCAGTTGGAGATTTCAAGCGATTTGAGGACAATTGCAGAAAAGGAAATATCTTCGTATAATAACCAGACAGAATCATTCTCAGAAAGTGCTTTGTGATGTGTGCGTTCAACTCACAGAGTTTAACCTTTCTTTTCATAGAGGAGTTTGGAAACACACTGTTTGTAAAGTCTGCAATTGGATATATGGACCTGTTTGAGGCCTTACGTTGGAAACGGGATTTCTTCATTGAATGCTAGACGGAAGAATTCTCAGTAAATTCTTTGTGTTGTGTGCATTCAAC
The DNA here is from genome assembly GCF_000001405.40 of Homo sapiens. Lineage (NCBI taxonomy): Eukaryota > Metazoa > Chordata > Mammalia > Primates > Hominidae > Homo > Homo sapiens. The sequence continues at coordinate 59,581,669 of NC_000007.14, forward strand.
TGACAGAGTGGAACGTCCCTTTAGACAGAGCAGATTTGAAACACTCTTTTTGCGGAATTTGCAAGTGGAGATTTCTAGCCATTTGATGCCAACAGTAGAAAGGGAAATATCTTCAAATAAAAACCAGACAGAATCATTCTCAGAAAATTCTTTGTGATGTGTGCGTTCAACTCACATAGTTTAACCTTTCTTTTCATAGAGCAGTTTGGAAACACTCTGTTTGTAAAGTCTGCAAGTGGATATATGGACCGCATTGAGGCCTTCGTTGGAAACGGGATTTCTTCATTTCATGCTAGACAGAAGAATACTCAGTAACTTCTTTGTGCTGTGTGTATTCAACTCACAGAGTGGAACGTCCCTTTACACAGAGCAGATTTGAAACACTCTTTTTGTGGAGTTTGCAAGTGGAGATTTCAAGCGATTTGATGCCAACCGTAGAAAAGGAAATATCTTCAAATAAAAACTAGACAGAATCATTCTCAGAAACTACTTTGTGATGTGTGCCTTCAACTCAGAGTTTAACCTTTCTTTTCTTAGAGCAGTTTAGAAACACTCTGCTTGTTATGTCTGCAAGTGGATATTTGGACCTCTTTGAGGCCTTCGTTGCAAACGGGGTTTCTTCCTTTCATGCTAGACTAAGAAGAGTTCTCAGTAACTTTTTTGTGTTGTGTGTATTCAACTCACAGAGTTGAACCTTGCTTTAGAGAGAGCAGATTTGAAACACTCTTGCTGTGGCATTTTCAGGTGGAGATTTCAAGCGTTTTGAGGACAATTGCAGAAAAGGAAATATCTTCGTATAATAACCAGACAGAATCATTCTCAGAAAGTGCTTTGTGATGTGTGCGTTCAACTCACAGAGTTTAACCTTTCTTTTCATAGAGGAGTTTGGAAACACACTGTTTGTAAAGTCTGCAATTGGATATATGGACCTGTTTGAGGCCTCCGTTGGAAACGGGATTTCTTCATTGAATGCTAGACGGAAGAATTCTCAGTAAATTCTTTGTGTTGTGTGCATTCAACTCACAGAGTGGAACGTCCCTTTAGACAGAGCAGATTTGAAACACTCTTTTTGCGGAATTTGCAAGTGGAGATTTCTAGCCATTTGATGTCAACAGTAGAAAGGGAAATATCTTCAAATAAAAACCAGACAGAATCATTCTCAGAAAATTCTTTGTGATGTGTGCGTTCAACTCACATAGTTTAACCTTTCTTTTCATAGAGCAGTTTGGAAACACTCTGTTTGTAAAGTCTGCAAGTGGATATATGGACCGCATTGAGGCCTTCGTTGGAAACGGGATTTCTTCATTTCATGCTAGACAGAAGAATTCTCAGTAACTTCTTTGTGCTGTGTGTATTCAACTCACAGAGTGGAACGTCCCTTTGCACAGAGCAGATTTGAAACACTCTTTTTGTGGAGTTTGCAAGTGGAGATTTCAAGCGATTTGATGCCAACAGTAGAAAAGGAAATATCTTCAAATAAAAACTAGACAGAATCATTCTCAGAAACTACTTTGTGATGTGTGCCTTCAACTCACAGAGTTTAACCTTTCTTTTCTTAGAGCAGTTTAGAAACACTCTGCTTGTTATGTCTGCAAGTGGATATTTGGACCTCTTTGAGGCCTTCGTTGCAAACGGGGTTTCTTCCTTTAATGCTAGACTAAGAAGAGTTCTCAGTAACATTTTTGTGTTGTGTGTATTCAACTCACAGAGTTGAACCTTGCTTTAGAGAGAGCAGATTTGAAACACTCTTGCTGTGGCATTTTCAGGTGGAGATTTCAAGCGATTTGAGGACAATTGCAGAAAAGGAAATATCTTCGTATAACAACCAGACAGAATCATTCTCAGAAAGTGCTTTGTGATGTGTGCGTTCTACTTACAGAGTTTAACCTTTCTTTTCATAGAGGAGTTTGGAAACACACTGTTTGTAAAGTCTGCAAGTGGATATATGGACCTGTTTGAGGCCTTCGTTGGAAACGGGATTTCTTCATTGAATGCTAGACGGAAGAATTCTCAGTAAATTCTTTGTGTGGTGTGCATTCAACTCACAGAGTGGAACGTCCCTTTAGACAGAGCAGATTTGAAACACTCTTTTTGCGGAATTTGCAAGTGGAGATTTCTAGCCATTTGATGCCAACAGTAGAAAGGGAAATATCTTCAAATAAAAACCAGACAGAATCATTCTCAGAAAATTCTTTGTGATGTGTGCGTTCAACTCACATAGTTTAACCTTTCTTTTCATAGAGCAGTTTGGAAACACTCTGTTTGTAAAGTCTGCAAGTGGATATATGGACCGCATTGAGGCCTTCGTTGGAAATGGGATTTCTTCATTTCATGCTAGACAGAAGAATTCTCAGTAACTTCTTTGTGCTGTGTGTATTCAACTCACAGAGTGGAACGTCCCTTTGCACAGAGCAGATTTGAAACACTCTTTTTGTGGAGTTTGCAATTGGAGATTTCAAGCGATTTGATGCCAACAGTAGAAAAGGAAATATCTTCAAATAAAAACTAGACAGAATCATTCTCAGAAACTACTTTGTGATGTGTGCCTTCAACTCACAGAGTTTAACCTTTCTTTTCTTAGAGCAGTTTAGAAACACTCTGCTTGTTATGTCTGCAAGTGGATATTTGGACCTCTTTGAGGCCTTCGTTGCAAACGGGGTTTCTTCCTTTAATGCTAGACTAAGAAGAGTTCTCAGTAACTTTTTTGTGTTGTGTGTATTCAACTCACAGAGTTGAACCTTGCTTTAGAGAGAGCAGATTTGAAACACTCTTGCTGTGGCATTTTCAGGTGGAGATTTCAAGCGATTTGAGGACAATTGCAGAAAAGGAAATATCTTCGTATAATAACCAGACAGAATCATTCTCAGAAAGTGCTTTGTGATGTGTGCGTTCCACTCACAGAGTTTAACCTTTCTTTTCATAGAGGAGTTTGGAAACACACTGTTTGTAAAGTCTGCAAGTGGATATATGGACCTCTTTGAGGCCTTCGTTGGAAACGGGATTTCTTCATTGAATGCTAGACGGAAGAATTCTCAGTAAATTCTTTGTGTTGTGTGCATTCAACTCACAGAGTGGAACGTCCCTTTAGACAGAGCAGATTTGAAACACTCTTTTTGCGGAATTTGCAAGTGGAGATTTCTAGCCATTTGATGCCAACAGTAGAAAGGGAAATATTTTCAAATAAAAACCAGACAGAATCATTCTCAGAAAATTCTTTGTGATGTGTGCGTTCAACTCACATAGTTTAACCTTTCTTTTCATAGAGCAGTTTGGAAACACTCTGTTTGTAAAGTCTGCAAGTGGATATATGGACCGCATTGAGGCCTTCGTTGGAAACGGGATTTCTTCATTTCATGCTAGACAGAAGAATTCTCAGTAACTTCTTTGTGCTGTGTGTATTCAACTCACAGAGTGGAACGTCCCTTTGCACAGAGCAGATTTGAAACACTCTTTTTGTGGAGTTTGCAAGTGGAGATTTCAAGCGATTTGATGCCAACAGTAGAAAAGGAAATATCTTCAAATAAAAACTAGACAGAATCATTCTCAGAAACTACTTTGTGATGTGTGCCTTCAACTCACAGAGTTTAACCTTTCTTTTCTTAGAGCAGTTTAGAAACACTCTGCTTGTTATGTCTGCAAGTGGATATTTGGACCTCTTTGAGGCCTTCGTTGCAAACGGGGTTTCTTCCTTTCATGCTAGACTAAGAAGAGTTCTCAGTAACTTTTTTGTGTTGTGTGTATTCAACTCACAGAGTTGAACCTTGCTTTAGAGAGAGCAGATTTGAAACACTCTTGCTGTGGCATTTTCAGGTGGAGATTTCAAGCGATTTGAGGACAATTGCAGAAAAGGAAATATCTTCGTATAATAACCAGACAGAATCATTCTCAGAAAGTGCTTTGTGATGTGTGCGTTCCACTCACAGAGTTTAACCTTTCTTTTCATAGAGGAGTTTGGAAACACACTGTTTGTAAAGTCTGCAAGTGGATATATGGACCTGTTTGAGGCCTTCGTTGGAAACGGGATTTCTTCATTGAATGCTAGACGGAAGAATTCTCAGTAAATTCTTTGTGTTGTGTGCATTCAACTCACAGAGTGGAACGTCCCTTTAGACAGAGCAGATTTGAAACACTCTTTTTGCGGAATTTGCAAGTGGAGATTTCTAGCCATTTGATGCCAACAGTAGAAAGGGAAATATTTTCAAATAAAAACCAGACAGAATCATTCTCAGAAAATTCTTTGTGATGTGTGCGTTCAACTCACATAGTTTAACCTTTCTTTTCATAGAGCAGTTTGGAAACACTCTGTTTGTAAAGTCTGCAAGTGGATATATGGACCGCATTGAGGCCTTCGTTGGAAACGGGGTTTCTTCATTTCATGCTAGACAGAAGAATTCTCAGTAACTTCTTTGTGCTGTGTGTATTCAACTCACAGAGTGGAACATCCCTTTGCACAGAGCAGATTTGAAACACTCTTTTTCTGGAGTTTGCAAGTGGAGATTTCAAGCGATTTGATGCCAACAGTAGAAAAGGAAATATCTTCAAATAAAAACTAGACAGAATCATTCTCAGAAACTACTTTGTGATGTGTGCCTTCAACTCACAGAGTTTAACCTTTCTTTTCTTAGAGCAGTTTAGAAACACTCTGCTTGTTATGTCTGCAAGTGGATATTTGGACCTCTTTGAGGCCTTCGTTGCAAACGGGGTTTCTTCCTTTCATGCTAGACTAAGAAGAGTTCTCAGTAACTTTTTTGTGTTGTGTGTATTCAACTCACAGAGTTGAACCTTGCTTTAGAGAGAGCAGATTTGAAACACTCTTGCTGTGGCATTTTCAGGTGGAGATTTCAAGCGATTTGAGGACAATTGCAGAAAAGGAAATATCTTCGTATAATAACCAGACAGAATCATTCTCAGAAAGTGCTTTGTGATGTGTGCGTTCCACTCACAGAGTTTAACCTTTCTTTTCATAGAGGAGTTTGGAAACACACTGTTTGTAAACTCTGCAAGTGGATATATGGACCTGTTTGAGGCATTCGTTGGAAACGGGATTTCTTCATTGAATGCTAGACGGAAGAATTCTCAGTAAATTCTTTGTGTTGTGTGCATTCAACTGACAGAGTGGAACGTCCCTTTAGACAGAGCAGATTTGAAACACTCTTTTTGCGGAATTTGCAAGTGGAGATTTCTAGCCATTTGATGCCAACAGTAGAAAGGGAAATATCATTCAAATAAAAACCAGACAGAATCATTCTCAGAAAATTCTTTGTGATGTGTGCGTTCAACTCACATAGTTTAACCTTTCTTTTCATAGAGCAGTTTGGAAACACTCTGTTTGTAAAGTCTGCAAGTGGATATATGGACCGCATTGAGGCCTTCGTTGGAAACGGGATTTCTTCATTTCATGCTAGACAGAAGAATTCTCAGTAACTTCTTTGTGCTGTGTGTATTCAACTCACAGAGTGGAACGTCCCTTTGCACAGAGCAGATTTGAAACACTCTTTTTGTGGAGTTTGCAAGTGGAGATTTCAAGCGATTTGATGCCAACAGTAGAAAAGGAAATATCTTCAAATAAAAACTAGACAGAATCATTCTCAGAAACTACTTTGTGATGTGTGCCTTCAACTCACAGAGTTTAACCTTTCTTTTCTTAGAGCAGTTTAGAAACACTCTGCTTGTTATGTCTGCAAGTGGATATTTGGACCTCTTTGAGGCCTTCGTTGCAAACGGGGTTTCTTCCTTTAATGCTAGACTAAGAAGAGTTCTCAGTAACTTTTTTGTGTTGTGTGTATTCAACTCACAGAGTTGAACCTTGCTTTAGAGAGAGCAGATTTGAAACACTCTCGCTGTGGAATTTTCAGGTGGAGATTTCAAGCGATTTGAGGACAATTGCAGAAAAGGAAATATCTTCGTATAATAACCAGACAGGAATCATTCTCAGAAAGTGCTTTGTGATGTGTGCGTTCAACTCACAGAGTTTAACCTTTCTTTTCATAGAGGAGTTTGGAAACACACTGTTTGTAAAGTCTGCAATTGGATATATGGACCTGTTTGAGGCCTTCGTTGGAAACGGGATTTCTTCATTGAATGCTAGACGGAAGAATTCTCAGTAAATTCTTCGTGTTGTGTGCATTCAACTCACAGAGTGGAACGTCCCTTTAGACAGAGCAGATTTGAAACACTCTTTTTGCGGAATTTGCAAGTGGAGATTTCTAGCCATTTGATGCCAACAGTAGAAAGGGAAATATCTTCAAATAAAAACCAGACAGAATCATTCTCAGAAAATTCTTAGTGATGTGTGCGTTCAACTCACATAGTTTAACCTTTCTTTTCATAGAGCAGTTTGGAAACACTCTGTTTGTAAAGTCTGCAAGTGGATATATAGACCGCATTGAGGCCTTCGTTGGAAACGGGATTTCTTCATTTCGTGCTAGACAGAAGAATTCTCAGTAACTTCTCTGTGCTGTGTGTATTCAACTCACAGACTGGAACGTCCGTTTGCACAGAGCAGATTTGAAACACTCTTTTTGTGGAATTTGCAAGTGGAGATTTCAAGCGATTTGATGCCAACAGTAGAAAAGGAAATATCTTCAAATAAAAACTAGACAGAACCATTCTCAGAAACTACTTTGTGATGTGTGCCTTCAACTCACAGAGTTTAACCTTTCTTTTCTTAGAGCAGTTTAGAAACACTCTGCTTGTTATGTCTGCAACTGGATATTTGGACCTCTTTGAGGCCTTCGTTGCAAACGGGGTTTCTTCCTTTCATGCTAGACTAAGAAGAGTTCTCAGTAACTTTTTTGTGTTGTGTGTATTCAACTCACAGAGTTGAACCTTGCTTTAGAGAGAGCAGATTTGAAACACTCTTGCTGTGGCATTTTCAGGTGGAGATTTCAAGCGATTTGAGGACAATTGCAGAAAAGGAAATATCTTCGTATAACAACCAGACAGAATCATTCTCAGAAAGTGCTTTGTGATGTGTGCGTTCAACTCACAGAGTTTAACCTTTCTTTTCATAGAGGAGTTTGGAAACACACTGTTTGTAAAGTCTGCAATTGGATATATGGACCTGTTTGAGGCCTTCGTTGGAAACGGGATTTCTTCATTGAATGCTAGGCGGAAGAATTCTCAGTAAATTCTTTGTGTTGTGTGCATTCAACTCACAGAGTGGAACGTCCCTTTAGACAGAGCAGATTTGAAACACTCTTTTTGCGGAATTTGCAAGTGGAGATTTCTAGCCATTTGATGCCAACAGTAGAAAGGGAAATATCTTCAAATAAAAACCAGACAGAATCATTCTCAGAAAATTCTTTGTGATGTGTGCGTTCAACTCACATAGTTTAACCTTTCTTTTCATAGAGCAGTTTGGAAACACTCTGTTTGTAAAGTCTGCAAGTGGATATATAGACCGCATTGAGGCCTTCGTTGGAAACGGGATTTCTTCATTTCATGCTAGACAGAAGAATTCTCAGTAACTTCTTTGTGCTGTGTGTATTCAACTCACAGAGTGGAACGTCCCTTTACACAGAGCAGATTTGAAACACTCTTTTTGTGGAATTTGCAAGTGGAGATTTCAAGCGATTTGATGCCAACAGTAGAAAAGGAAATATCTTCAAATAAAAACTAGACAGAATCATTCTCAGAAACTACTTTGTGATGTGTGCCTTCAACTCACAGAGTTTAACCTTTCTTTTCTTAGAGCAGTTTAGAAACACTCTGCTTGTTATGTCTGCAAGTGGATATTTGGACCTCTTTGAGGCCTTCGTTGCAAACGGGGTTTCTTCCTTTCATGCTAGACTAAGAAGAGTTCTCAGTAACTTTTTTGTGTTGTGTGTATTCAACTCACAGAGTTGAACCTTGCTTTAGAGAGAGCAGATTTGAAACACTCTTGCTGTGACATTTTCAGGTGGAGATTTCAAGCGATTTGAGGACAATTGCAGAAAAGGAAATATCTTCGTATAATAACCAGAAAGAATCATTCTCAGAAAGTGCTTTGTGATGTGTGCGTTCAACTCACAGAGTTTAACCTTTCTTTTCATAGAGGAGTTTGGAAACACACTGTTTGTAAAGTCTGCAAGTGGATATATGGACCTGTTTGAGGCCTTCGTTGGAAACGGGATTTCTTCATTGAATGCTAGACGGAAGAATTCTCAGTAAATTCTTTGTGTTGTGTGCATTCAACTCACAGAGTGGAACGTCCCTTTAGACAGAGCAGATTTGAAACACTCTTTTTGCGGAATTTGCAAGTGGAGATTTCTAGCCATTTGATGCCAACAGTAGAAAGGGAAATATCTTCAAATAAAAACCAGACAGAATCATTCTCAGAAAATTCTTTGTGATGTGTGCGTTCAACTCACATAGTTTAACCTTTCTTTTCATAGAGCAGTTTGGAAACACTCTGTTTGTAAAGTCTGCAAGTGGATATATGGACCGCATTGAGGCCCTTCGTTGGAAACGGGATTTCTTCATTTCATGCTAGACAGAAGAATTCTCAGTAACTTCTTTGTGCTGTGTGTATTCAAATCACAGAGTTGAACCTTGCTTTAGAGAGAGCAGATTTGAAACACTCTTGCTGTGGCATTTTCAGGTGGAGATTTCAAGCGATTTGAGGAAAATTGCAGAAAAGGGAATATCTTCGTATAATAACCAGACAGAATCATTCTCAGAAAGTGCTTTGTGATGTGTGCGTTCCACTCACAGAGTTTAACCTTTCTTTTCATAGAGGAGTTTGGAAACACACTGTTTGTAAACTCTGCAAGTGGATATATGGACCTGTTTGAGGCCTTCGTTGGAAACGGGATTTCTTCATTGAATGCTAGACGGAAGAATTCTCAGTAAATTCTTTGTGTTGTGTGCATTCAACTCACAGAGTGGAACGTCCCTTTAGACAGAGCAGATTTGAAACACTCTTTTTGCGGAATTTGCAAGTGGAGATTTCTAGCCATTTGATGCCAACAGTAGAAAGGGAAATATCTTCAAATAAAAACCAGACAGAATCATTCTCAGAAAATTCTTTGTGATGTGTGCGTTCAACTCACATAGTTTAACCTTTCTTTTCATAGAGCAGTTTGGAAACACTCTGTTTGTAAAGTCTGCAAGTGGATATATGGACCGCATTGAGGCCTTCGTTGGAAACGGGATTTCTTCATTTCATGCTAGACAGAAGAATTCTCAGTAACTTCTTTGTGCTGTGTGTATTCAACTCACAGAGTGGAACGTCCCTTTACACAGAGCAGATTTGAAACACTCTTTTTGTGGAGTTTGCAAGTGGAGATTTCAAGCGATTTGATGCCAACAGTAGAAAAGGAAATATCTTCAAATAAAAACTAGACAGAATCATTCTCAGAAACTACTTTGTGATGTGTGCCTTCAACTCACAGAGTTTAACCTTTCTTTTCTTAGAGCAGTTTAGAAACACTCTGCTTGTTATGTCTGCAAGTGGATATTTGGACCTCTTTGAGGCCTTCGTTGCAAACGGGGTTTCTTCCTTTCATGCTAGACTAAGAAGAGTTCTCAGTAACTTTTTTGTGTTGTGTGTATTCAACTCACAGAGTTGAACCTTGCTTTAGAGAGAGCAGATTTGAAACACTCTTGCTGTGGCATTTTCAGGTGGAGATTTCAAGCGATTTGAGGACAATTGCAGAAAAGGAAATATCTTCGTATAATAACCAGACAGAATCATTCTCAGAAAGTGCTTTGTGATGTGTGCGTTCCACTCACAGAGTTTAACCTTTCTTTTCATAGAGGAGTTTGGAAACACACTGTTTGTAAAGTCTGCAAGTGGATATATGGACCTGTTTGAGGCCTTCGTTGGAAACGGGATTTCTTCATTGAATGCTAGACGGAAGAATTCTCAGTAAATTCTTTGTGTTGTGTGCATTCAACTCACAGAGTGGAACGTCCCTTTAGACAGAGCAGATTTGAAACACTCTTTTTGCGGAATTTGCAAGTGGAGATTTCTAGCCATTTGATGCCAACAGTAGAAAGGGAAATATCTTCAAATAAAAACCAGACAGAATCATTCTCAGAAAATTCTTTGTGATGTGTGCGTTCAACTCACATAGTTTAACCTTTCTTTTCATAGAGCAGTTTGGAAACACTCTGTTTGTAAAGTCTGCAAGTGGATATATGGACCGCATTGAGGCCTTCGTTGGAAACGGGATTTCTTCATTTCATGCTAGACAGAAGAATTCTCAGTAACTTCTTTGTGCTGTGTGTATTCAACTCACAGAGTGGAACGTCCCTTTGCACAGAGCAGATTTGAAACACTCTTTTTGTGGAGTTTGCAATTGGAGATTTCAAGCGATTTGATGCCAACAGTAGAAAAGGAAATATCTTCAAATAAAAACTAGACAGGAATCATTCTCAGAAACTACTTTGTGATGTGTGCCTTCAACTCACAGAGTTTAACCTTTCTTTTCTTAGAGCAGTTTAGAAACACTCTGCTTGTTATGTCTGCAAGTGGATATTTGGACCTCTTTGAGGCCTTCGTTGCAAACGGGGTTTCTTCCTTTCATGCTAGACTAAGAAGAGTTCTCAGTAACTTTTTTGTGTTGTGTGTATTCAACTCACAGAGTTGAACCTTGCTTTAGAGAGAGCAGATTTGAAACACTCTTGCTGTGACATTTTCAGGTGGAGATTTCAAGCGATTTGAGGACAATTGCAGAAAAGCAAATATCTTCGTATAATAACCAGAAAGAATCATTCTCAGAAAGTGCTTTGTGATGTGTGCGTTCAACTCACAGAGTTTAACCTTTCTTTTCATAGAGGAGTTTGGAAACACACTGTTTGTAAAGTCTGCAAGTGGATATATGGACGTGTTTGAGGCCTTCGTTGGAAACGGGATTTCTTCATTGAATGCTAGACGGAAGAATTCTCAGTAAATTCTTTGTGTTGTGTGCATTCAACTCACAGAGTGGAACGTCCCTTTAGACAGAGCAGATTTGAAACACTCTTTTTGCGGAATTTGCAAGTGGAGATTTCTAGCCATTTGATGCCAACAGTAGAAAGGGAAATATCTTCAAATAAAAACCAGACAGAATCATTCTCAGAAAATTCTTTGTGATGTGTGCGTTCAACTCACATAGTTTAACCTTTCTTTTCATAGAGCAGTTTGGAAACACTCTGTTTGTAAAGTCTGCAAGTGGATATATGGACCGCATTGAGGCCTTCGTTGGAAACGGGATTTCTTCATTTCATGCTAGACAGAAGAATTCTCAGTAACTTCTCTGTGCTGTGTGTATTCAACTCACAGAGTGGAACGTCCCTTTGCACAGAGCAGATTTGAAACACTCTTTTTGTGGAGTTTGCAAGTGGAGATTTCAAGCGATTTGATGCCAACAGTTGAAAAGGAAATATCTTCAAATAAAAACTAGACAGAATCATTCTCAGAAACTACTTTGTGATGTGTGCCTTCAACTCACAGAGTTTAACCTTTCTTTTCTTAGAGCAGTTTAGAAACACTCTGCTTGTTATGTCTGCAAGTGGATATTTGGACCTCTTTGAGGCCTTCGTTGCAAACGGGGTTTCTTCCTTTCATGCTAGACTAAGAAGTGTTCTCAGTAACTTTTTTGTGTTGTGTGTATTCAACTCACAGAGTTGAACCTTGCTTTAGAGAGAGCAGATTTGAAACACTCTTGCTGTGGCATTTTCAGGTGGAGATTTCAAGCGATTTGAGGACAATTGCAGAAAAGGAAATATCTTCGTATAATAACCAGACAGAATCATTCTCAGAAAGTGCTTTGTGATGTGTGCGTTCAACTCACAGAGTTTAACCTTTCTTTTCATAGAGGAGTTTGGAAACACACTGTTTGTAAAGTCTGCAGGTGGATACATGGACCTGTTTGAGGCCTTCGTTGGAAACGGGATTTCTTCATTGAATGCTAGACGGAAGAATTCTCAGTAAATTCTTTGTGTTGTGTGCATTCAACTCACAGAGTGGAACGTCCCTTTAGACAGAGCAGATTTGAAACACTCTTTTTGCGGAATTTGCAAGTGGAGATTTCTAGCCATTTGATGCCAACAGTAGAAAGGGAAATATCTTCAAATAAAAACCAGACAGAATCATTCTCAGAAAATTCTTTGTGATGTGTGCGTTCAACTCACATAGTTTAACCTTTCTTTTCATAGAGCAGTTTGGAAACACTCTGTTTGTAAAGTCTGCAAGTGGATATATGGACCGCATTGAGGCCTTCGTTGGAAACGGGATTTCTTCATTTCATGCTAGACAGAAGAATTCTCAGTAACTTCTTTGTGCTGTGTGTATTCAACTCACAGAGTGGAACGTCCCTTTGCACAGAGCAGATTTGAAACACTCTTTTTGTGGAATTTGCAAGTGGAGATTTCAAGCGATTTGATGCCAACAGTAGAAAAGGAAATATCTTCAAATAAAAACTAGACAGAATCATTCTCAGAAACTACTTTGTGATGTGTGCCTTCAACTCACAGAGTTTAACCTTTCTTTTCTTAGAGCAGTTTAGAAACACTCTGCTTGTTATGTCTGCAAGTGGATATTTGGACCTCTTTGAGGCCTTCGTTGCAAACGGGGTTTCTTCCTTTCATGCTAGACTAAGAAGAGTTCTCAGTAACTTTTTTGTGTTGTGTGTATTCAACTCACAGAGTTGAACCTTGCTTTAGAGAGAGCAGATTTGAAACACTCTTGCTGTGGCATTTTCAGGTGGAGATTTCAAGCGATTTGAGGACAACTGCAGAAAAGGAAGTATCTTCGTATAATAACCAGACAGAATCATTCTCAGAAAGTGCTTTGTGATGTGTGCGTTCAACTCACAGAGTTTAACCTTTCTTTTCATAGAGGAGTTTGGAAACACACTGTTTGTAAAGTCTGCAATTGGATATATGGACCTGTTTGAGGCCTTCGTTGGAAACGGGATTTCTTCATTGAATGCTAGACGGAAGAATTCTCAGTAAATTCTTTGTGTTGTGTGCATTCAACTCACAGAGTGGAACGTCCCTTTAGACAGAGCAGATTTGAAACACTCTTTTTGCGGAATTTGCAAGTGGAGATTTCTAGCCATTTGATGCCAACAGTAGAAAGGGAAATATCTTCAAATAAAAACCAGACAGAATCATTCTCAGAAAATTCTTTGTGATGTGTGCGTTCAACTCACATAGTTTAACCTTTCTTTTCATAGAGCAGTTTGGAAACACTCTGTTTGTAAAGTCTGCAAGTGGATATATGGACCGCATTGAGGCCTTCGTTGGAAACGGGATTTCTTCATTTCATGCTAGACAGAAGAATTCTCAGTAACTTCTTTGTGCTGTGTGTATTCAACTCACAGAGTGGAACGTCCCTTTACACAGAGCAGATTTGAAACACTCTTTTTGTGGAGTTTGCAAGTGGAGATTTCAAGCGAATTGATGCCAACAGTAGAAAAGGAAATATCTTCAAATAAAAACTAGACAGAATCATTCTCAGAAACTACTTTGTGATGTGTGCCTTCAACTCACAGAGTTTAACCTTTCTTTTCTTAGAGCAGTTTAGAAACACTCTGCTTGTTATGTCTGCAAGTGGATATTTGGACCTCTTTGAGGCCTTCGTTGCAAACGGGGTTTCTTCCTTTCATGCTAGACTAAGAAGAGTTCTCAGTAACTTTTTTGTGTTGTGTGTATTCAACTCACAGAGTTGAACCTTGCTTTAGAGAGAGCAGATTTGAAACACTCTTGCTGTGGCATTTTCAGGTGGAGATTTCAAGCGATTTGAGGACAATTGCAGAAAAGGAAATATCTTCGTATAATAACCAGACAGAATCATTCTCAGAAAGTGCTTTGTGATGTGTGCGTTCAACTCACAGAGTTTAACCTTTCTTTTCATAGAGGAGTTTGGAAACACACTGTTTGTAAAGTCTGCAAGTGGATATATGGACCTGTTTGAGGCCTTCGTTGGAAACGGGATTTCTTCATTGAATGCTAGACGGAAGAATTCTCAGTAAATTCTTTGTGTTGTGTGCATTCAACTCACAGAGTGGAACGTCCCTTTAGACAGAGCAGATTTGAAACACTCTTTTTGCGGAATTTGCAAGTGGAGATTTCTAGCCATTTGATGCCAACAGTAGAAAGGGAAATATCTTCAAATAAAAACCAGACAGAATCATTCTCAGAAAATTCTTTGTGATGTGTGCGTTCAACTCACATAGTTTAACCTTTCTTTTCATAGAGCAGTTTGGAAACACTCTGTTTGTAAAGTCTGCAAGTGGATATATGGACCGCATTGAGGCCTTCGTTGGAAACGGGATTTCTTCATTTCATGCTAGACAGAAGAATTCTCAGTAACTTCTTTGTGCTGTGTGTATTCAACTCACAGAGTGGAACGTCCCTTTACACAGAGCAGATTTGAAACACTCTTTTTGTGGAGTTTGCAAGTGGAGATTTCAAGCGATTTGATGCCAACAGTAGAAAAGGAAATATCTTCAAATAAAAACTAGACAGAATCATTCTCAGAAACTACTTTGTGATGTGTGCCTTCAACTCACAGAGTTTAACCTTTCTTTTCTTAGAGCAGTTTAGAAACACTCTGCTTGTTATGTCTGCAAGTGGATATTTGGACCTCTTTGAGGCCTTCGTTGCAAACGGGGTTTCTTCCTTTCATGCTAGACTAAGAAGAGTTCTCAGTAACTTTTTTGTGTTGTGTGTATTCAACTCACAGAGTTGAACCTTGCTTTAGAGAGAGCAGATTTGAAACACTCTTGCTGTGGCATTTTCAGGTGGAGATTTCAAGCGTTTTGAGGACAATTGCAGAAAAGGAAATATCTTCGTATAATAACCAGACAGAATCATTCTCAGAAAGTGCTTTGTGATGTGTGCGTTCCACTCACAGAGTTTAACCTTTCTTTTCATAGAGGAGTTTGGAAACACACTGTTTGTAAAGTCTGCAAGTGGATATATGGACCTGTTTGAGGCCTTCGTTGGAAACGGGATTTCTTCATTGAATGCTAGACGGAAGAATTCTCAGTAAATTCTTTGTGTTGTGTGCATTCAACTGACAGAGTGGAACGTCCCTTTAGACAGAGCAGATTTGAAACACCCTTTTTGCGGAATTTGCAAGTGGAGATTTCTAGCCATTTGATGCCAACAGTAGAAAGGGAAATATCTTCAAATAAAAACCAGACAGAATCATTCTCAGAAAATTCTTTGTGATGTGTGCGTTCAACTCACATAGTTTAACCTTTCTTTTCATAGAGCAGTTTGGAAACACTCTGTTTGTAAAGTCTGCAAGTGGATATATGGACCGCATTGAGGCCTTCGTTGGAAACGGGATTTCTTCATTTCATGCTAGACAGAAGAATTCTCAGTAACTTCTTTGTGCTGTGTGTACTCAACTCACAGAGTGGAACGTCCCTTTGAACAGAGCAGATTTGAAACACTCTTTTTGTGGAGTTTGCAAGTGGAGATTTCAAGCGATTTGATGCCAACAGTAGAAAAGGAAATATCTTCAAATAAAAACTAGACAGAATCATTCTCAGAAACTACTTTGTGATGTGTGCCTTCAACTCACAGAGTTTAACCTTTCTTTTCTTAGAGCAGTTTAGAAACACTCTGCTTGTTATGTCTGCAAGTGGATATTTGGACCTCTTTGAGGCCTTCGTTGCAAACGGGGTTTCTTCCTTTCATGCTAGACTAAGAAGAGTTCTCAGTAACTTTTTTGTGTTGTGTGTATTCAACTCACAGAGTTGAACCTTGCTTTAGAGAGAGCAGATTTGAAACACTCTTGCTGTGGCATTTTCAGGTGGAGATTTCAAGCGATTTGAGGACAATTGCAGAAAAGGAAATATCTTCGTATAACAACCAGACAGAATCATTCTCAGAAAGTGCTTTGTGATGTGTGCGTTCAACTCACAGAGTTTAACCTTTCTTTTCATAGAGGAGTTTGGAAACACACTGTTTGTAAAGTCTGCAATTGGATATATGGACCTGTTTGAGGCCTTCGTTGGAAACGGGATTTCTTCATTGAATGCTAGACGGAAGAATTCTCAGTAAATTCTTTGTGTGGTGTGCATTCAACTCACAGAGTGGAACGTCCCTTTAGACAGAGCAGATTTGAAACACTCTTTTTGCGGAATTTGCAAGTGGAGATTTCTAGCCATTTGATGCCAACAGTAGAAAGGGAAATATCTTCAAATAAAAACCAGACAGAATCATTCTCAGAAAATTCTTTGTGATGTGTGCGTTCAACTCACATAGTTTAACCTTTCTTTTCATAGAGCAGTTTGGAAACACTCTGTTTGTAAAGTCTGCAAGTGGATATATGGACCGCATTGAGGCCTTCGTTGGAAACGGGATTTCTTCATTTCATGCTAGACAGAAGAATTCTCAGTAACTTCTTTGTGCTGTGTGTATTCAACTCACAGAGTGGAACGTCCCTTTACACAGAGCAGATTTGAAACACTCTTTTTGTGGAGTTTGCAAGTGGAGATTTCAAGCGATTTGATGCCAACAGTAGAAAAGGAAATATCTTCAAATAAAAACTAGACAGAATCATTCTCAGAAACTACTTTGTGATGTGTGCCTTCAACTCACAGAGTTTAACCTTTCTTTTCTTAGAGCACTTTAGAAACACTCTGCTTGTTATGTCTGCAAGTGGATATTTGGACCTCTTTGAGGCCTTCGTTGCAAACGGGGTTTCTTCCTTTCATGCTAGACTAAGAAGAGTTCTCAGTAACTTTTTTGTGTTGTGTGTATTCAACTCACAGAGTTGAACCTTGCTTTAGAGAGAGCAGATTTGAAACACTCTTGCTGTGGCATTTTCAGGTGGAGATTTCAAGCGTTTTGAGGACAATTGCAGAAAAGGAAATATCTTCGTATAATAACCAGACAGAATCATTCTCAGAAAGTGCTTTGTGATGTGTGCGTTCAACTCACAGAGTTTAACCTTTCTTTTCATAGAGGAGTTTGGAAACACACTGTTTGTAAAGTCTGCAATTGGATATATGGACCTGTTTGAGGCCTTCGTTGGAAACGGGATTTCTTCATTGAATGCTAGACGGAAGAATTCTCAGTAAATTCTTTGTGTTGTGTGCATTCAACTCACAGAGTGGAACGTCCCTTTAGACAGAGCAGATTTGAAACACTCTTTTTGCGGAATTTGCAAGTGGAGATTTCTAGCCATTTGATGCCAACAGTAGAAAGGGAAATATCTTCAAATAAAAACCAGACAGAATCATTCTCAGAAAATTCTTTGTGATGTGTGCGTTCAACTCACATAGTTTAACCTTTCTTTTCATAGAGCAGTTTGGAAACACTCTGTTTGTAAAGTCTGCAAGTGGATATATGGACCGCATTGAGGCCTTCGTTGGAAACGGGATTTCTTCATTTCATGCTAGACAGAAGAATTCTCAGTAACTTCTTTGTGCTGTGTGTATTCAACTCACAGAGTGGAACGTCCCTTTACACAGAGCAGATTTGAAACACTCTTTTTGTGGAGTTTGCAAGTGGAGATTTCAAGCGATTTTATGCCAACAGTAGAAAAGGAAATATCTTCAAATAAAAACTAGACAGAATCATTCTCAGAAACTACTTTGTGATGTGTGCCTTCAACTCACAGAGTTTAACCTTTCTTTTCTTAGAGCAGCTTAGAAACACTCTGCTTGTTATGTCTGCAAGTGGATATTTGGACCTCTTTGAGGCCTTCGTTGCAAACGGGGTTTCTTCCTTTAATGCTAGACTAAGAAGAGTTCTCAGTAACTTTTTTGTGTTGTGTGTATTCAACTCACAGAGTTGAACCTTGCTTTAGAGAGAGCAGATTTGAAACACTCTTGCTGTGGCATTTTCAGGTGGAGATTTCAAGCGATTTGAGGACAATTGCAGAAAAGGAAATATCTTCGTATAATAACCAGACAGAATCATTCTCAGAAAGTGCTTTGTGATGTGTGCGTTCAACTCACAGAGTTTAACCTTTCTTTTCATAGAGGAGTTTGGAAACACACTGTTTGTAAAGTCTGCAAGTGGATATATGGACCTGTTTGAGGCCTTCGTTGGAAACGGGATTTCTTCATTGAATGCTATACGGAAGAATTCTCAGTAAATTCTTTGTGTTGTGTGCATTCAACTCACAGAGTGGAACGTCCCTTTAGACAGAGCAGATTTGAAACACTCTTTTTGCGGAATTTGCAAGTGGAGATTTCTAGCCATTTGATGCCAACAGTAGAAAGGGAAATATCTTCAAATAAAAACCAGACAGAATCATTCTCAGAAAATTCTTTGTGATGTGTGCGTTCAACTCACATAGTTTAACCTTTCTTTTCATAGAGCAGTTTGGAAACACTCTGTTTGTAAAGTCTGCAAGTGGATATATGGACCGCATTGAGGCCTTCGTTGGAAACGGGATTTCTTCATTTCATGCTAGACAGAAGAATTCTCAGTAACTTCTCTGTGCTGTGTGTATTCAACTCACAGACTGGAACGTCCGTTTGCACAGAGCAGATTTGAAACACTCTTTTTGTGGAATTTGCAAGTGGAGATTTCAAGCGATTTGATGCCAACAGTAGAAAAGGAAATATCTTCAAATAAAAACTAGACAGAACCATTCTCAGAAAGTACTTTGTGATGTGTGCCTTCAACTCACAGAGTTTAACCTTTCTTTTCTTAGAGCAGTTTAGAAACACTCTGCTTGTTATGTCTGCAAGTGGATATTTGGACCTCTTTGAGGCCTTCGTTGCAAACGGGGTTTCTTCCTTTCATGCTAGACTAAGAAGAGTTCTCAGTAACATTTTTGTGTTGTGTGTATTCAACTCACAGAGTTGAACCCTGCTTTAGAGAGAGCAGATTTGAAACACTCTTGCTGTGGCATTTTCAGGTGGAGATTTCAAGCGATTTGAGGACAATTGCAGAAAAGGAAATATCTTCGTATAACAACCAGACAGAATCATTCTCAGGAAAGTGCTTTGTGATGTGTGCGTTCAACTCACAGAGTTTAACCTTTCTTTTCATAGAGGAGTTTGGAAACACACTGTTTGTAAAGTCTGCAATTGGATATATGGACCTGTTTGAGGCCTTGGTTGGAAACGGGATTTCTTCATTGAATGCTAGACGGAAGAATTCTCAGTAAATTCTTTGTGTGGTGTGCATTCAACTCACAGAGTGGAACGTCCCTTTAGACAGAGCAGATTTGAAACACTCTTTTTGCGGAATTTGCAAGTGGAGATTTCTAGCCATTTGATGCCAACAGTAGAAAGGGAAATATCTTCAAATAAAAACCAGACAGAATCATTCTCAGAAAATTCTTTGTGATGTGTGCGTTCAACTCACATAGTTTAACCTTTCTTTTCATAGAGCAGTTTGGAAACACTCTGTTTGTAAAGTCTGCAAGTGGATATATGGACCGCATTGAGGCCTTCGTTGGAAACGGGATTTCTTCATTTCATGCTAGACAGAAGAATTCTCAGTGACTTCTTTGTGCTGTGTGTATTCAACTCACAGAGTGGAACGTCCCTTTGCACAGAGCAGATTTGAAACACTCTTTTTGTGGAGTTTGCAATTGGAGATTTCAAGCGATTTGATGCCAACAGTAGAAAAGGAAATATCTTCAAATAAAAACTAGACAGAATCATTCTCAGAAACTACTTTGTGATGTGTGCCTTCAACTCACAGAGTTTAACCTTTCTTTTCTTAGAGCAGTTTAGAAACACTCTGCTTGTTATGTCTGCAAGTGGATATTTGGACCTCTTTGAGGCCTTCGTTGCAAACGGGGTTTCTTCCTTTCATGCTAGACTAAGAAGAGTTCTCAGTAACTTTTTTGTGTTGTGTGTATTCAACTCACAGAGTTGAACCTTGCTTTAGAGAGAGCAGATTTGAAACACTCTTGCTGTGGCATTTTCAGGTGGAGATTTCAAGCGATTTGAGGACAATTGCAGAAAAGGAAATATCTTCGTATAATAACCAGACAGAATCATTCTCAGAAAGTGCTTTGTGATGTGTGCGTTCAACTCACAGAGTTTAACCTTTCTTTTCATAGAGGAGTTTGGAAACACACTGTTTGTAAAGTCTGCAAGTGGATATATGGACCTGTTTGAGGCCTTCGTTGGAAACGGGATTTCTTCAT
This sequence comes from Homo sapiens, assembly GCF_000001405.40. Taxonomy (NCBI): domain Eukaryota; kingdom Metazoa; phylum Chordata; class Mammalia; order Primates; family Hominidae; genus Homo; species Homo sapiens. The sequence goes on from NC_000007.14 coordinate 59,601,716, forward strand.
TGAATGCTAGACGGAAGAATTCTCAGTAAATTCTTTGTGTTGTGTGCATTCAACTCACAGAGTGGAACGTCCCTTTAGACAGAGCAGATTTGAAACACTCTTTTTGCGGAATTTGCAAGTGGAGATTTCTAGCCATTTGATGCCAACAGTAGAAAGGGAAATATCTTCAAATAAAAACCAGACAGAATCATTCTCAGAAAATTCTTTGTGATGTGTGCGTTCAACTCACATAGTTTAACCTTTCTTTACATAGAGCAGTTTGGAAACACTCTGTTTGTAAAGTCTGCAAGTGGATATATGGACCGCATTGAGGCCTTCGTTGGAAACGGGATTTCTTCATTTCATGCTAGACAGAAGAATTCTCAGTAACTTCTTTGTGCTGTGTGTATTCAACTCACAGAGTGGAACGTTCCTTTACACAGAGCAGATTTGAAACACTCTTTTTGTGGAATTTGCAAGTGGAGATTTCAAGCTGATTTGATGCCAACAGTAGAAAAGGAAATATCTTCAAATAAAAACTAGACAGAATCATTCTCAGAAACTACTTTGTGATGTGTGCCTTCAACTCACAGAGTTTAACCTTTCTTTTCTTAGAGCAGTTTAGAAACACTCTGCTTGTTATGTCTGCAAGTGGATATTTGGACCTCTTTGAGGCCTTCGTTGCAAACGGGGTTTCTTCCTTTCATGCTAGACTAAGAAGAGTTCTCAGTAACTTTTTTGTGTTGTGTGTATTCAACTCACAGAGTTGAACCTTGCTTTAGAGAGAGCAGATTTGAAACACTCTTGCTGTGGCATTTTCAGGTGGAGATTTCAAGCGATTTGAGGACAATTGCAGAAAAGGAAATATCTTCGTATAACAACCAGACAGAATCATTCTCAGAAAGTGCTTTGTGATGTGTGCATTCAACTCACAGAGTTTAACCTTTCTTTTCATTGAGGAGTTTGGAAACACACTGTTTGTAAAGTCTGCAATTGGATATATGGACCTGTTTGAGGCCTTCGTTGGAAACGGGATTTCTTCATTGAATGCTAGACGGAAGAATTCTCAGTAAATTCTTTGTGTTGTGTGCATTCAACTCACAGAGTGGAACGTCCCTTTACACAGAGCAGATTTGAAACACTCTTTTTGCGGAATTTGCAAGTGGAGATTTCTAGCCATTTGATGCCAACAGTAGAAAGGGAAATATCTTCAAATAAAAACCAGACAGAATCATTCTCAGAAAATTCTTTGTGATGTGTGCGTTCAACTCACATAGTTTAACCTTTCTTTTCTTAGAGCAGTTTAGAAACACTCTGCTTGTTATGTCTGCAAGTGGATATTTGGACCTCTTTGAGGCCTTCGTTGCAAACGGGGTTTCTTCCTTTCATGCTAGACTAAGAAGAGTTCTCAGTAACTTTTTTGTGTTGTGTGTATTCAACTCACAGAGTTGAACCTTGCTTTAGAGAGAGCAGATTTGAAACACTCTTGCTGTGGCATTTTCAGGTGGAGATTTCAAGCGATTTGAGGACAATTGCAGAAAAGGAAATATCTTCGTATAATAACCAGACAGAATCATTCTCAGAAAGTGCTTTGTGATGTGTGCGTTCCACTCACAGAGTTTAACCTTTCTTTTCATAGAGGAGTTTGGAAACACACTGTTCGTAAAGTCTGCAAGTGGATATATGGACCTGTTTGAGGCCTTCGTTGGAAACGGGATTTCTTCATTGAATGCTAGACGGAAGAATTCTCAGTAAATTCTTTGTGTTGTGTGCATTCAACTCACAGAGTGGAACGTCCCTTTAGACAGAGCAGATTTGAAACACTCTTTTTGCGGAATTTGCAAGTGGAGATTTCTAGCCATTTGATGCCAACAGTAGAAAGGGAAATATCTTCAAATAAAAACCAGACAGAATCATTCTCAGAAAATTCTTTGTGATGTGTGCGTTCAGCTCACATAGTTTAACCTTTCTTTTCATAGAGCAGTTTGGAAACACTCTGTTTGTAAAGTCTGCAAGTGGATATATGGACCGCATTGAGGCCTTCGTTGGAAACGGGATTTCTTCATTTCATGCTAGACAGAAGAATTCTCAGTAACTTCTTTGTGCTGTGTGTATTCAACTCACAGAGTGGAACGTCCCTTTGCACAGAGCAGATTTGAAACACTCTTTTTGTGGAGTTTGCAAGTGGAGATTTCAAGCGATTTGATGCCAACAGTAGAAAAGGAAATATCTTCAAATAAAAACTAGACAGAATCATTCTCAGAAACTACTTTGTGATGTGTGCCTTCAACTCACAGAGTTTAACCTTTCTTTTCTTAGAGCAGTTTAGAAACACTCTGCTTGTTATGTCTGCAAGTGGATATTTGGACCTCTTTGAGGCCTTCGTTGCAAACGGGGTTTCTTCCTTTAATGCTAGACTAAGAAGAGTTCTCAGTAACTTTTTTGTGTTGTGTGTATTCAACTCACAGAGCTGAACCTTGCTTTAGAGAGAGCAGATTTGAAACACTCTTGCTGTGGCATTTTCAGGTGGAGATTTCAAGCGATTTGAGGACAATTGCAGAAAAGGAAATATCTTCGTATAACAACCAGACAGAATCATTCTCAGAAAGTGCTTTGTGATGTGTGCGTTCAACTCACAGAGTTTAACCTTTCTTTTCATAGAGGAGTTTGGAAACACACTGTTTGTAAAGTCTGCAATTGGATATATGGACCTGTTTGAGGCCTTCGTTGGAAACGGGATTTCTTCATTGCATGCTAGACGGAAGAATTCTCAGTAAATTCTTTGTGTTGTGTGCATTCAACTCACAGAGTGGAACGTCCCTTTAGACAGAGCAGATTTGAAACACTCTTTTTGCGGAATTTGCAAGTGGAGATTTCTAGCCATTTGATGCCAACAGTAGAAAGGGAAATATCTTCAAATAAAAACCAGACAGAATCATTCTCAGAAAATTCTTTGTGATGTGTGCGTTCAACTCACATAGTTTAACCTTTCTTTTCATAGAGCAGTTTGGAAACACTCTGTTTGTAAAGTCTGCAAGTGGATATATGGACCGCATTGAGGCCTTCGTTGGAAACGGGATTTCTTCATTTCATGCTAGACAGAAGAATTCTCAGTAACTTCTTTGTGCTGTGTGTATTCAACTCACAGAGTGGAACGTCCCTTTGCACAGAGCAGATTTGAAACACTCTTTTTGTGGAATTTGCAAGTGGAGATTTCAAGCGATTTGATGCCAACAGTAGAAAAGGAAATATCTTCAAATAAAAACTAGACAGAATCATTCTCAGAAACTACTTTGTGATGTGTGCCTTCAACTCACAGAGTTTAACCTTTCTTTTCTTAGAGCACTTTAGAAACACTCTGCTTGTTATGTCTGCAAGTGGATATTTGGACCTCTTTGAGGCCTTCGTTGCAAACGGGGTTTCTTCCTTTCATGCTAGACTAAGAAGAGTTCTCAGTAACTTTTTTGTGTTGTGTGTATTCAACTCACAGAGGTGAACCTTGCTTTAGAGAGAGCAGATTTGAAACACTCTTGCTGTGGCATTTTCAGGTGGAGATTTCAAGCGATTTGAGGACAATTGCAGAAAAGGAAATATCTTCGTATAATAACCAGACAGAATCATTCTCAGAAAGTGCTTTGTGATGTGTGCGTTCAACTCACAGAGTTTAACCTTTCTTTTCATAGAGGAGTTTGGAAACACACTGTTTGTAAAGTCTGCAAGTGGATATATGGACCTGTTTGAGGCCTTCGTTGGAAACGGGATTTCTTCATTGAATGCTAGACGGAAGAATTCTCAGTAAATTCTTTGTGTTGTGTGCATTCAACTCACAGAGTGGAACGTCCCTTTAGACAGAGCAGATTTGAAACACTCTTTTTGCGGAATTTGCAAGTGGAGATTTCTAGCCATTTGATGCCAACAGTAGAAAGGGAAACATCTTCAAATAAAAACCAGACAGAATCATTCTCAGAAAATTCTTTGTGATGTCTGCGTTCAACTCACATAGTTTAACCTTTCTTTTCATAGAGCAGTTTGGAAACACTCTGTTTGTAAAGTCTGCAAGTGGATATATGGACCGCATTGAGGCCTTCGTTGGAAACGGGATTTCTTCATTTCATGCTAGACAGAAGAATTCTCAGTAACTTCTTTGTGCTGTGTGTATTCAACTCACAGAGTGGAACGTCCCTTTGCACAGAGCAGATTTGAAACACTCTTTTTGTGGAATTTGCAAGTGGAGATTTCAAGCGATTTGATGCCAACAGTAGAAAAGGAAATATCTTCAAATAAAAACTAGACAGAATCATTCTCAGAAACTACTTTGTGATGTGTGCCTTCAACTCACAGAGTTTAACCTTTCTTTTCTTAGAGCAGTTTAGAAACACTCTGCTTGTTATGTCTGCAAGTGGATATTTGGACCTCTTTGAGGCCTTCGTTGCAAACGGGGTTTCTTCCTTTAATGCTAGACTAAGAAGAGTTCTCAGTAACTTTTTTGTGTTGTGTGTATTCAACTCACAGAGTTGAACCTTGCTTTAGAGAGAGCAGATTTGAAACACTCTTGCTGTGGCATTTTCAGGTGGAGATTTCAAGCGATTTGAGGACAATTGCAGAAAAGGAAATATCTTCGTATAATAACCAGACAGAATCATTCTCAGAAAGTGCTTTGTGATGTGTGCGTTCAACTCACAGAGTTTAACCTTTCTTTTCATAGAGGAGTTTGGAAACACACTGTTTGTAAAGTCTGCAATTGGATATATGGACCTGTTTGAGGCCTTCGTTGGAAACGGGATTTCTTCATTGAATGCTAGACGGAAGAATTCTCAGTAAATTCTTTGTGTTGTGTGCATTCAACTGACAGAGTGGAACTGTCCCTTTAGACAGAGCAGATTTGAAACACTCTTTTTGCGGAATTTGCAAGTGGAGATTTCTAGCCATTTGATGCCAACAGTAGAAAGGGAAATATCTTCAAATAAAAACCAGACAGAATCATTCTCAGAAAATTCTTTGTGATGTGTGCGTTCAACTCACATAGTTTAACCTTTCTTTTCATAGAGCAGTTTGGAAACACTCTGTTTGTAAAGTCTGCAAGTGGATATATGGACCGCATTGAGGCCTTCGTTGGAAACGGGATTTCTTCATTTCATGCTAGACAGAAGAATTCTCAGTAACTTCTTTGTGCTGTGTGTATTCAACTCACAGAGTGGAACCGTCCCTTTGCACAGAGCAGATTTGAAACACTCTTTTTGTGGAGTTTGCAAGTGGAGATTTCAAGCGATTTGATGCCAACAGTAGAAAAGGAAATATCTTCAAATAAAAACTAGACAGAATCATTCTCAGAAACTACTTTGTGATGTGTGCCTTCAACTCACAGAGTTTAACCTTTCTTTTCTTAGAGCAGTTTAGAAACACTCTGCTTGTTATGTCTGCAAGTGGATATTTGGACCTCTTTGAGGCCTTCGTTGCAAACGGGGTTTCTTCCTTTCATGCTAGACTAAGAAGAGTTCTCAGTAACTTTTTTGTGTTGTGTGTATTCAACTCACAGAGTTGAACCTTGCTTTAGAGAGAGCAGATTTGAAACACTCTTGCTGTGGCATTTTCAGGTGGAGATTTCAAGCGATTTGAGGACAATTGCAGAAAAGGAAATATCTTCGTATAATAACCAGACAGAATCATTCTCAGAAAGTGCTTTGTGATGTGTGCGTTCAACTCACAGAGTTTAACCTTTCTTTTCATAGAGGAGTTTGGAAACACACTGTTTGTAAAGTCTGCAATTGGATATATGGACCTGTTTGAGGTCTTCGTTGGAAACGGGATTTCTTCATTGAATGCTAGACGGAAGAATTCTCAGTAAATTCTTTGTGTTGTGTGCATTCAACTCACAGAGTGGAACGTCCCTTTAGACAGAGCAGATTTGAAACACTCTTTTTGCGGAATTTGCAAGTGGAGATTTCTAGCCATTTGATGCCAACAGTAGAAAGGGAAATATCTTCAAATAAAAACCAGACAGAATCATTCTCAGAAAATTCTTTGTGATGTGTGCGTTCAACTCACATAGTTTAACCTTTCTTTTCATAGAGCAGTTTGGAAACACTCTGTTTGTAAAGTCTGCAAGTGGATATATGGACCGCATTGAGGCCTTCGTTGGAAACGGGATTTCTTCATTTCATGCTAGACAGAAGAATTCTCAGTAACTTCTTTGTGCTGTGTGTATTCAACTCACAGAGTGGAACGTCCCTTTGCACAGAGCAGATTTGAAACACTCTTTTTGTGGAATTTGCAAGTGGAGATTTCAAGCGATTTGATGCCAACAGTAGAAAAGGAAATATCTTCAAATAAAAACTAGACAGAATCATTCTCAGAAACTACTTTGTGATGTGTGCCTTCAACTCACAGAGTTTAACCTTTCTTTTCTTAGAGCAGTTTAGAAACACTCTGCTTGTTATGTCTGCAAGTGGATATTTGGACCTCTTTGAGGCCTTCGTTGCAAACGGGGTTTCTTCCTTTCATGCTAGACTAAGAAGAGTTCTCAGTAACTTTTTTGTGTTGTGTGTATTCAACTCACAGAGTTGAACCTTGCTTTAGAGAGAGCAGATTTGAAACACTCTTGCTGTGGCATTTTCAGGTGGAGATTTCAAGCGATTTGAGGACAATTGCAGAAAAGGAAATATCTTCGTATAACAACCAGACAGAATCATTCTCAGAAAGTGCTTTGTGTTGTGTGCGTTCAACTCACAGAGTTTAACCTTTCTTTTCATAGAGGAGTTTGGAAACACACTGTTTGTAAAGTCTGCAATTGGATATATGGACCTGTTTGAGGCCTTCGTTGGAAACGGGATTTCTTCATTGAATGCTAGACGGAAGAATTCTCAGTAAATTCTTTGTGTTGTGTGCATTCAACTCACAGAGTGGAACGTCCCTTTAGACAGAGCAGATTTGAAACACTCTTTTTGCGGAATTTGCAAGTGGAGATTTCTAGCCATTTGATGCCAACAGTAGAAAGGGAAATATCTTCAAATAAAAACCAGACAGAATCATTCTCAGAAAATTCTTTGTGATGTGTGCGTTCAACTCACATAGTTTAACCTTTCTTTTCATAGAGCAGTTTGGAAACACTCTGTTTGTAAAGTCTGCAAGTGGATATATGGACCGCATTGAGGCCTTCGTTGGAAACGGGATTTCTTCATTTCATGCTAGACAGAAGAATTCTCAGTAACTTCTTTGTGCTGTGTGTATTCAACTCACAGAGTGGAACGTCCCTTTACACAGAGCAGATTTGAAACACTCTTTTTGTGGAGTTTGCAAGTGGAGATTTCAAGCGATTTGATGCCAACAGTAGAAAAGGAAATATCTTCAAATAAAAACTAGACAGAATCATTCTCAGAAACTACTTTGTGATGTGTGCCTTCAACTCACAGAGTTTAACCTTTCTTTTCTTAGAGCAGTTTAGAAACACTCTGGTTGTTATGTCTGCAAGTGGATATTTGGACCTCTTTGAGGCCTTCGTTGCAAACGGGGTTTCTTCCTTTAATGCTAGACTAAGAAGAGTTCTCAGTAACTTTTTTGTGTTGTGTGTATTCAACTCACAGAGTTGAACCTTGCTTTAGAGAGAGCAGATTTGAAACACTCTTGCTGTGGCATTTTCAGGTGGAGATTTCAAGCGATTTGAGGACAATTGCAGAAAAGGAAATATCTTCGTATAATAACCAGACAGAATCATTCTCAGAAAGTGCTTTGTGATGTGTGCGTTCCACTCACAGAGTTTAACCTTTCTTTTCATAGAGGAGTTTGGAAACACACTGTTTGTAAAGTCTGCAAGTGGATATATGGACCGCTTTGAGGCCTTCGTTGGAAACGGGATTTCTTCATTGAATGCTAGGCGGAAGAATTCTCAGTAAATTCTTTGTGTTGTGTGCATTCAACTCACAGAGTGGAACGTCCCTTTAGACAGAGCAGATTTGAAACACTCTTTTTGCGGAATTTGCAAGTGGAGATTTCTAGCCATTTGATGCCAACAGTAGAAAGGGAAATATCTTCAAATAAAAACCAGACAGAATCATTCTCAGAAAATTCTTTGTGATGTGTGCGTTCAACTCACATAGTTTAACCTTTCTTTTCATAGAGCAGTTTGGAAACACTCTGTTTGTAAAGTCTGCAAGTGGATATATGGACCGCATTGAGGCCTTCGTTGGAAACGGGATTTCTTCATTTCATGCTAGACAGAAGAATTCTCAGTAACTTCTTTGTGCTGTGTGTATTCAACTCACAGAGTGGAACGTCCCTTTACACAGAGCAGATTTGAAACACTCTTTTTGTGGAGTTTGCAAGTGGAGATTTCAAGCGATTTGATGCCAACAGTAGAAAAGGAAATATCTTCAAATAAAAACTAGACAGAATCATTCTCAGAAACTACTTTGTGATGTGTGCCTTCAACTCACAGAGTTTAACCTTTCTTTTCTTAGAGCAGTTTAGAAACACTCTGCTTGTTATGTCTGCAAGTGGATATTTGGACCTCTTTGAGGCCTTCGTTGCAAACGGGGTTTCTTCCTTTAATGCTAGACTAAGAAGAGTTCTCAGTAACTTTTTTGTGTTGTGTGTATTCAACTCACAGAGTTGAACCTTGCTTTAGAGAGAGCAGATTTGAAACACTCTTGCTGTGGCATTTTCAGGTGGAGATTTCAAGCGATTTGAGGACAATTGCAGAAAAGGAAATATCTTCGTATAACAACCAGACAGAATCATTCTCAGAAAGTGCTTTGTGATGTGTGCGTTCCACTCACAGAGTTTAACCTTTCTTTTCATAGAGGAGTTTGGAAACACACTGTTTGTAAAGTCTGCATGTGGATATATGGACCTGTTTGAGGCCTTCGTTGGAAACGGGATTTCTTCATTGAATGCTAGACGGAAGAATTCTCAGTAAATTCTTTGTGTTGTGTGCATTCAACTCACAGAGTGGAACGTCCCTTTAGACAGAGCAGATTTGAAACACTCTTTTTGCGGAATTTGCAAGTGGAGATTTCTAGCCATTTGATGCCAACAGTAGAAAGGGAAATATCTTCAAATAAAAACCAGACAGAATCATTCTCAGAAAATTCTTTGTGATGTGTGCGTTCAACTCACATAGTTTAACCTTTCTTTTCATAGAGCAGTTTGGAAACACTCTGTTTGTAAAGTCTGCAAGTGGATATATGGACCGCATTGAGGCCTTCGTTGGAAACGGGATTTCTTCATTTCATGCTAGACAGAAGAATTCTCAGTAACTTCTTTGTGCTGTGTGTATTCAACTCACAGAGTGGAACGTCCCTTTGCACAGAGCAGATTTGAAACACTCTTTTTGTGGAGTTTGCAAGTGGAGATTTCAAGCGATTTGATGCCAACAGTAGAAAAGGAAATATCTTCAAATAAAAACTAGACAGAATCATTCTCAGAAACTACTTTGTGATGTGTGCCTTCAACTCACAGAGTTTAACCTTTCTTTTCTTAGAGCAGTTTAGAAACACTCTGCTTGTTATGTCTGCAAGTGGATATTTGGACCTCTTTGAGGCCTTCGTTGCAAACGGGGTTTCTTCCTTTCATGCTAGACTAAGAAGAGTTCTCAGTAACTTTTTTGTGTTGTGTGTATTCAACTCACAGAGTTGAACCTTGCTTTAGAGAGAGCAGATTTGAAAAACTCTTGCTGTGGCATTTTCAGGTGGAGATTTCAAGCGATTTGAGGACAATTGCAGAAAAGGAAATATCTTCGTATAACAACCAGACAGAATCATTCTCAGAAAGTGCTTTGTGATGTGTGCGTTCAACTCTCAGAGTTTAATCTTTCTTTTCATAGTGGAGTTTGGAAACACACTGTTTGTAAAGTCTGCAATTGGATATATGGACCTGTTTGAGGCCTTCGTTGGAAACGGGATTTCTTCATTGAATGCTAGACGGAAGAATTCTCAGTAAATTCTTTGTGTTGTGTGCATTCAACTCACAGAGTGGAACGTCCCTTTAGACAGAGCAGATTTGAAACACTCTTTTTGCGGAATTTGCAAGTGGAGATTTCTAGCCATTTGATGCCAACAGTAGAAAGGGAAATATCTTCAAATAAAAACCAGACAGAATCATTCTCAGAAAATTCTTTGTGATGTGTGCGTTCAACTCACATAGTTTAACCTTTCTTTTCATAGAGCAGTTTGGGAACACTCTGTTGGTAATGTCTGCAAGTGGATATATGGACCGCTTTGAGGCCTTCGTTGGAAACGGGATTTCTTCATTTCATGCTAGACAGAAGAATTCTCAGTAACTTCTTTGTGTTGTGTGTATTCAACTCACAGATTGGAACGTCCCTTTACACAGAGCAGATTTGAAACACTCTTTTTGTGGAATTTGCAAGTGGAGATTTCAAGCGATTTGATGCCAACAGTAGAAAAGGAAATATCTGCAAACAAAAACTAGACAGAATCATTATCAGAAAGTGCTTTGTGATGTGTGCATTCAACTCACAGAGTTAACCTTTCTTTTCATAAAGGAGTTTGGAAACACACTGTTTGTAAAGTCTGCAATTGGATATATGGACCTGTTTGAGGCCATCGTTGGAAACGGGATTTCTTCATTGAATGCTAGACGGAAGAATTCTCAGTAAATTCTTTGTGTTGTGTGCATTCAACTCACAGAGTGGAACGTTCCTTTAGACAGAGCAGATTTGAAACACTCTTTTTGCGGAATTTGCAAGTGGAGATTTCTAGCCATTTGATGCCAACAGTAGAAAGGGAAATATCTTCAAATAAAAACCAGACAGAATCATTCTCAGAAAATTCTTTGTGATGTGTGCGTTCAACTCACATAGTTTAACCTTTCTTTTCATAGAGCAGTTTGGAAACACTCTGTTTGTAAAGTCTGCAAGTGGATATATGGACCGCATTGAGGCCTTCGTTGGAAACGGGATTTCTTCATTTCATGCTAGACAGAAGAATTCTCAGTAACTTCTTTGTGCTGTGTGTATTCAACTCACAGAGTGGAACGTCCCTTTGCACAGAGCAGATTTGAAACACTCTTTTTGTGGAGTTTGCAAGTGGAGATTTCAAGCGATTTGATGCCAACAGTAGAAAAGGAAATATCTTCAAATAAAAACTAGACAGAATCATTCTCAGAAACTACTTTGTGATGTGTGCCTTCAACTCACAGAGTTTAACCTTTCTTTTCTTAGAGCAGTTTAGAAACACTCTGCTTGTTATGTCTGCAAGTGGATATTTGGACCTCTTTGAGGCCTTCGTTGCAAACGGGGTTTCTTCCTTTCATGCTAGACTAAGAAGAGTTCTCAGTAACTTTTTTGTGTTGTGTGTATTCAACTCACAGAGTTGAACCTTGCTTTAGAGAGAGCAGATTTGAAACACTCTTGCTGTGGCATTTTCAGGTGGAGATTTCAAGCGATTTGAGGACAATTGCAGAAAAGGAAATATCTTCGTATAACAACCAGACAGAATCATTCTCAGAAAGTGCTTTGTGATGTGTGCGTTCCACTCACAGAGTTTAACCTTTCTTTTCATAGAGGAGTTTGGAAACACACTGTTTGTAAAGTCTGCAATTGGATATATGGACCTGTTTGAGGCCTTCGTTGGAAACGGGATTTCTTCATTGAATGCTAGACGGAAGAATTCTCAGTAAATTCTTTGTGTTGTGTGCATTCAACTCACAGAGTGGAACGTCCCTTTAGACAGAGCAGATTTGAAACACTCTTTTTGCGGAATTTGCAAGTGGAGATTTCTAGCCATTTGATGCCAACAGTAGAAAGGGAAATATCTTCAAATAAAAACCAGACAGAATCATTCTCAGAAAATTCTTTGTGATGTGTGCGTTCAACTCACATAGTTTAACCTTTCTTTTCATAGAGCAGTTTGGAAACACTCTGTTTGTAAAGTCTGCAAGTGGATATATGGACCGCATTGAGGCCTTCGTTGGAAACGGGATTTCTTCATTTCATGCTAGACAGAAGAATTCTCAGTAACTTCTTTGTGCTGTGTGTATTCAACTCACAGAGTGGAACGTCCCTTTGCACAGAGCAGATTTGAAACACTCTTTTTGTGGAGTTTGCAAGTGGAGATTTCAAGCGATTTGATGCCAACAGTAGAAAAGGAAATATCTTCAAATAAAAACTAGACAGAATCATTCTCAGAAACTACTTTGTGATGTGTGCCTTCAACTCACAGAGTTTAACCTTTCTTTTCTTAGAGCAGTTTAGAAACACTCTGCTTGTTATGTCTGCAAGTGGATATTTGGACCTCTTTGAGGCCTTCGTTGCAAACGGGGTTTCTTCCTTTAATGCTAGACTAAGAAGAGTTCTCAGTAACTTTTTTGTGTTGTGTGTATTCAACTCACAGAGTTGAACCTTGCTTTAGAGAGAGCAGATTTGAAACACTCTTGCTGTGGCATTTTCAGGTGGAGATTTCAAGCGATTTGAGGACAATTGCAGAAAAGGAAATATCTTCGTATAATAACCAGACAGAATCATTCTCAGAAAGTGCTTTGTGATGTGTGCGTTCCACTCACAGAGTTTAACCTTTCTTTTCATAGAGGAGTTTGGAAACACACTGTTTGTAAACTCTGCAAGTGGATATATGGACCTGTTTGAGGCCTTCGTTGGAAACGGGATTTCTTCATTGAATGCTAGACGGAAGAATTCTCAGTAAATTCTTTGTGTTGTGTGCATTCAACTGACAGAGTGGAACGTCCCTTTAGACAGAGCAGATTTGAAACACTCTTTTTGCGGAATTTGCAAGTGGAGATTTCTAGCCATTTGATGCCAACAGTAGAAAGGGAAATATCTTCAAATAAAAACCAGACAGAATCATTCTCAGAAAATTCTTTGTGATGTGTGCGTTCAACTCACATAGTTTAACCTTTCTTTTCATAGAGCAGTTTGGAAACACTCTGTTTGTAAAGTCTGCAAGTGGATATATGGACCGCATTGAGGCCTTCGTTGGAAACGGGATTTCTTCATTTCATGCTAGACAGAAGAATTCTCAGTAACTTCTTTGTGCTGTGTGTATTCAACTCACAGAGTGGAACGTTCCTTTACACAGAGAAGATTTGAAACACTCTTTTTGTGGAATTTGCAAGTGGAGATTTCAAGCGATTTGATGCCAACAGTAGAAAAGGAAATATCTTCAAATAAAAACTAGACAGAATCATTCTCAGAAACTACTTTGTGATGTGTGCCTTCAACTCACAGAGTTTAACCTTTCTTTTCTTAGAGCAGTTTAGAAACACTCTGCTTGTTATGTCTGCAAGTGGATATTTGGACCTCTTTGAGGCCTTCCTTGCAAACGGGGTTTCTTCCTTTCATGCTAGACTAAGAAGAGTTCTCAGTAACTTTTTTGTGTTGTGTGTATTCAACTCACAGAGTTGAACCTTGCTTTAGAGAGAGCAGATTTGAAACACTCTTGCTGTGGCATTTTCAGGTGGAGATTTCAAGCGATTTGAGGACAATTGCAGAAAAGGAAATATCTTCGTATAATAACCAGACAGAATCATTCTCAGAAAGTGCTTTGTGATGTGTGCGTTCAACTCACAGAGTTTAACCTTTCTTTTCATAGAGGAGTTTGGAAACACACTGTTTGTAAAGTCTGCAATTGGATATATGGACCTGTTTGAGGCCTTCGTTGGAAACGGGATTTCTTCATTGAATGCTAGACGGAAGAATTCTCAGTAAATTCTTTGTGTTGTGTGCATTCAACTCACAGAGTGGAACGTCCCTTTAGACAGAGCAGATTTGAAACACTCTTTTTGCGGAATTTGCAAGTGGAGATTTCTAGCCATTTGATGCCAACAGTAGAAAGGGAAATATCTTCAAATAAAAACCAGACAGAATCATTCTCAGAAAATTCTTTGTGATGTGTGCTTTCAACTCACATAGTTTAACCTTTCTTTTCATAGAGCAGTTTGGAAACACTCTGTTTGTAAAGTCTGCAAGTGGATATATGGACCGCATTGAGGCCTTCGTTGGAAACGGGATTTCTTCATTTCATGCTAGACAGATTCTCAGCAACTTTTTTGTGTTGTGTGTATTCAACTCACAGAGTTGAACCTTGCTTTAGAGAGAGCAGATTTGAAACACTCTTGCTGTGGCATTTTCAGGTGGAGATTTCAAGCGATTTGAGGACAATTGCAGAAAAGGAAATATCTTCGTATAATAACCAGACAGAATCATTCTCAGAAAGTGTTTTGTGATGTGTGCGTTCAACTCACAGAGTTTAACCTTTCTTTTCATAGAGGAGTTTGGAAACACACTGTTTGTGAAGTCTGCAATTGGATATATGGACCTGTTTGAGGCCTTCGTTGGAAACGGGATTTCTTCATTGAATGCTAGACGGAAGAATTCTCAGTAAATTCTTTGTGTTGTGTGCATTCAACTGACAGAGTGGAACGTCCCTTTAGACAGAGCAGATTTGAAACACTCTTTTTGCGGAATTTGCAAGTGGAGATTTCTAGCCATTTGATGCCAACAGTAGAAAGGGAAATATCTTCAAATAAAAACCAGACAGAATCATTCTCAGAAAATTCTTTGTGATGTGTGCGTTCAACTCACATAGTTTAACCTTTCTTTTCATAGAGCAGTTTGGAAACACTCTGTTTGTAAAGTCTGCAAGTGGATATATGGACCGCATTGAGGCCTTCGTTGGAAACGGGATTTCTTCATTTCATGCTAGACAGAAGAATTCTCAGTAACTTCTTTGTGCTGTGTGTATTCAACTCACAGAGTGGAACGTCCCTTTACACAGAGCAGATTTGAAACACTCTTTTTGTGGAGTTTGCAAGTGGAGATTTCAAGCGATTTGATGCCAACAGTAGAAAAGGAAATATCTTCAAATAAAAACTAGACAGAATCATTCTCAGAAACTACTTTGTGATGTGTGCCTTCAACTCACAGAGTTTAACCTTTCTTTTCTTAGAGCAGTTTAGAAACACTCTGCTTGTTATGTCTGCAAGTGGATATTTGGACCTCTTTGAGGCCTTCGTTGCAAACGGGGTTTCTTCCTTTCATGCTAGACTAAGAAGAGTTCTCAGTAACTTTTTTGTGTTGTGTGTATTCAACTCACAGAGTTGAACCTTGCTTTAGAGAGAGCAGATTTGAAACACTCTTGCTGTGGCATTTTCAGGTGGAGATTTCAAGCGTTTTGAGGACAATTGCAGAAAAGGAAATATCTTCGTATAATAACCAGACAGAATCATTCTCAGAAAGTGCTTTGTGATGTGTGCCGTTCAACTCACAGAGTTTAACCTTTCTTTTCATAGAGGAGTTTGGAAACACACTGTTTGTAAAGTCTGCAAGTGGATATATGGACCTGTTTGAGGCCTTCGTTGGAAACGGGATTTCTTCATTGAATGCTAGACGGAAGAATTCTCAGTAAATTCTCTGTGTTGTGTGCATTCAACTGACAGAGTGGAACGTCCCTTTAGACAGAGCAGATTTGAAACACTCTTTTTGCGGAATTTGCAAGTGGAGATTTCTAGCCATTTGATGCCAACAGTAGAAAGGGAAATATCTTCAAATAAAAACCAGACAGAATCATTCTCAGAAAATTCTTTGTGATGTGTGCGTTCAACTCACATAGTTTAACCTTTCTTTTCATAGAGCAGTTTGGAAACACTCTGTTTGTAAAGTCTGCAAGTGGATATATGGACCGCATTGAGGCCTTCGTTGGAAACGGGATTTCTTCATTTCATGCTAGACAGAAGAATTCTCAGTAACTTCTTTGTGCTGTGTGTATTCAACTCACAGAGTGGAACGTCCCTTTGCACAGAGCAGATTTGAAACACTCTTTTTGTGGAGTTTGCAAGTGGAGATTTCAAGCGATTTGATGCCAACAGTAGAAAAGGAAATATCTTCAAATAAAAACTAGACAGAATCATTCTCAGAAACTACTTTGTGATGTGTGCCTTCAACTCACAGAGTTTAACCTTTCTTTTCTTAGAGCAGTTTAGAAACACTCTGCTTGTTATGTCTGCAAGTGGATATTTGGACCTCTTTGAGGCCTTCGTTGCAAAAAGGGGTTTCTTCCTTTCATGCTAGACTAAGAAGAGTTCTCAGTAACTTTTTTGTGTTGTGTGTATTCAACTCACAGAGTTGAACCTTGCTTTAGAGAGAGCAGATTTGAAACACTCTTGCTGTGGCATTTTCAGGTGGAGATTTCAAGCGATTTGAGGACAATTGCAGAAAAGGAAATATCTTCGTATAATAACCAGACAGAATCATTCTCAGAAAGTGCTTTGTGATGTGTGCGTTCAACTCACAGAGTTTAACCTTTCTTTTCATAGAGGAGTTTGGAAACACACTGTTTGTAAAGTCTGCAATTGGATATATGGACCTGTTTGAGGCCTTCGTTGGAAACGGGATTTCTTCATTGCATGCTAGACGGAAGAATTCTCAGTAAATTCTTTGTGTTGTGTGCATTCAACTCACAGAGTGGAACGTCCCTTTAGACAGAGCAGATTTGAAACACTCTTTTTGCGGAATTTGCAAGTGGAGATTTCTAGCCATTTGATGCCAACAGTAGAAAGGGAAATATCTTCAAATAAAAACCAGACAGAATCATTCTCAGAAAATTCTTTGTGATGTGTGCGTTCAACTCACATAGTTTAACCTTTCTTTTCATAGAGCAGTTTGGAAACACTCTGTTTGTAAAGTCTGCAAGTGGATATATGGACCGCATTGAGGCCTTCGTTGGAAACGGGATTTCTTCATTTCATGCTAGACAGAAGAATTCTCAGTAACTTCTTTGTGCTGTGTGTATTCAACTCACAGAGTGGAACGTCCCTTTGCACAGAGCAGATTTGAAACACTCTTTTTGTGGAATTTGCAAGTGGAGATTTCAAGCGATTTGATGCCAACAGTAGAAAAGGAAATATCTTCAAATAAAAACTAGACAGAATCATTCTCAGAAACTACTTTGTGATGTGTGCCTTCAACTCACAGAGTTTAACCTTTCTTTTCTTAGAGCAGTTTAGAAACACTCTGCTTGTTATGTCTGCAAGTGGATATTTGGACCTCTTTGAGGCCTTCGTTGCAAACGGGGTTTCTTCCTTTCATGCTAGACTAAGAAGAGTTCTCAGTAACATTTTTGTGTTGTGTGTATTCAACTCACAGAGTTGAACCTTGCTTTAGAGAGAGCAGATTTGAAACACTCTTGCTGTGGCATTTTCAGGTGGAGATTTCAAGCGATTTGAGGACAATTGCAGAAAAGGAAATATCTTCGTATAACAACCAGACAGAATCATTCTCAGAAAGTGCTTTGTGATGTGTGCGTTCCACTCACAGAGTTTAACCTTTCTTTTCATAGAGGAGTTTGGAAACACACTGTTTGTAAAGTCTGCAAGTGGATATATGGACCTGTTTGAGGCCTTCGTTGGAAACGGTATTTCTTCATTGAATGCTAGGCGGAAGAATTCTCAGTAAATTCTTTGTGTTGTGTGCATTCAACTCACAGAGTGGAACGTCCCTTTAGACAGAGCAGATTTGAAACACTCTTTTTGCGGAATTTGCAAGTGGAGATTTCTAGCCATTTGATGCCAACAGTAGAAAGGGAAATATCTTCAAATAAAAACCAGACAGAATCATTCTCAGAAAATTCTTTGTGATGTGTGCGTTCAACTCACATAGTTTAACCTTTCTTTTCATAGAGCAGTTTGGAAACACTCTGTTTGTAAAGTCTGCAAGTGGATATATGGACCGCATTGAGGCCTTCGTTGGAAACGGGATTTCTTCATTTCATGCAAGACAGAAGAATTCTCAGTAACTTCTTTGTGCTGTGTGTATTCAACTCACAGAGTGGAACGTCCCTTTACACAGAGCAGATTTGAAACACTCTTTTTGTGGAGTTTGCAAGTGGAGATTTCAAGCGATTTGATGCCAACAGTAGAAAAGGAAATATCTTCAAATAAAAACTAGACAGAATCATTCTCAGAAACTACTTTGTGATGTGTGCCTTCAACTCACAGAGTTTAACCTTTCTTTTCTTAGAGCAGTTTAGAAACACTCTGCTTGTTATGTCTGCAAGTGGATATTTGGACCTCTTTGAGGCCTTCGTTGCAAACGGGGTTTCTTCCTTTAATGCTAGACTAAGAAGAGTTCTCAGTAACTTTTTTGTGTTGTGTGTATTCAACTCACAGAGTTGAACCTTGCTTTAGAGAGAGCAGATTTGAAACACTCTTGCTGTGGCATTTTCAGGTGGAGATTTCAAGCGTTTTGAGGACAATTGCAGAAAAGGAAATATCTTCGTATAATAACCAGACAGAATCATTCTCAGAAAGTGCTTTGTGATGTGTGCGTTCCACTCACAGAGTTTAACCTTTCTTTTCATAGAGGAGTTTGGAAACACACTGTTTGTAAACTCTGCAAGTGGATATATGGACCTGTTTGAGGCCTTCGTTGGAAACGGGATTTCTTCATTGAATGCTAGACGGAAGAATTCTCAGTAAATTCTTTGTGTTGTGTGCATTCAACTCACAGAGTGGAACGTCCCTTTAGACAGAGCAGATTTGAAACACTCTTTTTGCGGAATTTGCAAGTGGAGATTTCTAGCCATTTGATGCCAACAGTAGAAAGGGAAATATCTTCAAATAAAAACCAGACAGAATCATTCTCAGAAAATTCTTTGTGATGTGTGCGTTCAACTCACATAGTTTAACCTTTCTTTTCATAGAGCAGTTTGGAAACACTCTGTTTGTAAAGTCTGCAAGTGGATATATGGACCGCATTGAGGCCTTCGTTGGAAACGGGATTTCTTCATTTCATGCTAGACAGAAGAATTCTCAGTAACTTCTTTGTGCTGTGTGTATTCAACTCACAGAGTGGAACGTCCCTTTACACAGAGCAGATTTGAAACACTCTTTTTGTGGAGTTTGCAAGTGGAGATTTCAAGCGATTTGATGCCAACAGTAGAAAAGGAAATATCTTCCAATATAAACTAGACAGAATCATTCTCAGAAACTACTTTGTGATGTGTGCCTTCAACTCACAGAGTTTAACCTTTCTTTTCTTAGAGCAGTTTAGAAACACTCTGCTTGTTATGTCTGCAAGTGGATATTTGGACCTCTTTGAGGCCTTCGTTGCAAACGGGGTTTCTTCCTTTCATGCTAGACTAAGAAGAGTTCTCAGTAACTTTTTTGTGTTGTGTGTATTCAACTCACAGAGTTGAACCTTGCTTTAGAGAGAGCAGATTTGAAACACTCTTGCTGTGGCATTTTCAGGTGGAGATTTCAAGCGATTTGAGGACAATTGCAGAAAAGGAAATATCTTCGTATAATAACCAGACAGAATCATTCTCAGAAAGTGCTTTGTGATGTGTGCGTTCCACTCACAGAGTTTAACCTTTCTTTTCATAGAGGAGTTTGGAAACACACTGTTTGTAAAGTCTGCAAGTGGATATATGGACCTGTTTGAGGCCTTCGTTGGAAACGGGATTTCTTCATTGAATGCTAGACGGAAGAATTCTCAGTAAATTCTTTGTGTTGTGTGCATTCAACTCACAGAGTGGAACGTCCCTTTAGACAGAGCAGATTTGAAACACTCTTTTTGCGGAATTTGCAAGTGGAGATTTCTAGCCATTTGATGCCAACAGTAGAAAGGGAAATATCTTCAAATAAAAACCAGACAGAATCATTCTCAGAAAATTCTTTGTGATGTGTGCATTCAACTCACATAGTTTAACCTTTCTTTTCATAGAGCAGTTTGGAAACACTCTGTTTGTAAAGTCTGCAAGTGGATATATGGACTGCATTGAGGCCTTCGTTGGAAACGGGATTTCTTCATTTCATGCTAGACAGAAGAATTCTCAGTAACTTCTTTGTGCTGTGTGTATTCAACTCACAGAGTGGAACGTCCCTTTACACAGAGCAGATTTGAAACACTCTTTTTGTGGAGTTTGCAAGTGGAGATTTCAAGCGATTTGATGCCAACAGTAGAAAAGGAAATATCTTCAAATAAAAACTAGACAGAATCATTCTCAGAAACTACTTTGTGATGTGTGCCTTCAACTCACAGAGTTTAACCTTTCTTTTCTTAGAGCAGTTTAGAAACACTCTGCTTGTTATGTCTGCAAGTGGATATTTGGACCTCTTTGAGGCCTTCGTTGCAAACGGGGTTTCTTCCTTTCATGCTAGACTAAGAAGAGTTCTCAGTAACTTTTTTGTGTTGTGTGTATTCAACTCACAGAGTTGAACCTTGCTTTAGAGAGAGCAGATTTGAAACACTCTTGCTGTGGCATTTTCAGGTGGAGATTTCAAGCGATTTGAGGACAATTGCAGAAAAGGAAATATCTTCGTATAATAACCAGACAGAATCATTCTCAGAAAGTGCTTTGTGATGTGTGCGTTCAACTCACAGAGTTTAACCTTTCTTTTCATAGAGGAGTTTGGAAACACACTGTTTGTAAAGTCTGCAATTGGATATATGGACCTGTTTGAGGCCTTCGTTGGAAACGGGATTTCTTCATTGAATGCTAGACGGAAGAATTCTCAGTAAATACTTTGTGTTGTGTGCATTCAACTGACAGAGTGGAACGTCTCTTTAGACAGAGCAGATTTGAAACACTCTTTTTGCGGAATTTGCAAGTGGAGATTTCTAGCCATTTGATGCCAACAGTAGAAAGGGAAATATCTTCAAATAAAAACCAGACAGAATCATTCTCAGAAAATTCTTTGTGATGTGTGCGTTCAACTCACATAGTTTAACCTTTCTTTTCATAGAGCAGTTTGGAAACACTCTGTTTGTAAAGTCTGCAAGTGGATATATGGACCGCATTGAGGCCTTCGTTGGAAACGGGATTTCTTCATTTCATGCTAGACAGAAGAATTCTCAGTAACTTCTTTGTGCTGTGTGTATTCAACTCACAGAGTGGAACGTCCCTTTGCACAGAGCAGATTTGAAACACTCTTTTTGTGGAATTTGCAAGTGGAGATTTCAAGCGATTTGATGCCAACAGTAGAAAAGGAAATATCTTCAAATAAAAACTAGACAGAATCATTCTCAGAAACTACTTTGTGATGTGTGCCTTCAACTCACAGAGTTTAACCTTTCTTTTCTTAGAGCAGTTTAGAAACACTCTGCTTGTTATGTCTGCAAGTGGATATTTGGACCTCTTTGAGGCCTTCGTTGCAAACGGGGTTTCTTCCTTTAATGCTAGACTAAGAAGAGTTCTCAGTAACTTTTTTGTGTTGTGTGTATTCAACTCACAGAGCTGAACCTTGCTTTAGAGAGAGCAGATTTGAAACACTCTTGCTGTGGCATTTTCAGGTGGAGATTTCAAGCGATTTGAGGACAATTGCAGAAAAGGAAATATCTTCGTATAACAACCAGACAGAATCATTCTCAGAAAGTGCTTTGTGATGTGTGCGTTCCACTCACAGAGTTTAACCTTTCTTTTCATAGAGGAGTTTGGAAACACACTGTTTGTAAACTCTGCAAGTGGATATATGGACCTGTTTCAGGCCTTCGTTGGAAACGGGATTTCTTCATTGAATGCTAGACGGAAGAATTCTCAGTAAATTCTTTGTGTTGTGTGCATTCAACTCACAGAGTGGAACGTCCCTTTAGACAGAGCAGATTTGAAACACTCTTTTTGCGGAATTTGCAAGTGGAGATTTCTAGCCATTTGATGCCAACAGTAGAAAGGGAAATATCTTCAAATAAAAACCAGACAGAATCATTCTCAGAAAATTCTTTGTGATGTGTGCGTTCAACTCACATAGTTTAACCTTTCTTTTCATAGAGCAGTTTGGAAACACTCTGTTTGTAAAGTCTGCAAGTGGATCTATGGACCGCATTGAGGCCTTCGTTGGAAACGGGATTTCTTCATTTCATGCTAGACAGAAGAATTCTCAGTAACTTCTTTGTGCTGTGTGTATTCAACTCACAGAGTGGAACGTCCCTTTACACAGAGCAGATTTGAAACACTCTTTTTGTGGAGTTTGCAAGTGGAGATTTCAAGCGATTTGATGCCAACAGTAGAAAAGGAAATATCTTCAAATAAAAACTAGACAGAATCATTCTCAGAAACTACTTTGTGATGTGTGCTTTCAACTCACAGAGTTTAACCTTTCTTTTCTTAGAGCAGTTTAGAAACACTCTGCTTGTTATGTCTGCAAGTGGATATTTGGACCTCTTTGAGGCCTTCGTTGCAAACGGGGTTTCTTCCTTTAATGCTAGACTAAGAAGAGTTCTCAGTAACTTTTTTGTGTTGTGTGTATTCAACTCACAGAGTTGAACCTTGCTTTAGAGAGAGCAGATTTGAAACACTCTTGCTGTGGCATTTTCAGGTGGAGATTTCAAGCGTTTTGAGGACAATTGCAGAAAAGGAAATATCTTCGTATAATAACCAGACAGAATCATTCTCAGAAAGTGCTTTGTGTTGTGTGCGTTCAACTCACAGAGTTTAACCTTTCTTTTCATAGAGGAGTTTGGAAACACACTGTTTGTAAAGTCTGCAATTGGATATATGGACCTGTTTGAGGCCTTCGTTGGAAACGGGATTTCTTCATTGAATGCTAGACGGAAGAATTCTCAGTAAATACTTTGTGTTGTGTGCATTCAACTGACAGAGTGGAACGTCCCTTTAGACAGAGCAGATTTGAAACACTCTTTTTGCGGAATTTGCAAGTGGAGATTTCTAGCCATTTGATGCCAACAGTAGAAAGGGAAATATCTTCAAATAACAACCAGACAGAATCATTCTCAGAAAATTCTTTGTGATGTGTGCGTTCAACTCACATAGTATAGCCTTTCTTTTCATAGAGCAGTTTGGAAACACTCTGTTTGTAAAGTCTGCAAGTGGATATATGGACCGCATTGAGGCCTTCGTTGGAAACGGGATTTCTTCATTTCATGCTAGACAGAAGAATTCTCAGTAACTTCTTTGTGCTGTGTGTATTCAACTCACAGAGTGGAACGTCCCTTTGCACAGAGCAGATTTGAAACACTCTTTTTGTGGAGTTTGCAAGTGGAGATTTCAAGCGATTTGATGCCAACAGTAGAAAAGGAAATATCTTCAAATAAAAACTAGACAGAATCATTCTCAGAAACTACTTTGTGATGTGTGCCTTCAACTCACAGAGTTTAACCTTTCTTTTCTTAGAGCAGTTTAGAAACACTCTGCTTGTTATGTCTGCAAGTGGATATTTGGACCTCTTTGAGGCCTTCGTTGCAAACGGGGTTTCTTCCTTTCATGCTAGACTAAGAAGAGTTCTCAGTAACTTTTTTGTGTTGTGTGTATTCAACTCACAGAGTTGAACCTTGCTTTAGAGAGAGCAGATTTGAAACACTCTTGCTGTGGCATTTTCAGGTGGAGATTTCAAGCGATTTGAGGACAATTGCAGAAAAGGAAATATCTTCGTATAATAACCAGACAGAATCATTCTCAGAAAGTGCTTTGTGATGTGTGCGTTCCACTCACAGAGTTTAACCTTTCTTTTCATAGAGGAGTTTGGAAACACAATGTTTGTAAAGTCTGCAAGTGGATATATGGACCTGTTTGAGGCCTTCGTTGGAAACGGGATTTCTTCATTGAATGCTAGACGGAAGAATTCTCAGTAAATTCTTTGTGTTGTGTGCATTCAACTCACAGAGTGGAACGTCCCTTTAGACAGAGCAGATTTGAAACACTCTTTTTGCGGAATTTGCAAGTGGAGATTTCTAGCCATTTGATGCCAACAGTAGAAAGGGAAATATCTTCAAATAAAAACCAGACAGAATCATTCTCAGAAAATTCTTTGTGATGTGTGCATTCAACTCACATAGTTTAACCTTTCTTTTCTTAGAGCAGTTTAGAAACACTCTGCTTGTTATGTCTGCAAGTGGATATTTGGACCTCTTTGAGGCCTTCGTTGCAAACGGGGTTTCTTCCTTTCATGCTAGACTAAGAAGAGTTCTCAGTAACTTTTTTGTGTTGTGTGTATTCAACTCACAGAGTTGAACCATGCTTTAGAGAGAACAGATTTGAAACACTCTTGCTGTGGCATTTTCAGGTGGAGATTTCAAGCGATTTGAGGACAATTGCAGAAAAGGAAATATCTTCGTATAACAACCAGACAGAATCATTCTCAGAAAGTGCTTTGTGATGTGTGGGTTCAACTCACAGAGTTTAACCTTTCTTTTCATAGAGGAGTTTGGAAACACACTGTTTGTAAAGTCTGCAATTGGATATATGGACCTGTTTGAGGCCTTCGTTGGAAACGGGATTTCTTCATTGACTGCTAGACAGAAGAATTCTCAGTAAATTCTTTGTGTTGTGTGCATTCAACTCACAGAGTGGAACGTCCCTTTAGACAGAGCAGATTTGAAACACTCTTTTTGCGGAATTTGCAAGTGGAGATTTCTAGCCATTTGATGCCAACAGTAGAAAGGGAAATATCTTCAAATAAAAACCAGACAGAATCATTCTCAGAAAATTCTTTGTGATGTGTGCGTTCAACTCACATAGTTTAACCTTTCTTTTCATAGAGCAGTTTGGAAACACTCTGTTTGTAAAGTCTGCAAGTGGATATATGGACCGCATTGAGGCCTTCGTTGGAAACGGGATTTCTTCATTTCATGCTAGACAGAAGAATTCTCAGTAACTTCTTTGTGCTGTGTGTATTCAACTCACAGAGTGGAACGTCCCTTTACACAGAGCAGATTTGAAACACTCTTTTTGTTGAATTTGCAAGTGGAGATTTCAAGCGATTTGATGCCAACAGTAGAAAAGGAAATATCTTCAAATAAAAACTAGACAGAATCATTCTCAGAAACTACTTTGTGATGTGTGCCTTCAACTCACAGAGTTTAACCTTTCTTTTCTTAGAGCAGTTTAGAAACACTCTGCTTGTTATGTCTGCAAGTGGATATTTGGACCTCTTTGAGGCCTTCGTTGCAAACGGGGTTTCTTCCTTTCATGCTAGACTAAGAAGAGTTCTCAGTAACTTTTTTGTGTTGTGTGTATTCAACTCACAGAGTTGAACCTTGCTTTAGAGAGAGCAGATTTGAAACACTCTTGCTGTGGCATTTTCAGGTGGAGATTTCAAGCGATTTGAGGACAATTGCAGAAAAGGAAATATCTTCGTATAATAACCAGACAGAATCATTCTCAGAAAGTGCTTTGTGATGTGTGCGTTCAACTCACAGAGTTTAACCTTTCTTTTCATAGAGGAGTTTGGAAACACACTGTTTGTAAAGTCTGCAGGTGGATACATGGACCTGTTTGAGGCCTTCGTTGGAAACGGGATTTCTTCATTGAATGCTAGACGGAAGAATTCTCAGTAAATTCTTTGTGTTGTGTCCATTCAACTCACAGAGTGGAACGTCCCTTTAGACAGAGCAGATTTGAAACACTCTTTTTGCGGAATTTGCAAGTGGAGATTTCTAGCCATTTGATGCCAACAGTAGAAAGGGAAATATCTTCAAATAAAAACCAGACAGAATCATTCTCAGAAAATTCTTTGTGATGTGTGCGTTCAACTCACATAGTTTAACCTTTCTTTTCATAGAGCAGTTTGGAAACACTGTGTTTGTAAAGTCTGCAAGTGGATATATGGACCGCATTGAGGCCTTCGTTGGAAACGGGATTTCTTCATTTCATGCTAGACAGAAGAATTCTCAGTAACTTCTTTGTGCTGTGTGTATTCAACTCACAGAGTGGAACGTCCCTTTGCACAGAGCAGATTTGAAACACTCTTTTTGTGGAGTTTGCAAGTGGAGATTTCAAGCGATTTGATGCCAACAGTAGAAAAGGAAATATCTTCAAATAAAAACTAGACAGAATCATTCTCAGAAACTACTTTGTGATGTGTGCCTTCAACTCACAGAGTTTAACCTTTCTTTTCTTAGAGCAGTTTAGAAACACTCTGCTTGTTATGTCTGCAAGTGGATATTTGGACCTCTTTGAGGCCTTCGTTGCAAACGGGGTTTCTTCCTTTCATGCTAGACTAAGAAGAGTTCTCAGTAACTTTTTTGTGTTGTGTGTATTCAACTCACAGAGTTGAACCTTGCTTTAGAGAGAGCAGATTTGAAACACTCTTGCTGTGGCATTTTCAGGTGGAGATTTCAACCGATTTGAGGACAATTGCAGAAAAGGAAATATCTTCGTATAATAACAAGACAGAATCATTCTCAGAAAGTGCTTTGTGATGTGTGCGTTCAACTCACAGAGTTTAACCTTTCTTTTCATAGAGGAGTTTGGAAACACACTGTTTGTAAAGTCTGCAATTGGATATATGGACCTGTTTGAGGCCTTCGTTGGAAACGGGATTTCTTCATTGCATGCTAGACGGAAGAATTCTCAGTAAATTCTTTGTGTTGTGTGCATTCAACTCACAGAGTGGAACGTCCCTTTAGACAGAGCAGATTTGAAACACTCTTTTTGCGGAATTTGCAAGTGGAGATTTCTAGCCATTTGATGCCAACAGTAGAAAGGGAAATATCTTCAAATAAAAACCAGACAGAATCATTCTCAGAAAATTCTTTGTGATGTGTGCGTTCAACTCACATAGTTTAACCTTTCTTTTCATAGAGCAGTTTGGAAACACTCTGTTTGTAAAGTCTGCAAGTGGATATATGGACCGCATTGAGGCCTTCGTTGGAAACGGGATTTCTTCATTTCATGCTAGACAGAAGAATTCTCAGTAACTTCTTTGTGCTGTGTGTATTCAACTCACAGAGTGGAACGTCCCTTTACACAGAGCAGATTTGAAACACTCTTTTTGTGGAGTTTGCAAGTGGAGATTTCAAGCGATTTGATGCCAACAGTAGAAAAGGAAATATCTTCAAATAAAAACTAGACAGAATCATTCTCAGAAACTACTTTGTGATGTGTGCCTTCAACTCACAGAGTTTAACCTTTCTTTTCTTAGAGCAGTTTAGAAACACTCTGCTTGTTATGTCTGCAAGTGGATATTTGGACCTCTTTGAGGCCTTCGTTGCAAACGGGGTTTCTTCCTTTCATGCTAGACTAAGAAGAGTTCTCAGTAACTTTTTTGTGTTGTGTGTATTCAACTCACAGAGTTGAACCTTGCTTTAGAGAGAGCAGATTTGAAACACTCTTGCTGTGGCATTTTCAGGTGGAGATTTCAAGCGATTTGAGGACAATTGCAGAAAAGGAAATATCTTCGTATAACAACCAGACAGAATCATTCTCAGAAAGTGCTTTGTGATGTGTGCGTTCAACTCACAGAGTTTAACCTTTCTTTTCATAGAGGAGTTTGGAAACACACTGTTTGTAAAGTCTGCAATTGGATATATGGACCTGTTTGAGGCCTTCGTTGGAAACGGGATTTCTTCATTGAATGCTAGACGGAAGAATTCTCAGTAAATTCTTTGTGTGGTGTGCATTCAACTCACAGAGTGGAACGTCCCTTTAGACAGAGCAGATTTGAAACACTCTTTTTGCGGAATTTGCAAGTGGAGATTTCTAGCCATTTGATGCCAACAGTAGAAAGGGAAATATCTTCAAATAAAAACCAGACAGAATCATTCTCAGAAAATTCTTTGTGATCTGTGCGTTCAACTCACATAGTTTAACCTTTCTTTTCATAGAGCAGTTTGGAAACACTCTGTTTGTGATGTCTGCAAGTGGATATATAGACCGCATTGAGGCCTTCGTTGGAAACGGGATTTCTTCATTTCATGCTAGACAAGAATTCTCAGTAACTTCTTTGTGCTGTGTGTATTCAACTCACAGAGTGGAACGTCCCTTTGCACAGAGCAGATTTGAAACACTCTTTTTGTGGAGTTTGCAAGTGGATATTTCAAGCGATTTGATGCCAACAGTAGAAAAGGAAATATCTTCAAATAAAAACTAGACCGAATCATTCTCAGAAACTACTTTGTGATGTGTGCCTTCAACTCACAGAGTTTAACCTTTCTTTTCTTAGAGCAGTTTAGAAACACTCTGCTTGTTATGTCTGCAAGTGGATATTTGGACCTCTTTGAGGCCTTCGTTGCAAACGGGGTTTCTTCCTTTCATGCTAGACTAAGAAGAGTTCTCAGTAACTTTTTTGTGTTGTGTGTATTCAACTCACAGAGTTGAACCTTGCTTTAGAGAGAGCAGATTTGAAACACTCTTGCTGTGGCATTTTCAGGTGGAGATTTCAAGCGATTTGAGGACAATTGCAGAAAAGGAAATATCTTCGTATAACAACCAGACAGAATCATTCTCAGAAAGTGCTTTGTGATGTGTGCGTTCCACTCACAGAGTTTAACCTTTCTTTTCATAGAGGAGTTTGGAAACACACTGTTTGTAAAGTCTGCAAGTGGATATATGGACCTCTTTGAGGCCTTCGTTGGAAACGGGATTTCTTCATTGAATGCTAGACGGAAGAATTCTCAGTAAATTCTTTGTGTTGTGTGCATTCAACTCACAGAGTGGAACGTCCCTTTAGACAGAGCAGATTTGAAACACTCTTTTTACGGAATTTGCAAGTGGAGATTTCTAGCAATTTGATGCCAACAGTAGAAAGGGAAATATCTTCAAATAAAAACCAGACAGAATCATTCTCAGAAAATTCTTTGTGATGTGTGCGTTCAACTCACATAATTTAACCTTTCTTTTCATAGAGCAGTTTGGAAACACTCTGTTTGTAAAGTCTGCAAGTGGATATATGGACCGCATTGAGGCCTTCGTTGGAAACGGGATTTCTTCATTTCATGCTAGACAGAAGAATTCTCAGTAACTTCTTTGTGCTGTGTGTCTTCAACTCACAGAGTGGAACGTCCCTTTGCACAGAGCAGATTTGAAACACTCTTTTTGTGGAATTTGCAAGTGGAGATTTCAAGCGATTTGATGCCAACAGTAGAAAAGGAAATATCTTCAAATAAAAACTAGACAGAATCATTCTCAGAAACTACTTTGTGATGTGTGCCTTCAACTCACAGAGTTTAACCTTTCTTTTCTTAGAGCAGTTTAGAAACACTCTGCTTGTTATGTCTGCAAGTGGATATTTGGACCTCTTTGAGGCCTTCGTTGCAAACGGGGTTTCTTCCTTTCATGCTAGACTAAGAAGAGTTCTCAGTAACTTTTTTGTGTTGTGTGTATTCAACTCACAGAGTTGAACCTTGCTTTAGAGAGAGCAGATTTGAAACACTCTTGCTGTGGAATTTTCAGGTGGAGATTTCAAGCGATTTGAGGACAATTGCAGAAAAGGAAATATCTTCGTATAATAACCAGACAGAATCATTCTCAGAAAGTGCTTTGTGATGTGTGCGTTCAACTCACAGAGTTTAACCTTTCTTTTCATAGAGGAGTTTGGAAACACACTGTTTGTAAAGTCTGCAATTGGATATATGGACCTGTTTGAGGCCTTCGTTGGAAACGGGATTTCTTCATTGAATGCTAGACGGAAGAATTCTCAGTAAATT
The DNA here is from genome assembly GCF_000001405.40 of Homo sapiens. Lineage (NCBI taxonomy): Eukaryota > Metazoa > Chordata > Mammalia > Primates > Hominidae > Homo > Homo sapiens. The sequence goes on from NC_000007.14 coordinate 59,631,042, forward strand.
CTTTGTGTTGTGTGCATTCAACTCACAGAGTGGAACGTCCCTTTAGACAGAGCAGATTTGAAACACTCTTTTTGCGGAATTTGCAAGTGGAGATTTCTAGCCATTTGATGCCAACAGTAGAAAGGGAAATATCTTCAAATAAAAACCAGACAGAATCATTCTCAGAAAATTCTTTGTGATGTGTGCGTTCAACTCACATAGTTTAACCTTTCTTTTCATAGAGCAGTTTGGAAACACTCTGTTTGTAAAGTCTGCAAGTGGATATATGGACCGCATTGAGGCCTTCGTTGGAAACGGGATTTCTTCATTTCATGCTAGACAGAAGAATTCTCAGTAACTTCTTTGTGCTGTGTGTATTCAACTCACAGAGTGGAACGTCCCTTTACACAGAGCAGATTTGAAACACTCTTTTTGTGGAGTTTGCAAGTGGAGATTTCAAGCGATTTGATGTCAACAGTAGAAAAGGAAATATCTTCAAATAAAAACTAGACAGAATCATTCTCAGAAACTACTTTGTGATGTGTGCCTTCAACTCACAGAGTTTAACCTTTCTTTTCATAGAGCAGTTTGGAAACACTCTGTTTGTAAAGTCTGCAAGTGGATATATGGACCGCATTGAGGCCTTCGTTGGAAACGGGATTTCTTCATTTCATGCTAGACAGAAGAATTCTCAGCAACTTCTTTGTGCTGTGTGTATTCAACTCACAGAGTGGAACGTCCCTTTGCACAGAGCAGATTTGAAACACTCTTTTTGTGGAATTTGCAAGTGGAGATTTCAAGCGATTTGATGCCAACAGTAGAAAAGGAAATATCTTCAAATAAAAACTAGACAGAATCATTCTCAGAAACTACTTTGTGATGTGTGCCTTCAACTCACAGAGTTTAACCTTTCTTTTCTTAGAGCAGTTTAGAAACACTCTGCTTGTTATGTCTGCAAGTGGATATTTGGACCTCTTTGAGGCCTTCGTTGCAAACGGGGTTTCTTCCTTTCATGCTAGACTAAGAAGAGTTCTCAGTAACTTTTTTGTGTTGTGTGTATTCAACTCACAGAGTTGAACCTTGCTTTAGAGAGAGCAGATTTGAAACACTCTTGCTGTGGCATTTTCAGGTGGAGATTTCAAGCGATATGAGGACAATTGCAGAACAGGAAATATCTTCGTATAATAACCAGACAGAATCATTCTCAGAAAGTGCTTTGTGATGTGTGCGTTCAACTCACAGAGTTTAACCTTTCTTTTCATAGAGGAGTTTGGAAACACACTGTTTGTAAAGTCTGCAAGTGGATATATGGACCTGTTTGAGGCCTTCGTTGGAAACGGGATTTCTTCATTGCATGCTAGACGGAAGAATTCTCAGTAAATTCTTTGTGTTGTGTGCATTCAACTCACAGAGTGGAACGTCCCTTTAGACAGAGCAGATTTGAAACACTCTTTTTGCGGAATTTGCAAGTGGAGATTTCTAGCCATTTGATGCCAACAGTAGAAAGGGAAATATCTTCAAATAAAAACCAGACAGAATCATTCTCAGAAAATTCTTTGTGATGTGTGCGTTCAACTCACATAGTTTAACCTTTCTTTTCATAGAGCAGTTTGGGAACACTCTGTTGGTAATGTCTGCAAGTGGATATATGGACCGCTTTGAGGCCTTCGTTGGAAACGGGATTTCTTCATTTCATGCTAGACAGAAGAATTCTCAGTAACTTCTTTGTGTTGTGTGTATTCAACTCACAGATTGGAACGTCCCTTTACACAGAGCAGATTTGAAACACTCTTTTTGTGGAATTTGCAAGTGGAGATTTCAAGCGATTTGATGCCAACAGTAGAAAAGGAAATATCTGCAAACAAAAACTAGACAGAATCATTATCAGAAAGTGCTTTGTGATGTGTGCATTCAACTCACAGAGTTAACCTTTCTTTTCATAAAGGAGTTTGGAAACACACTGTTTGTAAAGTCTGCAATTGGATATATGGACCTGTTTGAGGCCTTCGTTGGAAACGGGATTTCTTCATTGAATGCTAGACGGAAGAATTCTCAGTAAATTCTTTGTGTTGTGTGCATTCAACTCACAGAGTGGAACGTCCCTTAAGACAGAGCAGATTTGAAACACTCTTTTTGCGGAATTTGCAAGTGGAGATTTCTAGCCATTTGATGCCAACAGTAGAAAGGGAAATATCTTCAAATAAAAACCAGACAGAATCATTCTCAGAAAATTCTTTGTGATGTGTGCGTTCAACTCACATAGTTTAACCTTTCTTTTCATAGAGCAGTTTGGAAACACTCTGTTTGTAAAGTCTGCAAGTGGATATATGGACCGCATTGAGGCCTTCGTTGGAAACGGGATTTCTTCATTTCATGCTAGACAGAAGAATTCTCAGTAACTTCTTTGTGCTGTGTGTATTCAACTCACAGAGTGGAACGTCCCTTTGCACAGAGCAGATTTGAAACACTCTTTTTGTGGAGTTTGCAAGTGGAGATTTCAAGCGATTTGATGCCAACAGTAGAAAAGGAAATATCTTCAAATAAAAACTAGACAGAATCATTCTCAGAAACTACTTTGTGATGTGTGCCTTCAACTCACAGAGTTTAACCTTTCTTTTCTTAGAGCAGTTTAGAAACACTCTGCTTGTTATGTCTGCAAGTGGATATTTGGACCTCTTTGAGGCCTTCGTTGCAAACGGGGTTTCTTCCTTTCATGCTAGACTAAGAAGAGTTCTCAGTAACTTTTTTGTGTTGTGTGTATTCAACTCACAGAGTTGAACCTTGCTTTAGAGAGAGCAGATTTGAAACACTCTTGATGTGGCATTTTCAGGTGGAGATTTCAAGCGATTTGAGGACAATTGCAGAAAAGGAAATATCTTCGTATAATAACCAGACAGAATCATTCTCAGAAAGTGCTTTGTAATGTGTGCGTTCCACTCACAGAGTTTAACCTTTCTTTTCATAGAGGAGTTTGGAAACACACTGTTTGTAAAGTCTGCAAGTGGATATATGGACCTGTTTGAGGCCTTCGTTGGAAACGGGATTTCTTCATTGAATGCTAGACGGAAGAATTCTCAGTAAATTCTTTGTGTTGTGTGCATTCAACTCACAGAGTGGAACGTCCCTTTAGACAGAGCAGATTTGAAACACTCTTTTTGCGGAATTTGCAAGTGGAGATTTCTAGCCATTTGATGCCAACAGTAGAAAGGGAAATATCTTCAAATAAAAACCAGACAGAATCATTCTCAGAAAATTCTTTGTGATGTGTGCGTTCAACTCACATAGTTTAACCTTTCTTTTCATAGAGCAGTTTGGAAACACTCTGTTTGTAAAGTCTGCAAGTGGATCTATGGACCGCATTGAGGCCTTCGTTGGAAACGGGATTTCTTCATTTCATGCTAGACAGAAGAATTCTCAGTAACTTCTTTGTGCTGTGTGTATTCAACTCACAGAGTGGAACGTCCCTTTACACAGAGCAGATTTGAAACACTCTTTTTGTGGAGTTTGCAAGTGGAGATTTCAAGCGATTTGATGCCAACAGTAGAAAAGGAAATATCTTCAAATAAAAACTAGACAGAATCATTCTCAGAAACTACTTTGTGATGTGTGCCTTCAACTCACAGAGTTTAACCTTTCTTTTCTTAGAGCAGTTTAGAAACACTCTGTTTGTTATGTCTGCAAGTGGATATTTGGACCTCTTTGAGGCCTTCGTTGCAAACGGGGTTTCTTCCTTTCATGCTAGACTAAGAAGAGTTCTCAGTAACATTTTTGTGTTGTGTGTATTCAACTCACAGAGTTGAACCTTGCTTTAGAGAGAGCAGATTTGAAACACTCTTGCTGTGGCATTTTCAGGTGGAGATTTCAAGCGATTTGAGGACAATTGCAGAAAAGGAAATATCTTCGTATAACAACCAGACAGAATCATTCTCAGAAAGTGCTTTGTGATGTGTGCGTTCAACTCACAGAGTTTAACCTTTCTTTTCATAGAGGAGTTTGGAAACACACTGTTTGTAAAGTCTGCAATTGGATATATGGACCTGTTTGAGGCCTTCGTTGGAAACGGGATTTCTTCATTGAATGCTAGACGGAAGAATTCTCAGTAAATTCTTTGTGTGGTGTGCATTCAACTCACAGAGTGGAACGTCCCTTTAGACAGAGCAGATTTGAAACACTCTTTTTGCGGAATTTGCAAGTGGAGATTTCTAGCCATTTGATGCCAACAGTAGAAAGGGAAATATCTTCAAATAAAAACCAGACAGAATCATTCTCAGAAAATTCTTTGTGATGTGTGCGTTCAACTCACATAGTTTAACCTTTCTTTTCATAGAGCAGTTTGGAAACACTCTGTTTGTAAAGTCTGCAAGTGGATATATGGACCGCATTGAGGCCTTCGTTGGAAACGGGATTTCTTCATTTCATGCTAGACAGAAGAATTCTCAGTAACTTCTTTGTGCTGTGTGTATTCAACTCACAGAGTGGAACGTCCCTTTGCACAGAGCAGATTTGAAACACTCTTTTTGTGGAGTTTGCAATTGGAGATTTCAAGCGATTTGATGCCAACAGTAGAAAAGGAAATATCTTCAAATAAAAACTAGACAGAATCATTCTCAGAAACTACTTTGTGATGTGTGCCTTCAACTCACAGAGTTTAACCTTTCTTTTCTTAGAGCAGTTTAGAAACACTCTGCTTGTTATGTCTGCAAGTGGATATTTGGACCTCTTTGAGGCCTTCGTTGCAAACGGGGTTTCTTCCTTTCATGCTAGACTAAGAAGAGTTCTCAGTAACTTTTTTGTGTTGTGTGTATTCAACTCACATAGTTGAACCTTGCTTTAGAGAGAGCAGATTTGAAACACTCTTGCTGTGGCATTTTCAGGTGGAGATTTCAAGCGATTTGAGGACAATTGCCGAAAAGGAAATATCTTCGTATAATAACCAGACAGAATCATTCTCAGAAAGTGCTTTGTGATGTGTGCGTTCCACTCACAGAGTTTAACCTTTCTTTTCATAGAGGAGTTTGGAAACACACTGTTTGTAAAGTCTGCAAGTGGATATATGGACCTGTTTGAGGCCTTCGTTGGAAACGGGATTTCTTCATTGAATGCTAGACGGAAGAATTCTCAGTAAATTCTTTGTGTTGTGTGCATTCAACTCACAGAGTGGAACGTCCCTTTAGACAGAGCAGATTTGAAACACTCTTTTTGCGGAATTTGCAAGTGGAGATTTCTAGCCATTTGATGCCAACAGTAGAAAGGGAAATATCTTCAATTAAAAACCAGACAGAATCATTCTCAGAAAATTCTTTGTGATGTGTGCGTTCAACTCACATAGTTTAACCTTTCTTTTCATAGAGCAGTTTGGAAACACTCTGTTTGTAAAGTCTGCAAGTGGATATATGGACCGCATTGAGGCCTTCGTTGGAAACGGGATTTCTTCATTTCATGCTAGACAGAAGAATTCTCAGTAACTTCTTTGTGCTGTGTGTATTCAACTCACAGAGTGGAACGTCCTTTTGCACAGAGCAGATTTGAAACACTCTTTTTGTGGAATTTGCAAGTGGAGATTTCAAGCGATTTGATGCCAACAGTAGAAAAGGAAATATCTTCAAATAAAAACTAGACAGAATCATTCTCAGAAACTACTTTGTGATGTGTGCCTTCAACTCACAGAGTTTAACCTTTCTTTTCTTAGAGCAGTTTAGAAACACTCTGCTTGTTATGTCTGCAAGTGGATATTTGGACCTCTTTGAGGCCTTCGTTGCAAACGGGGTTTCTTCCTTTCATGCTAGACTAAGAAGAGTTCTCAGTAACTTTTTTGTGTTGTGTGTATTCAACTCACAGAGTTGAACCTTGCTTTAGAGAGAGCAGATTTGAAACACTCTTGCTGTGGCATTTTCAGGTGGAGATTTCAAGCGATTTGAGGACAATTGCAGAAAAGGAAATATCTTCGTATAACAACCAGACAGAATCATTCTCAGAAAGTGCTTTGTGATGTGTGCGTTCAACTCACAGAGTTTAACCTTTCTTTTCATAGAGGAGTTTGGAAACACACTGTTTGTAAAGTCTGCAATTGGATATATGGACCTGTTTGAGGCCTTCGTTGGAAACGGGATTTCTTCATTGCATGCTAGACGGAAGAATTCTCAGTAAATTCTTTGTGTTGTGTGCATTCAACTGACAGAGTGGAACGTCCCTTTAGACAGAGCAGATTTGAAACACTCTTTTTGCGGAATTTGCAAGTGGAGATTTCTAGCCATTTGATGCCAACAGTAGAAAGGGAAATATCTTCAAATAAAAACCAGACAGAATCATTCTCAGAAAATTCTTTGTGATGTGTGCGTTCAACTCACATAGTTTAACCTTTCTTTTCATAGAGCAGTTTGGAAACACTCTGTTTGTAAAGTCTGCAAGTGGATATATGGACCGCATTGAGGCCTTCGTTGGAAACGGGATTTCTTCATTTCATGCTAGACAGAAGAATTCTCAGTAACTTCTTTGTGCTGTGTGTATTCAACTCACAGAGTGGAACGTCCCTTTGCACAGAGCAGATTTGAAACACTCTTTTTTGGTGGAGTTTGCAAGTGGAGATTTCAAGCGATTTGATGCCAACAGTAGAAAAGGAAATATCTTCAAATAAAAACTAGACAGAATCATTCTCAGAAACTACTTTGTGATGTGTGCCTTCAACTCACAGAGTTTAACCTTTCTTTTCTTAGAGCAGTTTAGAAACACTCTGCTTGTTATGTCTGCAAGTGGATATTTGGACCTCTTTGAGGCCTTCGTTGCAAACGGGGTTTCTTCCTTTCATGCTAAACTAAGAAGAGTTCTCAGTAACTTTTTTGTGTTGTGTGTATTCAACTCACAGAGTTGAACCTTGCTTTAGAGAGAGCAGATTTGAAACACTCTTGCTGTGGCATTTTCAGGTGGAGATTTCAAGCGATTTGAGGACAATTGCAGAAAAGGAAATATCTTCGTATAATAACCAGACAGAATCATTCTCAGAAAGTGCTTTGTGATGTGTGCGTTCAACTCACAGAGTTTAACCTTTCTTTTCATAGAGGAGTTTGGAAACACACTGTTTGTAAAGTCTGCAAGTGGATATATGGACCTGTTTGAGGCCTTCGTTGGAAACGGGATTTCTTCATTGAATGCTAGACGGAAGAATTCTCAGTAAATTCTTTGTGTTGTGTGCATTCAACTCACAGAGTGGAACGTCCCTTTAGACAGAGCAGATTTGAAACACTCTTTTTGCGGAATTTGCAAGTGGAGATTTCTAGCCATTTGATGCCAACAGTAGAAAGGGAAATATCTTCAAATAAAAACCAGACAGAATCATTCTCAGAAAATTCTTTGTGATGTGTGCGTTCAACTCACATAGTTTAACCTTTCTTTTCATAGAGCAGTTTGGAAACACTCTGTTTGTAAAGTCTGCAAGTGGATCTATGGACCGCATTGAGGCCTTCGTTGGAAACGGGATTTCTTCATTTCATGCTAGACAGAAGAATTCTCAGTAACTTCTTTGTGCTGTGTGTATTCAACTCACAGAGTGGAACGTCCCTTTGCACAGAGCAGATTTGAAACACTCTTTTTGTGGAGTTTGCAAGTGGAGATTTCAAGCGATTTGATGCCAACAGTAGAAAAGGAAATATCTTCAAATAAAAACTAGACAGAATCATTCTCAGAAACTACTTTGTGATGTGTGCCTTCAACTCACAGAGTTTAACCTTTCTTTTCTTAGAGCAGTTTAGAAACACTCTGCTTGTTATGTCTGCAAGTGGATATTTGGACCTCTTTGAGGCCTTCGTTGCAAACGGGGTTTCTTCCTTTCATGCTAGACTAAGAAGAGTTCTCAGTAACTTTTTTGTGTTGTGTGTATTCAACTCACAGAGTTGAACCTTGCTTTAGAGAGAGCAGATTTGAAACACTCTTGCTGTGGCATTTTCAGGTGGAGATTTCAAGCGATTTGAGGACAATTGCAGAAAAGGAAATATCTTCGTATAATAACCAGACAGAATCATTCTCAGAAAGTGCTTTGTGATGTGTGCGTTCCACTCACAGAGTTTAACCTTTCTTTTCATAGAGGAGTTTGGAAACACACTGTTCGTAAAGTCTGCAATTGGATATATGGACCTGTTTGAGGCCTTCGTTGGAAACGGGATTTCTTCATTGAATGCTAGACGGAAGAATTCTCAGTAAATTCTTTGTGTTGTGTGCATTCAACTCACAGAGTGGAACGTCCCTTTAGACAGAGCAGATTTGAAACACTCTTTTTGCGGAATTTGCAAGTGGAGATTTCTAGCCATTTGATGCCAACAGTAGAAAGGGAAATATCTTCAAATAAAAACCAGACAGAATCATTCTCAGAAAATTCTTTGTGATGTGTGCGTTCAACTCACATAGTTTAACCTTTCTTTTCTTAGAGCAGTTTAGAAACACTCTGCTTGTTATGTCTGCAAGTGGATATTTGGACCTCTTTGAGGCCTTCGTTGCAAACGGGGTTTCTTCCTTTCATGCTAGACTAAGAAGAGTTCTCAGTAACTTTTTTGTGTTGTGTGTATTCAACTCACAGAGTTGAACCTTGCTTTAGAGAGAGCAGATTTGAAACACTCTTGCTGTGGCATTTTCAGGTGGAGATTTCAAGCGATTTGAGGACAATTGCAGAAAAGGAAATATCTTCGTATAACAACCAGACAGAATCATTCTCAGAAAGTGCTTTGTGATGTGTGCGTTCAACTCACAGAGTTTAACCTTTCTTTTCATAGAGGAGTTTGGAAACACACTGTTTGTAAAGTCTGCAATTGGATATATGGACCTGTTTGAGGCCTTCGTTGGAAACGGGATTTCTTCATTGAATGCTAGACGGAAGAATTCTCAGTAAATTCTTTGTGTGGTGTGCATTCAACTCACAGAGTGGAACGTCCCTTTAGACAGAGCAGATTTGAAACACTCTTTTTGCGGAATTTGCAAGTGGAGATTTCTAGCCATTTGATGCCAACAGTAGAAAGGGAAATATCTTCAAATAAAAACCAGACAGAATCATTCTCAGAAAATTCTTTGTGATGTGTGCGTTCAACTCACATAGTTTAACCTTTCTTTTCATAGAGCAGTTTGGAAACACTCTGTTTGTAAAGTCTGCAAGTGGATATATGGACCGCATTGAGGCCTTCGTTGGAAAAGGGATTTCTTCATTTCATGCTAGACAGAAGAATTCTCAATAACTTCTTTGTGCTGTGTGTATTCAACTCACAGAGTGGAACGTCCCTTTACACAGAGCAGATTTGAAACACTCTTTTTGTGGAGTTTGCAAGTGGAGATTTCAAGCGATTTGATGCCAACAGTAGAAAAGGAAATATCTTCAAATAAAAACTAGACAGAATCATTCTCAGAAACTACTTTGTGATGTGTGCCTTCAACTCACAGAGTTTAACCTTTCTTTTCTTAGAGCAGTTTAGAAACACTCTGCTTGTTATGTCTGCAAGTGGATATTTGGACCTCTTTGAGGCCTTCGTTGCAAACGGGGTTTCTTCCTTTCATGCTAGACTAAGAAGAGTTCTCAGTAACTTTTTTGTGTTGTGTGTATTCAACTCACAGAGTTAAACCTTGCTTTAGAGAGAGCAGATTTGAAACACTCTTGCTGTGGCATTTTCAGGTGGAGATTTCAAGCGATTTGAGGACAATTGCAGAAAAGGAAATATCTTCGTATAACAACCAGACAGAATCATTCTCAGAAAGTGCTTTGTGATGTGTGCATTCAACTCACAGAGTTTAACCTTTCTTTTCATTGAGGAGTTTGGAAACACACTGTTTGTAAAGTCTGCAATTGGATATATGGACCTGTTTGAGGCCTTCGTTGGAAACGGGATTTCTTCATTGAATGCTAGACGGAAGAATTCTCAGTAAATTCTTTGTGTTGTGTGCATTCAACTGACAGAGTGGAACGTCCCTTAAGACAGAGCAGATTTGAAACACTCTTTTTGCGGAATTTGCAAGTGGAGATTTCTAGCCATTTGATGCCAACAGTAGAAAGGGAAATATCTTCAAATAAAAACCAGACAGAATCATTCTCAGAAAATTCTTTGTGATGTGTGCGTTCAACTCACATAGTTTAACCTTTCTTTTCATAGAGCAGTTTGGAAACACTCTGTTTGTAAAGTCTGCAAGTGGATATATGGACCGCATTGAGGCCTTCGTTGGAAACGGGATTTCTTCATTTCATGCTAGACAGAAGAATTCTCAGTAACTTCTTTGTGCTGTGTGTATTCAACTCACAGAGTGGAACGTCCCTTTACACAGAGCAGATTTGAAACACTCTTTTTGTGGAGTTTGCAAGTGGAGATTTCAAGCGATTTGATGCCAACAGTAGAAAAGGAAATATCTTCAAATAAAAACTAGACAGAATCATTCTCAGAAACTACTTTGTGATGTGTGCCTTCAACTCACAGAGTTTAACCTTTCTTTTCTTAGAGCAGTTTAGAAACACTCTGCTTGTTATGTCTGCAAGTGGATATTTGGACCTCTTTGAGGCCTTCGTTGCAAACGGGGTTTCTTCCTTTCATGCTAGACTAAAGAGTTCTCAGTAACTTTTTTGTGTTGTGTGTATTCAACTCACAGAGTTGAACCTTGCTTTAGAGAGAGCAGATTTGAAACACTCTAGCTGTGGCATTTTCAGGTGGAGATTTCAAGCGATTTGAGGACAATTGCAGAAAAGGAAATATCTTCGTATAATAACCAGACAGAATCATTCTCAGAAAGTGCTTTGTGATGTGTGCGTTCAACTCACAGAGTTTAACCTTTCTTTTCATAGAGGAGTTTGGAAACACACTGTTTGTAAAGTCTGCAAGTGGATATATGGACCTGTTTGAGGCCTTCGTTGGAAACGGGATTTCTTCATTGAATGGTAGACGGAAGAATTCTCAGTAAATTCTTTGTGTTGTGTGCATTCAACTCACAGAGTGGAACGTCCCTTTAGACAGAGCAGATTTGAAACACTCTTTTTGCGGAATTTGCAAGTGGAGATTTCTAGCCATTTGATGCCAACAGTAGAAAGGGAAATATCTTCAAATAAAAACCAGACAGAATCATTCTCAGAAAATTCTTTGTGATGTGTGCGTTCAACTCACATAGTTTAACCTTTCTTTTCATAGAGCAGTTTGGAAACACTCTGTTTGTAAAGTCTGCAAGTGGATATATGGACCGCATTGAGGCCTTCGTTGGAAACGGGATTTCTTCATTTCATGCTAGACAGAAGAATTCTCAGTAACTTCTTTGTGCTGTGTGTATTCAACTCACAGAGTGGAACGTCCCTTTACACAGAGCAGATTTGAAACACTCTTTTTGTGGAGTTTGCAAGTGGAGATTTCAAGCGATTTGATGCCAACAGTAGAAAAGGAAATATCTTCAAATAAAAACTAGACAGAATCATTCTCAGAAACTACTTTGTGATGTGTGCCTTCAACTCACAGAGTTTAACCTTTCTTTTCTTAGAGCAGTTTAGAAACACTCTGCTTGTTATGTCTGCAAGTGGATATTTGGACCTCTTTGAGGCCTTCGTTGCAAACGGGGTTTCTTCCTTTCATGCTAGACTAAGAAGAGTTCTCAGTAACTTTTTTGTGTTGTGTGTATTCAACTCACAGAGTTGAACCTTGCTTTACAGAGAGCAGATTTGAAACACTCTTGCTGTGGCATTTTCAGGTGGAGATTTCAAGCGATTTGAGGACAATTGCAGAAAAGGAAATATCTTCGTATAATAACCAGACAGAATCATTCTCAGAAAGTGCTTTGTGATGTGTGCGTTCAACTCACAGAGTTTAACCTTTCTTTTCATAGAGGAGTTTGGAAACACACTGTTTGTAAAGTCTGCAATTGGATATATGGACCTGTTTGAGGCCTTCGTTGGAAACGGGATTTCTTCATTGCATGCTAGACGGAAGAATTCTCAGTAAATACTTTGTGTTGTGCGCATTCAACTGACAGAGTGGAACGTCCCTTTAGACAGAGCAGATTTGAAACACTCTTTTTGCGGAATTTGCAAGTGGAGATTTCTAGCCATTTGATGCCAACAGTAGAAAGGGAAATATCTTCAAATAAAAACCAGACAGAATCATTCTCAGAAAATTCTTTGTGATGTGTGCGTTCAACTCACATAGTTTAACCTTTCTTTTCATAGAGCAGTTTGGAAACACTCTTTTTGTAAAGTCTGCAAGTGGATATATGGACCTGTTTGAGGCCTTCGTTGGAAACGGGATTTCTTCATTGAATGCTAGACGGAAGAATTCTCAGTAAATTCTTTGTGTTGTGTGCATTCAACTCACAGAGTGGAACGTCCCTTTAGACAGAGCAGATTTGAAACACTCTTTTTGCGGAATTTGCTAGTGGAGATTTCTAGCCATTTGATGCCAACAGTAGAAAGGGAAATATCTTCAAATAAAAACCAGACAGAATCATTCTCAGAAAATTCTTTGTGATGTGTGCGTTCAACTCACATAATTTAACCTTTCTTTTCATAGAGCAGTTTGGAAACACTCTGTTTGTAACGTCTGCAAGTGGATATATGGACCTCATTGAGGCCTTCGTTGGAAACGGGATTTCTTCATTTCATGCTAGCCAGAAGAATTCTCAGTAACTTCTTTGTGCTGTGTGTATTCAACTCACAGAGTGGAACGTCCCTTTACACAGAGCAGATTTGAAACACTCTTTTTGTGGAATTTGCAAGTGGAGATTTCAAGCGATTTGATGCCAACAGTAGAAAAGGAAATATCTTCAAATAAAAACTAGACAGAATCATTCTCAGAAACTACTTTGTGATGTGTGCCTTCAACTCACAGAGTTTAACCTTTCTTTTCTTAGAGCAGTTTAGAAACACTCTGCTTGTTATGTCTGCAAGTGGATATTTGGACCTCTTTGAGGCCTTCGTTGCAAACGGGGTTTCTTCCTTTAATGCTAGACTAAGAAGAGTTCTCAGTAACTTTTTTGTGTTGTGTGTATTCAACTCACAGAGTTGAACCTTGCTTTAGAGAGAGCAGATTTGAAACACTCTTGCTGTGGCATTTTCAGGTGGAGATTTCAAGCGATTTGAGGACAATTGCAGAAAAGGAAATATCTTCGTATAATAACCAGACAGAATCATTCTCAGAAAGTGCTTTGTGATGTGTGCGTTCAACTCACAGAGTTTAACCTTTCTTTCCATAGAGGAGTTTGGAAACACACTGTTTGTAAAGTCTGCAATTGGATATATAGACCTGTTTGAGGCCTTCGTTGGAAACGGGATTTCTTCATTGAATGCTAGACGGAAGAATTCTCAGTAAATTCTTTGTGTTGTGTGCATTCAACTGACAGAGTGGAACGTCCCTTTAGACAGAGCAGATTTGAAACACTCTTTTTGCGGAATGTGCAAGTGGAGATTTCTAGCCATTTGATGCCAACAGTAGAAAGGGAAACATCTTCAAATAAAAACCAGACAGAATCATTCTCAGAAAATTCTTTGTGATGTGTGCGTTCAACTCACATAGTTTAACCTTTCTTTTCATAGAGCAGTTTGGAAACACTCTGTTTGTAAAGTCTGCAAGTGGATATATGGACCGCATTGAGGCCTTCGTTGGAAACGGGATTTCTTCATTTCATGCTAGACAGAAGAATTCTCAGTAAATTCTTTGTGCTGTGTGTATTCAACTCACAGAGTGGAACGTCCCTTTACACAGAGCAGATTTGAAACACTCTTTTTGTGGAGTTTGCAAGTGGAGATTTCAAGCGATTTGATGCCAACAGTAGAAAAGGAAATATCTTCAAATAAAAACTAGACAGAATCATTCTCAGAAACTACTTTGTGATGTGTGCCTTCAACTCACAGAGTTTAACCTTTCTTTTCTTAGAGCAGTTTAGAAACACTCTGCTTGTTATGTCTGCAAGTGGATATTTGGACCTCTTTGAGGCCTTCGTTGCAAACGGGGTTTCTTCCTTTCATGCTAGACTAAGAAGAGTTCTCAGCAACTTTTTTGTGTTGTGTGTATTCAACTCACAGAGTTGAACCTTGCTTTAGAGAGAGCAGATTTGAAACACTCTTGCTGTGGCATTTTCAGGTGGAGATTTCAAGCGATTTGAGGACAATTGCAGAAAAGGAAATATCTTCGTATAATAACCAGACAGAATCATTCTCAGAAAGTGCTTTGTGATGTGTGCGTTCCACTCACAGTAGTTTAACCTTTCTTTTCATAGAGGAGTTTGGAAACACACTGTTTGTAAACTCTGCAAGTGGATATATGGACCTGTTTGAGGCCTTCGTTGGAAACGGGATTTCTTCATTGAATGCTAGACGGAAGAATTCTCAGTAAATTCTTTGTGTTGTGTGCATTCAACTCACAGAGTGGAACGTCCCTTTAGACAGAGCAGATTTGAAACACTCTTTTTGCGGAATTTGCAAGTGGAGATTTCTAGCCATTTGATGCCAACAGTAGAAAGGGAAATATCTTCAAATAAAAACCAGACAGAATCATTCTCAGAAAATTCTTTGTGATGTGTGCGTTCAACTCACATAGTTTAACCTTTCTTTTCATAGAGCAGTTTGGAAACACTCTGTTTGTAAAGTCTGCAAGTGGATATATGGACCGCATTGAGGCCTTCGTTGGAAACGGGATTTCTTCATTTCATGCTAGCCAAAAGAATTCTCAGTAACTTCTTTGTGCTGTGTGTATTCAACTCACAGAGTGGAACGTCCCTTTACACAGAGCAGATTTGAAACACTCTTTTTGTGGAGTTTGCAAGTGGAGATTTCAAGCGATTTGATGCCAACAGTAGAAAAGGAAATATCTTCAAATAAAAACTAGACAGAATCATTCTCAGAAACTACTTTGTGATGTGTGCCTTCAACTCACAGAGTTTAACCTTTCTTTTCTTAGAGCAGTTTAGAAACACTCTGCTTGTTATGTCTGCAAGTGGATATTTGGGCCTCTTTGAGGCCTTCGTTGCAAACGGGGTTTCTTCCTTTCATGCTAGACTAAGAAGAGTTCTCAGTAACTTTTTTGTGTTGTGTGTATTCAACTCACAGAGTTGAACCTTGCTTTAGAGAGAGCAGATTTGAAACACTCTTGCTGTGGCATTTTCAGGTGGAGATTTCAAGCGATTTGAGGACAATTGCAGAAAAGGAAATATCTTCGTATAACAACCAGACAGAATCATTCTCAGAAAGTGCTTTGTGATGTGTGCGTTCAACTCACAGAGTTTAACCTTTCTTTTCATAGAGGAGTTTGGAAACACACTGTTTGTAAAGTCTGCAAGTGGATATATGGACCTGTTTGAGGACTTCGTTGGAAACGGGATTTCTTCATTGAATGCTAGACGGAAGAATTCTCAGTAAATTCTTTGTGTTGTGTGCATTCAACTCACAGAGTGGAACGTCCCTTTAGACAGAGCAGATTTGAAACACTCTTTTTGCGGAATTTGCAAGTGGAGATTTCTAGCCATTTGATGCCAACAGTAGAAAGGGAAATATCTTCAAATAAAAACCAGACAGAATCATTCTCAGAAAATTCTTTGTGATGTGTGCGTTCAACTCACATAGTTTAACCTTTCTTTTCATAGAGCAGTTTGGAAACACTCTGTTTGTAAAGTCTGCAAGTGGATATATGGACCGCATTGAGGCCTTCGTTGGAAACGGGATTTCTTCATTTCATGCTAGACAGAAGAATTCTCAGTAACTTCTTTGTGCTGTGTGTATTCAACTCACAGAGTGGAACGTCCCTTTACACAGAGCAGATTTGAAACACTCTTTTTGTGGAGTTTGCAAGTGGAGATTTCAAGCGATTTGATGCCAACAGTAGAAAAGGAAATATCTTCAAATAAAAACTAGACAGAATCATTCTCAGAAACTACTTTGTGATGTGTGCCTTCAACTCACAGAGTTTAACCTTTCTTTTCTTAGAGCAGTTTAGAAACACTCTGCTTGTTATGTCTGCAAGTGGATATTTGGACCTCTTTGAGGCCTTCGTTGCAAACGGGGTTTCTTCCTTTCATGCTAGACTAAGAAGAGTTCTCAGTAACTTTTTTGTGTTGTGTGTATTCAACTCACAGAGTTGAACCTTGCTTTAGAGAGAGCAGATTTGAAACACTCTTGCTGTGGCATTTTCAGGTGGAGATTTCAAGCGATTTGAGGACAATTGCAGAAAAGGAAATATCTTCGTATAAGAACCAGACAGAATCATTCTCAGAAAGTGCTTTGTGATGTGTGCGTTCAACTCACAGAGTTTAACCTTTCTTTTCATAGAGGAGTTTGGAAACACACTGTTTGTAAAGTCTGCAAGTGGATATATGGACCTGTTTGAGGCCTTCGTTGGAAACGGGATTTCTTCATTGAATGCTAGACGGAAGAATTCTCAGTAAATTCTTTGTGTTGTGTGCATTCAACTCACAGAGTGGAACGTCCCTTTAGACAGAGCAGATTTGAAACACTCTTTTTGCGGAATTTGGAAGTGGAGATTTCTAGCCATTTGATGCCAACGGTAGAACGGGAAATATCTTCAAATAAAAACTAGACAGAATCATCCTCAGAAAATTCTTTGTGATGTGTGCGTTCAACTCACATAGTTTAACCTTTCTTTTCATAGACCAGTTTGGAAACACTCTGTTGGTAATGTCTGCAAGTGGATATATGGACCGCTTTGAGGACTTCGTTGGAAACGGAATTTCTTAATTTCATGCTAGACAGAAGAATTCTCAGTAACTTCTTTGTGCTGTGTGTATTCAACTCACAGAGTGGAACGTCCCTTTACACAGAGCAGATTTGAAACACTCTTTTTGTTGAATTTGCAAGTGGAGATTTCAAGCGATTTGATGCCAACAGTAGAAAAGGAAATATCTTCAAATAAAAACTAGACAGAATCATTCTCAGAAACTACTTTGTGATGTGTGCCTTCAACTCACAGAGTTTAACCTTTCTTTTCTTAGAGCAGTTTAGAAACACTCTGCTTGTTATGTCTGCAAGTGGATATTTGGACCTCTTTGAGGCCTTCGTTGCAAACGGGGTTTCTTCCTTTCATGCTAGACTAAGAAGAGTTCTCAGTAACTTTTTTGTGTTGTGTGTATTCAACTCACAGAGTTGAACCTTGCTTTAGAGAGAGCAGATTTGAAACACTCTCGCTGTGGAATTTTCAGGTGGAGATTACAAGCGATTTGAGGACAATTGCAGAAAAGGAAATATCTTCGTATAATAAACAGACAGAATCATTCTCAGAAAGTGCTTTGTGATGTGTGCGTTCAACTCACAGAGTTTAACCTTTCTTTTCATAGAGGAGTTTGGAAACACAGTGTTTGTAAAGTCTGCAAGTGGATATATGGACCTGTTTGAGGCCTTCGTTGGAAACGGGATTTCTTCATTGAATGCTAGACGGAAGAATTCTCAGTAAATTCTTTGTGTTGTGTGCATTCAACTCACAGAGTGGAACGTCCCTTTAGACAGAGCAGATTTGAAACACTCTTTTTGCGGAATTTGCAAGTGGAGATTTCTAGCCATTTGATGGCCAACAGTAGAAAGGGAAATATCTTCAAATAAAAACCAGACAGAATCATTCTCAGAAAATTCTTTGTGATGTGTGCGTTCAACTCACATAGTTTAACCTTTCTTTTCATAGAGCAGTTTGGAAACACTCTGTTTGTAAAGTCTGCAAGTGGATATATGGACCGCATTGAGGCCTTCGTTGGAAACGGGATTTCTTCATTTCATGCTAGACAGAAGAATTCTCAGTAACTTCTTTGTGCTGTGTGTATTCAACTCACAGAGTGGAACGTCCCTTTACACAGAGCAGATTTGAAACACTCTTTTTGTGGAGTTTGCAAGTGGAGATTTCAAGCGATTTGATGCCAACAGTAGAAAAGGAAATATCTTCAAATAAAAACTAGACAGAATCATTCTCAGAAACTACTTTGTGATGTGTGCCTTCAACTCACAGAGTTTAACCTTTCTTTTCTTAGAGCAGTTTAGAAACACTCTGCTTGTTATGTCTGCAAGTGGATATTTGGACCTCTTTGAGGCCTTCGTTGCAAACGGGGTTTCTTCCTTTCATGCTAGACTAAGAAGAGTTCTCAGTAACTTTTCTGTGTTGTGTGTATTCAACTCACAGAGTTGAACCTTGCTTTAGAGAGAGCAGATTTGAAACACTCTTGCTGTGACATTTTCAGGTGGAGATTTCAAGCGATTTGAGGACAATTGCAGAAAAGGAAATATCTTCGTATAACAACCAGACAGAATCATTCTCAGAAAGTGCTTTGTGATGTGTGCGTTCCACTCACAGAGTTTAACCTTTCTTTTCATAGAGGAGTTTGGAAACACACTGTTTGTAAAGTCTGCAATTGGATATATGGACCTGTTTGAGGCCTTCGTTGGAAACGGGATTTCTTCATTGAATGCTAGACGGAAGAATTCTCAGTAAATTCTTTGTGTTGTGTGCATTCAACTGACAGAGTGGAACGTCCCTTTAGACAGAGCAGATTTGAAACACTCTTTTTGCGGAATTTGCAAGTGGAGATTTCTAGCCATTTGATGCCAACAGTAGAAAGGGAAATATCTTCAAATAAAAACCAGACAGAATCATTCTCAGAAAATTCTTTGTGATGTGTGCGTTCAACTCACATAGTTTAACCTTTCTTTTCATAGAGCAGTTTGGAAACACTCTGTTTGTAAAGTCTGCAAGTGGATATATGGACCGCATTGAGGCCTTCGTTGGAAACGGGATTTCTTCATTTCATGCTAGACAGAAGAATTCTCAATAACTTCTTTGTGCTGTGTGTATTCAACTCACAGAGTGGAACGTCCCTTTACACAGAGCAGATTTGAAACACTCTTTTTGTGGAGTTTGCAAGTGGAGATTTCAAGCGATTTGATGCCAACAGTAGAAAAGGAAATATCTTCAAATAAAAACTAGACAGAATCATTCTCAGAAACTACTTTGTGATGTGTGCCTTCAACTCACAGAGTTTAACCTTTCTTTTCTTAGAGCAGTTTAGAAACACTCTGCTTGTTATGTCTGCAAGTGGATATTTGGACCTCTTTGAGGCCTTCGTTGCAAACGGGGTTTCTTCCTTTCATGCTAGACTAAGAAGTGTTCTCAGTAACTTTTTTGTGTTGTGTGTATTCAACTCACAGAGTTGAACCTTGCTTTAGAGAGAGCAGATTTGAAACACTCTTGCTGTGGCATTTTCAGGTGGAGATTTCAAGCGATTTGAGGACAATTGCAGAAAAGGAAATATCTTCGTATAATAACCAGACAGAATCATTCTCAGAAAGTGCTTTGTGATGTGTGCGTTCAACTCACAGAGTTTTACCTTTCTTTTCATAGAGGAGTTTGGAAACACACTGTTTGTAAAGTCTGCAAGTGGATATATGGACCTGTTTGAGGCCTTCGTTGGAAACGGGATTTCTTCATTGAATGCTAGACGGAAGAATTCTCAGTAAATTCTTTGTGTTGTGTGCATTCAACTCACAGAGTGGAACGTCCCTTTAGACAGAGCAGATTTGAAACACTCTTTTTGCGGAATTTGCAAGTGGAGATTTCTAGCCATTTGATGCCAACAGTAGAAAGGGAAATATCTTCAAATAAAAACCAGACAGAATCATTCTCAGAAAATTCTTTGTGATGTGTGCGTTCAACTCACATAGTTTAACCTTTCTTTTCATAGAGCAGTTTGGAAACACTCTGTTTGTAAAGTCTGCAAGTGGATATATGGACCGCATTGAGGCCTTCGTTGGAAACGGGATTTCTTCATTTCATGCTAGACAGAAGAATTCTCAGTAACTTCTTTGTGCTGTGTGTATTCAACTCACAGAGTGGAACGTCCCTTTGCACAGAGCAGATTTGAAACACTCTTTTTGTGGAATTTGCAAGTGGAGATTTCAAGCGATTTGATGCCAACAGTAGAAAAGGAAATATCTTCAAATAAAAACTAGACAGAATCATTCTCAGAAACTACTTTGTGATGTGTGCCTTCAACTCACAGAGTTTAACCTTTCTTTTCTTAGAGCAGTTTAGAAACACTCTGCTTGTTATGTCTGCAAGTGGATATTTGGACCTCTTTGAGGCCTTCGTTGCAAACAGGGGTTTCTTCCTTTAATGCTAGACTAAGAAGAGTTCTCAGTAACTTTTTTGTGTTGTGTGTATTCAACTCACAGAGTTGAACCTTGCTTTAGAGAGAGCAGATTTGAAACACTCTTGCTGTGGCATTTTCAGGTGGAGATTTCAAGCGATTTGAGGACAATTGCAGAAAAGGAAATATCTTCGTATAATAACCAGACAGAATCATTCTCAGAAAGTGCTTTGTGATGTGTGCGTTCAACTCACAGAGTTTAACCTTTCTTTTCATAGAGGAGTGTGGAAACACACTGTTTGTAAAGTCTGCAATTGGATATATGGACCTGTTTGAGGCCTTCGTTGGAAACGGGATTTCTTCATTGAATGCTAGACGGAAGAATTCTCAGTAAATTCTTTGTGTTGTGTGCATTCAACTGACAGAGTGGAACGTCCCTTTAGACAGAGCAGATTTGAAACACTCTTTTTGCGGAATTTGCAAGTGGAGATTTCTAGCCATTTGATGCTAACAGTAGAAAGGGAAATATCTTCAAATAAAAACCAGACAGAATCATTCTCAGAAAATTCTTTGTGATGTGTGCGTTCAACTCACATAGTTTAACCTTTCTTTTCATAGAGCAGTTTGGAAACACTCTGTTTGTAAAGTCTGCAAGTGGATATATGGACCGCATTGAGGCCTTCGTTGGAAACGGGATTTCTTCATTTCATGCTAGACAGAAGAATTCTCAGTAACTTCTTTGTGCTGTGTGTATTCAACTCACAGAGTGGAACGTCCCTTTACACAGAGCAGATTTGAAACACTCTTTTTGTGGAGTTTGCAAGTGGAGATTTCAAGCGATTTGATGCCAACAGTAGAAAAGGAAATATCTTCAAATAAAAACTAGACAGAATCATTCTCAGAAACTACTTTGTGAGGTGTGCCTTCAACTCACAGAGTTTAACCTTTCTTTTCTTAGAGCAGTTTAGAAACACTCTGCTTGTTATGTCTGCAAGTGGATATTTGGACCTCTTTGAGGCCTTCGTTGCAAACGGGGTTTCTTCCTTTCATGCTAGACTAAGAAGAGTTCTCAGTAACTTTTTTGTGTTGTGTGTATTCAACTCACAGAGTTGAACCTTGCTTTAGAGAGAGCAGATTTGAAACACTCTTGCTGTGGCATTTTCAGGTGGAGATTTCAAGCGATTTGAGGACAATTGCAGAAAAGGAAATATCTTCGTATAATAACCAGACAGAATCATTCTCAGAAAGTGCTTTGTGATGTGTGCGTTCAACTCACAGAGTTTAACCTTTCTTTTCATAGAGGAGTTTGGAAACACACTGTTTGTAAAGTCTGCAATTGGATATATGGACCTGTTTGAGGCCTTCTTTGGAAACGGGATTTCTTCATTGAATGCAAGGCGGAAGAATTCTCAGTAAATTCTTTGTGTTGTGTGCATTCAACTGACAGAGTGGAACGTCCCTTTAGACAGAGCAGATTTGAAACACTCTTTTTGCGGAATTTGCAAGTGGAGATTTCTAGCCATTTGATGCCAACAGTAGAAAGGGAAATATCTTCAAATAAAAACCAGACAGAATCATTCTCAGAAAATTCTTTGTGATGTGTGCGTTCAACTCACATAGTTTAACCTTTCTTTTCATAGAGCAGTTTGGAAACACTCTGTTTGTAAAGTCTGCAAGTGGATATATGGACCGCATTGAGGCCTTCGTTGGAAACGGGATTTCTTCATTTCATGCTAGACAGAAGAATTCTCAGTAGCTTCTTTGTGCTGTGTGTATTCAACTCACAGAGTGGAACGTCCCTTTACACAGAGCAGATTTGAAACACTCTTTTTGTTGAATTTGCAAGTGGAGATTTCAAGCGATTTGATGCCAACAGTAGAAAAGGAAATATCTTCAAATAAAAACTAGACAGAATCATTCTCAGAAACTACTTTGTGATGTGTGCCTTCAACTCACAGAGTTTAACCTTTCTTTTCTTAGAGCAGTTTAGAAACACTCTGCTTGTTATGTCTGCAAGTGGATATTTGGACCTCTTTGAGGCCTTCGTTGCAAACGGGGTTTCTTCCTTTCATGCTAGACTAAGAAGAGTTCTCAGTAACTTTTCTGTGTTGTGTGTATTCAACTCACAGAGTTGAACCTTGCTTTAGAGAGAGCAGATTTGAAACACTCTTGCTGTGACATTTTCAGGTGGAGATTTCAAGCGATTTGAGGACAATTGCAGAAAAGGAAATATCTTCGTATAATAACCAGACAGAATCATTCTCAGAAAGTGCTTTGTGATGTGTGCGTTCCACTCACAGAGTTTAACCTTTCTTTTCATAGAGGAGTTTGGAAACACACTGTTTGTAAACTCTGCAAGTGGATATATGGACCTGTTTGAGGCCTTCGTTGGAAACGGGATTTCTTCATTGAATGCTAGACGGAAGAATTCTCAGTAAATTCTTTGTGTTGTGTGCATTCAACTCACAGAGTGGAACGTCCCTTTAGACAGAGCAGATTTGAAACACTCTTTTTGCGGAATTTGCAAGTGGAGATTTCTAGCCATTTGATGCCAACAGTAGAAAGGGAAATATCTTCAAATAAAAACCAGACAGAATCATTCTCAGAAAATTCTTTGTGATGTGTGCGTTCAACTCACATAGTTTAACCTTTCTTTTCATAGAGCAGTTTGGAAACACTCTGTTTGTAAAGTCTGCAAGTGGATATATGGACCGCATTGAGGCCTTCGTTGGAAACGGGATTTCTTCATTTCATGCTAGACAGAAGAATTCTCAGTAACTTCTTTGTGCTGTGTGTATTCAACTCACAGAGTGGAACGTCCCTTTACACAGAGCAGATTTGAAACACTCTTTTTGTGGAGTTTGCAAGTGGAGATTTCAAGCGATTTGATGCCAACAGTAGAAAAGGAAATATCTTCAAATAAAAACTAGACAGAATCATTCTCAGAAACTACTTTGTGATGTGTGCCTTCAACTCACAGAGTTTAACCTTTCTTTTCTTAGAGCAGTTTAGAAACACTCTGCTTGTTATGTCTGCAAGTGGATATTTGGACCTCTTTGAGGCCTTCGTTGCAAACGGGGTTTCTTCCTTTCATGCTAGACTAAGAAGAGTTCTCAGTAACTTTTTTGTGTTGTGTGTATTCAACTCACAGAGTTGAACCTTGCTTTAGAGAGAGCAGATTTGAAACACTCTTGCTGTGGCATTTTCAGGTGGAGATTTCAAGCGATTTGAGGACAATTGCAGAAAAGGAAATATCTTCGTATAATAACCAGACAGAATCATTCTCAGAAAGTGCTTTGTGATGTGTGCGTTCAACTCACAGAGTTTAACCTTTCTTTTCATAGAGGAGTTTGGAAACACACTGTTTGTAAAGTCTGCATTTGGATATATGGACCTGTTTGAGGCCTTCGTTGGAAAGGGGATTTCTTCATTGAATGCTAGACGGAAGAATTCTCAGTAAATTCTTTGTGTTGTGTGCATTCAACTCACAGAGTGGAACGTCCCTTTAGACAGAGCAGATTTGAAACACTCTTTTTGCGGAATTTGCAAGTGGAGATTTCTAGCCATTTGATGCCAACAGTAGAAAGGGAAATATCTTCAAATAAAAACCAGACAGAATCATTCTCAGAAAATTCTTTGTGATGTGTGCGTTCAACTCACATAGTTTAACCTTTCTTTTCATAGAGCAGTTTGGAAACACTCTGTTTGTAAAGTCTGCAAGTGGATATATGGACCGCATTGAGGCCTTCGTTGGAAACGGGATTTCTTCATTTCATGCTAGACAGAAGAATTCTCAGTAACTTCTTTGTGCTGTGTGTATTCAACTCACAGAGTGGAACGTCCCTTTGCACAGAGCAGATTTGAAACACTCTTTTTGTGGAATTTGCAAGTGGAGATTTCAAGCGATTTGATGCCAACAGTAGAAAAGGAAATATCTTCAAATAAAAACTAGACAGAATCATTCTCAGAAACTACTTTGTGATGTGTGCCTTCAACTCACAGAGTTTAACCTTTCTTTTCTTAGAGCAGTTTAGAAACACTCTGCTTGTTATGTCTGCAAGTGGATATTTGGACCTCTTTGAGGCCTTCGTTGCAAACGGGGTTTCTTCCTTTCATGCTAGACTAAGAAGAGTTCTCAGTAACTTTTTTGTGTTGTGTGTATTCAACTCACAGAGTTGAACCTTGCTTTAGAGAGAGCAGATTTGAAACACTCTTGCTGTGGCATTTTCAGGTGGAGATTTCAAGCGATTTGAGGACAATTGCAGAAAAGGAAATATCTTCGTATAATAACCAGACAGAATCATTCTCAGAAAGTGCTTTGTGATGTGTGCGTTCCACTCACAGAGTTTAACCTTTCTTTTCATAGAGGAGTTTGGAAACACACTGTTTGTAAAGTCTGCAAGTGGATATATGGACCTGTTTGAGGCCTTCGTTGGAAACGGGATTTCTTCATTGAATGCTAGACGGAAGAATTCTCAGTAAATTCTTTGTGTTGTGTGCATTCAACTGACAGAGTGGAACGTCCCTTTAGACAGAGCAGATTTGAAACACTCTTTTTGCGGAATTTGCAAGTGGAGATTTCTAGCCATTTGATGCCAACAGTAGAAAGGGAAATATCTTCAAATAAAAACCAGACAGAATCATTCTCAGAAAATTCTTTGTGATGTGTGCGTTCAACTCACATAGTTTAACCTTTCTTTTCATAGAGCAGTTTGGAAACACTCTGTTTGTAAAGTCTGCAAGTGGATATATGGACCGCATTGAGGCCTTCGTTGGAAACGGGATTTCTTCATTTCATGCTAGACAGAAGAATTCTCAGTAACTTCTTTGTGCTGTGTGTATTCAACTCACAGAGTGGAACGTCCCTTTGCACAGAGCAGATTTGAAACACTCTTTTTGTGGAGTTTGCAAGTGGAGATTTCAAGCGATTTGATGCCAACAGTAGAAAAGGAAATATCTTCAAATAAAAACTAGACAGAATCATTCTCAGAAACTACTTTGTGATGTGTGCCTTCAACTCACAGAGTTTAACCTTTCTTTTCTTAGAGCAGTTTAGAAACACTCTGCTTGTTATGTCTGCAAGTGGATATTTGGACCTCTTTGAGGCCTTCGTTGCAAACGGGGTTTCTTCCTTTCATGCTAGACTAAGAAGAGTTCTCAGTAACTTTTTTGTGTTGTGTGTATTCAACTCACAGAGTTGAACCTTGCTTTAGAGAGAGCAGATTTGAAACACTCTTGCTGTGGCATTTTCAGGTGGAGATTTCAAGCGATTTGTGGACAATTGCAGAAAAGGAAATATCTTCGTATAATAACCAGACAGAATCATTCTCAGAAAGTGCTTTGTGATGTGTGCGTTCAACTCACAGAGTTTAACCTTTCTTTTCATAGAGGAGTTTGGAAACACACTGTTTGTAAAGTCTGCAAGTGGATATATGGACCTGTTTGAGGCCTTCGTTGGAAACGGGATTTCTTCATTGAATGCTAGACGGAAGAATTCTCAGTAAATTCTTTGTGTTGTGTGCATTCAACTCACAGAGTGGAACGTCCCTTTAGACAGAGCAGATTTGAAACACTCTTTTTGCGGAATTTGCAAGTGGAGATTTCTAGCCATTTGATGCCAACAGTAGAAAGGGAAATATCTTCAAATAAAAACCAGACAGAATCATTCTCAGAAAATTCTTTGTGATGTGTGCGTTCAACTCACATAGTTTAACCTTTCTTTTCATAGAGCAGTTTGGAAACACTCTGTTTGTAAAGTCTGCAAGTGGATATATGGACCGCATTGAGGCCTTCGTTGGAAACGGGATTTCTTCATTTCATGCTAGACAGAAGAATTCTCAGTAACTCCTTTGTGCTGTGTGTATTCAACTCACAGAGTGGAACGTCCCTTTGCACAGAGCAGATTTGAAACACTCTTTTTGTGGAGTTTGCAAGTGGAGATTTCAAGCGATTTGATGCCAACAGTAGAAAAGGAAATATCTTCAAATAAAAACTAGACAGAATCATTCTCAGAAACTACTTTGTGATGTGTGCCTTCAACTCACAGAGTTTAACCTTTCTTTTCTTAGAGCAGTTTAGAAACACTCTGCTTGTTATGTCTGCAAGTGGATATTTGGACCTCTTTGAGGCCTTCGTTGCAAACGGGGTTTCTTCCTTTCATGCTAGACTAAGAAGAGTTCTCAGTAACTTTTTTGTGTTGTGTGTATTCAACTCACAGAGTTGAACCTTGCTTTAGAGAGAGCAGATTTGAAACACTCTTGCTGTGGCATTTTCAGGTGGAGATTTCAAGCGATTTGAGGACAACTGCAGAAAAGGAAATATCTTCGTATAATAACCAGACAGAATCATTCTCAGAAAGTGCTTTGTGATGTGTGCGTTCAACTCACAGAGTTTAACCTTTCTTTTCATAGAGGAGTTTGGAAACACACTGTTTGTAAAGTCTGCAAGTGGATATATGGACCTGTTTGAGGCCTTCGTTGGAAACGGGATTTCTTCATTGAAAGCTAGACGGAAGAATTCTCAGTAAATTCTTTGTGTGGTGTGCATTCAACTCACAGAGTGGAACGTCCCTTTAGACAGAGCAGATTTGAAACACTCTTTTTGCGGAATTTGCAAGTGGAGATTTCTAGCCATTTGATGCCAACAGTAGAAAGGGAAATATCTTCAAATAAAAACCAGACAGAATCATTCTCAGAAAATTCTTTGTGATGTGTGCGTTCAACTCACATAGTTTAACCTTTCTTTTCATAGAGCAGTTTGGAAACACTCTGTTTGTAAAGTCTGCAAGTGGATATATGGACCGCATTGAGGCCTTCGTTGGAAACGGGATTTCTTCATTTCATGCTAGACAGAAGAATTCTCAGTAACTTCTTTGTGCTGTGTGTATTCAACTCACAGAGTGGAACGTCCCTTTGCACAGAGCAGATTTGAAACACTCTTTTTGTGGAGTTTGCAAGTGGAGATTTCAAGCGATTTGATGCCAACAGTAGAAAAGGAAATATCTTCAAATAAAAACTAGACAGAATCATTCTCAGAAACTACTTTGTGATGTGTGCCTTCAACTCACAGAGTTTAACCTTTCTTTTCTTAGAGCAGTTTAGAAACACTCTGCTTGTTATGTCTGCAAGTGGATATTTGGACCTCTTTGAGGCCTTCGTTGCAAACGGGGTTTCTTCCTTTCATGCTAGACTAAGAAGAGTTCTCAGTAACTTTTTTGTGTTGTGTGTATTCAACTCACAGAGTTGAACCTTGCTTTAGAGAGAGCAGATTTGAAACACTCTTGCTGTGGCATTTTCAGGTGGAGATTTCAAGCGATTTGAGGACAATTGCAGAAAAGGAAATATCTTCGTATAATAACCAGACAGAATCATTCTCAGAAAGTGCTTTGTGATGTGTGCGTTCAACTCACAGAGTTTAACCTTTCTTTTCATAGAGGAGTTTGGAAACACACTGTTTGTAAAGTCTGCAAGTGGATATATGGACCTGTTTGAGGCCTTCGTTGGAAACGGGATTTCTTCATTGAATGCTAGACGGAAGAATTCTCAGTAAATTCTTTGTGTTGTGTGCATTCAACTCACAGAGTGGAACGTCCCTTTAGACAGAGCAGATTTGAAACACTCTTTTTGCGGAATTTGCAAGTGGAGATTTCTAGCCATTTGATGCCAACAGTAGAAAGGGAAATATCTTCAAATAAAAACCAGACAGAATCATTCTCAGAAAATTCTTTGTGATGTGTGCGTTCAACTCACATAGTTTAACCTTTCTTTTCATAGAGCAGTTTGGAAACACTCTGTTTGTAAAGTCTGCAAGTGGATATATGGACCGCATTGAGGCCTTCGTTGGAAACGGGATTTCTTCATTTCATGCTAGACAGAAGAATTCTCAGTAACTTCTTTGTGCTGTGTGTATTCAACTCACAGAGTGGAACGTCCCTTTACACAGAGCAGATTTGAAACACTCTTTTTGTGGAGTTTGCAAGTGGAGATTTCAAGCGATTTGATGCCAACAGTAGAAAAGGAAATATCTTCAAATAAAAACTAGACAGAATCATTCTCAGAAACTACTTTGTGATGTGTGCCTTCAACTCACAGAGTTTAACCTTTCTTTTCTTAGAGCAGTTTAGAAACACTCTGCTTGTTATGTCTGCAAGTGGATATTTGGACCTCTTTGAGGCCTTCGTTGCAAACGGGGTTTCTTCCTTTCATGCTAGACTAAGAAGAGTTCTCAGTAACTTTTTTGTGTTGTGTGTATTCAACTCACAGAGTTGAACCTTGCTTTAGAGAGAGCAGATTTGAAACACTCTTCCTGTGGCATTTTCAGGTGGAGATTTCAAGCGTTTTGAGGACAATTGCAGAAAAGGAAATATCTTCCTATAACAACCAGACAGAATCATTCTCAGAAAGTGCTTTGTGATGTGTGCGTTCCACTCACAGACTTTAACCTTTCTTTTCATAGAGGAGTTTGGAAACACACTGTTTGTAAAGTCTGCAAGTGGATATATGGACCTGTTTGAGGCCTTCGTTGGAAACGGGATTTCTTCATTGAATGCTAGACGGAAGAATTCTCAGTAAATTCTTTGTGTTGTGTGCATTCAACTCACAGAGTGGAACGTCCCTTTAGACAGAGCAGATTTGAAACACTCTTTTTGCGGAATTTGCAAGTGGAGATTTCTAGCCATTTGATGCCAACAGTAGAAAGGGAAATATCTTCAAATAACAACCAGGCAGAATCATTCTCAGAAAATTCTTTGTGATGTGTGCGTTCAACTCACATAGTTTAACCTTTCTTTTCATAGAGCAGTTTGGAAACACTCTGTTTGTAAAGTCTGCAAGTGGATATATGGACCGCATTGAGGCCTTCGTTGGAAACGGGATTTCTTCATTTCATGCTAGACAGAAGAATTCTCAGTAACTTCTTTGTGCTGTGTGTATTCAACTCACAGAGTGGAACGTCCCTTTGCACAGAGCAGATTTGAAACACTCTTTTTGTGGAATTTGCAAGTGGAGATTTCAAGCGATTTGATGCCAACAGTAGAAAAGGAAATATCTTCAAATAAAAACTAGACAGAATCATTCTCAGAAACTACTTTGTGATGTGTGCCTTCAACTCACAGAGTTTAACCTTTCTTTTCTTAGAGCAGTTTAGAAACACTCTGCTTGTTATGTCTGCAAGTGGATATTTGGACCTCTTTGAGGCCTTCGTTGCAAACGGGGTTTCTTCCTTTAATGCTAGACTAAGAAGAGTTCTCAGTAACTTTTTTGTGTTGTGTGTATTCAACTCACAGAGTTGAACCTTGCTTTAGAGAGAGCAGGTTTGAAACACTCTTGCTGTGGCATTTTCAGGTGGAGATTTCAAGCGATTTGAGGACAATTGCAGAAAAGGAAATATCTTCGTATAACAACCAGACAGAATCATTCTCAGAAAGTGCTTTGTGATGTGTGCGTTCCACTCACAGAGTTTAACCTTTCTTTTCATAGAGGAGTTTGGAAACACACTGTTTGTAAACTCTGCAAGTGGATATATGGACCTGTTTGAGGCCTTCGTTGGAAACGGGATTTCTTCATTGAATGCTAGACGGAAGAATTCTCAGTAAATACTTTGTGTTGTGTGCATTCAACTGACAGAGTGGAACGTCTCTTTAGACAGAGCAGATTTGAAACACTCTTTTTGCGGAATTTGCAAGTGGAGATTTCTAGCCATTTGATGCCAACAGTAGAAAGGGAAATATCTTCAAATAAAAACCAGACAGAATCATTCTCAGAAAATTCTTTGTGATGTGTGCGTTCAACTCACATAGTTTAACCTTTCTTTTCATAGAGCAGTTTGGAAACACTCTGTTTGTAAAGTCTGCAAGTGGATCTATGGACCGCATTGAGGCCTTCGTTGGAAACGGGATTTCTTCATTTCATGCTAGACAGAAGAATTCTCAGTAACTTCTTTGTGCTGTGTGTATTCAACTCACAGAGTGGAACGTCCCTTTACACAGAGCAGATTTGAAACACTCTTTTTGTGGAGTTTGCAAGTGGAGATTTCAAGCGATTTGATGCCAGCAGTAGAAAAGGAAATATCTTCAAATAAAAACTAGACAGAATCATTCTCAGAAACTACTTTGTGATGTGTGCCTTCAACTCACAGAGTTTAACCTTTCTTTTCTTAGAGCAGTTTAGAAACACTCTGCTTGTTATGTCTGCAAGTGGATATTTGGACCTCTTTGAGGCCTTCGTTGCAAACGGGGTTTCTTCCTTTCATGCTAGACTAAGAAGAGTTCTCAGTAACTTTTTTGTGTTGTGTGTATTCAACTCACAGAGTTGAACCTTGCTTTAGAGAGAGCAGATTTGAAACACTCTTGCTGTGGCATTTTCAGGTGGAGATTTCAAGCGATTTGAGGACAATTGCAGAAAAGGAAATATCTTCGTATAATAACCAGACAGAATCATTCTCAGAAAGTGCTTTGTGATGTGTGCGTTCAACTCACAGAGTTTAACCTTTCTTTTCATAGAGGAGTTTGGAAACACACTGTTTGTAAAGTCTGCAATTGGATATATGGACCTGTTTGAGGCCTCCGTTGGAAACGGGATTTCTTCATTGAATGCTAGACGGAAGAATTCTCAGTAAATTCTTTGTGTTGTGTGCATTCAACTCACAGAGTGGAACGTCCCTTTAGACAGAGCAGATTTGAAACACTCTTTTTGCGGAATTTGCAAGTGGAGATTTCTAGCCATTTGATGCCAACAGTAGAAAGGGAAATATACTTCAAATAAAAACCAGGCAGAATCATTCTCAGAAAATTCTTTGTGATGTGTGCGTTCAACTCACATAGTTTAACCTTTCTTTTCATAGAGCAGTTTGGAAACACTCTGTTTGTAAAGTCTGCAAGTGGATATATGGACCGCATTGAGGCCTTCGTTGGAAACGGGATTTCTTCATTTCATGCTAGACAGAAGAATTCTCAGTAACTTCCTTGGGCTGTGTGTATTCAACTCACAGAGTGGAACGTCCCTTTGCACAGAGCAGATTTGAAACACTCTTTTTGTGGAATTTGCAAGTGGAGATTTCAAGCGATTTGATGCCAACAGTAGAAAAGGAAATATCTTCAAATAAAAACTAGACAGAATCATTCTCAGAAACTACTTTGTGATGTGTGCCTTCAACTCACAGAGTTTAACCTTTCTTTTCTTAGAGCAGTTTAAAAACACTCTGCTTGTTATGTCTGCAAGTGGATATTTGGACCTCTTTGAGGCCTTCGTTGCAAACGGGGTTTCTTCCTTTCATGCTAGACTAAGAAGAGTTCTCAGTAACTTTTTTGTGTTGTGTGTATTCAACTCACAGAGCTGAACCTTGCTTTAGAGAGAGCAGATTTGAAACACTCTTGCTGTGGCATTTTCAGGTGGAGATTTCAAGCGATTTGAGGACAATTTCAGGAAAGGAAATATCTTCGTATAACAACCAGACAGAGAATCATTCTCAGAAAGTGCTTTGTGATGTGTGCGTTCAACTCACAGAGTTTAACCTTTCTTTTCATAGAGGAGTTTGGAAACACACTGTTTGTAAAGTCTGCAATTGGATATATGGACCTGTTTGAGGCCTTTGTTGGAAACGGGATTTCTTCATTGAATGCTAGACGGAAGAATTCTCAGTAAATTCTTTGTGTTGTGTGCATTCAACTCACAGAGTGGAACGTCCCTTTAGACAGAGCAGATTTGAAACACTCTTTTTGCGGAATTTGCAAGTGGAGATTTCTAGCCATTTGATGCCAACAGTAGAAAGGGAAATATCTTCAAATAAAAACCAGACAGAATCATTCTCAGAAAATTCTTTGTGATGTGTGCGTTCAACTCACATAGTTTAACCTTTCTTTTCATAGAGCAGTTTGGAAACACTCTGTTTGTAAAGTCTGCAAGTGGATATATGGACTGCATTGAGGCCTTCGTTGGAAACGGGATTTCTTCATTTCATGCTAGACAGAAGAATTCTCAGTAACTTCTTTGTGCTGTGTGTATTCAACTCACAGAGTGGAACGTCCCTTTGCACAGAGCAGATTTTAAACACTCTTTTTGTGGAGTTTGCAAGTGGAGATTTCAAGCGATTTGATGCCAACAGTAGAAAAGGAAATATCTTCAAATAAAAACTAGACAGAATCATTCTCAGAAACTACTTTGTGATGTGTGCCTTCAACTCACAGAGTTTAACCTTTCTTTTCTTAGAGCAGTTTAGAAACACTCTGCTTGTTATGTCTGCAAGTGGATATTTGGACCTCTTTGAGGCCTTCGTTGCAAACGGGGTTTCTTCCTTTCATGCTAGACTAAGAAGAGTTCTCAGTAACTTTTTTGTGTTGTGTGTATTCAACTCACAGAGTTGAACCTTGCTTTAGAGAGAGCAGATTTGAAACACTCTTGCTGTGGCATTTTCAGGTGGAGATTTCAAGCGATTTGAGGACAATTGCAGAAAAGGAAATATCTTCGTATAATAACCAGACAGAATCATTCTCAGAAAGTGCTTTGTGATGTGTGCGTTCCACTCACAGAGTTTAACCTTTCTTTTCATAGAGGAGTTTGGAAACACACTGTTTTTAAAGTCTGCAAGTGGATATATGGACCTCTTTGAGGCCTTCGTTGGAAACGGGATTTCTTCATTGAATGCTAGACGGAAGAATTCTCAGTAAATTCTTTGTGTTGTGTGCATTCAACTCACAGAGTGGAACGTCCCTTTAGACAGAGCAGATTTGAAACACTCTTTTTGCGGAATTTGCAAGTGGAGATTTCTAGCCATTTGATGCCAACAGTAGAAAGGGAAATATCTTCAAATAAAAACCAGACAGAATCATTCTCAGAAAATTCTTTGTGATGTGTGCGTTCAACTCACATAGTTTAACCTTTCTTTTCATAGAGCAGTTTGGAAACACTCTGTTTGTAAAGTCTGCAAGTGGATATATAGACCGCATTGAGGCCTTCGTTGGAAACGGGATTTCTTCATTTCATGCTAGACAGAAGAATTCTCAGTAACTTCTTTGTGCTGTGTGTATTCAACTCACAGAGTGGAACGTCCCTTTACACAGAGCAGATTTGAAACACTCTTTTTG
The DNA here is from genome assembly GCF_000001405.40 of Homo sapiens. Lineage (NCBI taxonomy): Eukaryota > Metazoa > Chordata > Mammalia > Primates > Hominidae > Homo > Homo sapiens. The sequence continues at coordinate 59,664,163 of NC_000007.14, forward strand.
TGGAATTTGCAAGTGGAGATTTCAAGCGATTTGATGCCAACAGTAGAAAAGGAAATATCTTCAAATAAAAACTAGACAGAATCATTCTCAGAAACTACTTTGTGATGTGTGCCTTCAACTCACAGAGTTTAACCTTTCTTTTCTTAGAGCAGTTTAGAAACACTCTGCTTGTTATGTCTGCAAGTGGATATTTGGACCTCTTTGAGGCCTTCGTTGCAAACGGGGTTTCTTCCTTTAATGCTAGACTAAGAAGAGTTCTCAGTAACTTTTTTGTGTTGTGTGTATTCAACTCACAGAGTTGAACCTTGCTTTAGAGAGAGCAGATTTGAAACACTCTTGCTGTGGCATTTTCAGGTGGAGATTTCAAGCGATTTGAGGACAATTGCAGAAAAGGAAATATCTTCGTATAATAACCAGACAGAATCATTCTCAGAAAGCGCTTTGTGATGTGTGCGTTCCACTCACAGAGTTTAACCTTTCTTTTCATACAGGAGTTTGGAAACACACTGTTTGTAAAGTCTGCAAGTGGATATATGGACCTGTTTGAGGCCTTCGTTGGAAACGGGATTTCTTCATTGAATGCTAGACGGAAGAATTCTCAGTAAATTCTTTGTGTTGTGTGCATTCAACTCACAGAGTGGAACGTCCCTTTAGACAGAGCAGATTTGAAACACTCTTTTTGCGGAATTTGCAAGTGGAGATTTCTAGCCATTTGATGCCAACAGTAGAAAGGGAAATATCTTCAAATAAAAACCAGACAGAATCATTCTCAGAAAATTCTTTGTGATGTGTGCGTTCAAATCACATAGTTTAACCTTTCTTTTCATAGAGCAGTTTGGAAACACTCTGTTTGCAAAGTCTGCAAGTGGATATATGGACCGCATTGAGGCCTTCGTTGGAAACGGGATTTCTTCATTTCATGCTAGACAGAAGAATTCTCAGTAACTTCTTTGTGCTGTGTGTATTCAACTCACAGAGTGGAACGTCCCTTTACACAGAGCAGATTTGAAACACTCTTTTTGTGGAATTTGCAAGTGGAGATTTCAAGCGATTTGATGCCAACAGTAGAAAAGGAAATATCTTCAAATAAAAACTAGACAGAATCATTCTCAGAAACTACTTTGTGATGTGTGCCTTCAACTCACAGAGTTTAACCTTTCTTTTCTTAGAGCAGTTTAGAAACACTCTGCTTGTTATGTCTGCAAGTGGATATTTGGACCTCTTTGAGGCCTTCGTTGCAAACGGGGTTTCTTCCTTTCATGCTAGACTAAGAAGAGTTCTCAGTAACTTTTCTGTGTTGTGTGTATTCAACTCACAGAGTTGAACCTTGCTTTAGAGAGAGCAGATTTGAAACACTCTTGCTGTGGCATTTTCAGGTGGAGATTTCAAGCGTTTTGAGGACAATTGCAGAAAAGGAAATATCTTCGTATAATAACCAGACAGAATCATTCTCAGAAAGTGCTTTGTGATGTGTGCGTTCCACTCACAGAGTTTAACCTTTCTTTTCATAGAGGAGTTTGGAAACACACTGTTTGTAAACTCTGCAAGTGGATATATGGACCTGTTTGAGGCCTTCGTTGGAAACGGGATTTCTTCATTGAATGCTAGACGGAAGAATTCTCAGTAAATTCTTTGTGTTGTGTGCATTCAACTCACAGAGTGGAACGTCCCTTTAGACAGAGCAGATTTGAAACACTCTTTTTGCGGAATTTGCAAGTGGAGATTTCTAGCCATTTGATGCCAACAGTAGAAAGGGAAATATCTTCAAATAAAAACCAGACAGAATCATTCTCAGAAAATTCTTTGTGATGTGTGCGTTCAACTCACATAGTTTAACCTTTCTTTTCATAGAGCAGTTTGGAAACACTCTGTTTGTAAAGTCTGCAAGTGGATCTATGGACCGCATTGAGGCCTTCGTTGGAAACGGGATTTCTTCATTTCATGCTAGACAGAAGAATTCTCAGTAACTTCTTTGTGCTGTGTGTATTCAACTCACAGAGTGGAACGTCCCTTTACACAGAGAAGATTTGAAACACTCTTTTTGTGGAGTTTGCAAGTGGAGATTTCAAGCGATTTGATGCCAACAGTAGAAAAGGAAATATCTTCAAATAAAAACTAGACAGAATCATTCTCAGAAACTACTTTGTGATGTGTGCCTTCAACTCACAGAGTTTAACCTTTCTTTTCTTAGAGCAGTTTAGAAACACTCTGCTTGTTATGTCTGCAAGTGGATATTTGGACCTCTTTGAGGCCTTCGTTGCAAACGGGGTTTCTTCCTTTCATGCTAGACTAAGAAGAGTTCTCAGTAACTTTTTTGTGTTGTGTGTATTCAACTCACAGAGTTGAACCTTGCTTTAGAGAGAGCAGATTTGAAACACTCTTGCTGTGGCATTTTCAGGTGGAGATTTCAAGCGATTTGAGGACAATTGCAGAAAAGGAAATATCTTCGTATAACAACCAGACAGAATCATTCTCAGAAAGTGCTTTGTGATGTGTGCGTTCAACTCACAGAGTTTAACCTTTCTTTTCATAGAGGAGTTTGGAAACACACTGTTTGTAAAGTCTGCAATTGGATATATGGACCTGTTTGAGGCCTTCGTTGGAAACGGGATTTCTTCATTGCATGCTAGACGGAAGAATTCTCAGTAAATTCTTTGTGTTGTGTGCATTCAACTGACAGAGTGGAACGTCCCTTTAGACAGAGCAGATTTGAAACACTCTTTTTGCGGAATTTGCAAGTGGAGATTTCTAGCCATTTGATGCCAACAGTAGAAAGGGAAATATCTTCAAATAAAAACCAGACAGAATCATTCTCAGAAAATTCTTTGTGATGTGTGCGTTCAACTCACATAGTTTAACCTTTCTTTTCATAGAGCAGTTTGGAAACACTCTGTTTGTAAAGTCTGCAAGTGGATCTATGGACCGCATTGAGGCCTTCGTTGGAAACGGGATTTCTTCATTTCATGCTAGACAGAAGAATTCTCAGTAACTTCTTTATGCTGTGTGTATTCAACTCACAGAGTGCAACGTCCCTTTACACAGAACAGATTTGAAACACTCTTTTTGTGGAATTTGCAAGTGGAGATTTCAAGCGATTTGATGCCAACAGTAGAAGAGGAAATATCTTCAAATAAAAACTAGACAGAATCATTCTCAGAAACTACTTTGTGATGTGTGCCTTCAACTCACAGAGTTTAACCTTTCTTTTCTTAGAGCAGTTTAGAAACACTCTGCTTGTTATGTCTGCAAGTGGATATTTGGACCTCTTTGAGGCCTTCGTTGCAAACGGGGTTTCTTCCTTTAATGCTAGACTAAGAAGAGTTCTCAGTAACTTTTTTGTGTTGTGTGTATTCAACTCACAGAGTTGAACCTTGCTTTAGAGAGAGCAGATTTGAAACACTCTTGCTGTGGCATTTTCAGGTGGAGATTTCAAGCGATTTGAGGACAATTGCAGAAAAGGAAATATCTTCGTATAACAACCAGACAGAATCATTCTCAGAAAGTGCTTTGTGATGTGTGCGTTCAACTCACAGAGTTTAATCTTTCTTTTCATAGAGGAGTTTGGAAACACACTGTTTGTAAAGTCTGCAATTGGATATATGGACCTGTTTGAGGCCTTCGTTGGAAACGGGATTTCTTCATTGAATGCTAGACGGAAGAATTCTCAGTAAATTCTTCGTGTTGTGTGCATTCAACTCACAGAGTGGAACGTCCCTTTAGACAGAGCAGATTTGAAACACTCTTTTTGCGGAATTTGCAAGTGGAGATTTCTAGCCATTTGATGCCAACAGTAGAAAGGGAAATATCTTCAAATAAAAACCAGACAGAATCATTCTCAGAAAATTCTTTGTGATGTGTGCGTTCAACTCACATAGTTTAGCCTTTCTTTTCATAGAGCAGTTTGGAAACACTCTGTTTGTAAAGTCTGCAAGTGGATATATGGACCGCATTGAGGCCTTCGTTGGAAACGGGATTTCTTCATTTCATGCTAGACAGAAGAATTCTCAGTAACTTCTTTGTGCTGTGTGTATTCAACTCACAGAGTGGAACGTCCCTTTGCACAGAGCAGATTTGAAACACTCTTTTTGTGGAATTTGCAAGTGGAGATTTCAAGCGATTTGATGCCAACAGTAGAAAAGGAAATATCTTCAAATAAAAACTAGACAGAATCATTCTCAGAAACTACTTTGTGATGTGTGCCTTCAACTCACAGAGTTTAACCTTTCTTTTCTTAGAGCAGTTTAGAAACACTCTGCTTGTTATGTCTGCAAGTGGATATTTGGACCTCTTTGAGGCCTTCGTTGCAAACGGGGTTTCTTCCTTTCATGCTAGACTAAGAAGAGTTCTCAGTAACTTTTTTGTGTTGTGTGTATTCAACTCACAGAGTTGAACCTTGCTTTAGAGAGAGCAGATTTGAAACACTCTTGCTGTGGCATTTTCAGGTGGAGATTTCAAGCGATTTGAGGACAATTGCAGAAAAGGAAATATCTTCGTATAATAACCAGACAGAATCATTCTCAGAAAGTGCTTTGTGATGTGTGCGTTCCACTCACAGAGTTTAACCTTTCTTTTCATAGAGGAGTTTGGAAACACACTGTTTGTAAAGTCTGCAAGTGGATATATGGACCTGTTTGAGGCCTTCGTTGGAAACGGGATTTCTTCATTGAATGCTAGACGGAAGAATTCTCAGTAAATTCTTTGTGTTGTGTGCATTCAACTCACAGAGTGGAACGTCCCTTTAGACAGAGCAGATTTGAAACACTCTTTTTGCGGAATTTGCAAGTGGAGATTTCTAGCCATTTGATGCCAACAGTAGAAAGGGAAATATCTTCAAATAAAAACCAGACAGAATCATTCTCAGAAAATTCTTTGTGATGTGTGCGTTCAACTCACATAGTTTAACCTTTCTTTTCATAGAGCAGTTTGGAAACACTCTGTTTGTAAAGTCTGCAAGTGGATATATGGACCGCATTGAGGCCTTCGTTGGAAACGGGATTTCTTCATTTCATGCTAGACAGAAGAATTCTCAGTAACTTCTTTGTGCTGTGTGTATTCAACTCACAGAGTGGAACGTCCCTTTGCACAGAGCAGATTTGAAACACTCTTTTTGTGGAGTTTGCAAGTGGAGATTTCAAGCGATTTGATGCCAACAGTAGAAAAGGAAATATCTTCAAATAAAAACTAGACAGAATCATTCTCAGAAACTACTTTGTGATGTGTGCCTTCAACTCACAGAGTTTAACCTTTCTTTTCTTAGAGCAGTTTAGAAACACTCTGCTTGTTATGTCTGCAAGTGGATATTTGGACCTCTTTGAGGCCTTCGTTGCAAACGGGGTTTCTTCCTTTCATGCTAGACTAAGAAGAGTTCTCAGTAACTTTTTTGTGTTGTGTGTATTCAACTCACAGAGTTGAACCTTGCTTTAGAGAGAGCAGATTTGAAACACTCTTGCTGTGGCATTTTCAGGTGGAGATTTCAAGCGATTTGAGGACAATTGCAGAAAAGGAAATATCTTCGTATAATAACCAGACAGAATCATTCTCAGAAAGTGCTTTGTGATGTGTGCGTTCAACTCACAGAGTTTAACCTTTCTTTTCATAGAGGAGTTTGGAAACACACTGTTTGTAATGTCTGCAAGTGGATATATGGACCTGTTTGAGGCCTTCGTTGGAAACGGGATTTCTTCATTGAATGCTAGACGGAAGAATTCTCAGTAAATTCTTTGTCTTGTGTGCATTCAACTCACAGAGTGGAACGTCCCTTTAGACAGAGCAGATTTGAAACACTCTTTTTGCGGAATTTGCAAGTGGAGATTTCTAGCCATTTGATGCCAACAGTAGAAAGGGAAATATCTTCAAATAAAAACCAGACAGAATCATTCTCAGAAAATTCTTTGTGATGTGTGCGTTCAACTCACATAGTTTAACCTTTCTTTTCATAGAGCAGTTTGGAAACACTCTGTTTGTAAAGTCTGCAAGTGGATATATGGACCGCATTGAGGCCTTCGTTGGAAACGGGATTTCTTCATTTCATGCTAGACAGAAGAATTCTCAGTAACTTCTTTGTGCTGTGTGTATTCAACTCACAGAGTGGAACGTCCCTTTGCACAGAGCAGATTTGAAACACTCTTTTTGTGGAATTTGCAAGTGGAGATTTCAAGCGATTTGATGCCAACAGTAGAAAAGGAAATATTCTTCAAATAAAAACTAGACAGAATCATTCTCAGAAACTACTTTGTGATGTGTGCCTTCAACTCACAGTAGTTTAACCTTTCTTTTCTTAGAGCAGTTTAGAAACACTCTGCTTGTTATGTCTGCAAGTGGATATTTGGACCTCTTTGAGGCCTTCGTTGCAAACGGGGTTTCTTCCTTTAATGCTAGACTAAGAAGAGTTCTCAGTAACTTTTTTGTGTTGTGTGTATTCAACTCACAGAGTTGAACCATGCTTTAGAGAGAGCAGATTTGAAACACTCTTGCTGTGGCATTTTCAGTTGGAGATTTCAAGCGATTTGAGGACAATTGCAGAAAAGGAAATATCTTCGTATAACAACCAGACAGAATCATTCTCAGAAAGTGCTTTGTGATGTGTGCGTTCCACTCACAGAGTTTAACCTTTCTTTTCATAGAGGAGTTTGGAAACACACTGTTTGTAAAGTCTGCAATTGGATATATGGACCTGTTTGAGGCCTTCGTTGGAAACGGGATTTCTTCATTGAATGCTAGACGGAAGAATTCTCAGTAAATTCTTTGTGTTGTGTGCATTCAACTCACAGAGTGGAACGTCCCTTTAGACAGAGCAGATTTGAAACACTCTTTTTGCCGAATTTGCAAGTGGAGATTTCTAGCCATTTGATGCCAACAGTAGAAAGGGAAATATCTTCAAATAAAAACCAGACAGAATCATTCTCAGAAAATTCTTTGTGATGTGTGCGTTCAACTCACATAGTTTAACCTTTCTTTTCATAGAGCAGTTTGGAAACACTCTGTTTGTAAAGTCTGCAAGTGGATATATGGACCGCATTGAGGCCTTCGTTGGAAACGGGATTTCTTCATTTCATGCTAGACAGAAGAATTCTCAGTAACTTCTTTGTGCTGTGTGTATTCAACTCACAGAGTGGAACGTCCCTTTACACAGAGCAGATTTGAAACACTCTTTTTGTGGAGTTTGCAAGTGGAGATTTCAAGCGATTTGATGCCAACAGTAGAAAAGGAAATATCTTCAAATAAAAACTAGACAGAATCATTCTCAGAAACTACTTTGTGATGTGTGCCTTCAACTCACAGAGTTTAACCTTTCTTTTCTTAGAGCAGTTTAGAAACACTCTGCTTGTTATGTCTGCAAGTGGATATTTGGACCTCTTTGAGGCCTTCGTTGCAAACGGGGTTTCTTCCTTTCATGCTAGACTAAGAAGAGTTCTCAGTAACTTTTTTGTGTTGTGTGTATTCAACTCACAGGGTTGAACCTTGCTTTAGAGAGAGCAGATTTGAAACACTCTTGCTGTGGCATTTTCAGGTGGAGATTTCAAGCGATTTGAGGACAATTGCAGAAAAGGAAATATCTTCGTATAATAACCAGACAGAATCATTCTCAGAAAGTGCTTTGTGATGTGTGCGTTCCACTCACAGAGTTTAACCTTTCTTTTCATAGAGGAGTTTGGAAACACACTGTTTGTAAAGTCTGCAAGTGGATATATGGACCTGTTTGAGGCCTTCGTTGGAAACGGGATTTCTTCATTGAATGCTAGACGGAAGAATTCTCAGTAAATTCTTTGTGTTGTGTGCATTCAACTCACAGAGTGGAACGTCCCTTTAGACAGAGCAGATTTGAAACACTCTTTTTGCGGAATTTGCAAGTGGAGATTTCTAGCCATTTGATGCCAACTGTAGAAAGGGAAATATCTTCAAATAAAAACCAGGCAGAATCATTCTCAGAAAATTCTTTGTGATGTGTGCGTTCAACTCACATAGTTTAACCTTTCTTTTCATAGAGCAGTTTGGAAACACTCTGTTTGTAAAGTCTGCAAGTGGATATATGGACCGCATTGAGGCCTTCGTTGGAAACGGGATTTCTTCATTTCATGCTAGACAGAAGAATTCTCAGTAACTTCTTTGTGCTGTGTGTATTCAACTCACAGAGTGGAACGTCCCTTTGCACAGAGCAGATTTGAAACACTCTTTTTGTGGAATTTGCAAGTGGAGATTTCAAGCGATTTGATGCCAACAGTAGAAAAGGAAATATCTTCAAATAAAAACTAGACAGAATCATTCTCAGAAACTACTTTGTGATGTGTGCCTTCAACTCACAGAGTTTAACCTTTCTTTTCTTAGAGCAGTTTAGAAACACTCTGCTTGTTATGTCTGCAAGTGGATATTTGGACCTCTTTGAGGCCTTCGTTGCAAACGGGGTTTCTTCCTTTCATGCTAGACTAAGAAAGACTTCTCAGTAACGTTTTTGTGTTGTGTGTATTCAACTCACAGAGTTGAACCTTGCTTTAGAGAGAGCAGATTTGAAACACTCTTGCTGTGGCATTTTCAGGTGGAGATTTCAAGCGATTTGAGGACAATTGCAGAAAAGGAAATATCTTCGTATAATAACCAGACAGAATCATTCTCAGAAAGTGCTTTGTGATGTGTGCGTTCAACTCACAGAGTTTAACCTTTCTTTTCATAGAGGAGTTTGGAAACACACTGTTTGTAAAGTCTGCAATTGGATATATGGACCTGTTTGAGACCTTCGTTGGAAACGGGATTTCTTCATTTCATGCTAGACAGAAGAATTCTCAGTAAATTCTTTGTGTTGTGTGCATTCAACTCACAGAGTGGAACGTCCCTTTAGACAGAGCAGATTTGAAACACTCTTTTTGCGGAATTTGCAAGTGGAGATTTCTAGCCATTTGATGCCAACAGTAGAAAGGGAAATATCTTCAAATAAAAACCAGACAGAATCATTCTCAGAAAATTCTTTGTGATGTGTGCGTTCAACTCACATAGTTTAACCTTTCTTTTCATAGAGCAGTTTGGAAACACTCTGTTTGTAAAGTCTGCAAGTGGATCTATGGACCGCATTGAGGCCTTCGTTGGAAACGGGATTTCTTCATTTCATGCTAGACAGAAGAATTCTCAGTAACTTCTTTGTGCTGTGTGTATTCAACTCACAGAGTGGAACGTCCCTTTACACAGAGCAGATTTGAAACACTCGTTTTGTGGAGTTTGCAAGTGGAGATTTCAAGCGATTTGATGCCAACAGTAGAAAAGGAAGTATCTTCAAATAAAAACTAGACAGAATCATTCTCAGAAACTACTTTGTGATGTGTGCCTTCAACTAACAGAGTTTAACCTTTCTTTTCTTAGAGCAGCTTAGAAACACTCTGCTTGTTATGTCTGCAAGTTGATATTTGGACCTCTTTGAGGCCTTCGTTGCAAACGGGGTTTCTTCCTTTAATGCTAGACTAAGAAGAGTTCTCAGTAACTTTTTTGTGTTGTGTGTATTCAACTCACAGAGTTGAACCTTGCTTTAGAGAGAGCAGATTTGAAACACTCTTGCTGTGGCATTTTCAGGTGGAGATTTCAAGCGATTTGAGGACAATTGCAGAAAAGGAAATATCTTCGTATAATAACCAGACAGAATCATTCTCAGAAAGTGCTTTGTGATGTGTGCGTTCAACTCACAGAGTTTAACCTTTCTTTTCATAGAGGAGTTTGGAAACACACTGTTTGTAAAGTCTGCAAGTGGATATATGGACCTGTTTGAGGCCTTCGTTGGAAACGGGATTTCTTCATTGAATGCTAGACGGAAGAATTCTCAGTAAATTCTTTGTGTTGTGTGCATTCAACTCACAGAGTGGAACGTCCCTTTAGACAGAGCAGATTTGAAACACTCTTTTTGCGGAATTTGCAAGTGGAGATTTCTAGCCATTTGATGCCAACAGTAGAAAGGGAAATATCTTCAAATAAAAACCAGACAGAATCATTCTCAGAAAATTCTTTGTGATGTGTGCGTTCAACTCACATAGTTTAACCTTTCTTTTCATAGAGCAGTTTGGAAACACTCTGTTTGTAAAGTCTGCAAGTGGATATATGGACCGCATTGAGGCCTTCGTTGGAAACGGGATTTCTTCATTTCATGCTAGACAGAAGAATTCTCAGTAACTTCTTTGTGCTGTGTGTATTCAACTCACAGAGTGGAACGTCCCTTTGCACAGAGCAGATTTGAAACACTCTTTTTGTGGAATTTGCAAGTGGAGATTTCAAGCGATTTGATGCCAACAGTAGAAAAGGAAATATCTTCAAATAAAAACTAGACAGAATCATTCTCAGAAACTACTTTGTGATGTGTGCCTTCAACTCACAGAGTTTAACCTTTCTTTTCTTAGAGCAGTTTAGAAACACTCTGCTTGTTATGTCTGCAAGTGGATATTTGGACCTCTTTGAGGCCTTCGTTGCAAACGGGGTTTCTTCCTTTCATGCTAGACTAAGAAGAGTTCTCAGTAACTTTTTTGTGTTGTGTGTATTCAACTCACAGAGTTGAACCTTGCTTTAGAGAGAGCAGATTTGAAACACTCTTGCTGTGGCATTTTCAGTTGGAGATTTCAAGCGATTTGAGGACAATTGCAGAAAAGGAAATATCTTCGTATAATAACCAGACAGAATCATTCTCAGAAAGTGCTTTGTGATGTGTGCGTTCAACTCACAGAGTTTAACCTTTCTTTTCATAGAGGAGTTTGGAAACACACTGTTTGTAAAGTCTGCAATTGGATATATGGACCTGTTTGAGGCCTCCGTTGGAAACGGGATTTCTTCATTGAATGCTAGACGGAAGAATTCTCAGTAAATTCTTTGTGTTGTGTGCATTCAACTCACAGAGTGGAACGTCCCTTTAGACAGAGCAGATTTGAAACACTCTTTTTGCGGAATTTGCAAGTGGAGATTTCTAGCCATTTGATGCCAACAGTAGAAAGGGAAATATCTTCAAATAAAAACCAGACAGAATCATTCTCAGAAAATTCTTTGTGATGTGTGCGTTCAACTCACATAGTTTAACCTTTCTTTTCATAGAGCAGTTTGGAAACACTCTGTTTGTAAAGTCTGCAAGTGGATATATGGACCGCATTGAGGCCTTCGTTGGAAACGGGATTTCTTCATTTCATGCTAGACAGAAGAATTCTCAGTAACTTCTTTGTGCTGTGTGTATTCAACTCACAGAGTGGAACGTCCCTTTGCACAGAGCAGATTTGAAACACTCTTTTTGTGGAGTTTGCAAGTGGAGATTTCAAGCGATTTGATGCCAACAGTAGAAAAGGAAATATCTTCAAATAAAAACTAGACAGAATCATTCTCAGAAACTACTTTGTGATGTGTGCCTTCAACTCACAGAGTTTAACCTTTCTTTTCTTAGAGCAGTTTAGAAACACTCTGCTTGTTATGTCTGCAAGTGGATATTTGGACCTCTTTGAGGCCTTCGTTGCAAACGGGGTTTCTTCCTTTCATGCTAGACTAAGAAGAGTTCTCAGTAACTTTTTTGTGTTGTGTGTATTCAACTCACAGAGTTGAACCTTGCTTTAGAGAGAGCAGATTTGAAACACTCTTGCTGTGGCATTTTCAGGTGGAGATTTCAAGCGATTTGAGGACAATTGCAGAAAAGGAAATATCTTCGTATAATAACCAGACAGAATCATTCTCAGAAAGTGCTTTGTGATGTGTGCGTTCCACTCACAGAGTTTAACCTTTCTTTTCATAGAGGAGTTTGGAAACACACTGTTTGTAAAGTCTGCAAGTGGATATATGGACCTGTTTGAGGCCTTCGTTGGAAACGGGATTTCTTCATTGAATGCTAGACGGAAGAATTCTCAGTAAATTCTTTGTGTTGTGTGCATTCAACTCACAGAGTGGAACGTCCCTTTAGACAGAGCAGATTTGAAACACTCTTTTTGCGGAATTTGCAAGTGGAGATTTCTAGCCATTTGATGCCAACAGTAGAAAGGGAAATATCTTCAAATAAAAACCAGACAGAATCATTCTCAGAAAATTCTTTGTGATGTGTGCGTTCAACTCACATAGTTTAACCTTTCTTTTCATAGAGCAGTTTGGAAACACTCTGTTTGTAAAGTCTGCAAGTGGATATATGGACCGCATTGAGGCCTTCGTTGGAAACGGGATTTCTTCATTTCATGCTAGACAGAAGAATTCTCAGTAACTTCTTTGTGCTGTGTGTACTCAACTCACAGAGTGGAACGTTCCTTTACACAGAGCAGATTTGAAACACTCATTTTGTGGAATTTGCAAGTGGAGATTTCAAGCGATTTGATGCCAACAGTAGAAAAGGAAATATCTTCAAATAAAAACTAGACAGAATCATTCTCAGAAACTACTTTGTGATGTGTGCCTTCAACTCACAGAGTTTAACCTTTCTTTTCTTAGAGCAGTTTAGAAACACTCTGCTTGTTATGTCTGCAAGTGGATATTTGGACCTCTTTGAGGCCTTCGTTGCAAACGGGGTTTCTTCCTTTCATGCTAGACTAAGAAGAGTTCTCAGTAACTTTTTTGTGTTGTGTGTATTCAACTCACAGAGTTGAACCTTGCTTTAGAGAGAGCAGATTTGAAAAACTCTTGCTGTGGCATTTTCAGGTGGAGATTTCAAGCGATTTGAGGACAATTGCAGAAAAGGAAATATCTTCGTATAACAACCAGACAGAATCATTCTCAGAAAGTGCTTTGTGATGTGTGCGTTCAACTCACAGAGTTTAATCTTTCTTTTCATAGAGGAGTTTGGAAACACACTGTTTGTAAAGTCTGCAATTGGATATATGGACCTGTTTGAGGCCTTCGTTGGAAACGGGATTTCTTCATTGAATGCTAGACGGAAGAATTCTCAGTAAATTCTTTGTGTTGTGTGCATTCAACTCACAGAGTGGAACGTCCCTTTAGACAGAGCAGATTTGAAACACTCTTTTTGCGGAATTTGCAAGTGGAGATTTCTAGCCATTTGATGCCAACAGTAGAAAGGGAAATATCTTCAAATAAAAACCAGACAGAATCATTCTCAGAAAATTCTTTGTGATGTGTGCGTTCAACTCACATAGTTTAACCTTTCTTTTCATAGAGCAGTTTGGAAACACTCTGTTTGTAAAGTCTGCAAGTGGATATATGGACCGCATTGAGGCCTTCGTTGGAAACGGGATTTCTTCATTTCATGCTAGACAGAAGAATTCTCAGTAACTTCTTTGTGCTGTGTGTATTCAACTCACAGAGTGGAACGTCCCTTTGCACAGAGCAGATTTGAAACACTCTTTTTGTGGAGTTTGCAAGTGGAGATTTCAAGCGATTTGATGCCAACAGTAGAAAAGGAAATATCTTCAAATAAAAACTAGACAGAATCATTCTCAGAAACTACTTTGTGATGTGTGCCTTCAACTCACAGAGTTTAACCTTTCTTTTCTTAGAGCAGTTTAGAAACACTCTGCTTGTTATGTCTGCAAGTGGATATTTGGACCTCTTTGAGGCCTTCGTTGCAAACGGGGTTTCTTCCTTTCATGCTAGACTAAGAAGAGTTCTCAGTAACTTTTTTGTGTTGTGTGTATTCAACTCACAGAGTTGAACCTTGCTTTAGAGAGAGCAGATTTGAAACACTCTTGCTGTGGCATTTTCAGGTGGAGATTTCAAGCGATTTGAGGACAATTGCAGAAAAGGAAATATCTTCGTATAATAACCAGACAGAATCATTCTCAGAAAGTGCTTTGTGATGTGTGCGTTCCACTCACAGAGTTTAACCTTTCTTTTCATAGAGGAGTTTGGAAACACACTGTTTGTAAAGTCTGCAAGTGGATATATGGACCTGTTTGAGGCCTTCGTTGGAAACGGGATTTCTTCATTGAATGCTAGACGGAAGAATTCTCAGTAAATTCTTTGTGTTGTGTGCATTCAACTCACAGAGTGGAACGTCCCTTTAGACAGAGCAGATTTGAAACACTCTTTTTGCGGAATTTGCAAGTGGAGATTTCTAGCCATTTGATGCCAACAGTAGAAAGGGAAATATCTCAAATAAAAACCAGACAGAATCATTCTCAGAAAATTCTTTGTGATGTGTGCGTTCAACTCACATAATTTAACCTTTCTTTTCATAGAGCAGTTTGGAAACACTCTGTTTGTAAAGTCTGCAAGTGGATATATGGACCGCATTGAGGCCTTCGTTGGAAACGGGATTTCTTCATTTCATGCTAGACAGAAGAATTCTCAGTAACTTCTTTGTGCTGTGTGTATTCAACTCACAGAGTGGAACGTCCCTTTGCACAGAGCAGATTTGAAACACTCTTTTTGTGGAATTTGCAAGTGGAGATTTCAAGCGATTTGATGCCAACAGTAGAAAAGGAAATATCTTCAAATAAAAACTAGACAGAATCATTCTCAGAAACTACTTTGTGATGTGTGCCTTCAACTCACAGAGTTTAACCTTTCTTTTCTTAGAGCAGTTTAGAAACACTCTGCTTGTTATGTCTGCAAGTGGATATTTGGACCTCTTTGAGGCCTTCGTTGCAAACGGGGTTTCTTCCTTTCATGCTAGACTAAGAAGAGTTCTCAGTAACTTTTTTGTGTTGTGTGTATTCAACTGACAGAGTTGAACCTTGCTTTAGAGAGAGCAGATTTGAAACACTCTTGCTGTGGCATTTTCAGGTGGAGATTTCAAGCGATTTGAGGACAATTGCAGAAAAGGAAATATCTTCGTATAATAACCAGACAGAATCATTCTCAGAAAGTGCTTTGTGATGTGTGCGTTCAACTCACAGAGTTTAACCTTTCTTTTCATAGAGGAGTTTGGAAACACACTGTTTGTAAAGTCTGCAAGTGGATATATGGACCTGTTTGAGGCCTTCGTTGGAAACGGGATTTCTTCATTGAATGCTAGACGGAAGAATTCTCAGTAAATTCTTTGTGTTGTGTGCATTCAACTCACAGAGTGGAACGTCCCTTTAGACAGAGCAGATTTGAAACACTCTTTTTATGGAATTTGCAAGTGGAGATTTCTAGCCATTTGATGCCAACAGTAGAAAGGGAAATATCTTCAAATAAAAACCAGACAGAATCATTCTCAGAAAATTCTTTGTGATGTGTGCGTTCAACTCACATAGTTTAACCTTTCTTTTCATAGAGCAGTTTGGAAACACTCTGTTTGTAAAGTCTGGCAAGTGGATATATGGACCGCATTGAGGCCTTCGTTGGAAACGGGATTTCTTCATTTCATGCTAGACAGAAGAATTCTCAGTAACTTCTTTGTGCTGTGTGTATTCAACTCACAGAGTGGAACGTCCCTTTGCACAGAGCAGATTTGAAACACTCTTTTTGTGGAATTTGCAAGTGGAGATTTCAAGCGATTTGATGCCAACAGTAGAAAAGGAAATATCTTCAAATAAAAACTAGACAGAATCATTCTCAGAAACTACTTTGTGATGTGTGCCTTCAACTCACAGAGTTTAACCTTTCTTTTCTTAGAGCAGTTTAGAAACACTCTGCTTGTTATGTCTGCAAGTGGATATTTGGACCTCTTTGATGCCTTCGTTGCAAACGGGTTTCTTCCTTTCATGCTAGACTAAGAAGAGTTCTCAGTAACTTTTTTGTGTTGTGTGTATTCAACTCACAGAGTTGAACCTTGCTTTAGAGAGAGCAGATTTGAAACACTCTTGCTGTGGCATTTTCAGGTGGAGATTTCAAGCGATTTGAGGACAATTGCAGAAAAGGAAATATCTTCGTATAATAACCAGACAGAATCATTCTCAGAAAGTGCTTTGTGATGTGTGCGTTCAACTCACAGAGTTTAACCTTTCTTTTCATAGAGGAGTTTGGAAACACACTGTTTGTAAAGTCTGCAATTGGATATATGGACCTGTTTGAGGCCTTCGTTGGAAACGGGATTTCTTCATTGAATGCTAGACGGAAGAATTCTCAGTAAATTCTTTGTGTTGTGTGCATTCAACTCACAGAGTGGAACGTGCCTTTAGACAGAGCAGATTTGAAACACTCTTTTTGCGGAATTTGCAAGTGGAGATTTCTAGCCATTTGATGCCAACAGTAGAAAGGGAAATATCTTCAAATAAAAACCAGACAGAATCATTCTCAGAAAATTCTTTGTGATGTGTGCGTTCAACTCACATAGTTTAACCTTTCTTTTCATAGAGCAGTTTGGAAACACTCTGTTTGTAAAGTCTGCAAGTGGATATATGGACCGCATTGAGGCCTTCGTTGGAAACGGGATTTCTTCATTTCATGCTAGACAGAAGAATTCTCAGTAACTTCTTTGTGCTGTGTGTATTCAACTCACAGAGTGGAACGTCCCTTTGCACAGAGCAGATTTGAAACACTCTTTTTGTGGAATTTGCAAGTGGAGATTTCAAGCGATTTGATGCCAACAGTAGAAAAGGAAATATCTTCAAATAAAAACTAGACAGAATCATTCTCAGAAACTACTTTGTGATGTGTGCCTTCAACTCACAGAGTTTAACCTTTCTTTTCTTAGAGCAGTTTAGAAACACTCTGCTTGTTATGTCTGCAAGTGGATATTTGGACCTCTTTGAGGCCTTCGTTGCAAACGGGGTTTCTTCCTTTCATGCTAGACTAAGAAGAGTTCTCAGTAACTTTTTTGTGTTGTGTGTATTCAACTCACAGAGCTGAACCTTGCTTTAGAGAGAGCAGATTTGAAACACTCTTGCTGTGGCATTTTCAGGTGGAGATTTCAAGCGATTTGAGGACAATTGCAGAAAAGGAAATATCTTCGTATAACAACCAGACAGAATCATTCTCAGAAAGTGCTTTGTGATGTGTGCGTTCAACTCACAGAGTTTAACCTTTCTTTTCATAGAGGAGTTTGGAAACACACTGTTTGTAAAGTCTGCAATTGGATATATGGACCTGTTTGAGGCCTTCGTTGGAAACGGGATTTCTTCATTGCATGCTAGACGGAAGAATTCTCAGTAAATACTTTGTGTTGTGCGCATTCAACTGACAGAGTGGAACGTCCCTTTAGACAGAGCAGATTTGAAACACTCTTTTTGCGGAATTTGCAAGTGGAGATTTCTAGCCATTTGATGCCAACAGTAGAAAGGGAAATATCTTCAAATAAAAACCAGACAGAATCATTCTCAGAAAATTCTTTGTGATGTGTGCGTTCAACTCACATAGTTTAACCTTTCTTTTCATAGAGCAGTTTGGAAACACTCTTTTTGTAAAGTCTGCAAGTGGATATATGGACCTGTTTGAGGCCTTCGTTGGAAACGGGATTTCTTCATTGAATGCTAGAGGGAAGAATTCTCAGTAACTTCTTTGTGCTGTGTGTATTCAACTCACAGAGTGGAACGTCCCTTTGCACAGAGCGGATTTGAAACACTCTTTTTGTGGAGTTTGCAAGTGGAGATTTCAAGCGATTTGATGCCAACAGTAGAAAAGGAAATATCTTCAAATAAAAACTAGACAGAATCATTCTCAAAAACTACTTTGTGATGTGTGCCTTCAACTCACAGAGTTTAACCTTTCTTTTCTTAGAGCAGTTTAGAAACACTCTGCTTGTTATGTCTGCAAGTGGATATTTGGACCTCTTTGAGGCCTTCGTTGCAAACGGGGTTTCTTCCTTTCATGCTAGACTAAGAAGAGTTCTCAGTAACTTTTTTGTGTTGTGTGTATTCAACTCACAGAGTTGAACCTTGCTTTAGAGAGAGCAGATTTGAAACACTCTTGCTGTGGCATTTTCAGGTGGAGATTTCAAGCGTTTTGAGGACAATTGCAGAAAAGGAAATATCTTCGTATAATAACCAGACAGAATCATTCTCAGAAAGTGCTTTGTGATGTGTGCGTTCCACTCACAGAGTTTAACCTTTCTTTTCATAGAGGAGTTTGGAAACACACTGTGTGTAAACTCTGCAAGTGGATATATGGACCTGTTTGAGGCCTTCGTTGGAAACGGGATTTCTTCATTGAATGCTAGACGGAAGAATTCTCAGTAAATTCTTTGTGTTGTGTGCATTCAACTCACAGAGTGGAACGTCCCTTTAGACAGAGCAGATTTGAAACACTCTTTTTGCGGAATTTGCAAGTGGAGATTTCTAGCCATTTGATGCCAACAGTAGAAAGGGAAATATCTTCAAATAAAAACCAGACAGAATCATTCTCAGAAAATTCTTTGTGATGTGTGCTGTTCAACTCACATAGTTTAACCTTTCTTTTCATAGAGCAGTTTGGGAACACTCTGTTGGTAATGTCTGCAAGTGGATATATGGACCGCTTTGAGGCCTTCGTTGGAAAAGGGATTTCTTCATTTCATGCTAGACAGAAGAATTCTCAGTAACTTCTTTGTGCTGTGTGTATTCAACTCACAGAGTGGAACGTCCCTTTACACAGAGCAGATTTGAAACACTCTTTTTGTGGAGTTTGCAAGTGGAGATTTCAAGCGATTTGATGCCAACAGTAGAAAAGGAAATATCTGCAAACAAAAACTAGACAGAATCATTATCAGAAAGTGCTTTGTGATGTGTGCATTCAACTCACAGAGTTAACCTTTCTTTTCATAAAGGAGTTTGGAAACACACTGTTTGTAAAGTCTGCAATTGGATATATGGACCTGTTTGAGGCCTTCGTTCGAAACGGGATTTCTTCATTGAATGCTAGACGGAAGAATTCTCAGTAAATTCTTTGTGTTGTGTGCATTCAACTCACAGAGTGGAACGTCCCTTTAGACAGAGCAGATTTGAAACACTCTTTTTGCGGAATTTGCAAGTGGAGATTTCTAGCAATTTGATGCCAACAGTAGAAAGGGAAATATCTTCAAATAAAAACCAGACAGAATCATTCTCAGAAAATTCTTTGTGATGTGTGCGTTCAACTCACATAATTTAACCTTTCTTTTCATAGAGCAGTTTGGAAACACTCTGTTTGTAAAGTCTGCAAGTGGATATATGGACCGCATTGAGGCCTTCGTTGGAAACGGGATTTCTTCATTTCATGCTAGACAGAAGAATTCTCAGTAACTTCTTTGTGCTGTGTGTATTCAACTCACAGAGTGGAACGTCCCTTTGCACAGAGCAGATTTGAAACACTCTTTTTGTGGAATTTGCAAGTGGAGATTTCAAGCGATTTGATGCCAACAGTAGAAAAGGAAATATCTTCAAATAAAAACTAGACAGAATCATTCTCAGAAACTACTTTGTGATGTGTGCCTTCAACTCACAGAGTTTAACCTTTCTTTTCTTAGAGCAGTTTAGAAACACTCTGCTTGTTATGTCTGCAAGTGGATATTTGGACCTCTTTGAGGCCTTCGTTGCAAACGGGGTTTCTTCCTTTCATGCTAGACTAAGAAGAGTTCTCAGTAACTTTTTTGTGTTGTGTGTATTCAACTCACAGAGTTGAACCTTGCTTTAGAGAGAGCAGATTTGAAACACTCTTGCTGTGGCATTTTCAGGTGGAGATTTCAAGCGATTTGAGGACAATTGCAGAAAAGGAAATATCTTCGTATAATAACCAGACAGAATCATTCTCAGAAAGTGCTTTGTGATGTGTGCGTTCAACTCACAGAGTTTAACCTTTCTTTTCATAGAGGAGTTTGGAAACACACTGTTTGTAAAGTCTGCAATTGGATATATGGACCTGTTTGAGGCCTTCGTTGGAAACGGGATTTCTTCATTGAATGCTAGACGGAAGAATTCTCAGTAAATTCTTTGTGTTGTGTGCATTCAACTCACAGAGTGGAACGTCCCTTTAGACAGAGCAGATTTGAAACACTCTTTTTGCGGAATTTGCAAGTGGAGATTTCTAGCCATTTGATGCCAACAGTAGAAAGGGAAATATCTTCAAATAAAAACCAGACAGAATCATTCTCAGAAAATTCTTTGTGATGTGTGCGTTCAACTCACATAGTTTAACCTTTCTTTTCATGGAGCAGTTTGGAAACACTCTGTTTGTAAAGTCTGCAAGTGGATATATGGACCGCATTGAGGCCTTCGTTGGAAACGGGATTTCTTCATTTCATACTAGACAGAAGAATTCTCAGTAACTTCTTTGTGCTGTGTGTATTCAACTCACAGAGTGGAACGTCCCTTTGCACAGAGCAGATTTGAAACACTCTTTTTGTGGAGTTTGCAAGTGGAGATTTCAAGCGATTTGATGCCAACAGTAGAAAAGGAAATATCTTCAAATAAAAACTAGACAGAATCATTCTCAGAAACTACTTTGTGATGTGTGCCTTCAACTCACAGAGTTTAACCTTTCTTTTCTTAGAGCAGTTTAGAAACACTCTGCTTGTTATGTCTGCAAGTGGATATTTGGACCTCTTTGAGGCCTTCGTTGCAAACGGGGTTTCTTCCTTTCATGCTAGACTAAGAAGTGTTCTCAGTAACTTTTTTGTGTTGTGTGTATTCAACTCACAGAGTTGAACCTTGCTTTAGAGAGAGCAGATTTGAAACACTCTTGCTGTGGCATTTTCAGGTGGAGATTTCAAACGATTTGAGGACAATTGCAGAAAAGGAAATATCTTCGTATAATAACCAGACAGAATCATTCTCAGAAAGTGCTTTGTGATGTGCGCGTTCAACTCACAGAGTTTAACCTTTCTTTCCATAGAGGAGTTTGGAAACACACTGTTTGTAAAGTTTGCAAGTGGATATATGGACCTCTTTGAGACCTTCGTTGGAAACGGGATTTCTTCATTGAATGCTAGACGGAAGAATTCTCAGTAAATTCTTTGTGTTGTGTGCATTCAACTCACAGAGTGGAACGTCCCTTTAGACAGAGCAGATTTGAAACACTCTTTTTGCGGAATTTGCAAGTGGAGATTTCTAGCCATTTGATGCCAACAGTAGAAAGGGAAATATCTTCAAATAAAAACCAGACAGAATCATTCTCAGAAAATTGTTTGTGATGTGTGCGTTCAACTCACATAGTTTAACCTTTCTTTTCATAGAGCAGTTTGGAAACACTCTGTTTGTAAAGTCTGCAAGTGGATCTATGGACCGCATTGAGGCCTTCGTTGGAAACGGGATTTCTTCATTTCATGCTAGACAGAAGAATTCTCAGTAACTTCTTTGTGCTGTGTGTATTCAACTCACAGAGTGGAACGTCCCTTTACACAGAGCAGATTTGAAACACTCGTTTTGTGGAGTTTGCAAGTGGAGATTTCAAGCGATTTGATGCCAACAGTAGAAAAGGAAGTATCTTCAAATAAAAACTAGACAGAATCATTCTCAGAAACTACTTTGTGATGTGTGCCTTCAACTCACAGAGTTTAACCTTTCTTTTCTTAGAGCAGTTTAGAAACACTCTGCTTGTTATGTCTGCAAGTGGATATTTGGACCTCTTTGAGGCCTTCGTTGCAAACGGGGTTTCTTCCTTTAATGCTAGACTAAGAAGAGTTCTCAGTAACTTTTTTGTGTTGTGTGTATTCAACTCACAGAGTTGAACCTTGCTTTAGAGAGAGCAGATTTGAAACACTCTTGCTGTGGCATTTTCAGGTGGAGATTTCAAGCGATTTGAGGACAATTGCAGAAAAGGAAATATCTTCGTATAACAACCAGACAGAATCATTCTCAGAAAGTGCTTTGTGATGTGTGCGTTCAACTCACAGAGTTTAACCTTTCTTTTCATTGAGGAGTTTGGAAACACACTGTTTGTAAAGTCTGCAATTGGATATATGGACCTGTTTGAGGCCTTCGTTGGAAACGGGATTTCTTCATTGAATGCTAGACGGAAGAATTCTCAGTAAATTCTTTGTGTTGTGGGCATTCAACTGACAGAGTGGAACGTCCCTTAAGACAGAGCAGATTTGAAACACTCTTTTTGCGGAATTTGCAAGTGGAGATTTCTAGCCATTTGATGCCAACAGTAGAAAGGGAAATATCTTCAAATAAAAACCAGACAGAATCATTCTCAGAAAATTCTTTGTGATGTGTGCGTTCAACTCACATAGTTTAACCTTTCTTTTCATAGAGCAGTTTGGAAACACTCTGTTTGTAAAGTCTGCAAGTGGATATATGGACCGCATTGAGGCCTTCGTTGGAAACGGGATTTCTTCATTTCATGCTAGACAGAAGAATTCTCAGTAACTTCTTTGTGCTGTGTGTATTCAACTCACAGAGTGGAACGTCCCTTTGCACAGAGCAGATTTGAAACACTCTTTTTGTGGAGTTTGCAAGTGGAGATTTCAAGCGATTTGATGCCAACAGTAGAAAAGGAAATATCTTCAAATAAAAACTAGACAGAATCATTCTCAGAAACTACTTTGTGATGTGTGCCTTCAACTCACAGAGTTTAACCTTTCTTTTCTTAGAGCAGTTTAGAAACACTCTGCTTGTTATGTCTGCAAGTGGATATTTGGACCTCTTTGAGGCCTTCGTTGCAAACGGGGTTTCTTCCTTTCATGCTAGACTAAGAAGAGTTCTCAGTAACTTTTTTGTGTTGTGTGTATTCAACTCACAGAGTTGAACCTTGCTTTAGAGAGAGCAGATTTGAAACACTCTTGCTGTGGCATTTTCAGGTGGAGATTTCAAGCGATTTGAGGACAATTGCAGAAAAGGAAATATCTTCGTATAATAACCAGACAGAATCATTCTCAGAAAGTGTTTTGTGATGTGTGCGTTCAACTCACAGAGTTTAACCTTTCTTTTCATAGAGGAGTTTGGAAACACACTGTTTGTAAAGTCTGCAATTGGATATATGGACCTGTTTGAGGCCTTCGTTGGAAACGGGATTTCTTCATTGAATGCTAGACGGAAGAATTCTCAGTAAATTCTTTGTGTTGTGTGCATTCAACTCACAGAGTGGAACGTCCCTTTAGACAGAGCAGATTTGAAACACTCTTTTTGCGGAATTTGCAAGTGGAGATTTCTAGCCATTTGATGCCAACAGTAGAAAGGGAAATATCTTCAAATAAAAACCAGACAGAATCATTCTCAGAAAATTCTTTGTGATGTGTGCGTTCAACTCACATAGTTTAACCTTTCTTTTCATAGAGCAGTTTGGAAACACTCTTTTTGTAAAGTCTGCAAGTGGATATATGGACCTGTTTGAGGCCTTCGTTGGAAACGGGATTTCTTCATTGAATGCTAGACGGAAGAATTCTCAGTAAATTCTTTGTGTTGTGTGCATTCAACTCACAGAGTGGAACGTCCCTTTAGACAGAGCAGATTTGAAACACTCTTTTTGCGGAATTTGCTAGTGGAGATTTCTAGCCATTTGATGCCAACAGTAGAAAGGGAAATATCTTCAAATAAAAACCAGACAGAATCATTCTCAGAAAATTCTTTGTGATGTGTGCGTTCAACTCACATAGTTTAACCTTTCTTTTCATAGAGCAGTTTGGAAACACTCTGTTTGTAAAGTCTGCAAGTGGATATATGGACCGCATTGAGGCCTTCGTTGGAAACGGGATTTCTTCATTTCATGCTAGACAGAAGAATTCTCAGTAACTTCTTTGTGCTGTGTGTATTCAACTCACAGAGTGGAACGTCCCTTTACACAGAGCAGATTTGAAACACTCTTTTTGTGGAATTTGCAAGTGGAGATTTCAAGCGATTTGATGCCAACAGTAGAAAAGGAAATATCTACAAATAAAAACTAGACAGAATCATTCTCAGAAACTACTTTGTGATGTGTGCCTTCAACTCACAGAGTTTAACCTTTCTTTCCTTAGAGCAGTTTAGAAACACTCTGTTTGTTATGTCTGCAAGTGGATATTTGGACCTCTTTGAGGCCTTCGTTGCAAACGGGGTTTCTTCCTTTAATGCTAGATTAAGAAGAGTTCTCAGTAACTTTTTTGTGTTGTGTGTATTCAACTCACAGAGTTGAACCTTGCTTTAGAGAGAGCAGATTTGAAACACTCTTGCTGTGGCATTTTCAGGTGGAGATTTCAAGCGATTTGAGGACAATTGCAGAAAAGGAAATATCTTCGTATAATAACCAGACAGAATCATTCTCAGAAAGTGCTTTGTGATGTGTGCGTTCAACTCACAGAGTTTAACCTTTCTTTTCATAGAGGAGTTTGGAAACACACTGTTTGTAAAGTCTGCAATTGGATATATGGACCTGTTTGAGGCCTTCGTTGGAAACGGGATTTCTTCATTGAATGCTAGACGGAAGAATTCTCAGTAAATTCTTTGTGTTGTGTGCATTCAACTCACAGAGTGGAACGTCCCTTTAGACAGAGCAGATTTGAAACACTCTTTTTGCGGAATTTGCAAGTGGAGATTTCTAGCCATTTGATGCCAACAGTAGAAAGGGAAATATCTTCAAATAAAAACCAGACAGAATCATTCTCAGAAAATTCTTTGTGATGTGTGCGTTCAACTCACATAGTTTAACCTTTCTTTTCATAGAGCAGTTTGGAAACACTCTGTTTGTAAAGTCTGCAAGTGGATATATGGACCGCATTGAGGCCTTCGTTGGAAACGGGATTTCTTCATTTCATACTAGACAGAAGAATTCTCAGTAACTTCTTTGTGCTGTGTGTATTCAACTCACAGAGTGGAACGTCCCTTTGCACAGAGCAGATTTGAAACACTCTTTTTGTGGAGTTTGCAAGTGGAGATTTCAAGCGATTTGATGCCAACAGTAGAAAAGGAAATATCTTCAAATAAAAACTAGACAGAATCATTCTCAGAAACTACTTTGTGATGTGTGCCTTCAACTCACAGAGTTTAACCTTTCTTTTCATAGAGCAGTTTAGAAACACTCTGCTTGTTATGTCTGCAAGTGGATATTTGGACCTCTTTGAGGCCTTCGTTGCAAACGGGGTTTCTTCCTTTCATGCTAGACTAAGAAGAGTTCTCAGTAACTTTTTTGTGTTGTGTGTATTCAACTCACAGAGTTGAACCTTGCTTTAGAGAGAGCAGATTTGAAACACTCTTGCTGTGGCATTTTCAGGTGGAGATTTCAAGCGATTTGAGGACAATTACAGAAAAGGAAATATCTTCGTATAACAACCAGACAGAATCATTCTCAGAAAGTGCTTTGTGATGTGTGCGTTCAACTCACAGAGTTTAACCTTTCTTTTCATAGAGGAGTTTGGAAACACACTGTTTGTAAAGTCTGCAATTGGATATATGGACCTGTTTGAGGCCTTCGTTGGAAACGGGATTTCTTCATTGAATGCTAGACGGAAGAATTCTCAGTAAATTCTTCGTGTTGTGTGCATTCAACTCACAGAGTGGAACGTCCCTTTAGACAGAGCAGATTTGAAACACTCTTTTTGCGGAATTTGCAAGTGGAGATTTCTAGCCATTTGATGCCAACAGTAGAAAGGGAAATATCTTCAAATAAAAACCAGACAGAATCATTCTCAGAAAATTCTTTGTGATGTGTGCGTTCAACTCACATAGTTTAACCTTTCTTTTCATAGAGCAGTTTGGAAACACTCTGTTTGTAAAGTCTGCAAGTGGATATATAGACCGCATTGAGGCCTTCGTTGGAAACGGGATTTCTTCATTTCGTGCTTGACAGAAGAATTCTCAGTAACTTCTTTGTGCTGTGTGTATTCAACTCACAGAGTGGAACGTCCCTTTGCACAGAGCAGATTTGAAACACTCTTTTTGTGGAGTTTGCAAGTGGAGATTTCAAGCGATTTGATGCCAACAGTAGAAAAGGAAATATCTTCAAATAAAAACTAGACAGAATCATTCTCAGAAACTACTTTGTGATGTGTGCCTTCAACTCACAGAGTTTAACCTTTCTTTTCTTAGAGCAGTTTAGAAACACTCTGCTTGTTATGTCTGCAAGTGGATATTTGGACCTCTTTGAGGCCTTCGTTGCAAACGGGGTTTCTTCCTTTCATGCTAGACTAAGAAGAGTTCTCAGTAACTTTTTTGTGTTGTGTGTATTCAACTCACAGAGTTGAACCTTGCTTTAGAGAGAGCAGATTTGAAACACTCTTGCTGTGGCATTTTCAGGTGGAGATTTCAAGCGATTTGAGGACAATTGCAGAAAAGGAAATATCTTCGTATAATAACCAGACAGAATCATTCTCAGAAAGTGCTTTGTGATGTGTGCGTTCAACTCACAGAGTTTAACCTTTCTTTTCATAGAGGAGTTTGGAAACACACTGTTTGTAAAGTCTGCAATTGGATATATGGACCTGTTTGAGGCCTTCGTTGGAAACGGGATTTCTTCATTGAATGCTAGACGGAAGAATTCTCAGTAAATTCTTTGTGTTGTGTGCATTCAACTCACAGAGTGGAACGTCCCTTTAGACAGAGCAGATTTGAAACACTCTTTTTGCGGAATTTGCAAGTGGAGATTTCTAGCCATTTGATGCCAACAGTAGAAAGGGAAATATCTTCAAATAAAAACCAGACAGAATCATTCTCAGAAAATTCTTTGTGATGTGTGCGTTCAACTCACATAGTTTAACCTTTCTTTTCATGGAGCAGTTTGGAAACACTCTGTTTGTAAAGTCTGCAAGTGGATATATGGACCGCATTGAGGCCTTCGTTGGAAACGGGATTTCTTCATTTCATACTAGACAGAAGAATTCTCAGTAACTTCTTTGTGCTGTGTGTATTCAACTCACAGAGTGGAACGTCCCTTTGCACAGAGCAGATTTGAAACACTCTTTTTGTGGAGTTTGCAAGTGGAGATTTCAAGCGATTTGATGCCAACAGTAGAAAAGGAAATATCTTCAAATAAAAACTAGACAGAATCATTCTCAGAAACTACTTTGTGATGTGTGCCTTCAACTCACAGAGTTTAACCTTTCTTTTCTTAGAGCAGTTTAGAAACACTCTGCTTGTTATGTCTGCAAGTGGATATTTGGACCTCTTTGAGGCCTTCGTTGCAAACGGGGTTTCTTCCTTTCATGCTAGACTAAGAAGAGTTCTCAGTAACTTTTTTGTGTTGTGTGTATTCAACTCACAGAGTTGAACCTTGCTTTAGAGAGAGCAGATTTGAAACACTCTTGCGGTGGCATTTTCAGGTGGAGATTTCAAGCGATTTGAGGACAATTGCAGAAAAGGAAATATCTTTGTATAACAACCAGACAGAATCATTCTCAGAAAGTGCTTTGTGATGTGTGCGTTCAACTCACAGAGTTTAACCTTTCTTTTCATAGAGGAGTTTGGAAACACACTGTTTGTAAAGTCTGCAATTGGATATATGGACCTGTTTGAGGCCTTCGTTGGAAACGGGATTTCTTCATTGCATGCTAGACGGAAGAATTCTCAGTAAATTCTTTGTGTTGTGTGCATTCAACTCACAGAGTGGAACGTCCCTTTAGACAGAGCAGATTTGAAACACTCTTTTTGCGGAATTTGCAAGTGGAGATTTCTAGCCATTTGATGCCAACAGTAGAAAGGGAAATATCTTCAAATAAAAACCAGACAGAATCATTCTCAGAAAATTCTTTGTGATGTGTGCGTTCAACTCACATAGTTTAACCTTTCTTTTCATAGAGCAGTTTGGAAACACTCTGTTTGTAAAGTCTGCAAGTGGATATATGGACCGCATTGAGGCCTTCGTTGGAAACGGGATTTCTTCATTTCATGCTAGACAGAAGAATTCTCAGTAACTTCTTTGTGCTGTGTGTATTCAACTCACAGAGTGGAACGTCCCTTTACACAGAGCAGATTTGAAACACTCTTTTTGTGGAGTTTGCAAGTGGAGATTTCAAGCGATTTGATGCCAACAGTAGAAAAGGAAATATCTTCAAATAAAAACTAGACAGAATCATTCTCAGAAACTACTTTGTGATGTGTGCCTTCAACTCACAGAGTTTAACCTTTCTTTTCTTAGAGCAGTTTAGAAACACTCTGCTTGTTATGTCTGCAAGTGGATATTTGGACCTCTTTGAGGCCTTCGTTGCAAACGGGGTTTCTTCCTTTCATGCTAGACTAAGAAGAGTTCTCAGTAACTTTTTTGTGTTGTGTGTATTCAACTCACAGAGTTGAACCTTGCTTTAGAGAGAGCAGATTTGAAACACTCTTGCTGTGGCATTTTCAGGTGGAGATTTCAAGCGATTTGAGGACAATTGCAGAAAAGGAAATATCTTCGTATAATAACCAGACAGAATCATTCTCAGAAAGTGCTTTGTGATGTGTGCGTTCCACTCACAGAGTTTAACCTTTCTTTTCATAGAGGAGTTTGGAAACACACTGTTTGTAAAGTCTGCAATTGGATATATGGACCTGTTTGAGGCCTTCGTTGGAAACGGGATTTCTTCATTGAATGCTAGACGGAAGAATTCTCAGTAAATTCTTTGTGTTGTGTGCATTCAACTCACAGAGTGGAACGTCCCTTTAGACAGAGCAGATTTGAAACACTCTTTTTGCGGAATTTGCAAGTGGAGATTTCTAGCCATTTGATGCCAACAGTAGAAAGGGAAATATCTTCAAATAAAAACCAGACAGAATCATTCTCAGAAAATTCTTTGTGATGTGTGCATTCAACTCACATAGTTTAACCTTTCTTTTCATAGAGCAGTTTGGAAACACTCTGTTTGTAAAGTCTGCAAGTGGATATATGGACCGCATTGAGGCCTTCGTTGGAAACGGGATTTCTTCATTTCATGCTAGACAGAAGAATTCTCAGTAACTTCTTTGTGCTGTGTGTATTCAACTCACAGAGTGGAACGTCCCTTTGCACAGAGCAGATTTGAAACACTCTTTTTGTGGAGTTTGCAAGTGGAGATTTCAAGCGATTTGATGCCAACAGTAGAAAAGGAAGTATCTTCAAATAAAAACTAGACAGAATCATTCTCAGAAACTACTTTGTGATGTGTGCCTTCAACTCACAGAGTTTAACCTTTCTTTTCTTAGAGCAGTTTAGAAACACTCTGCTTGTTATGTCTGCAAGTGGATATTTGGACCTCTTTGAGGCCTTCGTTGCAAACGGGGTTTCTTCCTTTCATGCTAGACTAAGAAGAGTTCTCAGTAACTTTTTTGTGTTGTGTGTATTCAACTCACAGAGTTGAACCTTGCTTTAGAGAGAGCAGATTTGAAACACTCTTGCTGTGGCATTTTCAGGTGGAGATTTCAAGCGATTTGAGGACAATTGCAGAAAAGGAAATATCTTCGTATAACAACCAGACAGAATCATTCTCAGAAAGTGCTTTGTGATGTGTGCGTTCAACTCACAGAGTTTAACCTTTCTTTTCATAGAGGAGTTTGGAAACACACTGTTTGTAAAGTCTGCAATTGGATATATGGACCTGTTTGAGGCCTTCGTTGGAAACGGGATTTCTTCATTGCATGCTAGACGGAAGAATTCTCAGTAAATTCTTTGTGTTGTGTGCATTCAACTCACAGAGTGGAACGTCCCTTTAGACAGAGCAGATTTGAAACACTCTTTTTGCGGAATTTGCAAGTGGAGATTTCTAGCCATTTGATGCCAACAGTAGAAAGGGAAATATCTTCAAATAAAAACCAGACAGAATCATTCTCAGAAAATTCTTTGTGATGTGTGCGTTCAACTCACATAGTTTAACCTTTCTTTTCATAGAGCAGTTTGGAAACACTCTGTTTGTAAAGTCTGCAAGTGGATATATGGACCGCATTGAGGCCTTCGTTGGAAACGGGATTTCTTCATTTCATGTTAGACAGAAGAATTCTCAGTAACTTCTTTGTGCTGTGTGTATTCAACTCACAGAGTGGAACGTTCCTTTACACAGAACAGATTTGAAACACTCTTTTTGTGGAATTTGCAAGTGGAGATTTCAAGCGATTTGATGCCAACAGTAGAAAAGGAAATATCTTCAAATAAAAACTAGACAGAATCATTCTCAGAAACTACTTTGTGATGTGTGCCTTCAACTCACAGAGTTTAACCTTTCTTTTCTTAGAGCAGTTTAGAAACACTCTGCTTGTTATGTCTGCAAGTGGATATTTGGACCTCTTTGAGGCCTTCGTTGCAAACGGGGTTTCTTCCTTTCATGCTAGACTAAGAAGAGTTCTCAGTAACTTTTTTGTGTTGTGTGTATTCAACTCACAGAGTTGAACCTTGCTTTAGAGAGAGCAGATTTGAAACACTCTTGCTGTGGCATTTTCAGGTGGAGATTTCAAGCGTTTTGAGGACAATTGCAGAAAAGGAAATATCTTCGTATAATAACCAGACAGAATCATTCTCAGAAAGTGCTTTGTGATGTGTGCGTTCAACTCACAGAGTTTAACCTTTCTTTTCATAGAGGAGTTTGGAAACACACTGTTTGTAAAGTCTGCAAGTGGATATATGGACCTGTTTGAGGCCTTCGTTGGAAACGGGATTTCTTCATTGAATGCTAGACGGAAGAATTCTCAGTAAATTCTTTGTGTTGTGTGCATTCAACTCACAGAGTGGAACGTCCCTTTAGACAGAGCAGATTTGAAACACTCTTTTTGCGGAATTTACAAGTGGAGATTTCTAGCCATTTGATGCCAACAGTAGAAAGGGAAATATCTTCAAATAAAAACCAGACAGAATCATTCTCAGAAAATTCTTTGTGATGTGTGCGTTCAAATCACATAGTTTAACCTTTCTTTTCATAGAGCAGTTTGGAAACACTCTGTTTGTAAAGTCTGCAAGTGGATATATGGACCGCATTGAGGCCTTCGTTGGAAACGGGATTTCTCCATTTCATGCTAGACAGAAGAATTCTCAGTAACTTCTTTGTGCTGTGTGTATTCAACTCACAGAGTGGAACGTCCCTTTGCACAGAGCAGATTTGAAACACTCTTTTTGTGGAGTTTGCAAGTGGAGATTTCAAGCGATTTGATGCCAACAGTAGAAAAGGAAATATCTTCAAATAAAAACTAGGAAGAATCATTCTCAGAAACTACTTTGTGATGTGTGCCTTCAACTCACAGAGTTTAACCTTTCTTTTCTTAGAGCAGTTTAGAAACACTCTGCTTGTTATGTCTGCAAGTGGATATTTGGACCTCTTTGAGGCCTTCGTTGCAAACGGGGTTTCTTCCTTTCATGCTAGACTAAGAAGAGTTCTCAGTAACTTTTTTGTGTTGTGTGTATTCAACTCACAGAGTTGAACCTTGCTTTAGAGAGAGCAGATTTGAAACACTCTTGCTGTGGCATTTTCAGGTGGAGATTTCAAGCGATTTGAGGACAATTACAGAAAAGGAAATATCTTCGTATAACAACCAGACAGAATCATTCTCAGAAAGTGCTTTGTGATGTGTGCGTTCAACTCACAGAGTTTAACCTTTCTTTTCATAGAGGAGTTTGGAAACACACTGTTTGTAAAGTCTGCAATTGGATATATGGACCTGTTTGAGGCCTTCGTTGGAAACGGGATTTCTTCATTGAATGCTAGACGGAAGAATTCTCAGTAAATTCTTTGTGTTGTGTGCATTCAACTCACAGAGTGGAACGTCCCTTTAGACAGAGCAGATTTGAAACACTCTTTTTGCGGAATTTGCAAGTGGAGATTTCTAGCCATTTGATGCCAACAGTAGAAAGGGAAATATCTTCAAATAAAAACCAGACAGAATCATTCTCAGAAAATTCTTTGTGATGTGTGCGTTCAACTCACATAGTTTAACCTTTCTTTTCATAGAGCAGTTTGGAAACACTCTGTTTGTAAAGTCTGCAAGTGGATATATGGACCGCCTTGAGGCCTTCGTTGCAAACGGGGTTTCTTCCTTTCATGCTAGACAGAAGAATTCTCAGTAACTTCTTTGTGCTGTGTGTATTCAACTCACAGAGTTGAACCTTGCTTTAGAGAGAGCAGATTTGAAACACTCTTGCTGTGGCATTTTCAGGTGGAGATTTCAAGCGATTTGAGGACAATTGCAGAAAAGGAAATATCTTCAAATAATAACCAGACAGAATCATTCTCAGAAAGTGCTTTGTGATGTGTGCGTTCCACTCACAGAGTTTAACCTTTCTTTTCATAGAGGAGTTTGGAAACACACTGTTTGTAAAGTCTGCAAGTGGATATATGGACCTGTTTGAGGCCTTCGTTGGAAACGGGATTTCTTCATTGAATGCTAGACGGAAGAATTCTCAGTAAATTCTTTGTGTTGTGTGCATTCAACTCACAGAGTGGAACGTCCCTTTAGACAGAGCAGATTTGAAACACTCTTTTTGCGGAATTTGCAAGTGGAGATTTCTAGCCATTTGATGCCAACACTAGAAAGGGAAATATCTTCAAATAAAAACCAGACAGAATCATTCTCAGAAAATTCTTTGTGATGTGTGCGTTCAACTCACATAGTTTAACCTTTCTTTTCATAGAGCAGTTTGGAAACACTCTGTTTGTAAAGTCTGCAAGTGGATATATGGACCGCATTGAGGCCTTCGTTGGAAACGGGATTTCTTCATTTCATGCTAGACAGAAGAATTCTCAGTAACTTCTTTGTGCTGTGTGTATTCAACTCACAGAGTGGAACGTCCCTTTACACAGAGCAGATTTGAAACACTCTTTTTGTGGAGTTTGCAAGTGGAGATTTCAAGCGATTTGATGCCAACAGTAGAAAAGGAAATATCTTCAAATAAAAACTAGACAGAATCATTCTCAGAAACTACTTTGTGATGTGTGCCTTCAACTCACAGAGTTTAACCGTTCTTTTCTTAGAGCAGTTTAGAAACACTCTGCTTGTTATGTCTGCAAGTGGATATTTGGACCTCTTTGAGGCCTTCGTTGCAAACGGGGTTTCTTCCTTTAATGCTAGACTAAGAAGAGTTCTCAGTAACTTTTTTGTGTTGTGTGTATTCAACTCACAGAGTTGAACCTTGCTTTAGAGAGAGCAGATTTGAAACACTCTTGCTGTGGCATTTTCAGGTGGAGATTTCAAGCGATTTGAGGACAATTGCAGAAAAGGAAATATCTTCGTATAATAACCAGACAGAATCATTCTCAGAAAGTGCTTTGTGATGTGTGCGTTCAACTCACAGAGTTTAACCTTTCTTTTCATAGAGGAGTTTGGAAACACACTGTTTGTAAAGTCTGCAAGTGGATATATGGACCTGTTTGAGGCCTTCGTTGGAAACGGGATTTCTTCATTGAATGCTAGACGGAAGAATTCTCAGTAAATTCTTTGTGTTGTGTGCATTCAACTCACAGAGTGGAACGTCCCTTTAGACAGAGCAGATTTGAAACACTCTTTTTGCGGAATTTGCAAGTGGAGATTTCTAGCCATTTGATGCCAACAGTAGAAAGGGAAATATCTTCAAATAAAAACCAGACAGAATCATTCTCAGAAAATTCTTTGTGATGTGTGCGTTCAACTCACATAGTTTAACCTTTCTTTTCATAGAGCAGTTTGGAAACACTCTGTTTGTAAAGTCTGCAAGTGGATATATGGACCGCATTGAGGCCTTCGTTGGAAACGGGATTTCTTCATTTCATGCTAGACAGAAGAATTCTCAGTAACTTCTTTGTGCTGTGTGTATTCAACTCACAGAGTGGAACGTCCCTTTGCACAGAGCAGATTTGAAACACTCTTTTTGTGGAATTTGCAAGTGGAGATTTCAAGCGATTTGATGCCAACAGTAGAAAAGGAAATATCTTCAAATAAAAACTAGACAGAATCATTCTCAGAAACTACTTTGTGATGTGTGCCTTCAACTCACAGAGTTTAACCTTTCTTTTCTTAGAGCAGTTTAGAAACACTCTGCTTGTTATGTCTGCAAGTGGATATTTGGACCTCTTTGAGGCCTTCGTTGCAAACGGGGTTTCTTCCTTTCATGCTAGACTAAGAAGAGTTCTCAGTAACTTTTTTGTGTTGTGTGTATTCAACTCACAGAGTTGAACCTTGCTTTAGAGAGAGCAGATTTGAAACACTCTTGCTGTGGCATTTTCAGGTGGAGATTTCAAGCGATTTGAGGACAATTGCAGAAAAGGAAATATCTTCGTATAACAACCAGACAGAATCATTCTCAGAAAGTGCTTTGTGATGTGTGCGTTCCACTCACAGAGTTTAACCTTTCTTTTCATAGAGGAGTTTGGAAACACACTGTTTGTAAAGTCTGCAAGTGGATATATGGACCTGTTTGAGGCCTTCGTTGGAAACGGGATTTCTTCATTGACTGCTAGACGGAAGAATTCTCAGTAAATTCTTTGTGTGGTGTGCATTCAACTCACAGAGTGGAACGTCCCTTTAGACAGAGCAGATTTGAAACACTCTTTTTGCGGAATTTGCAAGTGGAGATTTCTAGCCATTTGATGCCAACAGTAGAAAGGGAAATATCTTCAAATAAAAACCAGACAGAATCATTCTCAGAAAATTCTTTGTGATGTGTGCGTTCAACTCACATAGTTTAACCTTTCTTTTCATAGAGCAGTTTGGAAACACTCTGTTTGTAAAGTCTGCAAGTGGATATATGGACCGCATTGAGGCCTTCGTTGGAAACGGGATTTCTTCATTTCATGCTAGACAGAAGAATTCTCAGTAACTTCTTTGTGCTGTGTGTATTCAACTCACATAGTGGAACGTCCCTTTGCACAGAGCAGATTTGAAACACTCTTTTTGTGGAGTTTGCAAGTGGAGATTTCAAGCGATTTGATGCCAACAGTAGAAAAGGAAATATCTTCAAATAAAAACTAGACAGAATCATTCTCAGAAACTACTTTGTGATGTGTGCCTTCAACTCACAGAGTTTAACCTTTCTTTTCTTAGAGCAGTTTAGAAACACTCTGCTTGTTATGTCTGCAAGTGGATATTTGGACCTCTTTGAGGCCTTCGTTGCAAACGGGGTTTCTTCCTTTCATGCTAGACTAAGAAGAGTTCTCAGTAACTTTTTTGTGTTGTGTGTATTCAACTCACAGAGTTGAACCTTGCTTTAGAGAGAGCAGATTTGAAACACTCTTGCTGTGACATTTTCAGGTGGAGATTTCAAGCGATTTGAGGACAATTGCAGAAAAGGAAATATCTTCGTATAACAACCAGACAGAATCATTCTCAGAAAGTGCTTTGTGATGTGTGCGTTCCACTCACAGAGTTTAACCTTTCTTTTCATAGAGGAGTTTGGAAACACACTGTTTGTAAAGTCTGCAAGTGGATATATGGACCTGTTTGAGGCCTTCGTTGGAAACGGGATTTCTTCATTGAATGCTAGGCGGAAGAATTCTCAGTAAATTCTTTGTGTTGTGTGCATTCAACTG
Organism: Homo sapiens; assembly: GCF_000001405.40. Classification (NCBI taxonomy): domain Eukaryota; kingdom Metazoa; phylum Chordata; class Mammalia; order Primates; family Hominidae; genus Homo; species Homo sapiens. The sequence continues at coordinate 59,699,201 of NC_000007.14, forward strand.
ACAGAGTGGAACGTCCCTTTAGACAGAGCAGATTTGAAACACTGTTTTTGCGGAATTTGCAAGTGGAGATTTCTAGCCATTTGATGCCAACAGTAGAAAGGGAAATATCTTCAAATAAAAACCAGACAGAATCATTCTCAGAAAATTCTTTGTGATGTGTGCGTTCAACTCACATAGTTTAACCTTTCTTTTCATAGAGCAGTTTGGAAACACTCTGTTTGTAAAGTCTGCAAGTGGATATATGGACCGCATTGAGGCCTTCGTTGGAAACGGGATTTCTTCATTTCATGCTAGACAGAAGAATTCTCAGTAACTTCTTTGTGCTGTGTGTATTCAACTCACAGAGTGGAACGTCCCTTTACACAGAGCAGATTTGAAACACTCTTTTTGTGGAGTTTGCAAGTGGAGATTTCAAGCGATTTGATGCCAACAGTAGAAAAGGAAATATCTTCAAATAAAAACTAGACAGAATCATTCTCAGAAACTACTTTGTGATGTGTGCCTTCAACTCACAGAGTTTAACCTTTCTTTTCTTAGAGCAGTTTAGAAACACTCTGCTTGTTATGTCTGCAAGTGGATATTTGGACCTCTTTGAGGCCTTCGTTGCAAACGGGGTTTCTTCCTTTAATGCTAGACTAAGAAGAGTTCTCAGTAACTTTTTTGTGTTGTGTGTATTCAACTCACAGAGTTGAACCTTGCTTTAGAGAGAGCAGATTTGAAACACTCTTGCTGTGGGATTTTCAGGTGGAGATTTCAAGCGATTTGAGGACAATTGCAGAAAAGGAAATATCTTCGTATAGTAACCAGACAGAATCATTCTCAGAAAGTGCTTTGTGATGTGTGCGTTCAACTCACAGAGTTTAACCTTTCTTTTCATAGAGGAGTTTGGAAACACACTGTTTGTAATGTCTGCAATTGGATATATGGACCTGTTTGAGGCCTTCGTTGGAAACGGGATTTCTTCATTGAATGCTAGACGGAAGAATTCTCAGTAAATTCTTTGTGTTGTGTGCATTCAACTCACAGAGTGGAACGTCCCTTTAGACAGAGCAGATTTGAAACACTCTTTTTGCGGAATTTGCAAGTGGAGATTTCTAGCCATTTGATGCCAACAGTAGAAAGGGAAATATCTTCAAATAAAAACCAGACAGAATCATTCTCAGAAAATTCTTTGTGATGTGTGCGTTCAACTCACATAGTTTAACCTTTCTTTTCATAGAGCAGTTTGGAAACACTCTGTTTGTAAAGTCTGCAAGTGGATCTATGGACCGCATTGAGGCCTTCGTTGGAAACGGGATTTCTTCATTTCATGCTAGACAGAAGAATTCTCAGTAACTTCTTTGTGCTGTGTGTATTCAACTCACAGAGTGGAACGTCCCTTTACACAGAGCAGATTTGAAACACTCGTTTTGTGGAGTTTGCAAGTGGAGATTTCAAGCGATTTGATGCCAACAGTAGAAAAGGAAGTATCTTCAAATAAAAACTAGACAGAATCATTCTCAGAAACTACTTTGTGATGTGTGCCTTCAACTCACAGAGTTTAACCTTTCTTTTCTTAGAGCAGTTTAGAAACACTCTGCTTGTTATGTCTGCAAGTGGATATTTGGACCTCTTTGAGGCCTTCGTTGCAAACGGGGTTTCTTCCTTTCATGCTAGACTAAGAAGAGTTCTCAGTAACTTTTTTGTGTTGTGTGTATTCAACTCACAGAGCTGAACCTTGCTTTAGAGAGAGCAGATTTGAAACACTCTTGCTGTGGCATTTTCAGGTGGAGATTTCAAGCGATTTGAGGACAATTGCAGAAAAGGAAATATCTTCGTATAATAACCAGACAGAATCATTCTCAGAAAGTGCTTTGTGATGTGTGCGTTCCACTCACAGAGTTTAACCTTTCTTTTCATAGAGGAGTTTGGAAACACACTGTTTGTAAACTCTGCAAGTGGATACATGGACCTGTTTCAGGCCTTCGTTGGAAACGGGATTTCTTCATTGAATGCTAGACGGAAGAATTCTCAGTAAATTCTTTGTGTTGTGTGCATTCAACTCACAGAGTGGAACGTCCCTTTAGACAGAGCAGATTTGAAACACTCTTTTTGCGGAATTTGCAAGTGGAGATTTCTAGCCATTTGATGCCAACAGTAGAAAGGGAAATATCTTCAAATAAAAACCAGACAGAATCATTCTCAGAAAATTCTTTGTGATGTGTGCGTTCAACTCACATAGTTTAACCTTTCTTTTCATAGAGCAGTTTGGAAACACTCTGTTTGTAAAGTCTGCAAGTGGATATATGGACCGCATTGAGGCCTTCGTTGGAAACGGGATTTCCTTCATTTCATGCTAGACAGAAGAATTCTCAGTAACTTCTTTGTGCTGTGTGTATTCAACTCACAGAGTGGAACGTCCCTTTGCACAGAGCGGATTTGAAACACTCTTTTTGTGGAGTTTGCAAGTGGAGATTTCAAGCGATTTGATGCCAACAGTAGAAAAGGAAATATCTTCAAATAAAAACTAGACAGAATCATTCTCAAAAACTACTTTGTGATGTGTGCCTTCAACTCACAGAGTTTAACCTTTCTTTTCTTAGAGCAGTTTAGAAACACTCTGCTTGTTATGTCTGCAAGTGGATATTTGGGCCTCTTTGAGGCCTTCGTTGCAAACGGGGTTTCTTCCTTTCATGCTAGACTAAGAAGAGTTCTCAGTAACTTTTTTGTGTTGTGTGTATTCAACTCACAGAGTTGAACCTTGCTTTAGAGAGAGCAGATTTGAAACACTCTTGATGTGGCATTTTCAGGTGGAGATTTCAAGCGATTTGAGGACAATTGCAGAAAAGGAAATATCTTCGTATAATAACCAGACAAAATCATTCTCAGAAAGTGCTTTGTGATGTGTGCGTTCAACTCACAGAGTTTAACCTTTCTTTTCATAGAGGAGTTTGGAAACACACTGTTTGTAAAGTCTGCAATTGGATATATGGACCTGTTTGAGGCCTTCTTTGGAAACGGGATTTCTTCATTGAATGCTAGACGGAAGAATTCTCAGTAAATTCTTTGTGTTGTGTGCATTCAACTCACAGAGTGGAACGTCCCTTTAGACAGAGCAGATTTGAAACACTCTTTTTGCGGAATTTGCAAGTGGAGATTTCTAGCCATTTGATGCCAACAGTAGAAAGGGAAATATCTTCAAATAAAAACCAGACAGAATCATTCTCAGAAAATTCTTTGTGATGTGTGCGTTCAACTCACATAGTTTAACCTTTCTTTTCATAGAGCAGTTTGGAAACACTCTGTTTGTAAAGTCTGCAAGTGGATATATGGACCGCATTGAGGCCTTCGTTGGAAACGGGATTTCTTCATTTCATGCTAGACAGAAGAATTCTCAGTAACTTCTTTGTGCTGTGTGTATTCAACTCACAGAGTGGAACGTCCCTTTGCACAGAGCAGATTTGAAACACTCTTTTTGTGGAGTTTGCAAGTGGAGATTTCAAGCGATTTGATGCCAACAGTAGAAAAGGAAATATCTTCAAATAAAAACTAGACAGAATCATTCTCAGAAACTACTTTGTGATGTGTGCCTTCAACTCACAGAGTTTAACCTTTCTTTTCTTAGAGCAGTTTAGAAACACTCTGCTTGTTATGTCTGCAAGTGGATATTTGGACCTCTTTGAGGCCTTCGTTGCAAATGGGGTTTCTTCCTTTAATGCTAGACTAAAGAGTTCTCAGTAACTTTTTTGTGTTGTGTGTATTCAACTCACAGAGTTGAACCTTGCTTTAGAGAGAGCAGATTAGAAACACTCTTGCTGTGGCATTTTCAGGTGGAGATTTCAAGCGATTTGAGGACAATTGCAGAAAAGGAAATATCTTCGGTATAACAACCAGACAGAATCATTCTCAGAAAGTGCTTTGTGATGTGTGCGTTCAACTCACAGAGTTTAACCTTTCTTTTCATAGAGGAGTTTGGAAACACACTGTTTGTAAAGTCTGCAATTGGATATATGGACCTGTTTGAGGCCTTCGTTGGAAACGGGATTTCTTCATTGAATGCTAGACGGAAGAATTCTCAGTAAATTCTTTGTGTTGTGTGCATTCAACTGACAGAGTGGAACGTCCCTTTAGACAGAGCAGATTTGAAACACTCTTTTTGCGGAATTTGCAAGTGGAGATTTCTAGCCATTTGATGCCAACAGTAGAAAGGGAAATATCTTCAAATAAAAACCAGACAGAATCATTCTCAGAAAATTCTTTGTGATGTGTGCGTTCAACTCACATAGTTTAACCTTTCTTTTCATAGAGCAGTTTGGAAACACTCTGTTTGTAAAGTCTGCAAGTGGATATATGGACCGCATTGAGGCCTTCGTTGGAAACGGGATTTCTTCATTTCATGCTAGACAGAAGAATACTCAGTAACTTCTTTGTGCTGTGTGTATTCAACTCACAGAGTGGAACGTCCCTTTACAGAGAGCAGATTTGAAACACTCTTTTTGTGGAGTTTGCAAGTGGAGATTTCAAGCGATTTGATGCCAACAGTAGAAAAGGAAATATCTTCAAATAAAAACTAGACAGAATCATTCTCAGAAACTACTTTGTGATGTGTGCCTTCAACTCACAGAGTTTAACCTTTCTTTTCTTAGAGCACTTTAGAAACACTCTGCTTGTTATGTCTGCAAGTGGATATTTGGACCTCTTTGAGGCCTTCGTTGCAAACGGGGTTTCTTCCTTTCATGCTAGACTAAGAAGAGTTCTCAGTAACTTTTTTGTGTTGTGTGTATTCAACTCACAGAGTTGAACCTTGCTTTAGAGAGAGCAGATTTGAAACACTCTTGCTGTGGCATTTTCAGGTGGAGATTTCAAGCGATTTGAGGACAATTGCAGAAAAGGAAATATCTTCGTATAATAACCAGACAGAATCATTCTCAGAAAGTGCTTTGTGATGTGTGCGTTCCACTCACAGAGTTTAACCTTTCTTTTCATAGAGGAGTTTGGAAACACACTGTTTGTAAAGTCTGCAATTGGATATATGGACCTGTTTGAGGCCTTCGTTGGAAACGGGATTTCTTCATTGAATGCTAGACGGAAGAATTCTCAGTAAATTCTTTGTGTTGTGTGCATTCAACTCACAGAGTGGAACGTCCCTTTAGACAGAGCAGATTTGAAACACTCTTTTTGCGGAATTTGCAAGTGGAGATTTCTAGCCATTTGATGCCAACAGTAGAAAGGGAAATATCTTCAAATAAAAACCAGACAGAATCATTCTCAGAAAATTCTTTGTGATGTGTGCGTTCAACTCACATAGTTTAACCTTTCTTTTCATAGAGCAGTTTGGAAACACTCTGTTTGTAAAGTCTGCAAGTGGATATATGGACCGCATTGAGGCCCTTCGTTGGAAACGGGATTTCTTCATTTCATGCTAGACAGAAGAATTCTCAGTAACTTCTTTGTGCTGTGTGTATTCAACTCACAGAGTGGAACGTCCCTTTGCACAGAGCAGATTTGAAACACTCTTTTTGTGGAATTTGCAAGTGGAGATTTCAAGCGATTTGATGCCAACAGTAGAAAAGGAAATATCTTCAAATAAAAACTAGACAGAATCATTCTCAGAAACTACTTTGTGATGTGTGCCTTCAACTCACAGAGTTAACCTTTCTTTTCTTAAAGCAGTTTAGAAACACTCTGCTTGTTATGTCTGCAAGTGGATATTTGGACCTCTTTGAGGCCTTCGTTGCAAACGGGGTTTCTTCCTTTAATGCTAGACTAAGAAGAGTTCTCAGTAACTTTTTTGTGTTGTGTGTATTCAACTCACAGAGTTGAACCTTGCTTTAGAGAGAGCAGATTTGAAACACTCTTGCTGTGGCATTTTCAGGTGGAGATTTCAAGCGATTTGAGGACAATTACAGAAAAGGAAATATCTTCGTATAACAACCAGACAGAATCATTCTCAGAAAGTGCTTTGTGATGTGTGCGTTCCACTCACAGAGTTTAACCTTTCTTTTCATAGAGGAGTTTGGAAACACACTGTTTGTAAAGTCTGCAAGTGGATATATGGACCTGTTTGAGGCCTTCGTTGGAAACGGGATTTCTTCATTGAATGCTAGACGGAAGAATTCTCAGTAAATTCTTTGTGTTGTGTGCATTCAACTCACAGAGTGGAACGTCCCTTTAGACACAGGAGATTTGAAACACTCTTTTTGCGGAATTTGCAAGTGGAGATTTCTAGCCATTTGATGCCAACAGTAGAAAGGGAAATATCTTCAAATAAAAACCAGACAGAATCATTCTCAGAAAATTCTTTGTGATGTGTGCGTTCAACTCACATAGTTTAACCTTTCTTTTCATAGAGCAGTTTGGAAACACTCTGTTTGTAAAGTCTGCAAGTGGATATATGGACCGCATTGAGGCCTTCGTTGGAAACGGGATTTCTTCATTTCATGCTAGACAGAAGAATTCTCAGTAACTTCTTTGTGCTGTGTGTATTCAACTCACAGAGTGGAACGTCCCTTTGCACAGAGCAGATTTGAAACACTCTTTTTGTGGAGTTTGCAAGTGGAGATTTCAAGCGATTTGATGCCAACAGTAGAAAAGGAAATATCTTCAAATAAAAACTAGACAGAATCATTCTCAGAAACTACTTTGTGATGTGTGCCTTCAACTCACAGAGTTTAACCTTTCTTTTCTTAGAGCAGTTTAGAAACACTCTGCTTGTTATGTCTGCAAGTGGATATTTGGACCTCTTTGAGGCCTTCGTTGCAAACGGGGTTTCTTCCTTTAATGCTAGACTAAGAAGAGTTCTCAGTAACTTTTTTGTGTTGTGTGTATTCAACTCACAGAGTTGAACCTTGCTTTAGAGAGAGCAGATTTGAAACACTCTTGCTGTGGCATTTTCAGGTGGAGATTTCAAGCGATTTGAGGACAATTGCAGAAAAGGAAATATCTTCGTATAACAACCAGACAGAATCATTCTCAGAAAGTGCTTTGTGATGTGTGCGTTCAACTCACAGAGTTTAACCTTTCTTTTCATAGAGGAGTTTGGAAACACACTGTTTGTAAAGTCTGCAATTGGATATATGGACCTGTTTGAGGCCTTCGTTGTAAAAGGGGTTTCTTCATTGAATGCTAGACGGAAGAATTCTCAGTAAATTCTTTGTGTTGTGTGCATTCAACTCACAGAGTGGAACGTCCCTTTAGACAGAGCAGATTTGAAACACTCTTTTTGCGGAATTTGCAAGTGGAGATTTCTAGCCATTTGATGCCAACAGTAGAAAGGGAAATATCTTCAAATAAAAACCAGACAGAATCATTCTCAGAAAATTCTTTGTGATGTGTGCGTTCAACTCACATAGTTTAACCTTTCTTTTCATAGAGCAGTTTGGAAACACTCTGTTTGTAAAGTCTGCAAGTGGATATATGGACCGCATTGAGGCCTTCGTTGGAAACGGGATTTCTTCATTTCATGCTAGACAGAAGAATTCTCAGTAACTTCTTTGTGCTGTGTGTATTCAACTCACAGAGTGGAACGTCCCTTTACACAGAGCAGATTTGAAACACTCTTTTTGTGGAGTTTGCAAGTGGAGATTTCAAGCGATTTGATGCCAGCAGTAGAAAAGGAAATATCTTCAAATAAAAACTAGACAGAATCATTCTCAGAAACTACTTTGTGATGTGTGCCTTCAACTCACAGAGTTTAACCTTTCTTTTCTTAGAGCAGTTTAGAAACGCTCTGCTTGTTATGTCTGCAAGTGGATATTTGGACCTCTTTGAGGCCTTCGTTGCAAACGGGGTTTCTTCCTTTAATGCTAGACTAAGAAGAGTTCTCAGTAACTTTTTTGTGTTGTGTGTATTCAACACACAGAGTTGAACCTTGCTTTAGAGAGAGCAGATTTGAAACACTCTTGCTGTGGCATTTTCAGGTGGAGATTTCAAGCGATTTGAGGACAATTGTAGAAAAGGAAATATCTTCGTATAATAACCAGACAGAATCATTCTCAGAAAGTGCTTTGTGATGTGTGCGTTCAACTCACAGAGTTTAACCTTTCCTTTCATAGAGGAGTTTGGAAGCACACTGTTTGTAAAGTCTGCAATTGGATATATGGACCTGTCTGAGGCCTTCGTTGGAAACGGGATTTTATCATATAATGCTAGACGGAAGAATTCTCAGTAAATTCTTTGCGTTGTGTGCATTCAACTGACAGAATGGAACGTCCCTTTAGACAGAGCAGATTTGAAACACTCTTTTTGCGGAATTTGCAAGTGGAGATTTCTAGCCATTTGATGCCAACAGTAGAAAGGGAAATATCTTCAAATAAAAACCAGACAGAATCATTCTCAGAAAATTCTTTGTGATGTGTGCGTTCAACTCACATAGTTTAACCTTTCTTTTCATAGAGCAGTTTGGAAACACTCTGTTTGTAAAGTCTGCAAGTGGATATATGGACCGCATTGAGGCCTTCGTTGGAAACGGGATTTCTTCATTTCATGCTAGACAGAAGAATTCTCAGTAACTTCTTTGTGCTGTGTGTATTCAACTCACAGAGTGGAACGTCCCTTTGCACAGAGCAGATTTGAAACACTCTTTTTGTGGAGTTTGCAAGTGGAGATTTCAAGCGATTTGATGCCAACAGTAGAAAAGGAAGTATCTTCAAATAAAAACTAGCACAGAATCATTCTCAGAAACTACTTTGTGATGTCTGCCTTCAACTCACAGAGTTTAACCTTTCTTTTCTTAGAGCAGTTTAGAAACACTCTGCTTGTTATGTCTGCAAGTGGATATTTGGACCTCTTTGAGGCCTTCGTTGCAAACGGGGTTTCTTCCTTTCATGCTAGACTAAGAAGAGTTCTCAGTAACTTTTTTGTGTTGTGTGTATTCAACTCACAGAGTTGAACCTTGCTTTAGAGAGAGCAGATTTGAAACACTCTTGCTGTGGCATTTTCAGGTGGAGATTTCAAGCGATTTGAGGACAATTGCAGAAAAGGAAATATCTTCGTATAATAACCAGACAGAATCATTTTCAGAAAGTGCTTTGTGATGTGTGCGTTCAACTCACAGAGTTTAACCTTTCTTTTCATAGAGGAGTTTGGAAACACACTGTTTGTAAAGTCTGCAAGTGGATATATGGACCTGTTTGAGGCCTTCGTTGGAAACGGGATTTCTTCATTGAATGCTAGACGGAAGAATTCTCAGTAAATTCTTTGTGTTGTGTGCATTCAACTCACAGAGTGGAACGTCCCTTTAGACAGAGCAGATTTGAAACACTCTTTTTGCGGAATTTGCAAGTGGAGATTTCTAGCCATTTGATGCCAACAGTAGAAAGGGAAATATCTTCAAATAAAAACCAGACAGAATCATTCTCACAAAATTCTTTGTGATGTGTGCGTTCAACTCACATAGTTTTACCTTTCTTTTCATAGAGCAGTTTGGAAACACTCTGTTTGTAAAGTCTGCAAGTGGATATATGGACCGCATTGAGGCCTTCGTTGGAAACGGGATTTCTTCATTTCATGCTAGACAGAAGAATTCTCAGTAACTTCTTTGTGCTGTGTGTATTCAACTCACAGAGTGGAACGTCCCTTTACACAGAGCAGATTTGAAACACTCTTTTTGTGGAGTTTGCAAGTGGAGATTTCAAGCGATTTGATGCCAACAGTAGAAAAGGAAATATCTTCAAATAAAAACTAGACAGAATCGTTCTCAGAAACTACTTTGTGATGTGTGCCTTCAACTCACAGAGTTTAACCTTTCTTTTCTTAGAGCAGTTTAGAAACACTCTGCTTGTTATGTCTGCAAGTGGATATTTGGACCTCTTTGAGGCCTTCGTTGCAAACGGGGTTTCTTCCTTTCATGCTAGACTAAGAAGAGTTCTCAGTAACTTTTTTGTGTTGTGTGTATTCAACTCACAGAGTTGAACCTTGCTTTAGAGAGAGCAGATTTGAAACACTCTTGCTGTGGCATTTTCAGGTGGAGATTTCAAGCGATTTGAGGACAATTGCAGAAAAGGAAATATCTTCGTATAATAACCAGACAGAATCATTCTCAGAAAGTGCTTTGTGATGTGTGCGTTCAACTCACAGAGTTTAACCTTTCTTTTCATAGAGGAGTTTGGAAACACACTGTTTGTAAAGTCTGCAAGTGGATATATGGACCTGTTTGAGGCCTTCGTTGGAAACGGGATTTCTTCATTGAATGCTAGACGGAAGAATTCTCAGTAAATTCTTTGTGTTGTGTGCATTCAACTCACAGAGTGGAACGTCCCTTTAGACAGAGCAGATTTGAAACACTCTTTTTGCGGAATTTGCAAGTGGAGATTTCTAGCCATTTGATGCCAACAGTAGAAAGGGAAATATCTTCAAATAAAAACCAGACAGAATCATTCTCAGAAAATTCTTTGTGATGTGTGCGTTCAACTCACATAGTTTAACCTTTCTTTTCATAGAGCAGTTTGGAAACACTCTGTTTGTAAAGTCTGCAAGTGGATATATGGACCGCATTGAGGCCTTCGTTGGAAACGGGATTTCTTCATTTCATGCTAGACAGAAGAATTCTCAGTAACTTCTTTGTGCTGTGTGTATTCAACTCACAGAGTGGAACGTCCCTTTACACAGAGCAGATTTGAAACACTCTTTTTGTGGAGTTTGCAAGTGGAGATTTCAAGCGATTTGATGCCAACAGTAGAAAAGGAAATATCTTCAAATAAAAATGGACAGAAATCATTCTCAGAAACTACTTTGTGATGTCTGCCTTCAACTCACAGAGTTTAACCTTTCTTTTCTTAGAGCAGTTTAGAAACACTCTGCTTGTTATGTCTGCAAGTGGATATTTGGACCTCTTTGAGGCCTTCGTTGCAAACGGGGTTTCTTCCTTTCATGCTAGACTAAGAAGAGTTCTCAGTAACTTTTTTGTGTTGTGTGTATTCAACTCACAGCAGCTGAACCTTGCTTTAGAGAGAGCAGATTTGAAACACTCTTGCTGTGGCATTTTCAGGTGGAGATTTCAAGCGATTTGAGGACAATTGCAGAAAAGGAAATATCTTCGTATAACAACCAGACAGAATCATTCTCAGAAAGTGCTTTGTGATGTGTGCGTTCAACTCACAGAGTTTAACCTTTCTTTTCATAGAGGAGTTTGGAAACACACTGTTTGTAAAGTCTGCAAGTGGATATATGGACGTGTTTGAGGCCTTCGTTGGAAACGGGATTTCTTCATTGAATGCTAGACGGAAGAATTCTCAGTAAATTCTTTGTGTTGTGTGCATTCAACTCACAGAGTGGAACGTCCCTTTAGACAGAGCAGATTTGAAACACTCTTTTTGCGGAATTTGCAAGTGGAGATTTCTAGCCATTTGATGCCAACAGTAGAAAGGGAAATATCTTCAAATAAAAACCAGACAGAATCATTCTCAGAAAATTCTTTGTGATGTGTGCGTTCAACTCACATAGTTTAACCTTTCTTTTCATAGAGCAGTTTGGAAACACTCTGTTTGTAAAGTCTGCAAGTGGATATATGGACCGCATTGAGGCCTTCGTTGGAAACGGGATTTCTTCATTTCATGCTAGACAGAAGAATTCTCAGTAACTTCTTTGTGCTGTGTGTATTCAACTCACAGAGTGGAACGTCCCTTTGCACAGAGCAGATTTGAAACACTCTTTTTGTGGAGTTTGCAAGTGGAGATTTCAAGCGATTTGATGCCAACAGTAGAAAAGGAAATATCTTCAAATAAAAACTAGACAGAATCATTCTCAGAAACTACTTTGTGATGTGTGCCTTCAACTCACAGAGTTTAACCTTTCTTTTCTTAGAGCAGTTTAGAAACACTCTGCTTGTTATGTCTGCAAGTGGATATTTGGACCTCTTTGAGGCCTTCGTTGCAAACGGGGTTTCTTCCTTTAATGCTAGACTAAGAAGAGTTCTCAGTAACTTTTTTGTGTTGTGTGTATTCAACTCACAGAGTTGAACCTTGCTTTAGAGAGAGCAGATTTGAAACACTCTTGCTGTGGCATTTTCAGGTGGAGATTTCAAGCGATTTGAGGACAATTGCAGAAAAGGAAATATCTTCGTATAACAACCAGACAGAATCATTCTCAGAAAGTGCTTTGTGATGTGTGCGTTCAACTCACAGAGTTTAACCTTTCTTTTCATAGAGGAGTTTGGAAACACTCTGTTTGTAAAGTCTGCAATTGGATATATGGACCTGTTTGAGGCCTTCGTTGGAAACGGGATTTCTTCATTGAATGCTAGACGGAAGAATTCTCAGTAAATTCTTTGTGTGGTGTGCATTCAACTCACAGAGTGGAACGTCCCTTTAGACAGAGCAGATTTGAAACACTCTTTTTGCGGAATTTGCAAGTGGAGATTTCTAGCCATTTGATGCCAACAGTAGAAAGGGAAATATCTTCAAATAAAAACCAGACAGAATCATTCTCAGAAAATTCTTTGTGATGTGTGCGTTCAACTCACATAGTTTAACCTTTCTTTTCATAGAGCAGTTTGGAAACACTCTGTTTGTAAAGTCTGCAAGTGGATATATGGACCGCATTGAGGCCTTCGTTGGAAACGGGATTTCTTCATTTCATGCTAGACAGAAGAATTCTCAGTAACTTCTTTGTGCTGTGTGTATTCAACTCACAGAGTGGAACGTCCCTTTGCACAGAGCAGATTTGAAACACTCTTTTTGTGGAGTTTGCAAGTGGAGATTTCAAGCGATTTGATGCCAACAGTAGAAAAGGAAATATCTTCAAATAAAAACTAGACAGAATCATTCTCAGAAACTACTTTGTGATGTGTGCCTTCAACTCACAGAGTTCAACCTTTCTTTTCTTAGAGCAGTTTAGAAACACTCTGCTTGTTATGTCTGCAAGTGGATATTTGGACCTCTTTGAGGCCTTCGTTGCAAACGGGGTTTCTTCCTTTCATGCTAGACTAAGAAGAGTTCTCAGTAACTTTTTTGTGTTGTGTGTATTCAACTCACAGAGTTGAACCTTGCTTTAGAGAGAGCAGATTTGAAACACTCTTGCTGTGGCATTTTCAGGTGGAGATTTCAAGCGTTTTGAGGACAATTGCAGAAAAGGAAATATCTTCGTATAATAACCAGACAGAATCATTCTCAGAAAGTGCTTTGTGATGTGTGCGTTCCACTCACAGAGTTTAACCTTTCTTTTCATAGAGGAGTTTGGAAACACACTGTTTGTAAAGTCTGCAAGTGGATATATGGACCTCTTTGAGGCCTTCGTTGGAAACGGGATTTCTTCATTGAATGCTAGACGGAAGAATTCTCAGTAAATTCTTTGTGTTGTGTGCATTCAACTCACAGAGTGGAACGTCCCTTTAGACAGAGCAGATTTGAAACACTCTTTTTACGGAATTTGCAAGTGGAGATTTCTAGCAATTTGATGCCAACAGTAGAAAGGGAAATATCTTCAAATAAAAACCAGACAGAATCATTCTCAGAAAATTCTTTGTGATGTGTGCGTTCAACTCACATAGTTTAACCTTTCTTTTCATAGAGCAGTTTGGAAACACTCTGTTTGTAAAGTCTGCAAGTGGATATATGGACCGCATTGAGGCCTTCGTTGGAAACGGGATTTCTTCATTTCATGCTAGACAGAAGAATTCTCAGTAACTTCTTTGTGCTGTGTGTATTCAACTCACAGAGTGGAACGTCCCTTTGCACAGAGCAGATTTGAAACACTCTTTTTGTGGAGTTTGCAAGTGGAGATTTCAAGCGATTTGATGCCAACAGTAGAAAAGGAAATATCTTCAAATAAAAACTAGACAGAATCATTCTCAGAAACTACTTTGTGATGTGTGCCTTCAACTCACAGAGTTTTACCTTTCTTTTCTTAGAGCAGTTTAGAAACACTCTGCTTGTTATGTCTGCAAGTGGATATTTGGACCTCTTTGAGGCCTTCGTTGCAAACGGGGTTTCTTCCTTTCATGCTAGACTAAGAAGAGTTCTCAGTAACTTTTTTGTGTTGTGTGTATTCAACTCACAGAGTTGAACCTTGCTTTAGAGAGAGCAGATTTGAAACACTCTTGCTGTGGCATTTTCAGGTGGAGATTTCAAGCGATTTGAGGACAATTGCAGAAAAGGAAATATCTTCGTATAATAACCAGACAGAATCATTCTCAGAAAGTGCTTTGTGATGTGTGCGTTCAACTCACAGAGTTTAACCTTTCTTTTCATAGAGGAGTTTGGAAACACACTGTTTGTAAAGTCTGCATGTGGATATATGGACCTGTTTGAGGCCTTCGTTGGAAACGGGATTTCTTCATTGAATGCTAGACGGAAGAATTCTCAGTAAATTCTTTGTGTTGTGTGCATTCAACTCACCGAGTGGAACGTCCCTTTAGACAGACCAGATTTGAAACACTCTTTTTGCGAAATTTGGAAGTGGAGATTTCAAGCCATTTGATGCCAACAATAGAAAGGGAAATATCTTCAAATAAAAACTAGGCAGAATCATTCTCAGAAAATTCTTTGTGATGTGTGCGTTCAACTCACATAGTTTAACCTTTCTTTTCATAGAGCAGTTTGGAAACACTCTGTTTGTAAAGTCTGCAAGTAGATATATGGACCGCTTTGAGGCCTTCGTTGGAAACGGGATTTCTTCATTTCATGCTAGACAGAAGAATTCTCAGTAACTTCTTTGTGCTGTGTGTATTCAACTCACAGAGTGGAACGTCCCTTTGCACAGAGCAGATTTGAAACACTCTTTTTGTGGAATTTGCAAGTGGAGATTTCAAGCGATTTGATGCCAACAGTAGAAAAGGAAATATCTTCAAATAAAAACTAGACAGAATCATTCTCAGAAACTACTTTGTGATGTGTGCCTTCAACTCACAGAGTTTAACCTTTTCTTTTCTTAGAGCAGTTTAGAAACACTCTGCTTGTTATGTCTGCAAGTGGATATTTGGACCTCTTTGAGGCCTTCGTTGCAAACGGGGTTTCTTCCTTTCATGCTAGACTAAGAAGAGTTCTCAGTAACTTTTTTGTGTTGTGTGTATTCAACTCACAGAGCTGAACCTTGCTTTAGAGAGAGCAGATTTGAAACACTCTTGCTGTGGCATTTTCAGGTGGAGATTTCAAGCGATTTGAGGACAATTGCAGAAAAGGAAATATCTTCGTATAACAACCAGACAGAATCATTCTCAGAAAGTGCTTTGTGATGTGTGCGTTCAACTCACAGAGTTTAACCTTTCTTTTCATAGAGGAGTTTGGAAACACACTGTTTGTAAAGTCTGCAATTGGATATATGGACCTGTTTGAGGCCTTCGTTGGAAACGGGATTTCTTCATTGAATGCTAGACGGAAGAATTCTCAGTAAATTCTTTGTGTGGTGTGCATTCAACTCACAGAGTGGAACGTCCCTTTAGACAGAGCAGATTTGAAACACTATTTTTGCGGAATTTGCAAGTGGAGATTTCTAGCCATTTGATGCCAACAGTAGAAAGGGAAATATCTTCAAATAAAAACCAGACAGAATCATTCTCAGAAAATTCTTTGTGATGTGTGCGTTCAACTCACATAGTTTAACCTTTCTTTTCATAGAGCAGTTTGGAAACACTCTGTTTGTAAAGTCTGCAAGTGGATATATGGACCGCATTGAGGCCTTCGTTGGAAACGGGATTTCTTCATTTCATGCTAGACAGAAGAATTCTCAGTAACTTCTTTGTGCTGTGTGTATTCAACTCACAGAGTGGAACGTCCCTTTACACAGAGCAGATTTGAAACACTCTTTTTGTGGAGTTTGCAAGTGGAGATTTCAAGCGATTTGATGCCAACAGTAGAAAATGAAATATCTTCAAATAAAAACTAGACAGAATCATTCTCAGAAACTACTTTGTGATGTGTGCCTTCAACTCACAGAGTTTAACCTTTCTTTTCTTAGAGCAGTTTAGAAACACTCTGCTTGTTATGTCTGCAAGTGGATATTTGGACCTCTTTGAGGCCTTCGTTGCAAACGGGGTTTCTTCCTTTCATGCTAGACTAAGAAGAGTTCTCAGTAACTTTTTTGTGTTGTGTGTATTCAACTCACAGAGTTGAACCTTGCTTTAGAGAGAGCAGATTTGAAACACTCTTGCTGTGGCATTTTCAGGTGGAGATTTCAAGCGATTTGAGGACAATTGCAGAAAAGGAAATATCTTCGTATAATAACCAGACAGAATCATTCTCAGAAAGTGCTTTGTGATGTGTGCGTTCCACTCACAGAGTTTAACCTTTCTTTTCATAGAGGAGTTTGGAAACACACTGTTTGTAAAGTCTGCAAGTGGATATATGGACCTGTTTGAGGCCTTCGTTGGAAACGGGATTTCTTCATTGAATGCTAGACGGAAGAATTCTCAGTAAATTCTTTGTGTTGTGTGCATTCAACTCACAGAGTGGAACGTCCCTTTAGACAGAGCAGATTTGAAACACTCTTTTTACGGAATTTGCAAGTGGAGATTTCTAGCCATTTGATGCCAACAGTAGAAAGGGAAATATCTTCAAATAAAAACCAGACAGAATCATTCTCAGAAAATTCTTTGTGATGTGTGCGTTCAACTCACATAGTTTAACCTTTCTTTTCATAGAGCAGTTTGGAAACACTCTGTTTGTAAAGTCTGCAAGTGGATATATGGACCGCATTGAGGCCTTCGTTGGAAACGGGATTTCTTCATTTCATGCTAGACAGAAGAATTCTCAGTAACTTCTTTGTGCTGTGTGTATTCAACTCACAGAGTGGAACGTCCCTTTGCACAGAGCAGATTTGAAACACTCTTTTTTTGGAATTTGCAAGTGGAGATTTCAAGCGATTTGATGCCAACAGTAGAAAAGGAAATATCTTCAAATAAAAACTAGACAGAATCATTCTCAGAAACTACTTTGTGATGTGTGCCTTCAACTCACAGAGTTTAACCTTTCTTTTCTTAGAGCAGTTTAGAAACACTCTGCTTGTTATGTCTGCAAGTGGATATTTGGACCTCTTTGAGGCCTTCGTTGCAAACGGGGTTTCTTCCTTTCATGCTAGACTAAGAAGAGTTCTCAGTAACTTTTTTGTGTTGTGTGTATTCAACTCACAGAGTTGAACCTTGCTTTAGAGAGAGCAGATTTGAGACACTCTTGCTGTGGCATTTTCAGGTTGAGATTTCAATCGATTTGAGGACAATTGCAGAAAAGGAAATATCTTCGTATAATAAGCAGACAGAATCATCCTCAGAAAGTGCTTTGTGATGTGTGCGTTCAACTCACAGAGTTTAACCTTTCTTTTCATAGAGGAGTTTGGAAACACACTGTTTGTAAAGTCTGCAATTGGATATAGGGACCTGTTTGAGGCCTTCGTTGGAAACGGGATTTCTTCATTGAATGCTAGACGGAAGAATTCTCAGTAAATTCTTTGTGTTGTGTGCATTGAACTCACAGAGTGGAACGTCCCTTTACACAGAGCAGATTTGAAACACTCTTTTTGCGGAATTTGCAAGTGGAGATTTTTAGCCATTTGATGCCAACAGTAGAAAGGGAAATATCTTCAAATAAAAACCAGACAGAATCATTCTCAGAAAATTCTTTGTGATGTGTGCGTTCAACTCACATAGTTTAACCTTTCTTTTCATAGAGCAGTTTGGAAACACTCTGTTTGTAAAGTCTGCAAGTGGATATATGGACCGCATTGAGGCCTTCGTTGGAAACGGGATTTCTTCATTTCATGCTAGACAGAAGAATTCTCAGTAACTTCTTTGTGCTGTGTGTATTCAACTCACAGAGTGGAACGTCCCTTTGCACAGAGCAGATTTGAAACACTCTTTTTGTGGAGTTTGCAAGTGGAGATTTCAAGCGATTTGATGCCAACAGTAGAAAAGGAAATATCTTCAAATAAAAACTAGACAGAATCATTCTCAGAAACTACTTTGTGATGTGTGCCTTCAACTCACAGAGTTTAACCTTTCTTTTCTTAGAGCAGTTTAGAAACACTCTGCTTGTTATGTCTGCAAGTGGATATTTGGACCTCTTTGAGGCCTTCGTTGCAAACGGCGTTTCTTCCTTTCATGCTAGACTAAGAAGAGTTCTCAGTAACTTTTTTGTGTTGTGTGTATTCAACTCACAGAGTTGAACCTTGCTTTAGAGAGAGCAGATTTGAAACACTCTTGCTGTGGCATTTTCAGGTGGAGATTTCAAGCGATTTGAGGACAATTGCAGAAAAGGAAATATCTTCGTATAACAACCAGACAGAATCATTCTCAGAAAGTGCTTTGTGATGTGTTCGTTCAACTCACAGAGTTGAACCTTTCTTTTCATAGAGGAGTTTGGAAACACACTGTTTGTAAAGTCTGCAAGTGGATATATGGACCTGTTTGAGGCCTTCGTTGGAAACGGCATTTCTTCATTGAATGCTAGACGGAAGAATTCTCAGTAAATTCTTTGTGTTGTGTGCATTCAACTCACAGAGTGGAACGTCCCTTTAGACAGAGCAGATTTGAAACACTCTTTTTGCGGAATTTGCAAGTGGAGATTTCTAGCCATTTGATGCCAACAGTAGAAAGGGAAATATCTTCAAATAAAAACCAGACAGAATCATTCTCAGAAAATTCTTTGTGATGTGTGCGTTCAACTCACATAGTTTAACCTTTCTTTTCATAGAGCAGTTTGGAAACACTCTGTTTGTAAAGTCTGCAAGTGGATCTATGGACCGCATTGAGGCCTTCGTTGGAAACGGGATTTCTTCATTTCATGCTAGACAGAAGAATTCTCAGTAACTTCTTTGTGCTGTGTGTATTCAACTCACAGAGTGGAACGTCCCTTTACACAGAGCAGATTTGAAACACTCTTTTTGTGGAGTTTGCAAGTGGAGATTTCAAGCGATTTGATGCCAACAGTAGAAAAGGAAATATCTTCAAATAAAAACTAGACAGAATCATTCTCAGAAACTACTTTGTGATGTGTGCCTTCAACTCACAGAGTTTAACCTTTCTTTTCATAGAGCAGTTTAGAAACACTCTGCTTGTTATGTCTGCAAGTGGATATTTGGACCTCTTTGAGGCCTTCGTTGCAAACGGGGTTTCTTCCTTTCATGCTAGACTAAGAAGAGTTCTCAGTAACTTTTTTGTGTTGTGTGTATTCAACTCACAGAGTTGAACCTTGCTTTAGAGAGAGCAGATTTGAAACACTCTTGCTGTGGCATTTTCAGGTGGAGATTTCAAGCGATTTGAGGACAATTGCAGAAAAGGAAATATCTTCGTATAATAACCAGACAGAATCATTCTCAGAAAGTGCTTTGTGATGTGTGCGTTCAACTCACAGAGTTTAACCTTTCTTTTCATAGAGGAGTTTGGAAACACACTGTTTGTAAAGTCTGCAAGTGGATATATGGACCTGTTTGAGGCCTTCGTTGGAAACGGGATTTCTTCATTGAATGCTAGACGGAAGAATTCTCAGTAAATTCTTTGTGTTGTGTGCATTCAACTCACAGAGTGGAACGTCCCTTTAGACAGAGCAGATTTGAAACACTCTTTTTGCGGAATTTGCAAGTGGAGATTTCTAGCCATTTGATGCCAACAGTAGAAAGGGAAATATCTTCAAATAAAAACCAGACAGAATCATTCTCAGAAAATTCTTTGTGATGTGTGCGTTCAACTCACATAGTTTAACCTTTCTTTTCATAGAGCAGTTTGGAAACACTCTGTTTGTAAAGTCTGCAAGTGGATATATGGACCGCATTGAGGCCTTCGTTGGAAACGGGATTTCTTCATTTCATGCTAGACAGAAGAATTCTCAGTAACTTCTTTGTGCTGTGTGTATTCAACTCACAGAGTGGAACGTCCCTTTACACAGAGAAGATTTGAAACACTCTTTTTGTGGAGTTTGCAAGTGGAGATTTCAAGCGATTTGATGCCAACAGTAGAAAAGGAAATATCTTCAAATAAAAACTAGACAGAATCATTCTCAGAAACTACTTTGTGATGTGTGCCTTCAACTCACAGAGTTTAACCTTTCTTTTCTTAGAGCAGTTTAGAAACACTCTGCTTGTTATGTCTGCAAGTGGATATTTGGACCTCTTTGAGGCCTTCGTTGCAAACGGGGTTTCTTCCTTTCATGCTAGACTAAGAAGAGTTCTCAGTAACTTTTTTGTGTTGTGTGTATTCAACTCACAGAGTTGAACCTTGCTTTAGAGAGAGCAGATTTGAAACACTCTTGCTGTGGCATTTTCAGGTGGAGATTTCAAGCGATTTGAGGACAATTGCAGAAAAGGAAATATCTTCCTATAACAACCAGACAGAATCATTCTCAGAGAGTGCTTTGTGATGTGTGCGTTCAACTCACAGAGTTTAACCTTTCTTTTCATAGAGGAGTTTGGAAACACACTGTTTGTAAAGTCTGCAATTGGATATATGGACCTGTTTGAGGCCTTCGTTGGAAACGGGATTTCTTCATTGACTGCTAGACGGAAGAATTCTCAGTAAATTCTTTGTGTTGTGTGCATTCAACTCACAGAGTGGAACGTCCCTTTAGACAGAGCAGATTTGAAACACTCTTTTTGCGGAATTTGCAAGTGGAGATTTCTAGCCATTTGATGCCAACAGTAGAAAGGGAAATATCTTCAAATAAAAACCAGACAGAATCATTCTCAGAAAATTCTTTGTGATGTGTGCGTTCAACTCACATAGTTTAACCTTTCTTTTCATAGAGCAGTTTGGAAACACTCTGTTTGTAAAGTCTGCAAATGGATATATGGACCGTATTGAGGCCTTCGTTGGAAACGGGATTTCTTCATTTCATGCTAGACAGAAGAATTCTCAGTAACTTCTTTGTGCTGTGTGTATTCAACTCACAGAGTGGAACGTCCCTTTGCACAGAGCAGATTTGAAACACTCTTTTTGTGGAGTTTGCAAGTGGAGATTTCAAGTGATTTGATGCCAACAGTAGAAAAGGAAATATCTTCAAATAAAAACTAGACAGAATCATTCTCAGAAACTACTTTGTGATGTGTGCCTTCAACTCACAGAGTTTAACCTTTCTTTTCTTAGAGCAGTTTAGAAACACTCTGCTTGTTATGTCTGCAAGTGGATATTTGGACCTCTTTGAGGCCTTCGTTGCAAACGGGGTTTCTTCCTTTAATGCTAGACTAAGAAGAGTTCTCAGTAACTTTTTTGTGTTGTGTGTATTCAACTCACAGAGTTGAACCTTGCTTTAGAGAAAGCAGATTTGAAACACTCTTGCTGTGGCATTTTCAGGTGGAGATTTCAAGCGATTTGAGGACAATTGCAGAAAAGGAAATATCTTCGTATAACAACCAGACAGAATCATTCTCAGAAAGTGCTTTGTGATGTGTGCGTTCAACTCACAGAGTTTAACCTTTCTTTTCATAGAGGAGTTTGGAAACACACTGTTTGTAAAGTCTGCAATTGGATATATGGACCTGTTTGAGGCCTTCGTTGGAAACGGGATTTCTTCATTGAATGCTAGACGGAAGAATTCTCAGTAAATTCTTTGTGTGGTGTGCATTCAACTCACAGAGTGGAACGTCCCTTTAGACAGAGCAGATTTGAAACACTCTTTTTGCGGAATTTGCAAGTGGAGATTTCTAGCCATTTGATGCCAACAGTAGAAAGGGAAATATCTTCAAATAAAAACCAGACAGAATCATTCTCAGAAAATTCTTTGTGATGTGTGCGTTCAACTCACATAGTTTAACCTTTCTTTTCATAGAGCAGTTTGGAAACACTCTGTAAAGTCTGCAAGTGGATATATGGACCGCATTGAGGCCTTCGTTGGAAACGGGATTTCTTCATTTCATGCTAGACAGAAGAATTCTCAGTAACTTCTTTGTGCTGTGTGTATTCAACTCACAGAGTGGAACGTCCCTTTACACAGAGCAGATTTGAAACACTCTTTTTGTGGAGTTTGCAAGTGGAGATTTCAAGCGATTTGATGCCAACAGTAGAAAAGGAAATATCTTCAAATAAAAACTA
Organism: Homo sapiens; assembly: GCF_000001405.40. Lineage (NCBI taxonomy): Eukaryota > Metazoa > Chordata > Mammalia > Primates > Hominidae > Homo > Homo sapiens. The sequence continues at coordinate 59,721,126 of NC_000007.14, forward strand.
GACAGAATCATTCTCAGAAACTACTTTGTGATGTCTGCCTTCAACTCACAGAGTTTAACCTTTCTTTTCTTAGAGCAGTTTAGAAACACTCTGCTTGTTATGTCTGCAAGTGGATATTTGGACCTCTTTGAGGCCTTCGTTGCAAACGGGGTTTCTTCCTTTCATGCTAGACTAAGAAGAGTTCTCAGTAACTTTTTTGTGTTGTGTGTATTCAACTCACAGAGTTGAACCTTGCTTTAGAGAGAGCAGATTTGAAACACTCTTGCTGTGGCATTTTCAGGTGGAGATTTCAAGCGATTTGAGGACAATTGCAGAAAAGGAAATATCTTCGTATAATAACCAGACAGAATCATTCTCAGAAAGTGCTTTGTGATGTGTGCGTTCAACTCACAGAGTTTAACCTTTCTTTTCATAGAGGAGTTTGGAAACACACTGTTTGTAAAGTCTGCAATTGGATATATGGACCTGTTTGAGGCCTTCGTTGGAAACGGGATTTCTTCATTGAATGCTAGACGGAAGAAGTCTCAGTAAATTCTTTGTGTTGTGTGCATTCAACTGACAGAGTGGAGCGTCCCTTTAGACAGAGCAGATTTGAAACACTCTTTTTGCGGAATTTGCAAGTGGAGATTTCTAGCCATTTGATGCCAACAGTAGAAAGGGAAATATCTTCAAATAAAAACCAGACAGAATCATTCTCAGAAAATTCTTTGTGATGTGTGCGTTCAACTCACATAGTTTAACCTTTCTTTTCATAGAGCAGTTTGGAAACACTCTGTTTGTAAAGTCTGCAAGTGGATATATGGACCGCATTGAGGCCTTCGTTGGAAACGGGATTTCTTCATTTCATGCTAGACAGAAGAATTCTCAGTAACTTCTTTGTGCTGTGTGTATTCAACTCACAGAGTGGAACGTCCCTTTGCACAGAGCAGATTTGAAACACTCTTTTTGTGGAGTTTGCAAGTGGAGATTTCAAGCGATTTGATGCCAACAGTAGAAAAGGAAATATCTTCAAATAAAAACTAGACAGAATCATTCTCAGAAACTACTTTGTGATGTGTGCCTTCAACTCACAGAGTTTAACCTTTCTTTTCTTAGAGCAGGTTAGAAACACTCTGCTTGTTATGTCTGCAAGTGGATATTTGGACCTCTTTGAGGCCTTCGTTGCAAACGGGGTTTCTTCCTTTCATGCTAGACTAAGAAGAGTTCTCAGTAACTTTTTTGTGTTGTGTGTATTCAACTCACAGAGTTGAACCTTGCTTTAGAGAGAGCAGATTTGAAACACTCTTGCTGTGGCATTTTCAGGTGGAGATTTCAAGCGATTTGAGGACAATTGCAGAAAAGGAAATATCTTCGTATAATAACCAGACAGAATCATTCTCAGAAAGTGCTTTGTGATGTGTGCGTTCCACTCACAGAGTTTAACCTTTCTTTTCATAGAGGAGTTTGGAAACACACTGTTTGTAAAGTCTGCAAGTGGATATATGGACCTGTTTGAGGCCTTCGTTGGAAACGGGATTTCTTCATTGAATGCTAGACGGAAGAATTCTCAGTAAATTCTTTGTGTTGTGTGCATTCAACTCACAGAGTGGAACGTCCCTTTAGACAGAGCAGATTTGAAACACTCTTTTTGCGGAATTTGCAAGTGGAGATTTCTAGCCATTTGATGCCAACAGTAGAAAGGGAAATATCTTCAAATAAAAACCAGACAGAATCATTCTCAGAAAATTCTTTGTGATGTGTGCGTTCAACTCACATAGTTTAACCTTTCTTTTCATAGAGCAGTTTGGAAACACTCTGTTTGTAAAGTCTGCAAGTGGATATATGGACCGCATTGAGGCCTTCGTTGGAAACGGGATTTCTTCATTTCATGCTAGACAGAAGAATTCTCAGTAACTTCTTTGTGCTGTGTGTATTCAACTCACAGAGTGGAACGTCCCTTTGCACAGAGCAGATTTGAAACACTCTTTTTGTGGAGTTTGCAAGTGGAGATTTCAAGCGATTTGATGCCAACAGTAGAAAAGGAAATATCTTCAAATAAAAACTAGACAGAATCATTCTCAGAAACTACTTTGTGATGTGTGCCTTCAACTCACAGAGTTTAACCTTTCTTTTCTTAGAGCAGTTTAGAAACACTCTGCTTGTTATGTCTGCAAGTGGATATTTGGACCTCTTTGAGGCCTTCGTTGCAAACGGGGTTTCTTCCTTTCATGCTAGACTAAGAAGAGTTCTCAGTAACTTTTTTGTGTTGTGTGTATTCAACTCACAGAGTTGAACCTTGCTTTAGAGAGAGCAGATTTGAAACACTCTTGCTGTGGCATTTTCAGGTGGAGATTTCAAGCGATTTGAGGACAATTGCAGAAAAGGAAATATCTTCCGTATAATAACCAGACAGAATCATTCTCAGAAAGTGCTTTGTGATGTGTGCGTTCCACTCACAGAGTTTAACCTTTCTTTTCATAGAGGAGTTTGGAAACACACTGTTTGTAAAGTCTGCAAGTGGATATATGGACCTGTTTGAGGCCTTCGTTGGAAACGGGATTTCTTCATTGAATGCTAGACGGAAGAATTCTCAGTAAATTCTTTGTGTTGTGTGCATTCAACTCACAGAGTGGAACGTCCCTTTAGACAGAGCAGATTTGAAACACCCTTTTTGCGGAATTTGCAAGTGGAGATTTCTAGCCATTTGATGCCAACAGTAGAAAGGGAAATATCTTCAAATAAAAACCAGACAGAATCATTCTCAGAAAATTCTTTGTGATGTGTGCGTTCAACTCACATAGTTTAACCTTTCTTTTCATAGAGCAGTTTGGAAACACTCTGTTTGTAAAGTCTGCAAGTGGATATATGGACCGCATTGAGGCCTTCGTTGGAAACGGGATTTCTTCATTTCATGCTAGACAGAAGAATTCTCAGTAACTTCTTTGTGCTGTGTGTATTCAACTCACAGAGTGGAACGTCCCTTTACACAGAGCAGATTTGAAACACTCTTTTTGTGGAGTTTGCAAGTGGAGATTTCAAGCGATTTGATGCCAACAGTAGAAAAGGAAATATCTTCAAATAAAAACTAGACAGAATCATTCTCAGAAACTACTTTGTGATGTGTGCCTTCAACTCACAGAGTTTAACCTTTCTTTTCTTAGAGCAGTTTAGAAACACTCTGCTTGTTATGTCTGCAAGTGGATATTTGGACCTCTTTGAGGCCTTCGTTGCAAACGGGGTTTCTTCCTTTCATGCTAGACTAAGAAGAGTTCTCAGTAACTTTTTTGTGTTGTGTGTATTCAACTCACAGAGTTGAACCTTGCTTTAGAGAGAGCAGATTTGAAACACTCTTGCTGTGGCATTTTCAGGTGGAGATTTCAAGCGATTTGAGGACAATTGCAGAAAAGGAAATATCTTCGTATAATAACCAGACAGAATCATTCTCAGAAAGTGCTTTGTGATGTGTGCGTTCAACTCACAGAGTTTAACCTTTCTTTTCATAGAGGAGTTTGGAAACACACTGTTTGTAAAGTCTGCAAGTGGATATATGGACCTGTTTGAGGCCTTCGTTGGAAACGGGATTTCTTCATTGAATGCTAGACGGAAGAATTCTCAGTAAATTCTTTGTGTTGTGTGCATTCAACTCACAGAGTGGAACGTCCCTTTAGACAGAGCAGATTTGAAACACTCTTTTTGCGGAATTTGCAAGTGGAGATTTCTAGCCATTTGATGCCAACAGTAGAAAGGGAAATATCTTCAAATAAAAACCAGACAGAATCATTCTCAGAAAATTCTTTGTGATGTGTGCGTTCAACTCACATAGTTTAACCTTTCTTTTCATAGAGCAGTTTGGAAACACTCTGTTTGTAAAGTCTGCAAGTGGATATATGGACCGCATTGAGGCCTTCGTTGGAAACGGGATTTCTTCATTTCATGCTAGACAGAAGAATTCTCAGTAACTTCTTTGTGCTGTGTGTATTCAACTCACAGAGTGGAACGTCCCTTTACACAGAGCAGATTTGAAACACTCTTTTTGTGGAGTTTGCAAGTGGAGATTTCAAGCGATTTGATGCCAACAGTAGAAAAGGAAATATCTTCAAATAAAAACTAGACAGAATCATTCTCAGAAACTACTTTGTGATGTGTGCCTTCAACTCACAGAGTTTAACCTTTCTTTTCTTAGAGCAGTTTAGAAACACTCTGCTTGTTATGTCTGCAAGTGGATATTTGGACCTCTTTGAGGCCTTCGTTGCAAACGGGGTTTCTTCCTTTCATGCTAGACTAAGAAGAGTTCTCAGTAACTTTTTTGTGTTGTGTGTATTCAACTCACAGAGTTGAACCTTGCTTTAGAGAGAGCAGATTTGAAACACTCTTGCTGTGGCATTTTCAGGTGGAGATTTCAAGCGATTTGAGGACAATTGCAGAAAAGGAAATATCTTCGTATAACAACCAGACAGAATCATTCTCAGAAAGTGCTTTGTGATGTGTGCGTTCAACTCACAGAGTTTAACCTTTCTTTTCATAGAGGAGTTTGGAAACACACTGTTTGTAAAGTCTGCAATTGGATATATGGACCTGTTTGAGGCCTTCGTTGGAAACGGGATTTCTTCATTGCATGCTAGACGGAAGAATTCTCAGTAAATTCTTTGTGTTGTGTGCATTCAACTCACAGAGTGGAACGTCCCTTTAGACAGAGCAGATTTGAAACACTCTTTTTGCGGAATTTGCAAGTGGAGATTTCTAGCCATTTGATGCCAACAGTAGAAAGGGAAATATCTTCAAATAAAAACCAGACAGAATCATTCTCAGAAAATTCTTTGTGATGTGTGCGTTCAACTCACATAGTTTAACCTTTCTTTTCATAGAGCAGTTTGGAAACACTCTGTTTGTAAAGTCTGCAAGTGGATATATGGACCGCATTGAGGCCTTCGTTGGAAACGGGATTTCTTCATTTCATGCTAGACAGAAGAATTCTCAGTAACTTCTTTGTGCTGTGTGTACTCAACTCACAGAGTGGAACGTCCCTTTGCACAGAGCAGATTTGAAACACTCCTTTTGTGGAGTTTGCAAGTGGAGATTTCAAGCGATTTGATGCCAACAGTAGAAAAGGAAATATCTTCAAATAAAAACTAGACAGAATCATTCTCAGGAACTACTTTGAGCATGTGTGCCTTCAACTCACAGAGTTTAACCTTTCTTTTCTTAGAGCAGTTTAGAAACACTCTGCTTGTTATGTCTGCAAGTGGATATTTGGACCTCTTTGAGGCCTTCGTTGCAAACGGGGTTTCTTCCTTTAATGCTACACTAAGAAGAGTTCTCAGTAACTTTTTTGTGTTGTGTGTATTCAACTCACAGAGTTGAACCTTGCTTTAGAGAGAGCAGATTTCAAACACTCTTGCTGTGGCATTTTCAGGTGGAGATTTCAAGCGATTTGAGGACAATTGCAGAAAAGGAAATATCTTCGTATAATAACCAGACAGAATCATTCTCAGAAAGTGCTTTGTGATGTGTGCGTTCAACTCACAGAGTTTAACCTTTCTTTTCATAGAGGAGTTTGGAAACACACTGTTTGTAAAGTCTGCAAGTGGATATATGGACCTGTTTGAGGCCTTCGTTGGAAACGGGATTTCTTCATTGAATGCTAGACGGAAGAATTCTCAGTAAATTCTTTGTGTTGTGTGCATTCAACTCACAGAGTGGAACGTCCCTTTAGACAGAGCAGATTTGAAACACTCTTTTTGCGGAATTTGCAAGTGGAGATTTCTAGCCATTTGATGCCAACAGTAGAAAGGGAAATATCTTCAAATAAAAACCAGACAGAATCATTCTCAGAAAATTCTTTGTGATGTGTGCGTTCAACTCACATAGTTTAACCTTTCTTTTCATAGAGCAGTTTGGAAACACTCTGTTTGTAAAGTCTGCAAGTGGATATATGGACCGCATTGAGGCCTTCGTTGGAAACGGGATTTCTTCATTTCATGCTAGACAGAAGAATTCTCAGTAACTTCTTTGTGCTGTGTGTATTCAAGTCACAGAGTGGAACGTCCCTTTGCACAGAGCAGATTTGAAACACTCTTTTTGTGGAATTTGCAAGTGGAGATTTCAAGCGATTTGATGCCAACAGTAGAAAAGGAAATATCTTCAAATAAAAACTAGACAGAATCATTCTCAGAAACTACTTTGTGATGTGTGCCTTCAACTCACAGAGTTTAACCTTTCTTTTCTTAGAGCAGTTTAGAAACACTCTGCTTGTTATGTCTGCAAGTGGATATTTGGACCTCTTTGAGGCCTTCGTTGCAAACGGGGTTTCTTCCTTTCATGCTAGACTAAGAAGAGTTCTCAGTAACTTTTTTGTGTTGTGTGTATTCAACTCACAGAGTTGAACCTTGCTTTAGAGAGAGCAGATTTGAAACACTCTTGCTGTGGCATTTTCAGGTGGAGATTTCAAGCGATTTGAGGACAATTGCAGAAAAGGAAATATCTTCGTATAATAACCAGACAGAATCATTCTCAGAAAGTGCTTTGTGATGTGTGCGTTCCACTCACAGAGTTTAACCTTTCTTTTCATAGAGGAGTTTGGAAACACACTGTTTGTAAACTCTGCAAGTGGATATATGGACCTGTTTGAGGCCTTCGTTGGAAACGGGATTTCTTCATTGAATGCTAGACGGAAGAATTCTCAGTAAATTCTTTGTGTTGTGTGCATTCAACTCACAGAGTGGAACGTCCCTTTAGACAGAGCAGATTTGAAACACTCTTTTTGCGGAATTTGCAAGTGGAGATTTCTAGCCATTTGATGCCAACAGTAGAAAGGGAAATATCTTCAAATAAAAACCAGACAGAATCATTCTCAGAAAATTCTTTGTGATGTGTGCGTTCAACTCACATAGTTTAACCTTTCTTTTCATAGAGCAGTTTGGAAACACTCTGTTTGTAAAGTCTGCAAGTGGATATATGGACCGCATTGAGGCCTTCGTTGGAAACGGGATTTCTTCATTTCATGCTAGACAGAAGAATTCTCAGTAACTTCTTTGTGCTGTGTGTATTCAACTCACAGACTGGAACGTCCGTTTGCACAGAGCAGATTTGAAACACTCTTTTTGTGGAATTTGCAAGTGGAGATTTCAAGCGATTTGATGCCAACAGTAGAAAAGGAAATATCTTCAAATAAAAACTAGACAGAACCATTCTCAGAAACTACTTTGTGATGTGTGCCTTCAACTCACAGAGTTTAACCTTTCTTTTCTTAGAGCAGTTTAGAAACACTCTGCTTGTTATGTCTGCAACTGGATATTTGGACCTCCTTTGAGGCCTTCGTTGCAAACGGGGTTTCTTCCTTTCATGCTAGACTAAGAAGAGTTCTCAGTAACTTTTTTGTGTTGTGTGTATTCAACTCACAGAGTTGAACCTTGCTTTAGAGAGAGCAGATATGAAACACTCTTGCTGTGGCATTTTCACGTGGAGATTTCAAGCGATTTAAGGACAATTGCAGAAAAGGAAATATCTTCGTATAATAACCAGACAGAATCATTCTCAGAAAGTGCTTTGTGATGTGTGCGTTCAACTCACAGAGTTTAACCTTTCTTTTCATAGAGGAGTTTGGAAACACACTGTTTGTAAAGTCTGCAATTGGATATATGGACCTGTTTGAGGCCTTCGTTGGAAACGGGATTTCTTCATTGAATGCTAGACGGAAGAATTCTCAGTAAATTCTTTGTGTTGTGTGCATTCAACTCACAGAGTGGAACGTCCCTTTAGACAGAGCAGATTTGAAACACTCTTTTTGCGGAATTTGCAAGTGGAGATTTCTAGCCATTTGATGCCAACAGTAGAAAGGGAAATATCTTCAAATAAAAACCAGACAGAATCATTCTCAGAAAATTCTTTGTGATGTGTGCGTTCAACTCACATAGTTTAACCTTTCTTTTCATAGAGCAGTTTGGAAACACTCTGTTTGTAAAGTCTGCAAGTGGATATATGGACCGCATTGAGGCCTTCGTTGGAAACGGGATTTCTTCATTTCATGCTAGACAGAAGAATTCTCAGTAACTTCTTTGTGCTGTGTGTATTCAACTCACAGAGTGGAACGTCCCTTTGCACAGAGCAGATTTGAAACACTCTTTTTGTGGAGTTTGCAAGTGGAGATTTCAAGCGATTTGATGCCAACAGTAGAAAAGGAAATATCTTCAAATAAAAACTAGACAGAATCATTCTCAGAAACTACTTTGTGATGTGTGCCTTCAACTCACAGAGTTTAACCTTTCTTTTCTTAGAGCAGTTTAGAAACACTCTGCTTGTTATGTCTGCAAGTGGATATTTGGACCTCTTTGAGGCCTTCGTTGCAAACGGGGTTTCTTCCTTTCATGCTAGACTAAGAAGAGTTCTCAGTAACTTTTTTGTGTTGTGTGTATTCAACTCACAGAGTTGAACCTTGCTTTAGAGAGAGCAGATTTGAAACACTCTTGCTGTGGCATTTTCAGGTGGAGATTTCAAGCGATTTGAGGACAATTACAGAAAAGGAAATATCTTCGTATAACAACCAGACAGAATCATTCTCAGAAAGTGCTTTGTGATGTGTGCGTTCCACTCACAGAGTTTAACCTTTCTTTTCATAGAGGAGTTTGGAAACACACTGTTTGTAAAGTCTGCAAGTGGATATATGGACCTGTTTGAGGCCTTCGTTGGAAACGGGATTTCTTCATTGAATGCTAGACGGAAGAATTCTCAGTAAATTCTTTGTGTTGTGTGCATTCAACTCACAGAGTGGAACGTCCCTTTAGACAGAGCAGATTTGAAACACTCTTTTTGCGGAATTTGCAAGTGGAGATTTCTAGCCATTTGATGCCAACAGTAGAAAGGGAAATATCTTCAAATAAAAACCAGACAGAATCATTCTCAGAAAATTCTTTGTGATGTGTGCGTTCAACTCACATAGTTTAACCTTTCTTTTCATAGAGCAGTTTGGAAACACTCTGTTTGTAAAGTCTGCAAGTGGATATATGGACCGCATTGAGGCCTTCGTTGGAAACGGGATTTCTTCATTTCATGCTAGACAGAAGAATTCTCAGTAACTTCTTTGTGCTGTGTGTATTCAACTCACAGAGTGGAACGTCCCTTTACACAGAGCAGATTTGAAACACTCTTTTTGTGGAGTTTGCAAGTGGAGATTTCAAGCGATTTGATGCCAACAGTAGAAAAGGAAATATCTTCAAATAAAAACTAGACAGAATCATTCTCAGAAACTACTTTGTGATATGTGCCTTCAACTCACAGAGTTTAACCTTTCTTTTCTTAGAGCAGTTTAGAAACACTCTGCTTGTTATGTCTGCAAGTGGATATTTGGACCTCTTTGAGGCCTTCGTTGCAAACGGGGTTTCTTCCTTTCATGCTAGACTAAGAAGAGTTCTCAGTAACTTTTTTGTGTTGTGTGTATTCAACTCACAGAGTTGAACCTTGCTTTAGAGAGAGCAGATTTGAAACACTCTTGCTGTGGCATTTTCAGGTGGAGATTTCAAGCGATTTGAGGACAATTGCAGAAAAGGAAATATCTTCGTATAATAACCAGACAGAATCATTCTCAGAAAGTGCTTTGTGATGTGTGCGTTCAACTCACAGAGTTTAACCTTTCTTTTCATAGAGGAGTTTGGAAACACACTGTTTGTAAAGTCTGCAAGTGGATATATGGACCTGTTTGAGGCCTTCGTTGGAAACGGGATTTCTTCATTGAATGCTATACGGAAGAATTCTCAGTAAATTCTTTGTGTTGTGTGCATTCAACTCACAGAGTGGAACGTCCCTTTAGACAGAGCAGATTTGAAACACTCTTTTTGCGGAATTTGCAAGTGGAGATTTCTAGCCATTTGATGCCAACAGTAGAAAGGGAAATATTTTCAAATAAAAACCAGACAGAATCATTCTCAGAAAATTCTTTGTGATGTGTGCGTTCAACTCACATAGTTTAACCTTTCTTTTCATAGAGCAGTTTGGAAACACTCTGTTTGTAAAGTCTGCAAGTGGATATATGGACCGCATTGAGGCCTTCGTTGGAAACGGGATTTCTTCATTTCATGCTAGACAGAAGAATTCTCAGTAACTTCTTTGTGCTGTGTGTATTCAACTCACAGAGTGGAACGTCCCTTTGCACAGAGCAGATTTGAAACACTCTTTTTGTGGAATTTGCAAGTGGAGATTTCAAGCGATTTGATGCCAACAGTAGAAAAGGAAATATCTTCAAATAAAAACTAGACAGAATCATTCTCAGAAACTACTTTGTGATGTGTGCCTTCAACTCACAGAGTTTAACCTTTCTTTTCTTAGAGCAGTTTAGAAACACTCTGCTTGTTATGTCTGCAAGTGGATATTTGGACCTCTTTGAGGCCTTCGTTGCAAACGGGGTTTCTTCCTTTAATGCTAGACTAAGAAGAGTTCTCAGTAACTTTTTTGTGTTGTGTGTATTCAACTCACAGAGTTGAACCTTGCTTTAGAGAGAGCAGATTTGAAACACTCTTGCTGTGGCATTTTCAGGTGGAGATTTCAAGCGATTTGAGGACAATTGCAGAAAAGGAAATATCTTCGTATAATAACCAGACAGAATCATTCTCAGAAAGTGCTTTGTGATGTGTGCGTTCAACTCACAGAGTTTAACCTTTCTTTTCATAGAGGAGTTTGGAAACACACTGTTTGTAAAGTCTGCAAGTGGATATATGGACCGCTTTGAGGCATTCGTTGGAAACGGGATTTCTTCATTGAATGCTAGACAGAAGAATTCTCAGTAAATTCTTTGTGTTGTGTGCATTCAACTCACAGAGTGGAACGTCCCTTTAGACAGAGCAGATTTGAAACACTCTTTTTGCGGAATTTGCAAGTGGAGATTTCTAGCCATTTGATGCCAACAGTAGAAAGGGAAATATCTTCAAATAAAAACCAGACAGAATCATTCTCAGAAAATTCTTTGTGATGTGTGCGTTCAACTCACATAGTTTAACCTTTCTTTTCATAGAGCAGTTTGGAAACACTCTGTTTGTAAAGTCTGCAAGTGGATATATGGACCGCATTGAGGCCTTCGTTGGAAACGGGATTTCTTCATTTCATGCTAGACAGAAGAATTCTCAGTAACTTCTTTGTGCTGTGTGTATTCAACTCACAGAGTGGAACGTCCCTTTGCACAGAGCAGATTTGAAACACTCTTTTTGTGGAATTTGCAAGTGGAGATTTCAAGCGATTTGATGCCAACAGTAGAAAAGGAAATATCTTCAAATAAAAACTAGACAGAATCATTCTCAGAAACTACTTTGTGATGTGTGCCTTCAACTCACAGAGTTTAACCTTTCTTTTCTTAGAGCAGTTTAGAAACACTCTGCTTGTTATGTCTGCAAGTGGATATTTTGACCTCTTTGAGGCCTTCGTTGCAAACGGGGTTTCTTCTTTTCATGCTAGACTAAGAAGAGTTCTCAGTAACTTTTTTGTGTTGTGTGTATTCAACTCACAGAGTTGAACCTTGCTTTAGAGAGAGCAGATTTGAAACACTCTTGCTGTGGCATTTTCAGGTGGAGATTTCAAGCGATTTGAGGACAATTGCAGAAAAGGAAATATCTTCGTATAATAACCAGACAGAATCATTCTCAGAAAGTGCTTTGTGATGTGTGCGTTCAACTCACAGAGTTTAACCTTTCTTTTCATAGAGGAGTTTGGAAACACACTGTTTGTAAAGTCTGCAAGTGGATATATGGACCTGTTTGAGGCCTTCGTTGGAAACGGGATTTCTTCATTGAATGCTAGACGGAAGAATTCTCAGTAAATTCTTTGTGTTGTGTGCATTCAACTCACAGAGTGGAACGTCCCTTTAGACAGAGCAGATTTGAAACACTCTTTTTGCGGAATTTGCAAGTGGAGATTTCTAGCCATTTGATGCCAACAGTAGAAAGGGAAATATCTTCAAATAAAAACCAGACAGAATCATTCTCAGAAAATTCTTTGTGATGTGTGCGTTCAACTCACATAGTTTAACCTTTCTTTTCATAGAGCAGTTTGGAAACACTCTGTTTGTAAAGTCTGCAAGTGGATATATGGACCGCATTGAGGCCTTCGTTGGAAACGGGATTTCTTCATTTCATGCTAGACAGAAGAATTCTCAGTAACTTCTTTGTGCTGTGTGTATTCAACTCACAGTGTGGAACGTCCCTTTACACAGAGCAGATTTGAAACACTCTTTTTGTGGAGTTTGCAAGTGGAGATTTCAAGCGATTTGATGCCAACAGTAGAAAATGAAATATCTTCAAATAAAAACTAGACAGAATCATTCTCAGAAACTACTTTGTGATGTGTGCCTTCAACTCACAGAGTTTAACCTTTCTTTTCTTAGAGCAGTTTAGAAACACTCTGCTTGTTATGTCTGCAAGTGGATATTTGGACCTCTTTGAGGCCTTCGTTGCAAACGGGGTTTCTTCCTTTAATGCTAGACTAAGAAGAGTTCTCAGTAACTTTTTTGTGTTGTGTGTATTCAACTCACAGAGTTGAACCTTGCTTTAGAGAGAGCAGATTTGAAACACTCTTGCTGTGGCATTTTCAGGTGGAGATTTCAAGCGATTTGAGGACAATTACAGAAAAGGAAATATCTTCGTATAACAACCAGACAGAATCATTCTCAGAAAATTCTTTGTGATGTGTGCGTTCAACTCACAGAGTTTAACCTTTCTTTTCATAGAGGAGTTTGGAAACACACTGTTTGTAAAGTCTGCAATTGGATATATGGACCTGTTTGAGGCCTTCGTTGGAAACGGGATTTCTTCATTGACTGCTAGACAGAAGAATTCTCAGTAAATTCTTTGTGTTGTGTGCATTCAACTCACAGAGTGGAACGTCCCTTTAGACAGAGCAGATTTGAAACACTCTTTTTGCGGAATTTGCAAGTGGAGATTTCTAGCCATTTGATGCCAACAGTAGAAAGGGAAATATCTTCAAATAAAAACCAGACAGAATCATTCTCAGAAAATTCTTTGTGATGTGTGCGTTCAACTCACATAGTTTAACCTTTCTTTTCATAGAGCAGTTTGGAAACACTCTGTTTGTAAAGTCTGCAAGTGGATATATGGACCGCATTGAGGCCTTCGTTGGAAACGGGATTTCTTCATTTCATGCTAGACAGAAGAATTCTCAGTAACTTCTTTGTGCTGTGTGTATTCAACTCACAGAGTGGAACGTCCCTTTACACAGAGCAGATTTGAAACACTCTTTTTGTGGAGTTTGCAAGTGGAGATTTCAAGCGATTTGATGCCAACAGTAGAAAAGGAAATATCTTCAAATAAAAACTAGACAGAATCATTCTCAGAAACTACTTTGTGATGTGTGCCTTCAACTCACAGAGTTTAACCTTTCTTTTCTTAGAGCAGTTTAGAAACACTCTGCTTGTTATGTCTGCAAGTGGATATTTGGACCTCTTTGAGGCCTTCGTTGCAAACGGGGTTTCTTCCTTTCATGCTAGACTAAGAAGAGTTCTCAGTAACTTTTTTGTGTTGTGTGTATTCAACTCACAGAGTTGAACCTTGCTTTAGAGAGAGCAGATTTGAAACACTCTTGCTGTGGCATTTTCAGGTGGAGATTTCAAGCGATTTGAGGACAATTGCAGAAAAGGAAATATCTTCGTATAATAACCAGACAGAATCATTCTCAGAAAGTGCTTTGTGATGTGTGCGTTCAACTCACAGAGTTTAACCTTTCTTTTCATAGAGGAGTTTGGAAACACACTGTTTGTAAAGTCTGCAAGTGGATACATGGACCTGTTTGAGGCCTTCGTTGGAAACGGGATTTCTTCATTGAATGCTAGACGGAAGAATTCTCAGTAAATTCTTTGTGTTGTGTGCATTCAACTCACAGAGTGGAACGTCCCTTTAGACAGAGCAGATTTGAAACTCTCTTTTTGCGGAATTTGCAAGTGGAGATTTCTAGCCATTTGATGCCAACAGTAGAAAGGGAAATATCTTCAAATAAAAACCAGACAGAATCATTCTCAGAAAATTCTTTGTGATGTGTGCGTTCAACTCACATAGTTTAACCTTTCTTTTCATAGAGCAGTTTGGAAACACTCTGTTTGTAAAGTCTGCAAGTGGATATATGGACCGCATTGAGGCCTTCGTTGGAAACGGGATTTCTTCATTTCATGCTAGACAGAAGAATTCTCAGTAACTTCTTTGTGCTGTGTGTATTCAACTCACAGAGTGGAACATCCCTTTGCACAGAGCAGATTTGAAACACTCTTTTTGTGGAGTTTGCAAGTGGAGATTTCAAGCGATTTGATGCCAACAGTAGAAAAGGAAATATCTTCAAATAAAAACTAGACAGAATCATTCTCAGAAACTACTTTGTGATGTGTGCCTTCAACTCACAGAGTTTAACCTTTCTTTTCTGAGAGCAGTTTAGAAACACTCTGCTTGTTATGTCTGCAAGTGGATATTTGGACCTCTTTGAGGCCTTCGTTGCAAACGGGGTTTCTTCCTTTCATGCTAGACTAAGAAGAGTTCTCAGTAACTTTTTTGTGTTGTGTGTATTCAACTCACAGAGTTGAACCTTGCTTTAGAGAGAGCAGATTTGAAACACTCTCGCTGTGGCATTTTCAGGTGGAGATTTCAAGCGATTTGAGGACAATTGCAGAAAAGGAAATATCTTCGTATAATAACCAGACAGAATCATTCTCAGAAAGTGCTTTGTGATGTGTGCGTTCAACTCACAGAGTTTAACCTTTCTTTTCATAGAGGAGTTTGGAAACACACTGTTTGTAAAGTCTGCAATTGGATATATGGACCTGTTTGAGGCCTTCGTTGGAAACGGGATTTCTTCATTGAATGCTAGACGGAAGAATTCTCAGTAAATTCTTTGTGTTGTGTGCATTCAACTCACAGAGTGGAACGTCCCTTTAGACAGAGCAGATTTGAAACACTCTTTTTGCGGAATTTGCAAGTGGAGATTTCTAGCCATTTGATGCCAACAGTAGAAAGGGAAATATCTTCAAATAAAAACCAGACAGAATCATTCTCAGAAAATTCTTTGTGATGTGTGCGTTCAACTCACATAGTTTAACCTTTCTTTTCATAGAGCAGTTTGGAAACACTCTGTTTGTAAAGTCTGCAAGTGGATATATGGACCGCATTGAGGCCTTCGTTGGAAACGGGATTTCTTCATTTCATGCTAGACAGAAGAATTCTCAGTAACTTCTTTGTGCTGTGTGTATTCAACTCACAGAGTGGAACGTCCCTTTACACAGAGCAGATTTGAAACACTCTTTTTGTGGAGTTTGCAAGTGGAGATTTCAAGCGATTTGATGCCAACAGTAGAAAAGGAAATATCTTCAAATAAAAACTAGACAGAATCATTCTCAGAAACTACTTTGTGATGTGTGCCTTCAACTCACAGAGTTTAACCTTTCTTTTCTTAGAGCACTTTAGAAACACTCTGCTTGTTATGTCTGCAAGTGGATATTTGGACCTCTTTGAGGCCTTCGTTGCAAACGGGGTTTCTTCCTTTCATGCTAGACTAAGAAGAGTTCTCAGTAACTTTTTTGTGTTGTGTGTATTCAACTCACAGAGTTGAACCTTGCTTTAGAGAGAGCAGATTTGAAACACTCTTGCTGTGGCATTTTCAGGTGGAGATTTCAAGCGATTTGAGGACAATTGCAGAAAAGGAAATATCTTCGTATAACAACCAGACAGAATCATTCTCAGAAAGTGCTTTGTGATGTGTGCGTTCAACTCACA
Source organism: Homo sapiens (assembly GCF_000001405.40). Taxonomy (NCBI): domain Eukaryota; kingdom Metazoa; phylum Chordata; class Mammalia; order Primates; family Hominidae; genus Homo; species Homo sapiens. The sequence goes on from NC_000007.14 coordinate 59,736,851, forward strand.
GAGTTTAACCTTTCTTTTCATAGAGGAGTTTGGAAACACACTGTTTGTAAAGTCTGCAATTGGATATATGGACCTGTTTGAGGCCTTCGTTGGAAACGGGATTTCTTCATTGAATGCTAGACGGAAGAATTCTCAGTAAATTCTTTGTGTGGTGTGCATTCAACTCACAGAGTGGAACGTCCCTTTAGACAGAGCAGATTTGAAACACTCTTTTTGCGGAATTTGCAAGTGGAGATTTCTAGCCATTTGATGCCAACAGTAGAAAGGGAAATATCTTCAAATAAAAACCAGACAGAATCATTCTCAGAAAATTCTTTGTGATGTGTGCGTTCAACTCACATAGTTTAACCTTTCTTTTCATAGAGCAGTTTGGAAACACTCTGTTTGTAAAGTCTGCAAGTGGATATATGGACCGCATTGAGGCCTTCGTTGGAAACGGGATTTCTTCATTTCATGCTAGACAGAAGAATTCTCAGTAACTTCTTTGTGCTGTGTGTATTCAACTCACAGAGTGGAACGTCCCTTTGCACAGAGCAGATTTGAAACACTCTTTTTGTGGAGTTTGCAAGTGGAGATTTCAAGCGATTTGATGCCAACAGTAGAAAAGGAAATATCTTCAAATAAAAACTAGACAGAATCATTCTCAGAAACTACTTTGTGATGTGTGCCTTCAACTCACAGAGTTTAACCTTTCTTTTCTTAGAGCAGTTTAGAAACACTCTGCTTGTTATGTCTGCAAGTGGATATTTGGACCTCTTTGAGGCCTTCGTTGCAAACGGGGTTTCTTCCTTTCATGCTAGACTAAGAAGAGTTCTCAGTAACTTTTTTGTGTTGTGTGTATTCAACTCACAGAGTTGAACCTTGCTTTAGAGAGAGCAGATTTGAAACACTCTTGCTGTGGCATTTTCAGGTGGAGATTTCAAGCGATTTGAGGACAATTGCAGAAAAGGAAATATCTTCGTATAATAACCAGACAGAATCATTCTCAGAAAATTCTTTGTGATGTGTGCGTTCAACTCACATAGTTTAACCTTTCTTTTCATAGAGCAGTTTGGAAACACTCTGTTTGTAAAGTCTGCAAGTGGATATTTGGACCTCTTTGAGGCCTTCGTTGCAAACGGGGTTTCTTCCTTTCATGCTAGACTAAGAAGAATTCTCAGTAAATTCTTTGTGTTGTGTGCATTCAACTCACAGAGTGGAACGTCCCTTTAGACAGAGCAGATTTGAAACACTCTTTTTGCGGAATTTGCAAGTGGAGATTTCTAGCCATTTGATGCCAACAGTAGAAAGGGAAATATCTTCAAATAAAAACCAGACAGAATCATTCTCAGAAAATTCTTTGTGATGTGTGCGTTCAACTCACATAGTTTAACCTTTCTTTTCATAGAGCAGTTTGGAAACACTCTGTTTGTAAAGTCTGCAAGTGGATATATGGACCGCATTGAGGCCTTCGTTGGAAACGGGATTTCTTCATTTCATGCTAGACAGAAGAATTCTCAGTAACTTCTTTGTGCTGTGTGTATTCAACTCACAGAGTGGAACGTCCCTTTACACAGAGCAGATTTGAAACACTCTTTTTGTGGAGTTTGCAAGTGGAGATTTCAAGCGATTTGATGCCAACAGTAGAAAAGGAAATATCTTCAAATAAAAACTAGACAGAATCATTCTCAGAAACTACTTTGTGATGTGTGCCTTCAACTCACAGAGTTTAACCTTTCTTTTCTTAGAGCAGTTTAGAAACACTCTGCTTGTTATGTCTGCAAGTGGATATTTGGACCTCTTTGAGGCCTTCGTTGCAAACGGGGTTTCTTCCTTTCATGCTAGACTAAGAAGAGTTCTCAGTAACTTTTTTGTGTTGTGTGTATTCAACTCACAGAGTTGAACCTTGCTTTAGAGAGAGCAGATTTGAAACACTCTTGCTGTGGCATTTTCAGGTGGAGATTTCAAGCGATTTGAGGACAATTGCAGAAAAGGAAATATCTTCGTATAATAACCAGACAGAATCATTCTCAGAAAGTGCTTTGTGATGTGTGCGTTCCACTCACAGAGTTTAACCTTTCTTTTCATAGAGGAGTTTGGAAACACACTGTTCGTAAAGTCTGCAAGTGGATATATGGACCTGTTTGAGGCCTTCGTTGGAAACGGGATTTCTTCATTGAATGCTAGACGGAAGAATTCTCAGTAAATTCTTTGTGTTGTGTGCATTCAACTCACAGAGTGGAACGTCCCTTTAGACAGAGCAGATTTGAAACACTCTTTTTGCGGAATTTGCAAGTGGAGATTTCTAGCCATTTGATGCCAACAGTAGAAAGGGAAATATCTTCAAATAAAAACCAGACAGAATCATTCTCAGAAAATTCTTTGTGATGTGTGCGTTCAACTCACATAGTTTAACCTTTCTTTTCATAGAGCAGTTTGGAAACACTCTGTTTGTAAAGTCTGCAAGTGGATATATGGACCGCATTGAGGCCTTCGTTGGAAACGGGATTTCTTCATTTCATGCTAGACAGAAGAATTCTCAGTAACTTCTTTGTGCTGTGTGTATTCAACTCACAGAGTGGAACGTCCCTTTGCACAGAGCGGATTTGAAACACTCTTTTTGTGGAGTTTGCAAGTGGAGATTTCAAGCGATTTGATGCCAACAGTAGAAAAGGAAATATCTTCAAATAAAAACTAGACAGAATCATTCTCAAAAACTACTTTGTGATGTGTGCCTTCAACTCACAGAGTTTAACCTTTCTTTTCTTAGAGCAGTTTAGAAACACTCTGCTTGTTATGTCTGCAAGTGGATATTTGGGCCTCTTTGAGGCCTTCGTTGCAAACGGGGTTTCTTCCTTTCATGCTAGACTAAGAAGAGTTCTCAGTAACTTTTTTGTGTTGTGTGTATTCAACTCACAGAGTTGAACCTTGCTTTAGAGAGAGCAGATTTGAAACACTCTTGATGTGGCATTTTCAGGTGGAGATTTCAAGCGATTTGAGGACAATTGCAGAAAAGGAAATATCTTCGTATAATAACCAGACAAAATCATTCTCAGAAAGTGCTTTGTGATGTGTGCGTTCAACTCACAGAGTTTAACCTTTCTTTTCATAGAGGAGTTTGGAAACACACTGTTTGTAAAGTCTGCAATTGGATATATGGACCTGTTTGAGGCCTTCGTTGGAAACGGGATTTCTTCATTGAATGCTAGGCGGAAGAAATCTCAGTAAATTCTTTGTGTTGTGTGCATTCAACTCACAGAGTGGAACGTCCCTTTAGACAGAGCAGATTTGAAACACTCTTTTTGCGGAATTTGCAAGTGGAGATTTCTAGCCATTTGATGCCAACAGTAGAAAGGGAAATATCTTCAAATAAAAACCAGACAGAATCATTCTCAGAAAATTCTTTGTGATGTGTGCGTTCAACTCACATAGTTTAACCTTTCTTTTCATAGAGCAGTTTGGAAACACTCTGTTTGTAAAGTCTGCAAGTGGATATATGGACCGCATTGAGGCCTTCGTTGGAAACGGGATTTCCTTCATTTCATGCTAGACAGAAGAATTCTCAGTAACTTCTTTGTGCTGTGTGTATTCAACTCACAGAGTGGAACGTCCCTTTGCACAGAGCAGATTTGAAACACTCTTTTTGTGGAGTTTGCAAGTGGAGATTTCAAGCGATTTGATGCCAACAGTAGAAAAGGAAATATCTTCAAATAAAAACTAGACAGAATCATTCTCAGAAACTACTTTGTGATGTGTGCCTTCAACTCACAGAGTTTAACCTTTCTTTTCTTAGAGCAGTTTAGAAACACTCTGCTTGTTATGTCTGCAAGTGGATATTTGGACCTCTTTGAGGCCTTCGTTGCAAACGGGGTTTCTTCTTTCATGCTAGACTAAGAAGAGTTCTCAGTAACTTTTTTGTGTTGTGTGTATTCAACTCACAGAGTTGAACCTTGCTTTAGAGAGAGCAGATTTGAAACACTCTTGCTGTGACATTTTCAGGTGGAGATTTCAAGCGATTTGAGGACAATTGCAGAAAAGGAAATATCTTCGTATAATAACCAGAAAGAATCATTCTCAGAAAGTGCCTTGTGATGTGTGCGTTCAACTCACAGAGTTTAACCTTTCTTTTCATAGAGGAGTTTGGAAACACACTGTTTGTAAAGTCTGCAAGTGGATATATGGACGTGTTTGAGGCCTTCGTTGGAAACGGGATTTCTTCATTGAATGCTAGACGGAAGAATTCTCAGTAAATTCTTTGTGTTGTGTGCATTCAACTCACAGAGTGGAACGTCCCTTTAGACAGAGCAGATTTGAAACACTCTTTTTGCGGAATTTGCAAGTGGAGATTTCTAGCCATTTGATGCCAACAGTAGAAAGGGAAATATCTTCAAATAAAAACCAGACAGAATCATTCTCAGAAAATTCTTTGTGATGTGTGCGTTCAACTCACATAGTTTAACCTTTCTTTTCATAGAGCAGTTTGGAAACACTCTGTTTGTAAAGTCTGCAAGTGGATATATGGACCGCATTGAGGCCTTCGTTGGAAACGGGATTTCTTCATTTCATGCTAGACAGAAGAATTCTCAGTAGCTTCTTTGTGCTGTGTGTATTCAACTCACAGAGTGGAACGTCCCTTTACACAGAGCAGATTTGAAACACTCTTTTTGTTGAATTTGCAAGTGGAGATTTCAAGCGATTTGATGCCAACAGTAGAAAAGGAAATATCTTCAAATAAAAACTAGACAGAATCATTCTCAGAAACTACTTTGTGATGTGTGCCTTCAACTCACAGAGTTTAACCTTTCTTTTCTTAGAGCAGTTTAGAAACACTCTGCTTGTTATGTCTGCAAGTGGATATTTGGACCCCTTTGAGGCCTTCGTTGCAAACGGGGTTTCTTCCTTTCATGCTAGACTAAGAAGAGTTCTCAGTAACTTTTTTGTGTTGTGTGTATTCAACTCACAGAGTCGAACCTTGCTTTAGAGAGAGCAGATTTGAAACACTCTTGCTGTGGCATTTTCAGGTGGAGATTTCAAGCGATTTGAGGACAATTGCAGAAAAGGAAATATCTTCGTATAATAACCAGACAGAATCATTCTCAGAAAGTGCTTTGTGATGTGTGCGTTCAACTCACAGAGTTTAACCTTTCTTTTCATAGAGGAGTTTGGAAACACACTGTTTGTAAAGTCTGCAAGTGGATATATGGACCTGTTTGAGGCCTTCGTTGGAAACGGGATTTCTTCATTGAATGCTAGACGGAAGAATTCTCAGTAAATTCTTTGTGTTGTGTGCATTCAACTCACAGAGTGGAACGTCCCTTTAGACAGAGCAGATTTGAAACACTCTTTTTGCGGAATTTGCAAGTGGAGATTTCTAGCCATTTGATGCCAACAGTAGAAAGGGAAACATCTTCAAATAAAAACCAGACAGAATCATTCTCAGAAAATTCTTTGTGATGTGTGCGTTCAACTCACATAGTTTAACCTTTCTTTTCATAGAGCAGTTTGGAAACACTCTGTTTGTAAAGTCTGCAAGTGGATATATGGACCGCATTGAGGCCTTCGTTGGAAACGGGATTTCTTCATTTCATGCTAGACAGAAGAATTCTCAGTAACTTCTTTGTGCTGTGTGTATTCAACTCACAGAGTGGAACGTCCCTTTGCACAGAGCAGATTTGAAACACTCTTTTTGTGGAGTTTGCAAGTGGAGATTTCAAGCGATTTGATGCCAACAGTAGAAAAGGAAATATCTTCAAATAAAAACTAGACAGAATCATTCTCAGAAACTACTTTGTGATGTGTGCCTTCAACTCACAGAGTTTAACCTTTCTTTTCTTAGAGCAGTTTAGAAACACTCTGCTTGTTATGTCTGCAAGTGGATATTTGGACCTCTTTGAGGCCTTCGTTGCAAACGGGGTTTCTTCCTTTCATGCTAGACTAAGAAGAGTTCTCAGTAACTTTTTTGTGTTGTGTGTATTCAACTCACAGAGTTGAACCTTGCTTTAGAGAGAGCAGATTTGAAACACTCTTGCTGTGGCATTTTCAGGTGGAGATTTCAAGCGATTTGAGGACAATTGCAGAAAAGGAAATATCTTCGTATAACAACCAGACAGAAATCATTCTCAGAAAGTGCTTTGTGATGTGTGCGTTCCACTCACAGAGTTTAACCTTTCTTTTCATAGAGGAGTTTGGAAACACACTGTTTGTAAAGTCTGCAAGTGGATATATGGACCTCTTTGAGGCCTTCGTTGGAAACGGGATTTCTTCATTGAATGCTAGACGGAAGAATTCTCAGTAAATTCTTTGTGTTGTGTGCATTCAACTCACAGAGTGGAACGTCCCTTTAGACAGAGCAGATTTGAAACACTCTTTTTGCGGAATTTGCAAGTGGAGATTTCTAGCCATTTGATGCCAACAGTAGAAAGGGAAATATCTTCAAATAAAAACCAGACAGAATCATTCTCAGAAAATTCTTTGTGATGTGTGCGTTCAACTCACATAGTTTAACCTTTCTTTTCATAGAGCAGTTTGGAAACACTCTGTTTGTAAAGTCTGCAAGTGGATATATGGACCGCATTGAGGCCTTCGTTGGAAACGGGATTTCTTCATTTCATGCTAGACAGAAGAATTCTCAGTAACTTCTTTGTGCTGTGTGTATTCAACTCACAGAGTGGAACGTCCCTTTGCACAGAGCAGATTTGAAACACTCTTTTTGTGGAATTTGCAAGTGGAGATTTCAAGCGATTTGATGCCAACAGTAGAAAAGGAAATATCTTCAAATAAAAACTAGACAGAATCATTCTCAGAAACTACTTTGTGATGTGTGCCTTCAACTCACAGAGTTTAACCTTTCTTTTCTTAGAGCAGTTTAGAAACACTCTGCTTGTTATGTCTGCAAGTGGATATTTGGACCTCTTTGAGGCCTTCGTTGCAAACGGGGTTTCTTCCTTTCATGCTAGACTAAGAAGAGTTCTCAGTAACTTTTTTGTGTTGTGTGTATTCAACTCACAGAGTTGAACCTTGCTTTAGAGAGAGCAGATTTGAAACACTCTTGCTGTGGCATTTTCAGGTGGAGATTTCAAGCGATTTGAGGACAATTGCAGAAAAGGAAATATCTTCGTATAATAACCAGACAGAATCATTCTCAGAAAGTGCTTTGTGATGTGTGCGTTCCACTCACAGAGTTTAACCTTTCTTTTCATAGAGGAGTTTGGAAACACACTGTTTGTAAAGTCTGCAAGTGGATATATGGACCTGTTTGAGGCCTTCGTTGGAAACGGGATTTCTTCATTGAATGCTAGACGGAAGAATTCTCAGTAAATTCTTTGTGTGGTGTGCATTCAACTCACAGAGTGGAACGTCCCTTTAGACAGAGCAGATTTGAAACACTCTTTTTGCGGAATTTGCAAGTGGAGATTTCTAGCCATTTGATGCCAACAGTAGAAAGGGAAATATCTTCAAATAAAAACCAGACAGAATCATTCTCAGAAAATTCTTTGTGATGTGTGCGTTCAACTCACACAGTTTAACCTTTCTTTTCTTAGAGCAGTTTAGAAACACTCTGCTTGTTATGTCTGCAAGTGGATATTTGGACCTCTTTGAGGCCTTCGTTGCAAACGGGGTTTCTTCCTTTCATGCTAGACTAAGAAGAGTTCTCAGTAACTTTTTTGTGTTGTGTGTATTCAACTCACAGAGTTGAACCATGCTTTAGAGAGAGCAGATTTGAAACACTCTTGCTGTGGCATTTTCAGGTGGAGATTTCAAGCGATTTGAGGACAATTGCAGAAAAGGAAATATCTTCGTATAACAACCAGACAGAATCATTCTCAGAAAGTGCTTTGTGATGTGTGCGTTCCACTCACAGAGTTTAACCTTTCTTTTCATAGAGGAGTTTGGAAACACACTGTTTGTAAAGTCTGCAAGTGGATATATGGACCTGTTTGAGGCCTTCGTTGGAAACGGGATTTCTTCATTGAATGCTAGACGGAAGAATTCTCAGTAAATTCTTTGTGTTGAGTGCATTCAACTCACAGAGTGGAACGTCCCTTTAGACAGAGCAGATTTGAAACACTCTTTTTGCGGAATTTGCAAGTGGAGATTTCTAGCCATTTGATGCCAACAGTAGAAAGGGAAATATCTTCAAATAAAAAACAGACAGAATCATTCTCAGAAAATTCTTTGTGATGTGTGCATTCATCTCACATAGTTTAACCTTTCTTTTCATAGAGCAGTTTGGAAACACTCTGTTTGTAAAGTCTGCAAGTGGATATATGGACTGCATTGAGGCCTTCGTTGGAAACGGGATTTCTTCATTTCATGCTAGACAGAAGAATTCTCAGTAACTTCTTTGTGCTGTGTGTATTCAACTCACAGAGTGGAACGTCCCTTTACACAGAGCAGATTTGAAACACTCTTTTTGTGGAGTTTGCAAGTGGAGATTTCAAGCGATTTGATGCCAACAGTAGAAAAGGAAATATCTTCAAATAAAAACTAGACAGAATCATTCTCAGAAACTACTTTGTGATGTGTGCCTTCAACTCACAGAGTTTAACCTTTCTTTTCTTAGAGCAGCTTAGAAACACTCTGCTTGTTATGTCTGCAAGTGGATATTTGGACCTCTTTGAGGCCTTCGTTGCAAACGGGGTTTCTTCCTTTAATGCTAGACTAAGAAGAGTTCTCAGTAACTTTTTTGTGTTGTGTGTATTCAACTCACAGAGTTGAACCTTGCTTTAGAGAGAGCAGATTTGAAACACTCTCGCTGTGGAATTTTCAGGTGGAGATTTCAAGCGATTTGAGGACAATTGCAGAAAAGGAAATATCTTCGTATAATAACCAGACAGAATCATTCTCAGAAAGTGCTTTGTGATGTGTGCGTTCAACTCACAGAGTTTAACCTTTCTTTTCATAGAGGAGTTTGGAAACACACTGTTTGTAAAGTCTGCAATTGGATATATGGACCTGTTTGAGGCCTTCGTTGGAAACGGGATTTCTTCATTGAATGCTAGACGGAAGAATTCTCAGTAAATTCTTTGTGTTGTGTGCATTCAACTCACAGAGTGGAACGTCCCTTTAGACAGAGCAGATTTGAAACACTCTTTTTGCGGAATTTGCAAGTGGAGATTTCTAGCCATTTGATGCCAACAGTAGAAAGGGAAATATCTTCAAATAAAAACCAGACAGAATCATTCTCAGAAAATTCTTTGTGATGTGTGCGTTCAACTCACATAGTTTAACCTTTCTTTTCATAGAGCAGTTTGGAAACACTCTGTTTGTAAAGTCTGAAAGTGGATATATGGACCGCATTGAGGCCTTCGTTGGAAACGGGATTTCTTCATTTCATGCTAGACAGAAGAATTCTCAGTAACTTCTTTGTGCTGTGTGTATTCAACTCACAGAGTGGAACGTCCCTTTGCACAGAGCAGATTTTAAACACTCTTTTTGTGGAGTTTGCAAGTGGAGATTTCAAGCGATTTGATGCCAACAGTAGAAAAGGAAATATCTTCAAATAAAAACTAGACAGAAATCATTCTCAGAAACTACTTTGTGATGTGTGCCTTCAACTCACAGAGTTTAACCTTTCTTTTCTTAGAGCAGTTTAGAAACACTCTGCTTGTTATGTCTGCAAGTGGATATTTGGACCTCTTTGAGGCCTTCGTTGCAAACGGGGTTTCTTCATTTCATGCTAGACTAAGAAGAGTTCTCAGTAACTTTTTTGTGTTGTGTGTATTCAACTCACAGAGTTGAACCTTGCTTTAGAGAGAGCAGATTTGAAACACTCTTGCTGTGGCATTTTCAGGTGGAGATTTCAAGCGATTTGAGGACAATTGCAGAAAAGGAAATATCTTCGTATAATAACCAGACAGAATCATTCTCAGAAAGTGCTTTGTGATGTGTGCGTTCAACTCACAGAGTTTAACCTTTCTTTTCATAGAGGAGTTTGGAAACACACTGTTTGTAAAGTCTGCAATTGGATATATGGACCTGTTTGAGGCCTTCTTTGGAAACGGGATTTCTTCATTGAATGCTAGACGGAAGAATTCTCAGTAAATTCTTTGTGTTGTGTGCATTCAACTCACAGAGTGGAACGTCCCTTTAGACAGAGCAGATTTGAAACACTCTTTTTGCGGAATTTGCAAGTGGAGATTTCTAGCCATTTGATGCCAACAGTAGAAAGGGAAATATCTTCAAATAAAAACCAGACAGAATCATTCTCAGAAAATTCTTTGTGATGTGTGCGTTCAACTCACATAGTTTAACCTTTCTTTTCATAGAGCAGTTTGGAAACACTCTGTTTGTAAAGTCTGCAAGTGGATATATGGACCGCATTGAGGCCTTCGTTGGAAACGGGATTTCTTCATTTCATGCTAGACAGAAGAATTCTCAGTAACTTCTTTGTGCTGTGTGTATTCAACTCACAGAGTGGAACGTCCCTTTACACAGAGCAGATTTGAAACACTCTTTTTGTGGAGTTTGCAAGTGGAGATTTCAAGCGATTTGATGCCAACAGTAGAAAAGGAAATATCTTCAAATAAAAACTAGACAGAATCATTCTCAGAAACTACTTTGTGATGTGTGCCTTCAACTCACAGAGTTTAACCTTTCTTTTCTTAGAGCAGTTTAGAAACACTCTGCTTGTTATGTCTGCAAGTGGATATTTGGACCTCTTTGAGGCCTTCGTTGCAAACGGGGTTTCTTCCTTTCATGCTAGACTAAGAAGAGTTCTCAGTAACTTTTTTGTGTTGTGTGTATTCAACTCACAGAGTTGAACCTTGCTTTAGAGAGAGCAGATTTGAAACACTCTTGCTGTGGCATTTTCAGGTGGAGATTTCAAGCGATTTGAGGACAATTGCAGAAAAGGAAATATCTTCGTATAATAACCAGACAGAATCATTCTCAGAAAGTGCTTTGTGATGTGTGCGTTCAACTCACAGAGTTTAACCTTTCTTTCCATAGAGGAGTTTGGAAACACACTGTTTGTAAAGTCTGCAATTGGATATATGGACCTGTTTGAGGCCTTCGTTGGAAACGGGATTTCTTCATTGAATGCTAGACGGAAGAATTCTCAGTAAATTCTTTGTGTTGTGTGCATTCAACTGACAGAGTGGAACGTCCCTTTAGACAGAGCAGATTTGAAACACTCTTTTTGCGGAATTTGCAAGTGGAGATTTCTAGCCATTTGATGCCAACAGTAGAAAGGGAAATATCTTCAAATAAAAACCAGACAGAATCATTCTCAGAAAATTCTTTGTGGTGTGTGCGTTCAACTCACATAGTTTAACCTTTCTTTTCATAGAGCAGTTTGGAAACACTCTGTTTGTAAAGTCTGCAAGTGGATATATGGACCGCATTGAGGCCTTCGTTGGAAACGGGATTTCTTCATTTCATGCTAGACAGAAGAATTCTCAGTAACTTCTTTGTGCTGTGTGTATTCAACTCACAGAGTGGAACGTCCCTTTACACAGAGCAGATTTGAAACACTCTTTTTGTGGAGTTTGCAAGTGGAGATTTCAAGCGATTTGATGCCAACAGTAGAAAAGGAAATATCTTCAAATAAAAACTAGACAGAATCATTCTCAGAAACTACTTTGTGATGTGTGCCTTCAACTCACAGAGTTTAACCTTTCTTTTCTTAGAGCAGTTTAGAAACACTCTGCTTGTTATGTCTGCAAGTGGATATTTGGACCTCTTTGAGGCCTTCGTTGCAAACGGGGTTTCTTCCTTTCATGCTAGACTAAGAAGAGTTCTCAGTAACTTTTTTGTGTTGTGTGTATTCAACTCACAGAGTTGAACCTTGCTTTAGAGAGAGCAGATTTGAAACACTCTTGCTGTGGCATTTTCAGGTGGAGATTTCAAGCGATTTGAGGACAATTGCAGAAAAGGAAATATCTTCGTATAATAACCAGACAGAATCATTCTCAGAAAGTGCTTTGTGATGTGTGCGTTCAACTCACAGAGTTTAACCTTTCTTTCCATAGAGGAGTTTGGAAACACACTGTTTGTAAAGTCTGCAATTGGATATATGGACCTGTTTGAGGCCTTCGTTGGAAACGGGATTTCTTCATTGAATGCTAGACGGAAGAATTCTCAGTAAATTCTTTGTGTTGTGTGCATTCAACTCACAGAGTGGAACGTCCCTTTAGACAGAGCAGATTTGAAACACTCTTTTTGCGGAATTTGCAAGTGGAGATTTCTAGCCATTTGATGCCAACAGTAGAAAGGGAAATATCTTCAAATAAAAACCAGACAGAATCATTCTCAGAAAATTCTTTGTGATGTGTGCGTTCAACTCACATAGTTTAACCTTTCTTTTCATAGAGCAGTTTGGAAACACTCTGTTTGTAAAGTCTGCAAGTGGATATATGGACCGCATTGAGGCCTTCGTTGGAAACGGGATTTCTTCATTTCATGCTAGACAGAAGAATTCTCAGTAACTTCTTTGTGCTGTGTGTATTCAACTCACAGAGTTGAACCTTGCTTTAGAGAGAGCAGATTTGAAACACTCTTGCTGTGGCATTTTCAGGTGGAGATTTCAAGCGATTTGAGGAAAATTGCAGAAAAGGGAATATCTTCGTATAATGACCAGACAGAATCATTCTCAGAAAGTGCTTTGTGATGTGTGCGTTCCACTCACAGAGTTTAACCTTTCTTTTCATAGAGGAGTTTGGAAACACACTGTTTGTAAACTCTGCAAGTGGATATATGGACCTGTTTGAGGCCTTCGTTGGAAACGGGATTTCTTCATTGAATGCTAGACGGAAGAATTCTCAGTAAATTCTTTGTGTTGTGTGCATTCAACTCACAGAGTGGAACGTCCCTTTAGACAGAGCAGATTTGAAACACTCTTTTTGCGGAATTTGCAAGTGGAGATTTCTAGCCATTTGATGCCAACAGTAGAAAGGGAAATATCTTCAAATAAAAACCAGACAGAATCATTCTCAGAAAATTCTTTGTGATGTGTGCGTTCAACTCACATAGTTTAACCTTTCTTTTCATAGAGCAGTTTGGAAACACTTTGTTTGTAAAGTCTGCAAGTGGATATATGGACCGCATTGAGGCCTTCGTTGGAAACGGGATTTCTTCATTTCATGCTAGACAGAAGAATTCTCAGTAACTTCCTTGTGTTGTGTGTATTCAACTCACAGAGTTGAACGATCCTTTACACAGAGCAGACTTGAAACACTCTTTTTGTGGAATTTGCAAGTGGAGATTTCAGCCGCTTTGAGGTCAATGGTAGAAAAGGAAATATCTTCGTATAAAGACTAGACAGAATCATTCTCAGAAACTACTTTGTGATGTGTGCCTTCAACTCACAGAGTTTAACCTTTCTTTTCTTAGAGCAGTTTAGAAACACTCTGCTTGTTATGTCTGCAAGTGGATATTTGGACCTCTTTGAGGCCTTCGTTGCAAACGGGGTTTCTTCCCTTTAATGCTAGACTAAGAAGAGTTGCTCAGTAACTTTTTTGTGTTGTGTGTATTCAACTCACAGAGTTGAACCTTGCTTTAGAGAGAGCAGATTTGAAACACTCTTGCTGTGGCATTTTCAGGTGGAGATTTCAAGCGATTTGAGGACAATTGCAGAAAAGGAAATATCTTCGTATAATAACCAGACAGAATCATTCTCAGAAAGTGCTTTGTGATGTGTGCGTTCAACTCACAGAGTTTAACCTTTCTTTTCATAGAGGAGTTTGGAAACACACTGTTTGTAAAGTCTGCAATTGGATATATGGACCTGTTTGAGGCCTTCGTTGGAAACGGGATTTCTTCATTGAATGCTAGACGGAAGAATTCTCAGTAAATTCTTTGTGTTGTGTGCATTCAACTGACAGAGTGGAACGTCCCTTTAGACAGAGCAGATTTGAAACACTCTTTTTGCGGAATTTGCAAGTGGAGATTTCTAGCCATTTCATGCCAACAGTAGAAAGGGAAATATCTTCAAATAAAAACCAGACAGAATCATTCTCAGAAAATTCTTTGTGATGTGTGCGTTCAACTCACATAGTTTAACCTTTCTTTTCATAGAGCAGTTTGGAAACACTCTGTTTGTAAAGTCTGCAAGTGGATCTATGGACCGCATTGAGGCCTTCGTTGGAAACGGGATTTCTTCATTTCATGCTAGACAGAAGAATTCTCAGTAACTTCTTTGTGCTGTGTGTATTCAACTCACAGAGTGGAACGTCCCTTTGCACAGAGCAGATTTGAAACACTCTTTTTGTGGAGTTTGCAAGTGGAGATTTCAAGCGATTTGATGCCAACAGTAGAAAAGGAAATATCTTCAAATAAAAACTAGACAGAATCATTCTCAGAAAATTCTTTGTGATGTGTGCCTTCAACTCACAGAGTTAAACCTTTCTTTTCTTAGAGCAGTTTAGAAACACTCTGCTTGTTATGTCTGCAAGTGGATATTTGGACCTCTTTGAGGCCTTCGTTGCAAACGGGGTTTTTTCCTTTAATGCTAGACTAAGAAGAGTTCTCAGTAACTTTTTTGTGTTGTGTGTATTCAACTCACAGAGTTGAACCTTGCTTTAGAGAGAGCAGATTTGAAACACTCTTGCTGTGGCATTTTCAGGTGGAGATTTCAAGCGATTTGAGGACAATTGCAAAAAAGGAAATATCTTCGTATAACAACCAGACAGAATCATTCTCAGAAAGTGCTTTGTGATGTGTGCGTTCAACTCACAGAGTTTAACCTTTCTTTTCATAGAGGAGTTTGGAAACACACTGTTTGTAAAGTCTGCAAGTGGATATATGGACCTGTTTGAGGCCTTCGTTGGAAACGGGATTTCTTCATTGAATGCTAGACGGAAGAATTCTCAGTAAATTCTTTGTGTTGTGTGCATTCAACTCACAGAGTGGAACGTCCCTTTAGACAGAGCAGATTTGAAACACTCTTTTTGCGGAATTTGCAAGTGGAGATTTCTAGCCATTTGATGCCAACAGTAGAAAGGGAAATATCTTCAAATAAAAACCAGACAGAATCATTCTCAGAAAGTGCTTTGTGATGTGTGCGTTCAACTCACAGAGTTTAACCTTTCTTTTCATAGAGGAGTTTGGAAACACACTGTTTGTAAAGTCTGCAATTGGATATATGGACCTGTTTGAGGCCTTCGTTGGAAACGGGATTTCTTCATTGCATGCTAGACGGAAGAATTCTCAGTAAATTCTTTGTGTTGTGTGCATTCAACTCACAGAGTGGAACGTCCCTTTAGACAGAGCAGATTTGAAACACTCTTTTTGCGGAATTTGCAAGTGGAGATTTCTAGCCATTTGATGCCAACAGTAGAAAGGGAAATATCTTCAAATAAAAACCAGACAGAATCATTCTCAGAAAATTCTTTGTGATGTGTGCGTTCAACTCACATAGTTTAACCTTTCTTTTCATAGAGCAGTTTGGAAACACTCTGTTTGTAAAGTCTGCAAGTGGATATATGGACCGCATTGAGGCCTTCGTTGGAAACGGGATTTCTTCATTTCATGCTAGACAGAAGAATTCTCAGTAACTTCTTTGTGCTGTGTGTATTCAACTCACAGAGTTGAACCTTGCTTTAGAGAGAGCAGATTTGAAACACTCTTGCTGTGGCATTTTCAGGTGGAGATTTCAAGCGATTTGAGGACAATTGCAGAAAAGGAAATATCTTCAAATAATAACCAGACAGAAACATTCTCAGAAAGTGCTTTGTGATGTGTGCGTTCAACTCACAGAGTTTAACCTTTCTTTTCATAGAGGAGTTTGGAAACACACTGTTTGTAAAGTCTGCAAGTGGATATATGGACCTGTTTGAGGCCTTCGTTGGAAACGGGATTTCTTCATTGAATGCTAGACGGAAGAATTCTCAGTAAATTCTTTGTGTTGTGTGCATTCAACTCACAGAGTGGAACGTCCCTTTAGACAGAGCAGATTTGAAACACTCTTTTTGCGGAATTTGCAAGTGGAGATTTCTAGCCATTTGATGCCAACAGTAGAAAGGGAAATATCTTCAAATAAAAACCAGACAGAATCATTCTCAGAAAATTCTTTGTGATGTGTGCGTTCAAATCACATAGTTTAACCTTTCTTTTCATAGAGCAGTTTGGAAACACTCTGTTTGTAAAGTCTGCAAGTGGATATATGGACCGCATTGAGGCCTTCGTTGGAAACGGGATTTCTCCATTTCATGCTAGACAGAAGAATTCTCAGTAACTTCTTTGTGCTGTGTGTATTCAACTCACAGAGTGGAACGTCCCTTTGCACAGAGCAGATTTGAAACACTCTTTTTGTGGAGTTTGCAAGTGGAGATTTCAAGCGATTTGATGCCAACAGTAGAAAAGGAAATATCTTCAAATAAAAACTAGGAAGAATCATTCTCAGAAACTACTTTGTGATGTGTGCCTTCAACTCACAGAGTTTAACCTTTCTTTTCTTAGAGCAGTTTAGAAACACTCTGCTTGTTATGTCTGCAAGTGGATATTTGGACCTCTTTGAGGCCTTCGTTGCAAACGGGGTTTCTTCCTTTCATGCTAGACTAAGAAGAGTTCTCAGTAACTTTTTTGTGTTGTGTGTATTCAACTCACAGAGTTGAACCTTGCTTTAGAGAGAGCAGATTTGAAACACTCTTGCTGTGGCATTTTCAGGTGGAGATTTCAAGCGTTTTGAGGACAATTGCAGAAAAGGAAATATCTTCGTATAATAACCAGACAGAATCATTCTCAGAAAGTGCTTTGTGATGTGTGCGTTCAACTCACAGAGTTTAACCTTTCTTTTCATAGAGGAGTTTGGAAACACACTGTTTGTAAAGTCTGCAATTGGATATATGGACCTGTTTGAGGCCTTCGTTGGAAACGGGATTTCTTCATTGCATGCTAGACGGAAGAATTCTCAGTAAATTCTTTGTGTTGTGTGCATTCAACTCACAGAGTGGAACGTCCCTTTAGACAGAGCAGATTTGAAACACTCTTTTTGCGGAATTTGCAAGTGGAGATTTCTAGCCATTTGATGCCAACAGTAGAAAGGGAAATATCTTCAAATAAAAACCAGACAGAATCATTCTCAGAAAATTCTTTGTGATGTGTGCGTTCAACTCACATAGTTTAACCTTTCTTTTCATAGAGCAGTTTGGAAACACTCTGTTTGTGAAGTCTGCAAGTGGATATATAGACCGCATTGAGGCCTTCGTTGGAAACGGGATTTCTTCATTTCATGCTAGACAGAAGAATTCTCAGTAACTTCTTTGTGCTGTGTGTATTCAACTCACAGAGTGGAACGTCCCTTTGCACAGAGCAGATTTGAAACACTCTTTTTGTGGAATTTGCAAGTGGAGATTTCAAGCGATTTGATGCCAACAGTAGAAAAGGAAATATCTTCAAATAAAAACTAGACAGAATCATTCTCAGAAACTACTTTGTGATGTGTGCCTTCAACTCACAGAGTTTAACATTTCTTTTCTTAGAGCAGTTTAGAAACACTCTGCTTGTTATGTCTGCAAGTGGATATTTGGACCTCTTTGAGGCCTTCGTTGCAAACGGGGTTTCTTCCTTTCATGCTAGACTAAGAAGAGTTCTCAGTAACTTTTTTGTGTTGTGTGTATTCAACTCACAGAGTTGAACCTTGCTTTAGAGAGAGCAGATTTGAAACACTCTTGCTGTGGCATTTTCAGGTGGAGATTTCAAGCGATTTGAGGACAATTGCAGAAAAGGAAATATCTTCGTATAACAACCAGACAGAATCATTCTCAGAAAGTGCTTTGTGATGTGTGCGTTCAACTCACAGAGTTTAACCTTTCTTTTCATAGAGGAGTTTGGAAACACACTGTTTGTAAAGTCTGCAATTGGATATATGGACCTGTTTGAGGCCTTCGTTGGAAACGGGATTTCTTCATTGCATGCTAGACGGAAGAATTCTCAGTAAATTCTTTGTGTTGTGTGCATTCAACTCACAGAGTGGAACGTCCCTTTAGACAGAGCAGATTTGAAACACTCTTTTTGCGGAATTTGCAAGTGGAGATTTCTAGCCATTTGATGCCAACAGTAGAAAGGGAAATATCTTCAAATAAAAACCAGACAGAATCATTCTCAGAAAATTCTTTGTGATGTGTGCGTTCAACTCACATAGTTTAACCTTTCTTTTCATAGAGCAGTTTGGAAACACTCTGTTTGTAAAGTCTGCAAGTGGATATATGGACCGCATTGAGGCCTTCGTTGGAAACGGGATTTCTTCATTTCATGCTAGACAGAAGAATTCTCAGTAACTTCTTTGTGCTGTGTGTATTCAACTCACAGAGTGGAACGTCCCTTTGCAGAGAGCAGATTTGAAACACTCTTTTTGTGGAGTTTGCAAGTGGAGATTTCAAGCGATTTGATGCCAACAGTAGAAAAGGAAATATCTTCAAATAAAAACTAGACAGAATCATTCTCAGAAACTACTTTGTGATGTGTGCCTTCAACTCACAGAGTTTAACCTTTCTTTTCTTAGAGCAGTTTAGAAACACTCTGCTTGTTATGTCTGCAAGTGGATATTTGGACTTCTTTGAGGCCTTCGTTGCAAACGGGGTTTCTTCCTTTAATGCTAGACTAAGAAGAGTTCTCAGTAACTTTTTTGTGTTGTGTGTATTCAACTCAAAGAGTTGAACCTTGCTTTAGAGAGAGCAGATTTGAAACACTCTTGCTGTGGCATTTTCAGGTGGAGATTTCAAGCGATTTGAGGACAATTGCAGAAAAGGAAATATCTTCGTATAATAACCAGACAGAATCATTCTCAGAAAGTGCTTTGTGATGTGTGCGTTCAACTCACAGAGTTTAACCTTTCTTTTCATAGAGGAGTTTGGAAACACACTGTTTGTAATGTCTGCAATTGGATATATGGACCTGTTTGAGGCCTTCTTTGGAAACGGGATTTCTTTATTGAATGCTAGACGGAAGAATTCTCAGTAAATTCTTTGTGTTGTGTGCATTCAACTCACAGAGTGGAACGTCCCTTTAGACAGAGCAGATTTGAAACACTCTTTTTGCGGAATTTGCAAGTGGAGATTTCTAGCCATTTGATGCCAACAGTAGAAAGGGAAATATCTTCAAATAAAAACCAGACAGAATCATTCTCAGAAAATTCTTTGTGATATGTGCGTTCAACTCACATAGTTTAACCTTTCTTTTCATAGAGCAGTTTGGAAACACTCTGTTTGTAAAGTCTGCAAGTGGATATATGGACCGCATTGAGGCCTTCATTGGAAACGGGATTTCTTCATTTCATGCTAGACAGAAGAATTCTCAGTAACTTCTTTGTGCTGTGTGTATTCAACTCACAGAGTGGAACGTCCCTTTACACAGAGCAGATTTGAAACACTCTTTTTGTGGAGTTTGCAAGTGGAGATTTCAAGCGATTTGATGCCAACAGTAGAAAAGGAAATATCTTCAAATAAAAACTAGACAGAATCATTCTCAGAAACTACTTTGTGATGTGTGCCTTCAACTCACAGAGTTTAACCTTTCTTTTCTTAGAGCAGTTTAGAAACACTCTGCTTGTTATGTCTGCAAGTGGATATTTGGACCTCTTTGAGGCCTTCGTTGCAAACGGGATTTCTTCCTTTCATGCTAGACTAAGAAGAGTTCTCAGTAACTTTTTTGTGTTGTGTGTATTCAACTCACAGAGTTGAACCTTGCTTTAGAGAGACCAGATTTGAAACACTCTTGCTGTGGCATTTTCAGGTGGAGATTTCAAGCGATTTGAGGACAATTGCAGAAAAGGAAATATCTTCGTATAAGAACCAGACAGAATCATTCTCAGAAAGTGCTTTGTGATGTGTGCGTTCAACTCACAGAGTTTAACCTTTCTTTTCATAGAGGAGTTTGGAAACACACTGTTTGTAAAGTCTGCAATTGGATATATGGACCTGTTTGAGGCCTTCTTTGGAAACGGGATTTCTTCATTGAATGCTAGACGGAAGAATTCTCAGTAAATTCTTTGTGTTGTGTGCATTCAACTCACAGAGTGGAACGTCCCTTTAGACAGAGCAGATTTGAAACACTCTTTTTGCGGAATTTGCAAGTGGAGATTTCTAGCCATTTGATGCCAACAGTAGAAAGGGAAATATCTTCAAATAAAAACCAGACAGAATCATTCTCAGAAAATTCTTTGTGATGTGTGCGTTCAACTCACATAGTTTAACCTTTCTTTTCATAGAGCAGTTTGGAAACACTCTGTTTGTAAAGTCTGCAAGTGGATATATAGACCGCATTGAGGCCTTCGTTGGAAACGGGATTTCTTCATTTCATGCTAGACAGAAGAATTCTCAGTAACTTCTTTGTGCTGTGTGTATTCAACTCACAGAGTGGAACGTCCCTTTGCACAGAGCAGATTTGAAACACTCTTTTTGTGGAGTTTGCAAGTGGAGATTTCAAGCGATTTGATGCCAACAGTAGAAAAGGAAATATCTTCAAATAAAAACTAGACAGAATCATTCTCAGAAACTACTTTGTGATGTGTGCCTTCAACTCACAGAGTTTAACCTTTCTTTTCTTAGAGCAGTTTAGAAACACTCTGCTTGTTATGTCTGCAAGTGGATATTTGGACCTCTTTGAGGCCTTCGTTGCAAACGGGGTTTCTTCCTTTCATGCTAGACTAAGAAGAGTTCTCAGTAACTTTTTTGTGTTGTGTGTATTCAACTCACAGAGCTGAACCTTGCTTTAGAGAGAGCAGATTTGAAACACTCTTGCTGTGGCATTTTCAGGTGGAGATTTCAAGCGATTTGAGGACAATTGCAGAAAAGGAAATATCTTCGTATAACAACCAGACAGAATCATTCTCAGAAAGTGCTTTGTGATGTGTGCGTTCAACTCACAGAGTTTAACCTTTCTTTTCATAGAGGAGTTTGGAAACACACTGTTTGTAAAGTCTGCAATTGGATATATGGACCTGTTTGAGGCCTTCGTTGGAAACGGGATTTCTTCATTGAATGCTAGACGGAAGAATTCTCAGTAAATTCTTTGTGTTGTGTGCATTCAACTCACAGAGTGGAACGTCCCTTTAGACAGAGCAGATTTGAAACACTCTTTTTGCGGAATTTGCAAGTGGAGATTTCTAGCCATTTGATGCCAACAGTAGAAAGGGAAATATCTTCAAATAAAAACCAGACAGAATCATTCTCAGAAAATTCTTTGTGATGTGTGCGTTCAACTCACATAGTTTAACCTTTCTTTTCATAGAGCAGTTTGGGAACACTCTGTTGGTAATGTCTGCAAGTGGATATATGGACCGCTTTGAGGCCTTCGTTGGAAACGGGATTTCTTCATTTCATGCTAGACAGAAGAATTCTCAGTAACTTCTTTGTGCTGTGTGTATTCAACTCACAGAGTGGAACGTCCCTTTACACAGAGCAGATTTGAAACACTCTTTTTGTGGAGTTTGCAAGTGGAGATTTCAAGCGATTTGATGCCAACAGTAGAAAAGGAAATATCTTCAAATAAAAACTAGACAGAATCATTCTCAGAAACTGCTTTGTGATGTGTGCCTTCAACTCACAGAGTTTAACCTTTCTTTTCTTAGAGCAGTTTAGAAACACTCTGCTTGTTATGTCTGCAAGTGGATATTTGGACCTCTTTGAGGCCTTCGTTGCAAACGGGGTTTCTTCCTTTCATGCTAGACTAAGAGAGAGTTCTCAGTAACTTTTTTGTGTTGTGTGTATTCAACTCACAGAGTTGAACCTTGCTTTAGAGAGAGCAGATTTGAAACACTCTTGCTGTGGCATTTTCAGGTGGAGATTTCAAGCGATTTGAGGACAATTGCAGAAAAGGAAATATCTTCGTATAATAACCAGACAGATCATTCTCAGAAAGTGCTTTGTGATGTGTGCGTTCAACTCACAGAGTTTAACCTTTCTTTTCATAGAGGAGTTTGGAAACACACTGTTTGTAAAGTCTGCAAGTGGATATATGGACCTGTTTGAGGCCTTCGTTGGAAACGGGATTTTATCATATAATGCTAGACGGAAGAATTCTCAGTAAATTCTTTGTGTTGTGTGCATTCAACTCACAGAGTGGAACGTCCCTTTAGACAGAGCAGATTTGAAACACTCTTTTTGCGGAATTTGCAAGTGGAGACTTCTAGCCATTTGATGCCAACAGTAGAAAGGGAAATATCTTCAAATAAAAACTAGACAGAATCATCCTCAAAAAATTCTTTGTGATGTGTGCGTTCAACTCACATAGTTTAACCTTTCTTTTCATAGAGCAGTTTGGAAACACTCTGTTGGTAATGTCTGCAAGTGGATATATGGACCGCTTTGAGGCCTTCGTTGGAAACGGGATTTCTTCATTTCATACTAGACAGAAGAATTCTCAGTAACTTCTTTGTGTTGTGTGTATTCAACTCACAGATTGGAACGTCCCTTTACACAGAGCAGATTTGAAACACTCTTTTTGTGGAATTTGCAAGTGGAGATTTCAAGCGATTTGATGCCAACAGTAGAAAAGGAAATATCTGCAAATAAAAACTAGACAGAATCATTCTCAGAAAGTGCTTTGTGATGTGTGCGTTCAACTCACGGAGTTTAACCTTTCTTTTCATAGAGGAGTTTGGAAACACACTGTTTGTAAAGTCTACAATTGGATATATGGACCTGTTTGAGGCCATCGTTGGAAACGGGATTTCTTCATTGAATGCTAGACGGAAGAATTCTCAGTAAATTCTTTGTGTTGTGTGCATTCAACTCACAGAGTGGAACGTCCCTTTAGACAGAGCAGATTTGAAACACTCTTTTTGCGGAATTTGCAAGTGGAGATTTCTAGCCATTTGATGCCAACAGTAGAAAGGGAAATATCTTCAAATAAAAACCAGACAGAATCATTCTCAGAAAATTCTTTGTGATGTGTGCGTTCAACTCACATAGTTTAACCTTTCTTTTCATAGAGTAGTTTGGAAACACTCTGTTTGTAAAGTCTGCAAGTGGATATATGGACCGCATTGAGGCCTTCGTTGGAAACGGGATTTCTTCATTTCATGCTAGGCAGAAGAATTCTCAGTAACTTCTTTTGTGCTGTGTGTATTCAACTCACAGAGTGGAACGTCCCTTTGCACAGAGCAGATTTGAAACACTCTTTTTGTGGAATTTGCAAGTGGAGATTTCAAGCGATTTGATGCCAACAGTAGAAAAGGAAATATCTTCAAATAAAAACTAGACAGAATCATTCTCAGAAACTACTTTGTGATGTGTGCCTTCAACTCACAGAGTTTAACCTTTCTTTTCTTAGAGCAGTTTAGAAACACTCTGCTTGTTATGTCTGCAAGTGGATATTTGGACCTCTTTGAGGCCTTCGTTGCAAACGGGGTTTCTTCCTTTAATGCTAGACTAAGAAGAGTTCTCAGTAACTTTTTTGTGTTGTGTGTATTCAACTCACAGAGTTGAACCTTGCTTTAGAGAGAGCAGATTTGAAACACTCTTGCTGTGGCATTTTCAGGTGGAGATTTCAAGCGATTTGAGGACAATTGCAGAAAAGGAAATATCTTCGTATAATAACCAGACAGAATCATTCTCAGAAAGTGCTTTGTGATGTGTGCGTTCAACTCACAGAGTTTAACCTTTCTTTTCATAGAGGAGTTTGGAAACACACTGTTTGTAAAGTCTGCAATTGGATATATGGACCTGTTTGAGGCCTCCGTTGGAAACGGGATTTCTTCATTGAATGCTAGACGGAAGAATTCTCAGTAAATTCTTTGTGTTGTGTGCATTGAACTCACAGAGTGGAACGTCCCTTTAGACAGAGCAGATTTGAAACACTCTTTTTGCGGAATTTGCAAGTGGAGATTTCTAGCCATTTGATGTCAACAGTAGAAAGGGAAATATCTTCAAATAAAAACCAGACAGAATCATTCTCAGAAAATTCTTTGTGATGTGTGCGTTCAACTCACATAGTTTAATCTTTCTTTTCATAGAGCAGTTTGGAAACACTCTGTTTGTAAAGTCTGCAAGTGGATATATGGACCGCATTGAGGCCTTCGTTGGAAACGGGATTTCTTCATTTCATGCTAGACAGAAGAATTCTCAGTAACTTCTTTGTGCTGTGTGTATTCAACTCACAGAGTGGAACGTCCCTTTGCACAGAGCAGATTTGAAACACTCTTTTTGTGGAGTTTGCAAGTGGAGATTTCAAGCGATTTGATGCCAACAGTAGAAAAGGAAATATCTTCAAATAAAAACTAGACAGAATCATTCTCAGAAACTACTTTGTGATGTGTGCCTTCAACTCACAGAGTTTAACCTTTCTTTTCTTAGAGCAGTTTAGAAACACTCTGCTTGTTATGTCTGCAAGTGGATATTTGGACCTCTTTGAGGCCTTCGTTGCAAACGGGGTTTCTTCCTTTCAAGCTAGACTAAGAAGAGTTCTCAGTAACTTTTTTGTGTTGTGTGTATTCAACTCACAGAGTTGAACCTTGCTTTAGAGAGAGCAGATTTGAAACACTCTTGCTGTGGCATTTTCAGGTGGAGATTTCAAGCGATTTGAGGATAATTGCAGAAAAGGAAATATCTTCGTATAATAACCAGACAGAATCATTCTCAGAAAGTGCTTTGTGATGTGTGCGTTCCACTCACAGAGTTTAACCTTTCTTTTCATAGAGGAGTTTGGAAACACACTGTTTGTAAAGTCTGCAAGTGGATATATGGACCTGTTTGAGGCCTTCGTTGGAAACGGGATTTCTTCATTGAATGCTAGACGGAAGAATTCTCAGTAAATTCTTTGTGTTGTGTGCATTCAACTCACAGAGTGGAACGTCCCTTTAGACAGAGCAGATTTGAAACACTCTTTTTGCGGAATTTGCAAGTGGAGATTTCTAGCCATTTGATGCCAACAGTAGAAAGGGAAATATCTTCAAATAAAAACCAGACAGAATCATTCTCAGAAAATTCTTTGTGATGTGTGCGTTCAACTCACATAGTTTAACCTTTCTTTTCATAGAGCAGTTTGGAAACACTCTGTTTGTAAAGTCTGCAAGTGGATATATGGACCGCATTGAGGCCTTCGTTGGAAACGGGATTTCTTCATTTCATGCTAGACAGAAGAATTCTCAGTAACTTCTTTGTGCTGTGTGTATTCAACTCACAGAGTGGAACGTCCCTTTGCACAGAGCAGATTTGAAACACTCTTTTTGTGGAATTTGCAAGTGGAGATTTCAAGCGATTTGATGCCAACAGTAGAAAAGGAAATATCTTCAAATAAAAACTAGACAGAATCATTCTCAGAAACTACTTTGTGATGTGTGCCTTCAACTCACAGAGTTTAACCTTTCTTTTCTTAGAGCAGTTTAGAAACACTCTGCTTGTTATGTCTGCAAGTGGATATTTGGACCTCTTTGAGGCCTTCGTTGCAAACGGGGTTTCTTCCTTTCATGCTAGACTAAGAAGAGTTCTCAATAACTTTTTTGTGTTGTGTGTATTCAACTCACAGAGTTGAACCTTGCTTTAGAGAGAGCAGATTTGAAACACTCTTGCTGTGGCATTTTCAGGTGGAGATTTCAAGCGATTTGAGGACAATTGCAGAAAAGGAAATATCTTCGTATAACAACCAGACAGAATCATTCTCAGAAAGTGCTTTGTGATGTGTGCGTTCATCTCACAGAGTTTAACCTTTCTTTTCATAGAGGAGTTTGGAAACACACTGTTTGTAAAGTCTGCAATTGGATATATGGACCTGTTTGAGGCCTTCGTTGGAAACGGGATTTCTTCATTGAATGCTAGACGGAAGAATTCTCAGTAAATTCTTTGTGTTGTGTGCATTCAACTCACAGAGTGGAACGTCCCTTTAGACAGAGCAGATTTGAAACACTCTTTTTGCGGAATTTGCAAGTGGAGATTTCTAGCCATTTGATGTCAACAGTAGAAAGGGAAATATCTTCAAATAAAAACCAGACAGAATCATTCTCAGAAAATTCTTTGTGATGTGTGCGTTTAACTCACATAGTTTAACCTTTCTTTTCATAGAGCAGTTTGGAAACACTCTGTTTGTAAAGTCTGCAAGTGGATATATGGACCGCATTGAGGCCTTCGTTGGAAACGGGATTTCTTCATTTCATGCTAGACAGAAGAATTCTCAGTAACTTCTTTGTGCTGTGTGTATTCAACTCACAGAGTGGAACGTCCCTTTGCACAGAGCAGATTTGAAACACTCTTTTTGTGGAGTTTGCAAGTGGAGATTTCAAGCGATTTGATGCCAACAGTAGAAAAGGAAATATCTTCAAATAAAAACTAAAAACTAGACAGAATCATTCTCAGAAACTACTTTGTGATGTGTGCCTTCAACTCACAGAGTTTAACCTTTCTTTTCTTAGAGCAGTTTAGAAACACTCTGCTTGTTATGTCTGCAAGTGGATATTTGGACCTCTTTGAGGCCTTCGTTGCAAACGGGGTTTCTTCCTTTCATGCTAGACTAAGAAGAGTTCTCAGTAACTTTTTTGTGTTGTGTGTATTCAACTCACAGAGTTGAACCTTGCTTTAGAGAGAGCAGATTTGAAACACTCTTGCTGTGGAATTTTCAGGTGGAGATTTCAAGCGATTTGAGGACAATTGCAGAAAAGGAAATATCTTCGTATAATAACCAGACAGAATCATTCTCAGAAAGTGCTTTGTGATGTGTGCGTTCCACTCACAGAAGTTTAACCTTTCTTTTCATAGAGGAGTTTGGAAACAAACTGTTTGTAAACTCTGCAAGTGGATATATGGACCTGTTTGAGGCCTTCGTTGGAAACGGGATTTCTTCATTGAATGCTAGACGGAAGAATTCTCAGTAAATTCTTTGTGTTGTGTGCATTCAACTCACAGAGTGGAACGTCCCTTTAGGCAGAGCAGATTTGAAACACTCTTTTTGCGGAATTTGCAAGTGGAGATTTCTAGCCATTTGATGCCAACAGTAGAAAGGGAAATATCTTCAAATAAAAACCAGACAGAATCATTCTCAGAAAATTCTTTGTGATGTGTGCGTTCAACTCACATAGTTTAACCTTTCTTTTCATAGAGCAGTTTGGAAACACTCTGTTTGTAAAGTCTGCAAGTGGATATATGGACCGCATTGAGGCTTCGTTGGAAACGGGATTTCTTCATTTCATGCTAGACAGAAGAATTCTCAGTAACTTCTTTGTGCTGTGTGTATTCAACTCACAGAGTGGAACGTCCCTTTACACAGAGCAGATTTGAAACACTCTTTTTGTGGAGTTTGCAAGTGGAGATTTCAAGCGATTTGATGCCAACAGTAGAAAAGGAAATATCTTCAAATAAAAACTAGACAGAATCATTCTCAGAAACTACTTTGTGATGTGTGCCTTCTACTCACAGAGTTTAACCTTTCTTTTCTTAGAGCAGTTTAGAAACACTCTGCTTGTTATGTCTGCAAGTGGATATTTGGACCTCTTTGAGGCCTTCGTTGCAAACGGGGTTTCTTCCTTTCATGCTAGACTAAGAAGAGTTCTCAGTAACTTTTTTGTGTTGTGTGTATTCAACTCACAGAGTTGAACCTTGCTTTAGAGAGAGCAGATTTGAAACACTCTTGCTGTGGCATTTTCAGGTGGAGATTTCAAGCGATTTGAGGACAATTGCAGAAAAGGAAATTCTCGTATAATAACCAGACAGAATCATTCTCAGAAAGTGCTTTGTGATGTGTGCGTTCCACTCACAGAGTTTAACCTTTCTTTTCATAGAGGAGTTTGGAAACACACTGTTTGTAAACTCTGCAAGTGGATATATGGACCTGTTTGAGGCCTTCGTTGGAAACGGGATTTCTTCATTGAATGCTAGACGGAAGAATTCTCAGTAAATTCTTTGTGTTGTGTGCATTCAACTCACAGAGTGGAACGTCCCTTTAGACAGAGCAGATTTGAAACACTCTTTTTGCGGAATTTGCAAGTGGAGATT
This sequence comes from Homo sapiens, assembly GCF_000001405.40. NCBI lineage: Eukaryota > Metazoa > Chordata > Mammalia > Primates > Hominidae > Homo > Homo sapiens. The sequence continues at coordinate 59,764,690 of NC_000007.14, forward strand.
TCTAGCCATTTGATGCCAACAGTAGAAAGGGAAATATCTTCAAATAAAAACCAGACAGAATCATTCTCAGAAAATTCTTTGTGATGTGTGCGTTCAACTCACATAGTTTAACCTTTCTTTTCATAGAGCAGTTTGGAAACACTCTGTTTGTAAAGTCTGCAAGTGGATATATGGACCGCATTGAGGCCTTCGTTGGAAACGGGATTTCTTCATTTCATGCTAGACAGAAGAATTCTCAGTAACTTCTTTGTGCTGTGTGTATTCAACTCACAGAGTGGAACGTCCCTTTGCACAGAGCAGATTTGAAACACTCTTTTTGTGGAGTTTGCAAGTGGAGATTTCAAGCGATTTGATGCCAACAGTAGAAAAGGAAATATCTTCAAATAAAAACTAGACAGAATCATTCTCAGAAACTACTTTGTGATGTGTGCCTTCAACTCACAGAGTTTAACCTTTCTTTTCTTAGAGCAGTTTAGAAACACTCTGCTTGTTATGTCTGCAAGTGGATATTTGGACCTCTTTGAGGCCTTCGTTGCAAACGGGGTTTCTTCCTTTCATGCTAGACTAAGAAGAGTTCTCAGTAACTTTTCTGTGTTGTGTGTATTCAACTCACAGAGTTGAACCTTGCTTTAGAGAGAGCAGATTTGAAACACTCTTGCTGTGACATTTTCAGGTGGAGATTTCAAGCGATTTGAGGACAATTGCAGAAAAGGAAATATCTTCGTATAACAACCAGACAGAATCATTCTCAGAAAGTGCTTTGTGATGTGTGCGTTCCACTCACAGAGTTTAACCTTTCTTTTCATAGAGGAGTTTGGAAACACACTGTTTGTAAAGTCTGCAATTGGATATATGGACCTGTTTGAGGCCTTCGTTGGAAACGGGATTTCTTCATTGAATGCTAGACGGAAGAATTCTCAGTAAATTCTTTGTGTTGTGTGCATTCAACTCACAGAGTGGAACGTCCCTTTAGACAGAGCAGATTTGAAACACTCTTTTTGCGGAATTTGCAAGTGGAGATTTCTAGCCATTTGATGCCAACAGTAGAAAGGGAAATATCTTCAAATAAAAACCAGACAGAATCATTCTCAGAAAATTCTTTGTGATGTGTGCGTTCAACTCACATAGTTTAACCTTTCTTTTCATAGAGCAGTTTGGAAACACTCTGTTTGTAAAGTCTGCAAGTGGATATATGGACCGCATTGAGGCCTTCGTTGGAAACGGGATTTCTTCATTTCATGCTAGACAGAAGAATTCTCAGTAACTTCTTTGTGCTGTGTGTATTCAACTCACAGAGTGGAACGTCCCTTTGCACAGAGCAGATTTGAAACACTCTTTTTGTGGAGTTTGCAAGTGGAGATTTCAAGCGATTTGATGCCAACAGTAGAAAAGGAAATATCTTCAAATAAAAACTAGACAGAATCATTCTCAGAAACTACTTTGTGATGTGTGCCTTCAACTCACAGAGTTTAACCTTTCTTTTCTTAGAGCAGTTTAGAAACACTCTGCTTGTTATGTCTGCAAGTGGATATTTGGACCTCTTTGAGGCCTTCGTTGCAAACGGGGTTTCTTCCTTTCATGCTAGACTAAGAAGAGTTCTCAGTAACTTTTTTGTGTTGTGTGTATTCAACTCACAGAGTTGAACCTTGCTTTAGAGAGAGCAGATTTGAAACACTCTTGCTGTGGCATTTTCAGGTGGAGATTTCAAGCGATTTGAGGACAATTGCAGAAAAGGAAATATCTTCGTATAATAACCAGAGAGAATCATTCTCAGAAAGTGCTTTGTGATGTGTGCGTTCCACTCACAGAGTTTAACCTTTCTTTTCATAGAGGAGTTTGGAAACAAACTGTTTGTAAACTCTGCAAGTGGATATATGGACCTGTTTGAGGCCTTCGTTGGAAACGGGATTTCTTCATTGAATGCTAGACGGAAGAATTCTCAGTAAATTCTTTGTGTTGTGTGCATTCAACTCACAGAGTGGAACGTCCCTTTAGACAGAGCAGATTTGAAACACTCTTTTTGCGGAATTTGCAAGTGGAGATTTCTAGCCATTTGATGCCAACAGTAGAAAGGGAAATATTTTCAAATAAAAACCAGACAGAATCATTCTCAGAAAATTCTTTGTGATGTGTGCGTTCAACTCACATAGTTTAACCTTTCTTTTCATAGAGCAGTTTGGAAACACTCTGTTTGTAAAGTCTGCAAGTGGATATATGGACCGCATTGAGGCCTTCGTTGGAAACGGGGTTTCTTCATTTCATGCTAGACAGAAGAATTCTCAGTAACTTCTTTGTGCTGTGTGTATTCAACTCACAGAGTGGAACGTCCCTTTACACAGAGCAGATTTGAAACACTCTTTTTGTGGAGTTTGCAAGTGGAGATTTCAAGCGATTTGATGCCAACAGTAGAAAAGGAAATATCTTCAAATAAAAACTAGACAGAATCATTCTCAGAAACTACTTTGTGATGTGTGCCTTCAACTCACAGAGTTTAACCTTTCTTTTCATAGAGCAGTTTAGAAACACTCTGCTTGTTATGTCTGCAAGTGGATATTTGGACCTCTTTGAGGCCTTCGTTGCAAACGGGGTTTCTTCCTTTCATGCTAGACTAAGAAGAGTTCTCAGTAACTTTTTTGTGTTGTGTGTATTCAACTCACAGAGTTGAACCTTGCTTTAGAGAGAGCAGATTTGAAACACTCTTGCTGTGGCATTTTCAGGTGGAGATTTCAAACGATTTGAGGACAATTGCAGAAAAGGAAATATCTTCGTATAATAACCAGACAGAATCATTCTCAGAAAGTGCTTTGTGATGTGTGCGTTCAACTCACAGAGTTTAACCTTTCTTTTCATAGAGGAGTTTGGAAACACACTGTTTGTAAAGTCTGCAATTGGATATATGGACCTGTTTGAGGCCTTCGTTGGAAACGGGATTTCTTCATTGAATGCTAGACGGAAGAATTCTCAGTAAATTCTTTGTGTGGTGTGCATTCAACTCACAGAGTGGAACGTCCCTTTAGACAGAGCAGATTTGAAACACTCTTTTTGCGGAATTTGCAAGTGGAGATTTCTAGCCATTTGATGCCAACAGTAGAAAGGGAAATATCTTCAAATAAAAACCAGACAGAATCATTCTCAGAAAATTCTTTGTGATGTGTGCGTTCAACTCACATAGTTTAACCTTTCTTTTCATAGAGCAGTTTGGAAACACTCTGTTTGTAAAGTCTGCAAGTGGATATATGGACCGCATTGAGGCCTTCGTTGGAAACGGGATTTCTTCATTTCATGCTAGACAGAAGAATTCTCAGTAACTTCTTTGTGCTGTGTGTATTCAACTCACAGAGTGGAACGTCCCTTTGCACAGAGCAGATTTGAAACACTCTTTTTGTGGAGTTTGCAAGTGGAGATTTCAAGCGATTTGATGCCAACAGTAGAAAAGGAAATATCTTCAAATAAAAACTAGACAGAACCATTCTCAGAAAGTACTTTGTGATGTGTGCCTTCAACTCACAGAGTTTAACCTTTCTTTTCTTAGAGCAGTTTAGAAACACTCTGCTTGTTATGTCTGCAAGTGGATATTTGGACCTCTTTGAGGCCTTCGTTGCAAACGGGGTTTCTTCCTTTCATGCTAGACTAAGAAGAGTTCTCAGTAACATTTTTGTGTTGTGTGTATTCAACTCACAGAGTTGAACCTTGCTTTAGAGAGAGCAGATTTGAAACACTCTTGCTGTGGCATTTTCAGGTGGAGATTTCAAGCGATTTGAGGACAATTGCAGAAAAGGAAATATCTTCGTATAACAACCAGACAGAATCATTCTCAGAAAGTGCTTTGTGATGTGTGCGTTCAACTCACAGAGTTTAACCTTTCTTTTCATAGAGGAGTTTGGAAACACACTGTTTGTAAAGTCTGCAATTGGATATATGGACCTGTTTGAGGCCTTCGTTGGAAACGGGATTTCTTCATTGAATGCTAGACGGAAGAATTCTCAGTAAATTCTTTGTGTTGAGTGCATTCAACTCACAGAGTGGAACGTCCCTTTAGACAGAGCAGATTTGAAACACTCTTTTTGCGGAATTTGCAAGTGGAGATTTCTAGCCATTTGATGCCAACAGTAGAAAGGGAAATATCTTCAAATAAAAAACAGACAGAATCATTCTCAGAAAATTCTTTGTGATGTGTGCGTTCAACTCACATAGTTTAACCTTTCTTTTCATAGAGCAGTTTGGAAACACTCTGTTTGTAAAGTCTGCAAGTGGATATATGGACCGCATTGAGGCCTTCGTTGGAAACGGGATTTCTTCATTTCATGCTAGACAGAAGAATTCTCAGTAACTTCTTTGTGCTGTGTGTATTCAACTCACAGAGTGGAACGTCCCTTTGCACAGAGCAGATTAGAAACACTCTTTTTGTGGAATTTGCAAGAGGAGATTTCAAGCGATTTGATGCCAACAGTAGAAAAGGAAATATCTTCAAATAAAAACTAGACAGAATCATTCTCAGAAACTACTTTGTGATGTGTGCCTTCAACTCACAGAGTTTAACCTTTCTTTTCTTAGAGCAGTTTAGAAACACTCTGCTTGTTATGTCTGCAAGTGGATATTTGGACCTCTTTGAGGCCTTCGTTGCAAACGGGGTTTCTTCCTTTAATGCTAGACTAAGAAGAGTTCTCAGTAACTTTTTTGTGTTGTGTGTATTCAACTCACAGAGTTGAACCTTGCTTTAGAGAGAGGAGATTTGAAACACTCTTGCTGTGGCATTTTCAGATGGAGATTTCAAGCGTTTTGAGGACAATTGCAGAAAAGGAAATATCTTCGTATAATAACCAGACAGAATCATTCTCAGAAAGTGCTTTGTGATGTGTGCGTTCCACTCACAGAGTTTAACCTTTCTTTTCATAGAGGAGTTTGGAAACACACTGTTTGTAAACTCTGCAAGTGGATATATGGACCTGTTTGAGGCCTTCGTTGGAAACGGGATTTCTTCATTGAATGCTAGACGGAAGAATTCTCAGTAAATTCTTTGTGTTGTGTGCATTCAACTCACAGAGTGGAACGTTCCTTTAGACAGAGCAGATTTGAAACACTCTTTTTGCGGAATTTGCAAGTGGAGATTTCTAGCCATTTGATGCCAACAGTAGAAAGGGAAATATCTTCAAATAAAAACCAGACAGAATCATTCTCAGAAAATTCTTTGTGATGTGTGCGTTCAACTCACATAGTTTAACCTTTCTTTTCATAGAGCAGTTTGGAAACACTCTGTTTGTAAAGTCTGCAAGTGGATATATGGACCGCATTGAGGCCTTCGTTGGAAACGGGATTTCTTCATTTCATGCTAGACAGAAGAATTCTCAGTAACTTCTTTGTGCTGTGTGTACTCAACTCACAGAGTGGAACGTCCCTTTGCACAGAGCAGATTTGAAACACTCTTTTTGTGGAGTTTGCAAGTGGAGATTTCAAGCGATTTGATGCCAACAGTAGAAAAGGAAATATCTTCAAATAAAAACTAGACAGAATCATTCTCAGAAACTACTTTGTGATGTCTGCCTTCAACTCACAGAGTTTAACCTTTCTTTTCTTAGAGCAGTTGAGAAACACTCTGCTTGTTATGTCTGCAAGTGGATATTTGGACCTCTTTGAGGCCTTCGTTGCAAACGGGGTTTCTTCCTTTCATGCTAGACTAAGAAGAGTTCTCAGTAACTTTTTTGTGTTGTGTGTATTCAACTCACAGAGTTGAACCTTGCTTTAGAGAGAGCAGATTTGAAACACTCTTGCTGTGGCATTTTCAGGTGGAGATTTCAAGCGTTTTGAGGACAATTGCAGAAAAGGAAATATCTTCGTATAATAACCAGACAGAATCATTCTCAGAAAGTGCTTTGTGATGTGTGCGTTCCACTCACAGAGTTTAACCTTTCTTTTCATAGAGGAGTTTGGAAACACACTGTTTGTAAAGTCTGCAAGTGGATATATGGACCTGTTTGAGGCCTTCGTTGGAAACGGGATTTCTTCATTGAATGCTAGACGGAAGAATTCTCAGTAAATTCTTTGTGTTGTGTGCATTCAACTCACAGAGTGGAACGTCCCTTTAGACAGAGCAGATTTGAAACACTCTTTTTGCGGAATTTGCAAGTGGAGATTTCTAGCCATTTGATGCCAACAGTAGAAAGGGAAATATCTTCAAATAAAAACCAGACAGAATCATTCTCAGAAAATTCTTTGTGATGTGTGCGTTCAACTCACATAGTTTAACCTTTCTTTTCATAGAGCAGTTTGGAAACACTCTGTTTGTAAAGTCTGCAAGTGGATATATGGACCGCATTGAGGCCTTCGTTGGAAACGGGATTTCTTCATTTCATGCTAGACAGAAGAATTCTCAGTAACTTCTTTGTGCTGTGTGTATTCAACTCACAGAGTGGAACGTCCCTTTGCACAGAGCAGATTTGAAACACTCTTTTTGTGGAATTTGCAAGTGGAGATTTCAAGCGATTTGATGCCAACAGTAGAAAAGGAAATATCTTCAAATAAAAACTAGACAGAATCATTCTCAGAAACTACTTTGTGATGTGTGCCTTCAACTCACAGAGTTTAACCTTTCTTTTCTTAGAGCAGTTTAGAAACACTCTGCTTGTTATGTCTGCAAGTGGATATTTGGACCTCTTTGAGGCCTTCGTTGCAAACGGGGTTTCTTCCTTTAATGCTAGACTAAGAAGAGTTCTCAGTAACTTTTTTGTGTTGTGTGTATTCAACTCACAGAGTTGAACCTTGCTTTAGAGAGAGCAGATTTGAAACACTCTTGCTGTGGCATTTTCAGGTGGAGATTTCAAGCGATTTGAGGACAATTGCAGAAAAGGAAATATCTTCGTATAATAACCAGACAGAATCATTCTCAGAAAGTGCTTTGTGATGTGTGCGTTCAACTCACAGAGTTTAACCTTTCTTTTCATAGAGGAGTTTGGAAACACACTGTTTGTAAAGTCTGCAATTGGATATATGGACCTGTTTGAGGCCTTCTTTGGAAACGGGATTTCTTCATTGAATGCTAGACGGAAGAATTCTCAGTAAATTCTTTGTGTTGTGTGCATTCAACTCACAGAGTGGAACGTCCCTTTAGACAGAGCAGATTTGAAACACTCTTTTTGCGGAATTTGCAAGTGGAGATTTCTAGCCATTTGATGCCAACAGTAGAAAGGGAAATATCTTCAAATAAAAACCAGACAGAATCATTCTCAGAAAATTCTTTGTGATGTGTGCGTTCAACTCACATAGTTTAACCTTTCTTTTCATAGAGCAGTTTGGAAACACTCTGTTTGTAAAGTCTGCAAGTGGATATATAGACCGCATTGAGGCCTTCGTTGGAAACGGGATTTCTTCATTTCATGCTAGACAGAAGAATTCTCAGTAACTTCTTTGTGCTGTGTGTATTCAACTCACAGAGTGGAACGTCCCTTTGCACAGAGCAGATTTGAAACACTCTTTTTGTGGAGTTTGCAAGTGGAGATTTCAAGCGATTTGATGCCAACAGTAGAAAAGGAAATATCTTCAAATAAAAACTAGACAGAATCATTCTCAGAAACTACTTTGTGATGTGTGCCTTCAACTCACAGAGTTTAACCTTTCTTTTCTTAGAGCAGTTTAGAAACACTCTGCTTGTTATGTCTGCAAGTGGATATTTGGACCTCTTTGAGGCCTTCGTTGCAAACGGGGTTTCTTCCTTTCATGCTAGACTAAGAAGAGTTCTCAGTAACTTTTTTGTGTTGTGTGTATTCAACTCACAGAGTTGAACCTTGCTTTAGAGAGAGCAGATTTGAAACACTCTTGCTGTGACATTTTCAGGTGGAGATTTCAAGCGATTTGAGGACAATTGCAGAAAAGGAAATATCTTCGTATAATAACCAGACAGAATCATTCTCAGAAAGTGCTTTGTGATGTGTGCGTTCCACTCACAGAGTTTAACCTTTCTTTTCATAGAGGAGTTTGGAAACACACTGTTTGTAAAGTCTGCAAGTGGATATATGGACCTGTTTGAGGCCTTCGTTGGAAACGGGATTTCTTCATTGAATGCTAGACGGAAGAATTCTCAGTAAATTCTTTGTGTTGTGTGCATTCAACTCACAGAGTGGAACGTCCCTTTAGACAGAGCAGATTTGAAACACTCTTTTTGCGGAATTTGCAAGTGGAGATTTCTAGCCATTTGATGCCAACAGTAGAAAGGGAAATATCTTCAAATAAAAACCAGACAGAATCATTCTCAGAAAATTCTTTGTGATGTGTGCGTTCAACTCACATAGTTTAACCTTTCTTTTCATAGAGCAGTTTGGAAACACTCTGTTTGTAAAGTCTGCAAGTGGATATATGGACCGCATTGAGGCCTTCGTTGGAAACGGGATTTCTTCATTTCATGCTAGACAGAAGAATTCTCAGTAACTTCTTTGTGCTGTGTGTATTCAACTCACAGAGTGGAACGTCCCTTTACACAGAGCAGATTTGAAACACTCTTTTTGTGGAGTTTGCAAGTGGAGATTTCAAGCGATTTGATGCCAACAGTAGAAAAGGAAATATCTTCCAATAAAAACTAGACAGAATCATTCTCAGAAACTACTTTGTGATGTGTGCCTTCAACTCACAGAGTTTAACCTTTCTTTTCTTAGAGCACTTTAGAAACACTCTGCTTGTTATGTCTGCAAGTGGATATTTGGACCTCTTTGAGGCCTTCGTTGCAAACGGGCTTTCTTCCTTTCATGCTAGACTAAGAAGAGTTCTCAGTAACTTTTTTGTGTTGTGTGTATTCAACTCACAGAGTTGAACCTTGCTTTAGAGAGAGCAGATTTGAAACACTCTTGCTGTGGCATTTTCAGGTGGAGATTTCAAGCGATTTGAGGACAATTGCAGAAAAGGAAATATCTTCGTATAATAACCAGACAGAATCATTCTCAGAAAGTGCTTTGTGATGTGTGCGTTCCACTCACAGAGTTTAACCTTTCTTTCCATAGAGGAGTTTGGAAACACACTGTTTGTAAAGTCTGCAATTGGATATATGGACCTGTTTGAGGCCTTCGTTGGAAACGGGATTTCTTCATTGAATGCTAGACGGAAGAATTCTCAGTAAATTCTTTGTGTTGTGTGCCTTCAACTCACAGAGTGGAACGTCCCTTTAGAGAGAGCAGATTTGAAACACTCTTTTTGCGGAATTTGCAGTGGAGATTTCTAGCCATTTGATGCCAACAGTAGAAAGGGAAATATCTTCAAATAAAAACCAGACAGAATCATTCTCAGAAAATTCTTTGTGATGTGTGCGTTCAACTCACATAGTTTAACCTTTCTTTTTCATAGAGCAGTTTGGAAACACTCTGTTTGTAAAGTCTGCAAGTGGATATACGGACCGCAATGAGGCCTTCGTTGGAAACGGGATTTCTTCATTTCATGCTAGACAGAAGAATTCTCAGTAACTTCTTTGTGCTGTGTGTATTCAACTCACAGAGTGGAACGTCCCTTTACACAGAGCAGATTTGAAACACTCTTTTTGTGGAGTTTGCAAGTGGAGATTTCAAGCGATTTGATGCCAACAGTAGAAAAGGAAATATCTTCAAATAAAAACTAGACAGAATCATTCTCAGAAACTACTTTGTGATGTGTGCCTTCAACTCACAGAGTTTAACCGTTCTTTTCTTAGAGCACTTTAGAAACACTCTGCTTGTTATGTCTGCAAGTGGATATTTGGACCTCTTTGAGGCCTTCGTTGCAAACGGGGTTTCTTCCTTTCATGCTAGACTAAGAAGAGTTCTCAGTAACTTTTTTGTGTTGTGTGTATTCAACTCACAGAGTTGAACCTTGCTTTAGAGAGAGCAGATTTGAAACACTCTTGCTGTGGCATTTTCAGGTGGAGATTTCAAGCGATTTGAGGACAATTGCAGAAAAGGAAATATCTTCGTATAATAACCAGACAGAATCATTCTCAGAAAGTGCTTTGTGATGTGTGCGTTCCACTCACAGAGTTTAACCTTTCTTTTCATAGAGGAGTTTGGAAACACACTGTTTGTAAAGTCTGCAAGTGGATATATGGACCTGTTTGAGGCCTTCGTTGGAAACGGGATTTCTTCATTGAATGCTAGACGGAAGAATTCTCAGTAAATTCTTTGTGTTGTGTGCATTCAACTCACAGAGTGGAACGTCCCTTTAGACAGAGCAGATTTGAAACACTCTTTTTGCGGAATTTGCAAGTGGAGATTTCTAGCCATTTGATGCCAACAGTAGAAAGGGAAATATCTTCAAATAAAAACCAGACAGAATCATTCTCAGAAAATTCTTTGTGATGTGTGCGTTCAACTCACATAGTTTAACCTTTCTTTTCATAGAGCAGTTTGGAAACACTCTGTTTGTAAAGTCTGCAAGTGGATATATGGACCGCATTGAGGCCTTCGTTGGAAACGGGATTTCTTCATTTCATGCTAGACAGAAAAATTCTCAGTAACTTCTTTGTGCTGTGTGTATTCAACTCACAGAGTGGAACGTCCCTTTGCACAGAGCAGATTTGAAACACTCTTTTTGTGGAATTTGCAAGTGGAGATTTCAAGCGATTTGATGCCAACAGTAGAAAAGGAAATATCTTCAAATAAAAACTAGACAGAATCATTCTCAGAAACTACTTTGTGATGTGTGCCTTCAACTCACAGAGTTTAACCTTTCTTTTCTTAGAGCAGTTTAGAAACACTCTGCTTGTTATGTCTGCAAGTGGATATTTGGACCTCTTTGAGGCCTTCGTTGCAAACGGGGTTTCTTCCTTTAATGCTAGACTAAGAAGAGTTCTCAGTAACTTTTTTGTGTTGTGTGTATTCAACTCACAGAGTTGAACCTTGCTTTAGAGAGAGCAGATTTGAAACACTCTTGCTGTGGCATTTTCAGGTGGAGATTTCAAGCGATTTGAGGACAATTGCAGAAAAGGAAATATCTTCGTATAACAACCAGACAGAATCATTCTCAGAAAGTGCTTTGTGATGTGTGCATTCAACTCACAGAGTTTAACCTTTCTTTTCATTGAGGAGTTTGGAAACACACTGTTTGTAAAGTCTGCAATTGGATATATGGACCTGTTTGAGGCCTTCGTTGGCAACGGGATTTCTTCATTGAATGCTAGACGGAAGAATTCTCAGTAAATTCTTTGTGTTGTGTGCATTCAACTGACAGAGTGGAACGTCCCTTAAGACAGAGCAGATTTGAAACACTCTTTTTGCGGAATTTGCAAGTGGAGATTTCTAGCCATTTGATGCCAACAGTAGAAAGGGAAATATCTTCAAATAAAAACCAGACAGAATCATTCTCAGAAAATTCTTTGTGATGTGTGCGTTCAACTCACATAGTTTAACCTTTCTTTTCATAGAGCAGTTTGGAAACACTCTGTTTGTAAAGTCTGCAAGTGGATATATGGACCGCATTGAGGCCTTCGTTGGAAGCGGGATTTCTTCATTTCATGCTAGACAGAAGAATTCTCAGTAACTTCTTTGTGCTGTGTGTATTCAACTCACAGAGTGGAACGTCCCTTTACACAGAGCAGATTTGAAACACTCTTTTTGTGGAGTTTGCAAGTGGAGATTTCAAGCGATTTGATGCCAACAGTAGAAAAGGAAATATCTTCAAATAAAAACTAGACAGAATCATTCTCAGAAACTACTTTGTGATGTGTGCCTTCAACTCACAGAGTTTAACCTTTCTTTTCATAGAGCAGTTTAGAAACACTCTGCTTGTTATGTCTGCAAGTGGATATTTTTACCTCTTTGAGGCCTTCGTTGCAAACGGGGTTTCTTCCTTTCATGCTAGACTAAGAGGCGTTCTCAGTAACTTTTTTGTGTTGTGTGTATTCAACTCACAGAGTTGAACCTTGCTTTAGAGAGAGCAGATTTGAAACACTCTTGCTGTGGCATTTTCAGGTGGAGATTTCAAGCGATTTGAGGACAATTGCAGAAAAGGAAATATCTTCGTATAATAACCAGACAGAATCATTCTCAGAAAGTGCTTTGTGATGTGTGCGTTCAACTCACAGAGTTTAATCTTTCTTTTCATAGAGGAGTTTGGAAACACACTGTTTGTAAAGTCTGCAATTGGATATATGGACCTGTTTGAGGCCTTCGTTGGAAACGGGATTTCTTCATTGAATGCTAGACGGAAGAATTCTCAGTAAATTCTTCGTGTTGTGTGCATTCAACTCACAGAGTGGAACGTCCCTTTAGACAGAGCAGATTTGAAACACTCTTTTTGCGGAATTTGCAAGTGGAGATTTCTAGCCATTTGATGCCAACAGTAGAAAGGGAAATATCTTCAAATAAAAACCAGACAGAGTCATTCTCAGAAAATTCTTTGTGATGTGTGCGTTCAACTCACATAGTTTAACCTTTCTTTTCATAGAGCAGTTTGGAAACACTCTGTTTGTAAAGTCTGCAAGTGGATATATGGACCGCATTGAGGCCTTCGTTGGAAACGGGATTTCTTCATTTCATGCTAGACAGAAGAATTCTCAGTAACTTCTTTGTGCTGTGTGTATTCAACTCACAGAGTGGAACGTCCCTTTGCACAGAGCGGATTTGAAACACTCTTTTTGTGGAGTTTGCAAGTGGAGATTTCAAGCGATTTGATGCCAACAGTAGAAAAGGAAATATCTTCAAATAAAAACTAGACAGAATCATTCTCAAAAACTACTTTGTGATGTGTGCCTTCAACTCACAGAGTTTAACCTTTCTTTTCTTAGAGCAGTTTAGAAACACTCTGCTTGTTATGTCTGCAAGTGGATATTTGGACCTCTTTGAGGCCTTCGTTGCAAACGGGGTTTCTTCCTTTCATGCTAGACTAAGAAGAGTTCTCAGTAACTTTTTTGTGTTGTGTGTATTCAACTCACAGAGTTGAACCTTGCTTTAGAGAGAGCAGATTTGAAACACTCTTGCTGTGGCATTTTCAGGTGGAGATTTCAAGCGATTTGAGGACAATTGCAGAAAAGGAAATATCTTCGTATAATAACCAGACAGAATCATTCTCAGAAAGTGCTTTGTGATGTGTGCGTTCAACTCACAGAGTTTAACCTTTCTTTTCATAGAGGAGTTTGGAAACACACTGTTTGTAAAGTCTGCTAGTGGATATATGGACCTGTTTGAGGCCTTCTTTGGAAACGGGATTTCTTCATTGAATGCTAGACGGAAGAATTCTCAGTAAATTCTTTGTGTTGTGTGCATTCAACTCACAGAGTGGAACGTCCCTTTAGACAGAGCAGATTTGAAACACTCTTTTTGCGGAATTTGCAAGTGGAGATTTCTAGCCATTTGATGCCAACAGTAGAAAGGGAAATATCTTCAAATAAAAACCAGACAGAATCATTCTCAGAAAATTCTTTGTGATGTGTGCGTTCAACTCACATAGTTTAACCTTTCTTTTCATAGAGCAGTTTGGAAACACTCTGTTTGTAAAGTCTGCAAGTGGATATATGGACCGCATTGAGGCCTTCGTTGGAAACGGGATTTCTTCATTTCATGCTAGACAGAAGAATTCTCAGTAACTTCTTTGTGCTGCGTGTATTCAACTCACAGAGTGGAACGTCCCTTTACACAGAGCAGATTTGAAACACTCTTTTTGTGGAGTTTGCAAGTGGAGATTTCAAGCGATTTGATGCCAACAGTAGAAAAGGAAATATCTTCAAATAAAAACTAGACAGAATCATTCTCAAAAACTACTTTGTGATGTGTGCCTTCAACTCACAGAGTTTAACATTTCTTTTCTTAGAGCAGTTTAGAAACACTCTGCTTGTTATGTCTGCAAGTGGATATTTGGACCTCTTTGAGGCCTTCGTTGCAAACGGGGTTTCTTCCTTTCATGCTAGACTAAGAAGAGTTCTCAGTAACTTTTTTGTGTTGTGTGTATTCAACTCACAGAGTTGAACCTTGCTTTAGAGAGAGCAGATTTGAAACACTCTTGCTGTGGCATTTTCAGGTGGAGATTTCAAGCGTTTTGAGGACAATTGCAGAAAAGGAAATATCTTCGTATAATAACCAGACAGAATCATTCTCAGAAAGTGCTTTGTGATGTGTGCGTTCCACTCACAGAGTTTAACCTTTCTTTTCATAGAGGAGTTTGGAAACACACTGTTTGTAAACTCTGCAAGTGGATATATGGACCTGTTTGAGGCCTTCGTTGGAAACGGGATTTCTTCATTGAATGCTAGACGGAAGAATTCTCAGTAAATTCTTTGTGTTGTGTGCATTCAACTCACAGAGTGGAACGTCCCTTTAGACAGAGCAGATTTGAAACACTCTTTTTGCGGAATTTGCAAGTGGAGATTTCTAGCCATTTGATGCCAACAGTAGAAAGGGAAATATCTTCAAATAAAAACCAGACAGAATCATTCTCAGAAAATTCTTTGTGATGTGTGCGTTCAACTCACATAGTTTAACCTTTCTTTTCATAGAGCAGTTTGGAAACACTCTGTTTGTAAAGTCTGCAAGTGGATATATGGACCGCATTGAGGCCTTCGTTGGAAACGGGATTTCTTCATTTCATGCTAGACAGAAGAATTCTCAGTAACTTCTTTGTGCTGTGTGTATTCAACTCACAGAGTGGAACCGTCCCTTTGCACAGAGCAGATTTGAAACACTCTTTTTGTGGAGTTTGCAAGTGGAGATTTCAAGCGATTTGATGCCAACAGTAGAAAAGGAAATATCTTCAAATAAAAACTAGACAGAATCATTCTCAGAAACTACTTTGTGATGTGTGCCTTCAACTCACAGAGTTTAACCTTTCTTTTCTTAGAGCAGTTTAGAAACACTCTGCTTGTTATGTCTGCAAGTGGATATTTGGACCTCTTTGAGGCCTTCGTTGCAAACGGGGTTTCTTCCTTTCATGCTAGACTAAGAAGAGTTCTCAGTAACTTTTTTGTGTTGTCTGTATTCAACTCACAGAGTTGAACCTTGCTTTAGAGAGAGCAGATTTGAAACACTCTTGCTGTGGCATTTTCAGGTGGAGATTTCAAGCGATTTGAGGACAATTGCAGAAAAGGAAATATCTTCGTATAACAACCAGACAGAATCATTCTCAGAAAGTGCTTTGTGATGTGTGCGTTCCACTCACAGAGTTTAACCTTTCTTTTCATAGAGGAGTTTGGAAACACACTGTTTGTAAAGTCTGCAAGTGGATTTATGGACCTGTTTGAGGCCTTCGTTGGAAACGGGATTTCTTCATTGACTGCTAGACGGAAGAATTCTCAGTAAATTCTTTGTGTTGTGTGCATTCAACTCACAGAGTGGAACGTCCCTTTAGACAGAGCAGATTTGAAACACTCTTTTTGCGGAATTTGCAAGTGGAGATTTCTAGCCATTTGATGCCAACAGTAGAAAGGGAAATATCTTCAAATAAAAACCAGACAGAATCATTCTCAGAAAATTCTTTGTGATGTGTGCTTTCAACTCACATAGTTTAACCTTTCTTTTCATAGAGCAGTTTGGAAACACTCTGTTTGTAAAGTCTGCAAGTGGATATATGGACCGCATTGAGGCCTTCGTTGGAAACGGGATTTCTTCATTTCATGCTAGACCGAAGAATTCTCAGTAACTTCTTTGTGCTGTGTGTATTCAACTCACAGAGTGGAACGTCCCTTTACACAGAGCAGATTTGAAGCACTCTTTTTGTGGAGTTTGCAAGTGGAGATTTCAAGCGATTTGATGCCAACAGTAGAAAAGGAAATATCTTCAAATAAAAACTAGACAGAATCATTCTCAGAAACTACTTTGTGATGTGTGCCTTCAACTCACAGAGTTTAACCTTTCTTTTCTTAGAGCAGTTTAGAAACACTCTGCTTGTTATGTCTGCAAGTGGATATTTGGACCTCTTTGAGGCCTTCGTTGCAAACGGGGTTTCTTCCTTTCATGCTAGACTAAGAAGAGTTCTCAGTAACTTTTTTGTGTTGTGTGTATTCAACTCACAGAGTTGAACCTTGCTTTAGAGAGAGCAGATTTGAAACACTCTTGCTGTGGCATTTTCAGGTGGAGATTTCAAGCGATTTGAGGACAATTGCAGAAAAGGAAATATCTTCGTATAATAACCAGACAGAATCATTCTCAGAAAGTGCTTTGTGATGTGTTCGTTCAACTCACAGAGTTTAACCTTTCTTTTCATAGAGGAGTTTGGAAACACACTGTTTGTAAAGTCTGCAAGTGGATATATGGACCTGTTTGAGGCCTCCGTTGGAAACGGGATTTCTTCATTGAATGCTAGACGGAAGAATTCTCAGTAAATTCTTTGTGTTGTGTGCATTCAACTCACAGAGTGGAACGTCCCTTTAGACAGAGCAGATTTGAAACACTCTTTTTGCGGAATTTGCAAGTGGAGATTTCTAGCCATTTGATGCCAACAGTAGAAAGGGAAATATCTTCAAATAAAAACCAGACAGAATCATTCTCAGAAAATTCTTTGTGATGTGTGCGTTCAACTCACATAGTTTAACCTTTCTTTTCATAGAGCAGTTTGGAAACACTCTGTTTGTAAAGTCTGCAAGTGGATATATGGACCGCATTGAGGCCTTCGTTGGAAACGGGATTTCTTCATTTCATGCTAGACAGAAGAATTCTCAGTAACTTCTTTGTGCTGTGTGTATTCAACTCACAGAGTGGAACGTCCCTTTGCACAGAGCAGATTTGAAACACTCTTTTTGTGGAGTTTGCAAGTGGAGATTTCAAGCGATTTGATGCCAACAGTAGAAAAGGAAATATCTTCAAATAAAAACTAGACAGAATCATTCTCAGAAACTACTTTGTGATGTGTGCCTTCAACTCACAGAGTTTAACCTTTCTTTTCTTAGAGCAGTTTAGAAACACTCTGCTTGTTATGTCTGCAAGTGGATATTTGGACCTCTTTGAGGCCTTCGTTGCAAACGGGGTTTCTTCCTTTCATGCTAGACTAAGAAGAGTTCTCAGTAACTTTTTTGTGTTGTGTGTATTCAACTCACAGAGTTGAACCTTGCTTTAGAGAGAGCAGATTTGAAACACTCTTGCTGTGGCATTTTCAGGTGGAGATTTCAAGCGATTTGAGGACAATTGCAGAAAAGGAAATATCTTCGTATAATAACCAGACAGAATCATTCTCAGAAAGTGCTTTGTGATGTGTGCCGTTCAACTCACAGAGTTTAACCTTTCTTTTCATAGAGGAGTTTGGAAACACACTGTTTGTAAAGTCTGCAAGTGGATATATGGACCTGTTTGAGGCCTTCGTTGGAAACGGGATTTCTTCATTGAATGCTAGACGGAAGAATTCTCAGTAAATTCTTTGTGTTGTGTGCATTCAACTCACAGAGTGGAACGTCCCTTTAGACAGAGCAGATTTGAAACACTCTTTTTGCGGAATTTGCAAGTGGAGATTTCTAGCCATTTGATGCCAACAGTAGAAAGGGAAATATCTTCAAATAAAAACCAGACAGAATCATTCTCAGAAAATTCTTTGTGATGTGTGCGTTCAACTCACATAGTTTAACCTTTCTTTTCATAGAGCAGTTTGGAAACACTCTGTTTGTAAAGTCTGCAAGTGGATATATGGACCGCATTGAGGCCTTCGTTGGAAACGGGATTTCTTCATTTCATGCTAGACAGAAGAATTCTCAGTAACTTATTTGTGCTGTGTGTATTCAACTCACAGAGTGGAACGTCCTTTTGCACAGAGCAGATTTGAAACACTCTTTTTGTGGAATTTGCAAGTGGAGATTTCAAGCGATTTGATGCCAACAGTAGAAAAGGAAATATCTTCAAATAAAAACTAGACAGAATCATTCTCAGAAACTACTTTGTGATGTGCGCCTTCAACTCACAGAGTTTAACCTTTCTTTTCTTAGAGCAGTTTAGAAACACTCTGCTTGTTATGTCTGCAAGTGGATATTTGGACCTCTTTTAGGCCTTCGTTGCAAACGGGGTTTCTTCCTTTCATGCTAGACTAAGAAGAGTTCTCAGTAACTTTTTTGTGTTGTGTGTATTCAACTCACAGAGTTGAACCTTGCTTTAGAGAGAGCAGATTTGAAACACTCTTGCTGTGGCATTTTCAGGTGGAGATTTCAAGCGATTTGAGGACAATTGCAGAAAAGGAAATATCTTCGTATAATAACCAGACAGAATCATTCTCAGAAAGTGCTTTGTGATGTGTGCGTTCAACTCACAGAGTTTAACCTTTCTTTTCATAGAGGAGTTTGGAAACACACTGTTTGTAAAGTCTGCAATTGGATATATGGACCTGTTTGAGGCCTTCGTTGGAAACGGGATTTCTTCATTGAATGCTAGACGGAAGAATTCTCAGTAAATTCTTTGTGTTGTGTGCATTCAACTCACAGAGTGGAACGTCCCTTTAGACAGAGCAGATTTGAAACACTCTTTTTGCGGAATTTGCAAGTGGAGATTTCTAGCCATTTGATGCCAACAGTAGAAAGGGAAATATCTTCAAATAAAAACCAGACAGAATCATTCTCAGAAAATTCTTTGTGATGTGTGCGTTCAACTCACATAGTTTAACCTTTCTTTTCATAGAGCAGTTTGGAAACACTCTGTTTGTAAAGTCTGCAAGTGGATCTATGGACCGCATTGAGGCCTTCGTTGGAAACGGGATTTCTTCATTTCATGCTAGACAGAAGAATTCTCAGTAACTTCTTTGTGCTGTGTGTATTCAACTCACAGAGTGGAACGTCCCTTTACACAGAGCAGATTTGAAACACTCTTTTAGTGGAGTTTGCAAGTGGAGATTTCAAGCGATTTGATGCCAACAGTAGAAAAGGAAATATCTTCAAATAAAAACTAGACAGAATCATTCTCAGAAACTACTTTGTGATGTGTGCCTTCAACTCACAGAGTTTAACCTTTCTTTTCTTAGAGCAGTTTAGAAACACTCTGCTTGTTATGTCTGCAAGTGGATATTTGGACCTCTTTGAGGCCTTCGTTGCAAACGGGGTTTCTTCCTTTCATGCTAGACTAAGAAGAGTTCTCAGTAACTTTTTTGTGTTGTGTGCATTCAACTCACAGAGTTGAACCTTGCTTTAGAGAGAGCAGATTTGAAACACTCTTGCTGTGGCATTTTCAGGTGGAGATTTCAAGCGATTTGAGGACAATTGCAGAAAAGGAAATATCTTCGTATAACAACCAGACAGAATCATTCTCAGAGAGTGCTTTGTGATGTGTGCGTTCAACTCACAGAGTTTAACCTTTCTTTTCATAGAGGAGTTTGGAAACACACTGTTTGTAAAGTCTGCAATTGGATATATGGACCTATTTGAGGCCTTCGTTGGAAACGGGATTTCTTCATTGAATGCTAGACGGAAGAATTCTCAGTAAATTCTTTGTGTTGTGTGCATTCAACTCACAGAGTGGAACGTCCCTTTAGACAGAGCAGATTTGAAACACTCTTTTTGCGGAATTTGCAAGTGGAGATTTCTAGCCATTTGATGCCAACAGTAGAAAGGGAAATATCTTCAAATAAAAACCAGACAGAATCATTCTCAGAAAATTCTTTGTGATGTGTGCGTTCAACTCACATAGTTTAACCTTTCTTTTCATAGAGCAGTTTGGAAACACTCTGTTTGTAAAGTCTGCAAGTGGATATATGGACCGCATTGAGGCCTTCGTTGGAACCGGGATTTCTTCATTTCATGCTAGACAGAAGAATTCTCAGTAACTTCTTTGTGCTGTGTGTATTCAACTCACAGAGTGGAACGTCCCTTTGCACAGAGCAGATTTGAAACACTCTTTTTGTGGAGTTTGCAAGTGGAGATTTCAAGCGATTTGATGCCAACAGTAGAAAAGGAAATATCTTCAAATAAAAACTAGACAGAATCATTCTCAGAAACTACTTTGTGATGTGTGCCTTCAACTCACAGAGTTTAACCTTTCTTTTCTTAGAGCACTTTAGAAACACTGTGCTTGTTATGTCTGCAAGTGGATATTTGGACCTCTTTGAGGCCTTCGTTGCAAACGGGGTTTCTTCCTTTCATGCTAGACTAAGAAGAGTTCTCAGTAACTTTTTTGTGTTGTGTGTATTCAACTCACAGAGTTGAACCTTGCTTTAGAGAGAGCAGATTTGAAACACTCTTGCTGTGGCATTTTCAGGTGGAGATTTCAAGCGATTTGAGGACAATTGCAGAAAAGGAAATATCTTCGTATAACAACCAGACAGAATCATTCTCAGAAAGTGCTTTATGATGTGTGCGTTCAACTCACAGAGTTTAACCTTTCTTCTCATAAAGCAGTATGGAAACACACTATTTGTATGTCCGGAAGTGGATATTTGGACCTGTTTGAGGCTTTCGTTGGAAACGGGATTTTATCATATAATGCTAGAAGGAAGAATTCTCAGTAAATTCTTTGTGTTGTGTGCATTCAACTCACAGAGTGGAACGTCCCTTTAGACAGAGCAGATTTGAAACACTCTTTTTGCGGAATTTGCAAGTGGAGATTTCTAGCCATTTGATGGCCAACAGTAGAAAGGGAAATATCTTCAAATAAAAACCAGACAGAATCATTCTCAGAAAATTCTTTGTGATGTGTGCGTTCAACTCACATAGTTTAACCTTTCTTTTCATAGAGCAGTTTGGAAACACTCTGTTTGTAAAGTCTGCAAGTGGATATATGGACCGCATTGAGGCCTTCGTTGGAAACGGGATTTCTTCATTTCATGCTAGACAGAAGAATTCTCAGTAACTTCTTTGTGCTGTGTGTATTCAACTCACAGAGTGGAACGTCCCTTTACACAGAGCAGATTTGAAACACTCTTTTTGTGGAGTTTGCAAGTGGAGATTTCAAGCGATTTGATGCCAACAGTAGAAAAGGAAATATCTTCAAATAAAAACTAGACAGAATCATTCTCAGAAACTACTTTGTGATGTGTGCCTTCAACTCACAGAGTTTAACCTTTCTTTTCTTAGAGCAGTTTAGAAACACTCTGCTTGTTATGTCTGCAAGTGGATATTTGGACCTCTTTGAGGCCTTCGTTGCAAACGGGGTTTCTTCCTTTCATGCTAGACTAAG
Source organism: Homo sapiens (assembly GCF_000001405.40). NCBI lineage: Eukaryota > Metazoa > Chordata > Mammalia > Primates > Hominidae > Homo > Homo sapiens. Next base: position 59,785,701 of record NC_000007.14, read on the forward strand.
AAGAGTTCTCAGTAACTTTTTTGTGTTGTGTGTATTCAACTCACAGAGTTGAACCTTGCTTTAGAGAGAGCAGATTTGAAACACTCTTGCTGTGGCATTTTCAGGTGGAGATTTCAAGCGATTTGAGGACAATTGCAGAAAAGGAAATATCTTCGTATAATAACCAGACAGAATCATTCTCAGAAAGTGCTTTGTGATGTGTGCGTTCAACTCACAGAGTTTATCCTTTCTTTTCATAGAGGAGTTTGGAAACACACTGTTTGTAAAGTCTGCAAGTGGATATATGGACCTGTTTGAGGCCTTCGTTGGAAACGGGATTTCTTCATTGAATGCTAGACGGAAGAATTCTCAGTAAATTCTTTGTGTTGTGTGCATTCAACTCACAGAGTGGAACGTCCCTTTAGACAGAGCAGATTTGAAACACTCTTTTTGCGGAATTTGCAAGTGGAGATTTCTAGCCATTTGATGCCAACAGTAGAAAGGGAAATATCTTCAAATAAAAACCAGACAGAATCATTCTCAGAAAATTCTTTGTGATGTGTGCGTTCAACTCACATAGTTTAACCTTTCTTTTCATAGAGCAGTTTGGAAACACTCTGTTTGTAAAGTCTGCAAGTGGATATATGGACCGCATTGAGGCCTTCGTTGGAAACGGGATTTCTTCATTTCATGCTAGACAGAAGAATTCTCAGTAACTTCTTTGTGCTGTGTGTATTCAACTCACAGAGTGGAACGTCCCTTTACACAGAGCAGATTTGAAACACTCTTTTTGTGGAGTTTGCAAGTGGAGATTTCAAGCGATTTGATGCCAACAGTAGAAAAGGAAATATCTTCAAATAAAAACTAGACAGAATCATTCTCAGAAACTACTTTGTGATGTGTGCCTTCAACTCACAGAGTTTAACCTTTCTTTTCTTAGAGCAGTTTAGAAACACTCTGCTTGTTATGTCTGCAAGTGGATATTTGGACCTCTTTGAGGCCTTCGTTGCAAACGGGGTTTCTTCCTTTCATGCTAGACTAAGAAGAGTTCTCAGTAACTTTTTTGTGTTGTGTGTATTCAACTCACAGAGTTGAACCTTGCTTTAGAGAGAGCAGATTTGAAACACTCTTGCTGTGACATTTTCAGGTGGAGATTTCAAGCGATTTGAGGACAATTGCAGAAAAAGAAATATCTTCGTATAATAACCAGACAGAATCATTCTCAGAAAGTGCTTTGTGATGTGTGCGTTCCACTCACAGAGTTTAACCTTTCTTTTCATAGAGGAGTTTGGAAACACACTGTTTGTAAAGTCTGCAAGTGGATATATGGACCTGTTTGAGGCCTTCGTTGGAAACGGGATTTCTTCATTGAATGCTAGACGGAAGAATTCTCAGTAAATTCTTTGTGTTGTGTGCATTCAACTCACAGAGTGGAACGTCCCTTTAGACAGAGCAGATTTGAAACACTCTTTTTGCGGAATTTGCAAGTGGAGATTTCTAGCCATTTGATGCCAACAGTAGAAAGGGAAATATCTTCAAATAAAAACCAGACAGAATCATTCTCAGAAAATTCTTTGTGATGTGTGCGTTCAACTCACATAGTTTAACCTTTCTTTTCATAGAGCAGTTTGGAAACACTCTGTTTGTAAAGTCTGCAAGTGGATATATGGACCGCATTGAGGCCTTCGTTGGAAACGGGATTTCTTCATTTCATGCTAGACAGAAGAATTCTCAGTAACTTCTTTGTGCTGTGTGTATTCAACTCACAGAGTGGAACGTCCCTTTACACAGAGCAGATTTGAAACACTCTTTTTGTGGACTTTGCAAGTGGAGATTTCAAGCGATTTGATGCCAACAGTAGAAAAGGAAATATCTTCAAATAAAAACTAGACAGAATCATTCTCAGAAACTACTTTGTGATGTGTGCCTTCAACTCACAGAGTTTAACCTTTCTTTTCTTAGAGCAGTTTAGAAACACTCTGCTTGTTATGTCTGCAAGTGGATATTTGGACCTCTTTGAGGCCTTCGTTGCAAACGGGGTTTCTTCCTTTCATGCTAGACTAAGAAGAGTTCTCAGTAACTTTTTTGTGTTGTGTGTATTCAACTCACAGAGTTGAACCTTGCTTTAGAGAGAGCAGATTTGAAACACTCTTGCTGTGGCATTTTCAGGTGGAGATTTCAAGCGATATGAGGACAATTGCAGAAAAGGAAATATCTTCGTATAATAACCAGACAGAATCATTCTCAGAAAGTGCTTTGTGATGTGTGCGTTCAACTCACAGAGTTTAACCTTTCTTTTCATAGAGGAGTTTGGAAACACACTGTTTGTAAAGTCTGCAATTGGATATATGGACCTGTTTGAGGCCTTCGTTGGAAACGGGATTTCTTCATTGAATGCTAGACGGAAGAATTCTCAGTAAATTCTTTGTGTTGTGTGCATTCAACTCACAGAGTGGAACGTCCCTTTAGACAGAGCAGATTTGAAACACTCTTTTTGCGGAATTTGCAAGTGGAGATTTCTAGCCATTTGATGCCAACAGTAGAAAGGGAAATATCTTCAAATAAAAACCAGACAGAATCATTCTCAGAAAATTCTTTGTGATGTGTGCGTTCAACTCACATAGTTTAACCTTTCTTTTCATAGAGCAGTTTGGAAACACTCTGTTTGTAAAGTCTGCAAGTGGATATATGGACCGCATTGAGGCCTTCGTTGGAAACGGGATTTCTTCATTTCATGCTAGACAGAAGAATTCTCAGTAACTTCTTTGTGCTGTGTGTATTCAACTCACAGAGTGGAACGTCCCTTTACACAGAGCAGATATGAAACACTCTTTTTGTGGAGTTTGCAAGTGGAGATTTCAAGCGATTTGATGCCAACAGTAGAAAAGGAAATATCTTCAAATAAAAACTAGACAGAATCATTCTCAGAAACTATTTTGTGATGTGTGCCTTCAACTCACAGAGTTTAACCTTTCTTTTCTTAGAGCAGTTTAGAAACACTCTGCTTGTTATGTCTGCAAGTGGATATTTGGACCTCTTTGAGGCCTTCATTGCAAACGGGGTTTCTTCCTTTAATTCTAGACTAAGAAGAGTTCTCAGTAACTTTTTTGTGTTGTGTGTATTCAACTCACAGAGTTGAACCTTGCTTTAGAGAGAGCAGATTTGAAACACTCTTGCTGTGGCATTTTCAGGTGGAGATTTCAAGCGATTTGAGGACAATTGCAGAAAAGGAAATATCTTCGTATAACAACCAGACAGAATCATTCTCAGAGAGTGCTTTGTGATGTGTGCGTTCAACTCACAGAGTTTAACCTTTCTTTTCATAGAGGAGTTTGGAAACACACTGTTTGTAAAGTCTGCAATTGGATATATGGACCTGTTTGAGGCCTTCATTGGAAACGGGATTTCTTCATTGAATGCTAGACGGAAGAATTCTCAGTAAATTCTTTGTGTTGTGTGCATTCAACTGACAGAGTGGAACGTCCCTTTAGACAGAGCAGATTTGAAACACTCTTTTTGCGGAATTTGCAAGTGGAGATTTCTAGCCATTTGATGCCAACAGTAGAAAGGGAAATATCTTCAAATAAAAACCAGACAGAATCATTCTCAGAAAATTCTTTGTGATGTGTGCGTTCAACTCACATAGTTTAACCTTTCTTTTCATAGAGCAGTTTGGAAACACACTGTTTGTAAAGTCTGCAAGTGGATATATGGACCGCATTGAGGCCTTCGTTGGAAACGGGATTTCTTCATTTCATGCTAGACAGAAGAATTCTCAGTAACTTCTTTGTGCTGTGTGTATTCAACTCACAGAGTGGAACGTCCCTTTGCACAGAGCAGATTTGAAACACTCTTTTTGTGGAATTTGCAAGTGGAGATTTCAAGCGATTTGATGCCAACAGTAGAAAAGGAAATATCTTCAAATAAAAACTAGACAGAATCATTCTCAGAAACTACTTTGTGATGTGAGCCTTCAACTCACAGAGTTTAACCTTTCTTTTCTTAGAGCAGTTTAGAAACACTCTGCTTGTTATGTCTGCAAGTGGATATTTGGACCTCTTTGAGGCCTTCGTTGCAAACGGGGTTTCTTCCTTTAATGCTAGACTAAGAAGAGTTCTCAGTAACTTTTTTGTGTTGTGTGTATTCAACTCACAGAGCTGAACCTTGCTTTAGAGAGAGCAGATTTGAAACACTCTTGCTGTGGCATTTTCAGGTGGAGATTTCAAGCGATTTGAGGACAATTGCAGAAAAGGAAATATCTTCGTATAACAACCAGACAGAATCATTCTCAGAAAGTGCTTTGTGATGTGTGCGTTCAACTCACAGAGTTTAACCTTTCTTTTCATAGAGGAGTTTGGAAACACACTGTTTGTAAAGTCTGCAATTGGATATATGGACCTGTTTGAGGCCTTCGTTGGAAACGGGATTTCTTCATTGAATGCTAGACGGAAGAATTCTCAGTAAATTCTTTGTGTGGTGTGCATTCAACTCACAGAGTGGAACGTCCCTTTAGACAGAGCAGATTTGAAACACTCTTTTTGCGGAATTTGCAAGTGGAGATTTCTAGCCATTTGATGCCAACAGTAGAAAGGGAAATATCTTCAAATAAAAACCAGACAGAATCATTCTCAGAAAATTCTTTGTGATGTGTGCGTTCAACTCACATAGTTTAACCTTTCTTTTCATAGAGCAGTTTGGAAACACTCTGTTTGTAAAGTCTGCAAGTGGATATATGGACCGCATTGAGGCCTTCGTTGGAAACGGGATTTCTTCATTTCATGCTAGACAGAAGAATTCTCAGTAACTTCTTTGTGCTGTGTGTATTCAACTCACATAGTGGAACGTCCCTTTGCACAGAGCAGATTTGAAACACTCTTTTTGTGGAGTTTGCAAGTGGAGATTTCAAGCGATTTGATGCCAACAGTAGAAAAGGAAATATCTTCAAATAAAAACTAGACAGAATCATTCTCAGAAACTACTTTGTGATGTGTGCCTTCAACTCACAGAGTTTAACCTTTCTTTTCTTAGAGCAGTTTAGAAACACTCTGCTTGTTATGTCTGCAAGTGGATATTTGGACCTCTTTGAGGCCTTCGTTGCAAACGGGGTTTCTTCCTTTCATGCTAGACTAAGAAGAGTTCTCAGTAACTTTTTTGTGTTGTGTGTATTCAACTCACAGAGTTGAACCTTGCTTTAGAGAGAGCAGATTTGAAACACTCTTGCTGTGGCATTTTCAGGTGGAGATTTCAAGCGATTTGAGGACAATTGCAGAAAAGGAAATATCTTCGTATAATAACCAGACAGAATCATTCTCAGAAAGTGCTTTGTGATGTGTGCGTTCAACTCACAGAGTTTAACCTTTCTTTTCATAGAGGAGTTTGGAAACACACTGTTTGTAAAGTCTGCAATTGGATATATGGACCTGTTTGAGGCCTTCGTTGGAAACGGGATTTCTTCATTGAATGCTAGACGGAAGAATTCTCAGTAAATTCTTTGTGTTGTGTGCATTCAACTCACAGAGTGGAACGTCCCTTTAGACAGAGCAGATTTGAAACACTCTTTTTGCGGAATTTGCAAGTGGAGATTTCTAGCCATTTGATGCCAACAGTAGAAAGGGAAATATCTTCAAATAAAAACCAGACAGAATCATTCTCAGAAAATTCTTTGTGATGTGTGCGTTCAACTCACATAATTTAACCTTTCTTTTCATAGAGCAGTTTGGAAACACTCTGTTTGTAAAGTCTGCAAGTGGATATATGGACCGCATTGAGGCCTTCGTTGGAAACGGGATTTCTTCATTTCATGCTAGACAGAAGAATTCTCAGTAACTTCTTTGTGCTGTGTGTATTCAACTCACAGAGTGGAACGTCCCTTTACACAGAGCAGATTTGAAACACTCTTTTTGTGGAGTTTGCAAGTGGAGATTTCAAGCGATTTGATGCCAACAGTAGAAAAGGAAATATCTTCAAATAAAAACTAGACAGAATCATTCTCAGAAACTACTTTGTGATGTGTGCCTTCAACTCACAGAGTTTAACCTTTCTTTTCTTAGAGCAGTTTAGAAACACTCTGCTTGTTATGTCTGCAAGTGGATATTTGGACCTCTTTGAGGCCTTCGTTGCAAACGGGGTTTCTTCCTTTCATGCTAGACTAAGAAGAGTTCTCAGTAACTTTTTTGTGTTGTGTGTATTCAACTCACAGAGTTGAACCTTGCTTTAGAGAGAGCAGATTTGAAACACTCTTGCTGTGGCATTTTCAGGTGGAGATTTCAAGCGATTTGAGGACAATTGCAGAAAAGGAAATATCTTCGTATAATAACCAGACAGAATCATTCTCAGAAAGTGCTTTGTGATGTGTGCGTTCAACTCACAGAGTTTAACCTTTCTTTTCATAGAGGAGTTTGGAAACACACTGTTTGTAAAGTCTGCAAGTGGATATATGGACCTGTTTGAGGCCTTCGTTGGAAACGGGATTTCTTCATTGAATGCTAGACGGAAGAATTCTCAGTAAATTCTTTGTGTTGTGTGCATTCAACTCACAGAGTGGAACGTCCCTTTAGACAGAGCAGATTTGAAACACTCTTTTTGCGGAATTTGCAAGTGGAGATTTCTAGCCATTTGATGCCAACAGTAGAAAGGGAAATATCTTCAAATAAAAACCAGACAGAATCATTCTCAGAAAATTCTTTGTGATGTGTGCGTTCAACTCACATAGTTTAACCTTTCTTTTCATAGAGCAGTTTGGAAACACTCTGTTTGTAAAGTCTGCAAGTGGATATATGGACCGCATTGAGGCCTTCGTTGGAAACGGGATTTCTTCATTTCATGCTAGACAGAAGAATTCTCAGTAACTTCTTTGTGCTGTGTGTATTCAACTCACAGAGTGGAACGTCCCTTTACACAGAGCAGATTTGAAACACTCTTTTTGTGGAGTTTGCAAGTGGAGATTTCAAGCGATTTGATGCCAACAGTAGAAAAGGAAATATCTTCAAATAAAAACTAGACAGAATCATTCTCAGAAACTACTTTGTGATGTGTGCCTTCAACTCACAGAGTTTAACCTTTCTTTTCTTAGAGCAGTTTAGAAACACTCTGCTTGTTATGTCTGCAAGTGGATATTTGGACCTCTTTGAGGCCTTCGTTGCAAACGGGGTTTCTTCCTTTCATGCTAGACTAAGAAGAGTTCTCAGTAACTTTTTTGTGTTGTGTGTATTCAACTCACAGAGTTGAACCTTGCTTTAGAGAGAGCAGATGTGAAACACTCTTGCTGTGGCATTTTCAGGTGGAGATTTCAAGCGATTTGAGGACAATTGCAGAAAAGGAAATATCTTCGTATAATAACCAGACAGAATCATTCTCAGAAAGTGCTTTGTGATGTGTGCGTTCAACTCACAGAGTTTAACCTTTCTTTTCATAGAGGAGTTTGGAAACACACTGTTTGTAACGTCTGCAATTGGATATATGGACCTGTTTGAGGCCTTCGTTGGAAACGGGATTTCTTCATTGAATGCTAGACGGAAGAATTCTCAGTAAATTCTTTGTGTTGTGTGCATTCAACTCACAGAGTGGAACGTCCCTTTAGACAGAGCAGATTTGAAACACTCTTTTTGCGGAATTTGCAAGTGGAGATTTCTAGCCATTTGATGCCAACAGTAGAAAGGGAAATATCTTCAAATAAAAACCAGACAGAATCATTCTCAGAAAATTCTTTGTGATGTGTGCGTTCAACTCACATAATTTAACCTTTCTTTTCATAGAGCAGTTTGGAAACACTCTGTTTGTAAAGTCTGCAAGTGGATATATGGACCTCATTGAGGCCTTCGTTGGAAACGGGATTTCTTCATTTCATGCTAGCCAGAAGAATTCTCAGTAACTTCTTTGTGCTGTGTGTATTCAACTCACAGAGTGGAACGTCCCTTTACACAGAGCAGATTTGAAACACTCTTTTTGTGGAATTTGCAAGTGGAGATTTCAAGCGATTTGATGCCAACAGTAGAAAAGGAAATATCTTCAAATAAAAACTAGACAGAATCATTCTCAGAAACTACTTTGTGATGTGTGCCTTCAACTCACAGAGTTTAACCTTTCTTTTCTTAGAGCAGTTTAGAAACACTCTGCTTGTTATGTCTGCAAGTGGACATTTGGACCTCTTTGAGGCCTTCGTTGCAAACGGGGTTTCTTCCTTTAATGCTAGACTAAGAAGAGTTCTCAGTAACTTTTTTGTGTTGTGTGTATTCAACTCACAGAGTTGAACCTTGCTTTAGAGAGAGCAGATTTGAAACACTCTTGCTGTGGCATTTTCAGGTGGAGATTTCAAGCGATTTGAGGACAATTGCAGAAAAGGAAATATCTTCGTATAATAACCAGACAGAATCATTCTCAGAAAGTGCTTTGTGATGTGTGCGTTCAACTCACAGAGTTTAACCTTTCTTTTCATAGAGGAGTTTGGAAACACACTGTTTGTAAAGTCTGCAATTGGATATATGGACCTGTTTGAGGCCTTCGTTGGAAACGGGATTTCTTCATTGCATGCTAGACGGAAGAATTCTCAGTAAATTCTTTGTGTTGTGTGCATTCAACTCACAGAGTGGAACGTCCCTTTAGACAGAGCAGATTTGAAACACTCTTTTTGCGGAATTTGCAAGTGGAGATTTCTAGCCATTTGATGCCAACAGTAGAAAGGGAAATATCTTCAAATAAAAACCAGACAGAATCATTCTCAGAAAATTCTTTGTGATGTGTGCGTTCAACTCACATAGTTTAACCTTTCTTTTCATAGAGCAGTTTGGAAACACTCTGTTTGTAAAGTCTGCAAGTGGATATATGGACCTCTTTGAGGCCTTCGTTGGAAACGGGATTTCTTCATTGAATGCTAGACGGAAGAATTCTCAGTAACTTCTTTGTGCTGTGTGTATTCAACTCACAGAGTGGAACGTCCCTTTGCACAGAGCAGATTTGAAACACTCTTTTTGTGGAGTTTGCAAGTGGAGATTTCAAGCGATTTGATGCCAACAGTAGAAAAGGAAATATCTTCAAATAAAAACTAGACAGAATCATTCTCAGAAACTACTTTGTGATGTGTGCCTTCAACTCACAGAGTTTAACCTTTCTTTTCTTAGAGCAGTTTAGAAACACTCTGCTTGTTATGTCTGCAAGTGGATATTTGGACCTCTTTGAGGCCTTCGTTGCAAACGGGGTTTCTTCCTTTAATGCTAGACGAAGAAGAGTTCTCAGTAACTTTTTTGTGTTGTGTGTATTCAACTCACAGAGTTGAACCTTGCTTTAGAGAGAGCAGATTTGAAACACTCTTGCTGTGGCATTTTCAGGTGGAGATTTCAAGCGTTTTGAGGACAATTGCAGAAAAGGAAATATCTTCGTATAATAACCAGACAGAATCATTCTCAGAAAGTGCTTTGTGATGTGTGCGTTCAACTCACAGAGTTTAACCTTTCTTTTCATAGAGGAGTTTGGAAACACACTGTTTCTAAAGTCTGCAAGTGGATATATGGACCTGTTTGAGGCCTTCGTTGGAAACGGGATTTCTTCATTGAATGCTAGACGGAAGAATTCTCAGTAAATTCTTTGTGTTGTGTGCATTCAACTCACAGAGTGGAACGTCCCTTTAGACAGAGCAGATTTGAAACACTCTTTTTGCGGAATTTGCAAGTGGAGATTTCTAGCCATTTGATGCCAACAGTAGAAAGGGAAATATCTTCAAATAAAAACCAGACAGAATCATTCTCAGAAAATTCTTTGTGATGTGTGCGTTCAACTCACATAGTTTAACCTTTCTTTTCATAGAGCAGTTTGGAAACACTCTGTTTGTAAAGTCTGCAAGTGGATATATGGACCGCATTGAGGCCTTCGTTGGAAACGGGATTTCTTCATTTCATGCTAGACAGAAGAATTCTCAGTAACTTCTTTGTGCTGTGTGTATTCAACTCACAGAGTGGAACGTCCCTTTGCACAGAGCAGATTTGAAACACTCTTTTTGTGGAGTTTGCAAGTGGAGATTTCAAGCGATTTGATGCCAACAGTAGAAAAGGAAATATCTTCAAATAAAAACTAGACAGAATCATTCTCAGAAACTACTTTGTGATGTGTGCCTTCAACTCACAGAGTTTAACCTTTCTTTTCTTAGAGCAGTTTAGAAACACTCTGCTTGTTATGTCTGCAAGTGGATATTTGGACCTCTTTGAGGCCTTCGTTGCAAACGGGGTTTCTTCCTTTCATGCTAGACTAAGAAGAGTTCTCAGTAACTTTTTTGTGTTGTGTGTATTCAACTCACAGAGTTGAACCTTGCTTTAGAGAGAGCAGATTTGAAACACTCTTGCTGTGGCATTTTCAGGTGGAGATTTCAAGCGATTTGAGGACAATTGCAGAAAAGGAAATATCTTCGTATAATAACCAGACAGAATCATTCTCAGAAAGTGCTTTGTGATGTGTGCGTTCAACTCACAGAGTTTAACCTTTCTTTTCATAGAGGAGTTTGGAAACACACTGTTTGTAAAGTCTGCAATTGGATATATGGACCTGTTTGAGGCCTCCGTTGGAAACGGGATTTCTTCATTGAATGCTAGACGGAAGAAATCTCAGTAAATTCTTTGTGTTGTGTGCATTCAACTCACAGAGTGGAACGTGCCTTTAGACAGAGCAGATTGGAAACACTCTTTTTGCGGAATTTGCAAGTGGAGATTTCTAGCCATTTGATGCCAACAGTAGAAAGGGAAATATCTTCAAATAAAAACCAGACAGAATCATTCTCAGAAAATTCTTTGTGATGTGTGCGTTCAACTCACATAGTTTAACCTTTCTTTTCATAGAGCAGTTTGGAAACACTCTGTTTGTAATGTCTGCAAGTGGATATATGGACGGCATTGAGGCCTTCGTTGGAAACGGGATTTCTTCATTTCATGCTAGACAGAAGAATTCTCAGTAACTTCTTTGTGCTGTGTGTATTCAACTCACAGAGTGGAACGTCCCTTTGCACAGAGCAGATTTGAAACACTCTTTTTGTGGAATTTGCAAGTGGAGATTTCAAGCGATTTGATGCCAACAGTAGAAAAGGAAATATCTTCAAATAAAAACTAGACAGAATCATTCTCAGAAACTACTTTGTGATGTGTGCCTTCAACTCACAGAGTTTAACCTTTCTTTTCTTACAGCAGTTTAGAAACACTCTGCTTGTTATGTCTGCAAGTGGATATTTGGACCTCTTTGAGGCCTTCGTTGCAAACGGGGTTTCTTCCTTTCATGCTAGACTAAGAAGAGTTCTCAGTAACTTTTTTGTGTTGTGTGTATTCAACTCACAGAGTTGAACCTTGCTTTAGAGAGAGCAGATTTGAAACACTCTTGCTGTGGCATTTTCAGGTGGAGATTTCAAGCGATTTGAGGACAATTGCAGAAAAGGAAATATCTTCGTATAATAACCAGACAGAATCATTCTCAGAAAGTGCTTTGTGATGTGTGCGTTCAACTCACAGAGTTTAACCTTTCTTTTCATAGAGGAGTTTGGAAACACACTGTTTGTAAAGTCTGCAAGTGGATATATGGACCTGTTTGAGGCCTCCGTTGGAAACGGGATTTCTTCATTGAATGCTAGACGGAAGAATTCTCAGTAAATTCTTTGTGTTGTGTGCATTCAACTCACAGAGTGGAACGTCCCTTTAGACAGAGCAGATTTGAAACACTCTTTTTGCGGAATTTGCAAGTGGAGATTTCTAGCCATTTGATGCCAACAGTAGAAAGGGAAATATCTTCAAATAAAAACCAGACAGAATCGTTCTCAGAAAATTCTTTGTGATGTGTGCGTTCAACTCACATAGTTTAACCTTTCTTTTCATAGAGCAGTTTGGAAACACTCTGTTTGTAAAGTCTGCAAGTGGATATATGGACCGCATTGAGGCCTTCGTTGGAAACGGGATTTCTTCATTTCATGCTAGACAGAAGAATTCTCAGTAACTTCTTTGTGCTGTGTGTATTCAACTCACAGAGTGGAACGTCCCTTTGCACAGAGCAGATTTGAAACACTCTTTTTGTGGAGTTTGCAAGTGGAGATTTCAAGCGATTTGATGCCAACAGTAGAAAAGGAAATATCTTCAAATAAAAACTAGACAGAATCATTCTCAGAAACTACTTTGTGATGTGTGCCTTCAACTCACAGAGTTTAACCTTTCTTTTCTTAGAGCAGTTTAGAAACACTCTGCTTGTTATGTCTGCAAGTGGATATTTGGACCTCTTTGAGGCCTTCGTTGCAAACGGGGTTTCTTCCTTTCATGCTAGACTAAGAAGAGTTCTCAGTAACTTTTTTGTGTTGTGTGTATTCAACTCACAGAGTTGAACCTTGCTTTAGAGAGAGCAGATTTGAAACACTCTTGCTGTGGCATTTTCAGGTGGAGATTTCAAGCGATTTGAGGACAATTACAGAAAAGGAAATATCTTCGTATAACAACCAGACAGAATCATTCTCAGAAAGTGCTTTGTGATGTGTGCGTTCCACTCACAGAGTTTAACCTTTCTTTTCATAGAGGAGTTTGGAAACACACTGTTTGTAAACTCTGCAAGTGGATATATGGACCTGTTTGAGGCCTTCGTTGGAAACGGGATTTCTTCATTGAATGCTAGACGGAAGAATTCTCAGTAAATTCTTTGTGTTGTGTGCATTCAACTCACAGAGTGGAACGTCCCTTTAGACAGAGCAGATTTGAAACACTCTTTTTGCGGAATTTGCAAGTGGAGATTTCTAGCCATTTGATGCCAACAGTAGAAAGGGAAATATCTTCAAATAAAAACCAGACAGAATCATTCTCAGAAAATTCTTTGTGATGTGTGCGTTCAACTCACATAGTTTAACCTTTCTTTTCATAGAGCAGTTTGGAAACACTCTGTTTGTAAAGTCTGCAAGTGGATATATGGACCGCATTGAGGCCTTCGTTGGAAACGGGATTTCTTCATTTCATGCTAGACAGAAGAATTCTCAGTAACTTCTTTGTGCTGTGTGTATTCAACTCACAGAGTGGAACGTCCCTTTGCACAGAGCAGATTTGAAACACTCTTTTTGTGGAATTTGCAAGTGGAGATTTCAAGCGATTTGATGCCAACAGTAGAAAAGGAAATATCTTCAAATAAAAACTAGACAGAATCATTCTCAGAAACTACTTTGTGATGTGTGCCTTCAACTCACAGAGTTTAACCATTCTTTTCTTAGAGCAGTTTAGAAACACTCTGCTTGTTATGTCTGCAAGTGGATATTTGGACCTCTTTGAGGCCTTCGTTGCAAACGGCGTTTCTTCCTTTCATGCTAGACTAAGAAGAGTTCTCAGTAACTTTTTTGTGTTGTGTGTATTCAACTCACAGAGTTGAACCTTGCTTTAGAGAGAGCAGATTTGAAACACTCTTGCTGTGGCATTTTCAGGTGGAGATTTCAAGCGATTTGAGGACAATTGCAGAAAAGGAAATATCTTCGTATAATAACCAGACAGAATCATTCTCAGAAAGTGCTTTGTGATGTGTGCGTTCAACTCACAGAGTTTAACCTTTCTTTCCATAGAGGAGTTTGGAAACACACTGTTTGTAAAGTCTGCAATTGGATATATGGACCTGTTTGAGGCCTTCGTTGGAAACGGGATTTCTTCATTGAATGCTAGACGGAAGAATTCTCAGTAAATTCTTTGTGTTGTGTGCATTCAACTGACAGAGTGGAACGTCCCTTTAGACAGAGCAGATTTGAAACACTCTTTTTGCGGAATTTGCAAGTGTAGATTTCTAGCCATTTGATGCCAACAGTAGAAAGGGAAACATCTTCAAATAAAAACCAGACAGAATCATTCTCAGAAAATTCTTTGTGATGTGTGCGTTCAACTCACATAGTTTAACCTTTCTTTTCATAGAGCAGTTTGGAAACACTCTGTTTGTAAAGTCTGCAAGTGGATATATGGACCGCATTGAGGCCTTCGTTGGAAACGGGATTTCTTCATTTCATGCTAGACAGAAGAATTCTCAGTAACTTCTTTGTGCTGTGTGTATTCAACTCACAGAGTGGAACGTCCCTTTACACAGAGCAGATTTGAAACACTCTTTTTGTGGAGTTTGCAAGTGGAGATTTCAAGCGACTTGATGCCAACAGTAGAAAAGGAAATATCTTCAAATAAAAACTAGACAGAATCATTCTCAGAAACTACTTTGTGATGTGTGCCTTCAACTCACAGAGTTTAACCTTTCTTTTCTTAGAGCAGTTTAGAAACACTCTGCTTGTTATGTCTGCAAGTGGATATTTGGACCTCTTTGAGGCCTTCGTTGCAAACGGGGTTTCTTCCTTTCATGCTAGACTAAGAAGAGTTCTCAGTAACTTTTCTGTGTTGTGTGTATTCAACTCACACAGTTGAACCTTGCTTTAGAGAGAGCAGATTTGAAACACTCTTGCTGTGGCATTTTCAGGTGGAGATTTCAAGCGTTTTGAGGACAATTGCAGAAAAGGAAATATCTTCGTATAATAACCAGACAGAATCATTCTCAGAAAGTGCTTTGTGATGTGTGCGTTCCACTCACAGAGTTTAACCTTTCTTTTCATAGAGGAGTTTGGAAACACACTGTTTGTAAACTCTGCAAGTGGATATATGGACCTGTTTGAGGCCTTCGTTGGAAACGGGATTTCTTCATTGAATGCTAGACGGAAGAATTCTCAGTAAATTCTTTGTGTTGTGTGCATTCAACTCACAGAGTGGAACGTCCCTTTAGACAGAGCAGATTTGAAACACTCTTTTTGCGGAATTTGCAAGTGGAGATTTCTAGCCATTTGATGCCAACAGTAGAAAGGGAAATATCTTCAAATAAAAACCAGACAGAATCATTCTCAGAAAATTCTTTGTGATGTGTGCGTTCAACTCACATAGTTTAACCTTTCTTTTCATAGAGCAGTTTGGAAACACTCTGTTTGTAAAGTCTGCAAGTGGATATATGGACCGCATTGAGGCCTTCGTTGGAAACGGGATTTCTTCATTTCATGCTAGACAGAAGAATTCTCAAGTAACTTCTTTGTGCTGTGTGTATTCAACTCACAGAGTGGAACGTCCCTTTGCACAGAGCAGATTTGAAACACTCTTTTTGTGGAGTTTGTAATTGGAGATTTCAAGCGATTTGATGCCAACAGTAGAAAAGGAAATATCTTCAAATAAAAACTAGACAGAATCATTCTCAGAAACTACTTTGTGATGTGTGCCTTCAACTCACAGAGTTTAACCTTTCTTTTCATAGAGCAGTTTAGAAACACTCTGCTTGTTATGTCTGCAAGTGGATATTTGGACCTCTTTGAGGCCTTCGTTGCAAACGGGGTTTCTTCCTTTCATGCTAGACTAAGAAGAGTTCTCAGTAACTTTTTTGTGTTGTGTGTATTCAACTCACAGAGTTGAACCTTGCTTTAGAGAGAGCAGATTTGAAACACTCTTGCTGTGGCATTTTCAGGTGGAGATTTCAAACGATTTGAGGACAATTGCAGAAAAGGAAATATCTTCGTATAATAACCAGACAGAATCATTCTCAGAAAGTGCTTTGTGATGTGTGCGTTCAACTCACAGAGTTTAACCTTTCTTTTCATAGAGGAGTTTGGAAACACACTGTTTGTAAAGTCTGCAATTGGATATATGGACCTGTTTGAGGCCTTCGTTGGAAACGGGATTTCTTCATTGAATGCTAGACGGAAGAATTCTCAGTAAATTCTTTGTGTTGTGTGCATTCAACTCACAGAGTGGAACGTCCCTTTAGACAGAGCAGATTTGAAACACTCTTTTTGCGGAATTTGCAAGTGGAGATTTCTAGCCATTTGATGCCAACAGTAGAAAGGGAAATATCTTCAAATAAAAACCAGACAGAATCATTCTCAGAAAATTCTTTGTGATGTGTGCATTCAACTCACATAGTTTAACCTTTCTTTTCATAGAGCAGTTTGGAAACACTCTGTTTGTAAAGTCTGCAAGTGGATATATGGACCGCATTGAGGCCTTCGTTGGAAACGGGATTTCTTCATTTCATGCTAGACAGAAGAATTCTCAGTAACTTCTTTGTGCTGTGTGTATTCAACTCACAGAGTGGAACGTCCCTTTACACAGAGCAGATTTGAAACACTCTTTTTGTGGAGTTTGCAAGTGGAGATTTCAAGCGATTTGATGCCAACAGTAGAAAAGGAAATATCTTCAAATAAAAACTAGACAGAATCATTCTCAGAAACTACTTTGTGACGTGTGCCTTCAACTCACAGAGTTTAACCTTTCTTTTCTTAGAGCAGTTTAGAAACACTCTGCTTGTTATGTCTGCAAGTGGATATTTGGACCTCTTTGAGGCCTTCGTTGCAAACGGGGTTTCTTCCTTTAATGCTAGACTAAGAACAGTTCTCAGTAACTTTTTTGTGTTGTGTGTATTCAACTCACAGAGTTGAACCTTGCTTTAGAGAGAGCAGATTTGAAACACTCTCGCTGTGGAATTTTCAGGTGGAGATTTCAAGCGATTTGAGGACAATTGCAGAAAAGGAAATATCTTCGTATAATAACCAGACAGAATCATTCTCAGAAAGTGCTTTGTGATGTGTGCGTTCAACTCACAGAGTTTAACCTTTCTTTTCATAGAGGAGTTTGGAAACACACTGTTTGCAAAGTCTGCAATTGGATATATGGACCTGTTTGAGGCCTTCGTTGGAAACGGGATTTCTTCATTGAATGCTAGACGGAAGAATTCTCAGTAAATTCTTTGTGTTGTGTGCATTCAACTCACAGAGTGGAACGTCCCTTTAGACAGAGCAGATTTGAAACACTCTTTTTGCGGAATTTGCAAGTGGAGATTTCTAGCCATTTGATGCCAACAGTAGAAAGGGAAATATCTTCAAATAAAAACCAGACAGAATCATTCTCAGAAAATTCTTTGTGATGTGTGCGTTCAACTCACATAGTTTAACCTTTCTTTTCATAGAGCAGTTTGGAAACACTCTGTTTGTAAAGTCTGCAAGTGGATATATGGACCGCATTGAGGCCTTCGTTGGAAACGGGATTTCTTCATTTCATGCTAGACAGAAGAATTCTCAGTAACTTCTTTGTGCTGTGTGTATTCAACTCACAGAGTGGAACGTCCCTTTGCACAGAGCAGATTTGAAACACTCTTTTTGTGGAATTTGCAAGTGGAGATTTCAAGCGATTTGATGCCAACAGTAGAAAAGGAAATATCTTCAAATAAAAACTAGACAGAATCATTCTCAGAAACTACTTTGTGATGTGTGCCTTCAACTCACAGAGTTTAACCTTTCTTTTCTTAGAGCAGTTTAGAAACACTCTGCTTGTTATGTCTGCAAGTGGATATTTGGACCTCTTTGAGGCCTTCGTTGCAAACGGGGTTTCTTCCTTTCATGCTAGAATAAGAAGAGTTCTCAGTAACTTTTTTGTGTTGTGTGTATTCAACTCACAGAGTTGAACCTTGCTTTAGAGAGAGCAGATTTGAAACACTCTTGCTGTGGCATTTTCAGGTGGAGATTTCAAGCGATTTGAGGACAATTGCAGAAAAGGAAATATCTTCGTATAATAACCAGACAGAATCATTCTCAGAAAGTGCTTTGTGATGTGTGCGTTCAACTCACAGAGTTTAACCTTTCTTTTCATAGAGGAGTTTGGAAACACACTGTTTGTAAAGTCTGCAAGTGGATATATGGACGTGTTTGAGGCCTTCGTTGGAAACGGGATTTCTTCATTGAATGCTAGACGGAAGAATTCTCAGTAAATTCTTTGTGTTGTGTGCATTCAACTCACAGAGTGGAACGTCCCTTTAGACAGAGCAGATTTGAAACACTCTTTTTGCGGAATTTGCAAGTGGAGATTTCTAGCCATTTGATGCCAACAGTAGAAAGGGAAATATCTTCAAATAAAAACCAGACAGAATCATTCTCAGAAAATTCTTTGTGATGTGTGCGTTCAACTCACATAGTTTAACCTTTCTTTTCATAGAGCAGTTTGGAAACACTCTGTTTGTAAAGTCTGCAAGTGGATATATGGACCGCATTGAGGCCTTCGTTGGAAACGGGATTTCTTCATTTCATGCTAGACAGAAGAATTCTCAGTAACTTCTTTGTGCTGTGTGTATTCAACTCACAGAGTGGAACGTCCCTTTACACAGAGCAGATTTGAAACACTCTTTTTGTGGAGTTTGCAAGTGGAGATTTCAAGCGATTTGATGCCAACCGTAGAAAAGGAAATATCTTCAAATAAAAACTAGACAGAATCATTCTCAGAAACTACTTTGTGATGTGTGCCTTCAACTCACAGAGTTTAACCTTTCTTTTCTTAGAGCAGTTTAGAAACACTCTGCTTGTTATGTCTGCAAGTGGATATTTGGACCTCTTTGAGGCCTTCGTTGCAAACGGGGTTTCTTCCTTTCATGCTAGACTAAGAAGAGTTCTCAGTAACTTTTTTGTGTTGTGTGTATTCAACTCACAGAGTTGAACCTTGCTTTAGAGAGAGCAGATTTGAAACACTCTTGCTGTGGCATTTTCAGGTGGAGATTTCAAGCGTTTTGAGGACAATTGCAGAAAAGGAAATATCTTCGTATAATAACCAGACAGAATCATTCTCAGAAAGTGCTTTGTGATGTGTGCGTTCCACTCACAGAGTTTAACCTTTCTTTTCATAGAGGAGTTTGGAAACACACTGTTTGTAAACTCTGCAAGTGGATATATGGACCTGTTTGAGGCCTTCGTTGGAAACGGGATTTCTTCATTGAATGCTAGACGGAAGAATTCTCAGTAAATTCTTTGTGTTGTGTGCATTCAACTCACAGAGTGGAACGTCCCTTTAGACAGAGCAGATTTGAAACACTCTTTTTGCGGAATTTGCAAGTGGAGATTTCTAGCCATTTGATGCCAACAGTAGAAAGGGAAATATCTTCAAATAAAAACCAGACAGAATCATTCTCAGAAAATTCTTTGTGATGTGTGCGTTCAACTCACATAGTTTAACCTTTCTTTTCATAGAGCAGTTTGGAAACACTCTGTTTGTAAAGTCTGCAAGTGGATATATGGACCGCATTGAGGCCTTCGTTGGAAACGGGATTTCTTCATTTCATGCTAGACAGAAGAATTCTCAGTAACTTCTTTGTGCTGTGTGTATTCAACTCACAGAGTGGAACGTCCCTTTGCACAGAGCAGATTTGAAACACTCTTTTTGTGGAGTTTGCAAGTGGAGATTTCAAGCGATTTGATGCCAACAGTAGAAAAGGAAATATCTTCAAATAAAAACTAGACAGAATCATTCTCAGAAACTACTTTGTGATGTGTGCCTTCAACTCACAGAGTTTAACCTTTCTTTTCTTAGAGCAGTTTAGAAACACTCTGCTTGTTATGTCTGCAAGTGGATATTTGGACCTCTTTGAGGCCTTCGTTGCAAACGGGGTTTCTTCCTTTCATGCTAGACTAAGAAGAGTTCTCAGTAACTTTTTTGTGTTGTGTGTATTCAACTCACAGAGTTGAACCTTGCTTTAGAGAGAGCAGATTTGAAACACTCTCGCTGTGGAATTTTCAGGTGGAGATTTCAAGCGATTTGAGGACAATTGCAGAAAAGGAAATATCTTCGTATAATAACCAGACAGAATCATTCTCAGAAAGTGCTTTGTGATGTGTGCGTTCAACTCACAGAGTTTAACCTTTCTTTTCATAGAGGAGTTTGGAAACACACTGTTTGTAAAGTCTGCAATTGGATATATGGACCTGTTTGAGGCCTCCGTTGGAAACGGGATTTCTTCATTGAATGCTAGACGGAAGAATTCTCAGTAAATTCTTTGTGTTGTGTGCATTCAACTCACAGAGTGGAACGTCCCTTTAGACAGAGCAGATTTGAAACACTCTTTTTGCGGAATTTGCAAGTGGAGATTTCTAGCCATTTGATGCCAACAGTAGAAAGGGAAATATCTTCAAATAAAAACCAGACAGAATCATTCTCAGAAAATTCTTTGTGATGTGTACTTTCAACTCACATAGTTTAACCTTTCTTTTCATAGAGCAGTTTGGAAACACTCTGTTTGTAAAGTCTGCAAGTGGATATATGGACCGCATTGAGGCCTTCGTTGGAAACGGGATTTCTTCATTTCATGCTAGACAGAAGAATTCTCAGTAACTTCTTTGTGCTGTGTGTATTCAACTCACAGAGTGGAACGTCCCTTTGCACAGAGCAGATTTGAAACACTCTTTTTGTGGAGTTTGCAAGTGGAGATTTCAAGCGATTTGATGCCAACAGTAGAAAAGGAAATATCTTCAAATAAAAAATAGACAGAATCATTCTCAGAAACTACTTTGTGAAGTATGCCTTCAACTCACAGAGTTTAACCTTTCTTTTCTTAGAGCAGTTTAGAAACACTCTGCTTGTTATGTCTGCAAGTGGATATTTGGACCTCTTTGAGGCCTTCGTTGCAAACGGGATTTCTTCATTTAATGCTAGACTAAAGAGTTCTCAGTAACTTTTTTGTGTTGTGTGCATTCAACTCACAGAGTTGAACCTTGCTTTAGAGAGAGCAGATTTGAAACACTCTTGCTGTGGCATTTTCAGGTGGAGATTTCAAGCGATTTGAGGACAATTGCAGAAAAGGAAATATCTTCGTATAACAACCAGACAGAATCATTCTCAGAGAGTGCTTTGTGATGTGTGCGTTCAACTCACAGAGTTTAACCTTTCTTTTCATAGAGGAGTTTGGAAACACACTGTTTGTAAAGTCTGCAAGTGGATATATGGACCTGTTTGAGGCCTTCGTTGGAAACTGGATTTCTTCATTGACTGCTAGACGGAAGAATTCTCAGTAAATTCTTTGTGTTGTGTGCATTCAACTGACAGAGTGGAACGTCCCTTTAGACAGAGCAGATTTGAAACACTCTTTTTGCGGAATTTGCAAGTGGAGATTTCTAGCCATTTGATGCCAACAGTAGAAAGGGAAATATCTTCAAATAAAAACCAGACAGAATCATTCTCAGAAAATTCTTTGTGATGTGTGCGTTCAACTCACATAATTTAACCTTTCTTTTCATAGAGCAGTTTGGAAACACTCTGTTTGTAAAGTCTGCAAGTGGATATATGGACCGCATTGAGGCCTTCGTTGGAAACGGGATTTCTTCATTTCATGCTAGACAGAAGAATTCTCAGTAACTTCTTTGTGCTGTGTGTATTCAACTCACAGAGTGGAACGTCCCTTTGCACAGAGCAGATTTGAAACACTCTTTTTGTGGAGTTTGCAAGTGGAGATTTCAAGCGATTTGATGCCAACAGTAGAAAAGGAAATATCTTCAAATAAAAACTAGACAGAATCATTCTCAGAAACTACTTTGTGATGTGTGCCTTCAACTCACAGAGTTTAACCTTTCTTTTCTTAGAGCAGTTTAGAAACACTCTGCTTGTTATGTCTGCAAGTGGATATTTGGACCTCTTTGAGGCCTTCGTTGCAAACGGGGTTTCTTCCTTTAATGCTAGACTAAGAAGAGTTCTCAGTAACTTTTTTGTGTTGTGTGTATTCAACTCACAGATTTGAACCTTGCTTTAGAGAGAGCAGATTTGAAACACTCTTGCTGTGGAATTTTCAGGTGGAGATTTCAAGCGATTTGAGGACAATTGCAGAAAAGGAAATATCTTCGTATAATAACCAGACAGAATCATTCTCAGAAAGTGCTTTGTGATGTGTGCGTTCCACTCACAGAGTTTAACCTTTCTTTTCATAGAGGAGTTTGGAAACACACTGTTTGTAAAGTCTGCAAGTGGATATATGGACCTGTTTGAGGCCTTCGTTGGAAACGGGATTTCTTCATTGAATGCTAGACGGAAGAATTCTCAGTAAATTCTTTGTGTTGTGTGCATTCAACTCACAGAGTGGAACGTCCCTTTAGACAGAGCAGATTTGAAACACTCTTTTTGCGGAATTTGCAAGTGGAGATTTCTAGCCATTTGATGCCAACAGTAGAAAGGGAAATATCTTCAAATAAAAACCAGACAGAATCATTCTCAGAAAATTCTTTGTGATGTGTGCGTTCAACTCACATAGTTTAACCTTTCTTTTCATAGAGCAGTTTGGAAACACTCTGTTTGTAAAGTCTGCAAGTGGATATATGGACCGCATTGAGGCCTTCGTTGGAAACGGGATTTCTTCATTTCATGCTAGACAGAAGAATTCTCAGTAACTTCTTTGTGCTGTGTGTATTCAACTCACAGAGTGGAACGTCCCTTTGCACAGAGCGGATTTGAAACACTCTTTTTGTGGAGTTTGCAAGTGGAGATTTCAAGCGATTTGATGCCAACAGTAGAAAAGGAAATATCTTCAAATAAAAACTAGACAGAATCATTCTCAAAAACTACTTTGTGATGTGTGCCTTCAACTCACAGAGTTTAACCTTTCTTTTCTTAGAGCAGTTTAGAAACACTCTGCTTGTTATGTCTGCAAGTGGATATTTGGGCCTCTTTGAGGCCTTCGTTGCAAACGGGGTTTCTTCCTTTCATGCTAGACTAAGAAGAGTTCTCAGTAACTTTTTTGTGTTGTGTGTATTCAACTCACAGAGTTGAACCTTGCTTTAGAGAGAGCAGATTTGAAACACTCTTGCTGTGGCATTTTCAGGTGGAGATTTCAAGCGATTTGAGGACAATTGCAGAAAAGGAAATATCTTCGTATAATAACCAGACAGAATCATTCTCAGAAAGTGCTTTGTGATGTGTGCGTTCAACTCACAGAGTTTAACCTTTCTTTTCATAGAGGAGTTTGGAAACACACTGTTTGTAAAGTCTGCAAGTGGATATATGGACCTGTTTGAGGCCTTCGTTGGAAACGGGATTTCTTCATTGAATGCTAGACGGGAAGAATTCTCAGTAAATTCTTTGTGTTGTGTGCATTCAACTCACAGAGTGGAACGTCCCTTTAGACAGAGCAGATTTGAAACCCTCTTTTTGCGGAATTTGCAAGTGGAGATTTCTAGCCATTTGATGCCAACAGTAGAAAGGGAAATATCTTCAAATAAAAACCAGACAGAATCATTCTCAGAAAATTCTTTGTGATGTGTGCGTTCAACTCACATAGTTTAACCTTTCTTTTCATAGAGCAGTTTGGAAACACTCTGTTTGTAAAGTCTGCAAGTGCATATATGGACCGCATTGAGGCCTTCGTTGGAAACGGGATTTCTTCATTTCATGCTAGACAGAAGAATTCTCAGTAACTTCTTTGTGCTGTGTGTATTCAACTCACAGAGTGGAACGTCCCTTTACACAGAGCAGATTTGAAACACTCTTTTTGTGGAATTTGCAAGTGGAGATTTCAAGCGATTTGATGCCACCAGTAGAAAAGGAAATATCTTCAAATAAAAACTAGACAGAAATCATTCTCAGGAAACTACTTTGTGATGTGTGCCTTCAACTCACAGAGTTTAACCTTTCTTTTCTTAGAGCAGTTTAGAAACACTCTGCTTCTTATGTCTGCAAGTGGATATTTGGACCTCTTTGAGGCCTTCGTTGCAAACGGGATTTCTTCCTTTAATGCTAGACTAAGAAGAGTTCTCAGTAACTTTTTTGTGTTGTGTGTATTCAACTCACAGAGTTGAACCTTGCTTTAGAGAGAGCAGATTTGAAACACTCTTGCTGTGGCATTTTCAGGTGGAGATTTCAAGCGATTTGAGGACAATTGCAGAAAAGGAAATATCTTCGTATAATAACCAGACAGAATCATTCTCAGAAAGTGCTTTGTGATGTGTGCGTTCCACTCACAGAGTTTAACCTTTCTTTTCATAGAGGAGTTTGGAAACACACTGTTTGTAAAGTCTGCAAGTGGATATATGGACCTGTTTGAGGCTTTCGTTGGAAACGGGATTTCTTCATTGAATGCTAGACGGAAGAATTCTCAGTAAATTCTTTGTGTTGTGTGCATTCAACTCACAGAGTGGAACGTCCCTTTAGACAGAGCAGATTTGAAACACTCTTTTTGCGGAATTTGCAAGTGGAGATTTCTAGCCATTTGATGCCAACAGTAGAAAGGGAAATATCTTCAAATAAAAACCAGACAGAATCATTCTCAGAAAATTCTTTGTGATGTGTGCGTTCAACTCACATAGTTTAACCTTTCTTTTCATAGAGCAGTTTGGAAACACTCTGTTTGTAAAGTCTGCAAGTGGATATATGGACCGCATTGAGGCCTTCGTTGGAAACGGGATTTCTTCATTTCATGCTAGACAGAAGAATTCTCAGTAACTTCTTTGTGCTGTGTGTATTCAACTCACAGAGTGGAACGTCCCTTTGCACAGAGCAGATTTGAAACACTCTTTTTGTGGAGTTTGCAAGTGGAGATTTCAAGCGATTTGATGCCAACAGTAGAAAAGGAAATATCTTCAAATAAAAACTAGACAGAATCATTCTCAGAAACTACTTTGTGATGTGTGCCTTCAACTCACAGAGTTTAACCTTTCTTTTCTTAGAGCAGTTTAGAAACACTCTGCTTGTTATGTCTGCAAGTGGATATTTGGACCTCTTTGAGGCCTTCGTTGCAAACGGGGTTTCTTCCTTTCATGCTAGACTAAGAAGAGTTCTCAGTAACTTTTTTGTGTTGTGTGTATTCAACTCACAGAGTTGAACCTTGCTTTAGAGAGAGCAGATTTGAAACACTCTTGCTGTGGCATTTTCAGGTGGAGATTTCAAGCGATTTGAGGACAATTGCAGAAAAGGAAATATCTTCGTATAATAACCAGACAGAATCATTCTCAGAAAGTGCTTTGTGATGTGTGCGTTCAACTCACAGAGTTTAACCTTTCTTTTCATAGAGGAGTTTGGAAACACACTGTTTGTAAAGTCTGCAATTGGATATATGGACCTGTTTGAGGCCTTCGTTGGAAACGGGATTTCTTCATTGCATGCTAGACGGAAGAATTCTCAGTAAATTCTTTGTGTTGTGTGCATTGAACTCACAGAGTGGAACGTCCCTTTAGACAGAGCAGATTTGAAACACTCTTTTTGCGGAATTTGCAAGTGGAGATTTCTAGCCATTTGATGCCAACAGTAGAAAGGGAAATATCTTCAAATAAAAACCAGACAGAATCATTCTCAGAAAATTCTTTGTGATGTGTGCGTTCAACTCACATAGTTTAACCTTTCTTTTCATAGAGCAGTTTGGAAACACTCTGTTTGTAAAGTCTGCAAGTGGATATATGGACCGCATTGAGGCCTTCGTTGGAAACGGGATTTCTTCATTTCATGCTAGACAGAAGAATTCTCAGTAACTTCTTTGTGCTGTGTGTATTCAACTCACAGAGTGGAACGTCCCTTTGCACAGAGCAGATTTGAAACACTCTTTTTGTGGAATTTGCAAGTGGAGATTTCAAGCGATTTGATGCCAACAGTAGAAAAGGAAATATCTTCAAATAAAAACTAGACAGAATCATTCTCAGAAACTACTTTGTGATGTGTGCCTTCAACTCACAGAGTTTAACCTTTCTTTTCTTAGAGCAGTTTAGAAACACTCTGCTTGTTATGTCTGCAAGTGGATATTTGGACCTCTTTGAGGCCTTCGTTGCAAACGGGGTTTCTTCCTTTCATGCTAGACTAAGAAGAGTTCTCAGTAACTTTTTTGTGTTGTGTGTATTCAACTCACAGAGTTGAACCTTGCTTTAGAGAGAGCAGATTTGAAACACTCTTGCTGTGGCATTTTCAGGTGGAGATTTCAAGCGATTTGAGGACAACTGCAGAAAAGGAAATATCTTCGTATAATAACCAGACAGAATCATTCTCAGAAAGTGCTTTGTGATGTGTGCGTTCAACTCACAGAGTTTAACCTTTCTTTTCATAGAGGAGTTTGGAAACACACTGTTTGTAAAGTCTGCAAGTGGATATATGGACCTGTTTGAGGCCTTCGTTGGAAACGGGATTTCTTCATTGAATGCTAGACGGAAGAATTCTCAGTAAATTCTTTGTGTTGTGTGCATTCAACTCACACAGTGGAACGTCCCTTTAGACAGAGCAGATTTGAAACACTCTTTTTGCGGAAGTTGCAAGTGGAGATTTCTAGCCATTTGATGCCAACAGTAGAAAGGGAAATATCTTCAAATAAAAACTAGACAGAATCATTCTCAGAAAGTGCTTTGTGATGTGTGCGTTCAACTCACAGAGTTTAACCTTTCTTTTCATAGAGGAGTTTGGAAACACACTGTTTGTAAAGTCTGCAATTGGATATATGGACCTGTTTGAGGCCTTCGTTGGAAACGGGATTTCTTCATTGAATGCTAGACGGAAGAATTCTCAGTAAATTCTTTGTGTTGTGTGCATTCAACTCACAGAGTGGAACGTCCCTTTAGACAGAGCAGATTTGAAACACTCTTTTTGCGGAATTTGCAAGTGGAGATTTCTAGCCATTTGATGCCAAGAGTAGAAAGGGAAATATCTTCAAATAAAAACCAGACAGAATCATTCTCAGAAAATTCTTTGTGATGTGTGCGTTCAACTCACATAGTTTAACCTTTCTTTTCATAGAGCAGTTTGGAAACACTCTGTTTGTAAAGTCTGCAAGTGGATATATGGACCGCATTGAGGCCTTCGTTGGAAACGGGATTTCTTCATTTCATGCTAGACAGAAGAATTCTCAGTAACTTCTTTGTGCTGTGTGTATTCAACTCACAGAGTGGAACGTCCCTTTGCACAGAGCAGATTTGAAACACTCTTTTTGTGGAATTTGCAAGTGGAGATTTCAAGCGATTTGATGCCAACAGTAGAAAAGGAAATATCTTCAAATAAAAACTAGACAGAATCATTCTCAGAAACTACTTTGTGATGTGTGCCTTCAACTCACAGAGTTTAACCTTTCTTTTCTTAGAGCAGTTTAGAAACACTCTGCTTGTTATGTCTGCAAGTGGATATTTGGACCTCTTTGAGGCCTTCGTTGCAAACGGGGTTTCTTCCTTTCATGCTAGACTAAGAAGAGTTCTCAGTAACTTTTTTGTGTTGTGTGTATTCAACTCACAGAGCTGAACCTTGCTTTAGAGAGAGCAGATTTGAAACACTCTTGCTGTGGCATTTTCAGGTGGAGATTTCAAGCGATTTGAGGACAATTGCAGAAAAGGAAATATCTTCGTATAACAACCAGACAGAATCATTCTCAGAAAGTGCTTTGTGATGTGTGCGTTCAACTCACAGAGTTTAACCTTTCTTTTCATAGAGGAGTTTGGAAACACACTGTTTGTAAAGTCTGCAATTGGATATATGGACCTGTTTGAGGCCTTCGTTGGAAACGGGATTTCTTCATTGAATGCTAGACGGAAGAATTCTCAGTAAATTCTTTGTGTTGTGTGCATTCAACTGACAGAGTGGAACGTCCCTTTAGACAGAGCAGATTTGAAACACTCTTTTTGCGGAATTTGCAAGTGGAGATTTCTAGCCATTTGATGCCAACAGTAGAAAGGGAAATATCTTCAAATAAAAACCAGACAGAATCATTCTCAGAAAATTCTTTGTGATGTGTGCGTTCAACTCACATAGTTTAACCTTTCTTTTCATAGAGCAGTTTGGAAACACTCTGTTTGTAAAGTCTGCAAGTGGATCTATGGACCGCATTGAGGCCTTCGTTGGAAACGGGATTTCTTCATTTCATGCTAGACAGAAGAATTCTCAGTAACTTCTTTGTGCTGTGTGTATTCAACTCACAGAGTGCAACGTCCCTTTACACAGAGCAGATTTGAAACACTCTTTTTGTGGAGTTTGCAAGTGGAGATTTCAAGCGATTTGATGCCAACAGTAGAAAAGGAAATATCTTCAAATAAAAACTAGACAGAATCATTCTCAGAAACTACTTTGTGATGTGTGCCTTCAACTCACAGAGTTTAACCTTTCTTTTCTTAGAGCAGCTTAGAAACACTCTGCTTGTTATGTCTGCAAGTGGATATTTGGACCTCTTTGAGGCCTTCGTTGCAAACGGGGTTTCTTCCTTTAATGCTAGACTAAGAAGAGTTCTCAGTAACTTTTTTGTGTTGTGTGTATTCAACTCACAGAGTTGAACCTTGCTTTAGAGAGAGCAGATTTGAAACACTCTCGCTGTGGCATTTTCAGGTGGAGATTTCAAACGATTTGAGGACAATTACAGAAAAGGAAATATCTTCGTATAATAACCAGACAGAATCATTCTCAGAAAGTGCTTTGTGATGTGTGCGTTCAACTCACAGAGTTTAACCTTTCTTTTCATAGAGGAGTTTGGAAACACACTGTTTGTAAAGTCTGCAATTGGATATATGGACCTGTTTGAGGCCTTCGTTGGAAACGGGATTTTATCATATAATGCTAGACGGAAGAATTCTCAGTAAATTCTTTGTGTTGTGTGCATTCAACTCACAGAGTGGAACGTCCCTTTAGACAGAGCAGATTTGAAACACTCTTTTTGCGGAATTTGCAAGTGGAGATTTCTAGCCATTTGATGCCAACAGTAGAAAGGGAAATATCTTCAAATAAAAACCAGACAGAATCATTCTCAGAAAATTCTTTGTGATGTGTGCGTTCAACTCACATAGTTTAACCTTTCTTTTCATAGAGCAGTTTGGAAACACTCTGTTTGTAAAGTCTGCAAGTGGATATATGGACCGCATTGAGGCCTTCGTTGGAAACGGGATTTCTTCATTTCATGCTAGACAGAAGAATTCTCAGTAACTTCTTTGTGCTGTGTGTATTCAACTCACAGAGTGGAACGTCCCTTTGCACAGAGCAGATTTGAAACACTCTTTTTGTGGAGTTTGCAAGTGGAGATTTCAAGCGATTTAATGCCAACAGTAGGAAAGGAAATATCTTCAAATAAAAACTAGACAGAATCATTCTCAGAAACTACTTTGTGATGTGTGCCTTCAACTCACAGAGTTTAACCTTTCTTTTCTTAGAGCAGTTTAGAAACACTCTGCTTGTTATGTCTGCAAGTGGATATTTGGACCTCTTTGAGGCCTTCGTTGCAAACGGGGTTTCTTCCTTTAATGCTAGACTAAGAAGAGTTCTCAGTAACTTTTTTGTGTTGTGTGTATTCAACTCACAGAGTTGAACCTTGCTTTAGAGAGAGCAGATTTGAAACACTCTTGCTGTGACATTTTCAGGTGGAGATTTCAAGCGATTTGAGGACAATTGCAGAAAAGGAAATATCTTCGTATAATAACCAGAAAGAATCATTCTCAGAAAGTGCTTTGTGATGTGTGCGTTCCACTCACAGAGTTTAACCTTTCTTTTCATAGAGGAGTTTGGAAACACACTGTTTGTAAAGTCTGCAAGTGGATATATGGACCTGTTTGAGGCCTTCGTTGGAAACGGGATTTCTTCATTGAATGCTAGACGGAAGAATTCTCAGTAAATTCTTTGTGTTGTGTGCATTCAACTCACAGAGTGGAACGTCCCTTTAGACAGAGCAGATTTGAAACACTCTTTTTGCGGAATTTGCAAGTGGAGATTTCTAGCCATTTGATGCCAACAGTAGAAAGGGAAATATCTTCAAATAAAAACCAGACAGAATCATTCTCAGAAAATTCTTTGTGATGTGTGCGTTCAACTCACATAGTTTAACCTTTCTTTTCATAGAGCAGTTTGGAAACACTCTGTTTGTAAAGTCTGCAAGTGGATATATGGACCGCATTGAGGCCTTCGTTGGAAAAGGGATTTCTTCATTTCATGCTAGACAGAAGAATTCTCAGTAACTTCTTTGTGCTGTGTGTATTCAACTCACAGAGTGGAACGTCCCTTTGCACAGAGCAGATTTGAAACACTCTTTTTGTGGAGTTTGCAAGTGGAGATTTCAAGCGATTTGATGCCAACAGTAGAAAAGGAAATATCTTCAAATAAAAACTAGACAGAATCATTCTCAGAAGCTACTTTGTGATGTGTGCTTTCAACTCACAGAGTTTAACCTTTCTTTTCTTAGAGCAGTTTAGAAACACTCTGCTTGTTATGTCTGCAAGTGGATATTTGGACCTCTTTGAGGCCTTCGTTGCAAACGGGGTTTCTTCCTTTTATGCTAGACTAAGAAGAGTTCTCAGTATCTTTTTTGTGTTGTGTGTATTCAACTCACAGAGTTGAACCTTGCTTTAGAGAGAGCAGATTTGAAACACTCTTGCTGTGGCATTTTCAGGTGGAGATTTCAAGCGATTTGAGGACAATTGCAGAAAAGGAAATATCTTCGTATAATAACCAGACAGAATCATTCTCAGAAAGTGCTTTGTGATGTGTGCGTTCAACTCACAGAGTTTAACCTTTCTTTTCATAGAGGAGTTTGGAAACACACTGTTTGTAAAGTCTGCAATTGCATATATGGACCTGTTTGAGGCCTCCGTTGGAAACGGGATTTCTTCATTGAATGCTAGACGGAAGAATTCTCAGTAAATTCTTTGTGTTGTGTGCATTCAACTCACAGAGTGGAACGTCCCTTTAGACAGAGCAGATTTGAAACACTCTTTTTGCGGAATTTGCAAGTGGAGATTTCTAGCCATTTGATGCCAACAGTAGAAAGGGAAATATCTTCAAATAAAAACCAGACAGAATCATTCTCAGAAAATTCTTTGTGATGTGTGCGTTCAACTCACATAGTTTAACCTTTCTTTTCATAGAGCAGTTTGGAAACACTCTGTTTGTAAAGTCTGCAAGTGGATATATGGACCGCATTGAGGCCTTCGTTGGAAACGGGATTTCTTCATTTCATGCTAGACAGAAGAATTCTCAGTAACTTCTTTGTGCTGTGTGTATTCAACTCACAGAGTGGAACGTCCCTTTACACAGAGCAGATTTGAAACACTCTTTTTGTGGAGTTTGCAAGTGGAGATTTCAAGCGATTTGATGCCAACAGTAGAAAAGGAAATATCTTCAAATAAAAACTAGACAGAATCATTCTCAGAAACTACTTTGTGATGTGTGCCTTCAACTCACAGAGTTTAACCTTTCTTTTCTTAGAGCAGTTTAGAAACACTCTGCTTGTTATGTCTGCAAGTGGATATTTGGACCTCTTTGAGGCCTTCGTTGCAAACGGGGTTTCTTCCTTTCATGCTAGACTAAGAAGAGTTCTCAGTAACTTTTTTGTGTTGTGTGTATTCAACTCACAGAGTTGAACCTTGCTTTAGAGAGAGCAGATTTGAAACACTCTTGCTGTGGCATTTTCAGGTGGAGATTTCAAGCGATTTGAGGACAATTGCAGAAAAGGAAATATCTTCGTATAATAACCAGACAGAATCATTCTCAGAAAGTGCTTTGTGATGTGTGCGTTCAACTCACAGAGTTTAACCTTTCTTTTCATAGAGGAGTTTGGAAACACACTGTTTGTAAAGTCTGCAAGTGGATATATGGACCTGTTTGAGGCCTTCGTTGGAAACGGGATTTCTTCATTGAATGCTAGACGGAAGAATTCTCAGTAAATTCTTTGTGTTGTGTGCATTCAACTCACAGAGTGGAACGTCCCTTTAGACAGAGCAGATTTGAAACACTCTTTTTGCGGAATTTGCAAGTGGAGATTTCTAGCCATTTGATGCCAACAGTAGAAAGGGAAATATCTTCAAATAAAAACCAGACAGAATCATTCTCAGAAAATTCTTTGTGATGTGTGCGTTCAACTCACATAGTTTAACCTTTCTTTTCATAGAGCAGTTTGGAAACACTCTGTTTGTAAAGTCTGCAAGTGGATATATGGACCGCATTGAGGCCTTCGTTGGAAACGGGATTTCTTCATTTCATGCTAGACAGAAGAATTCTCAGTAACTTCTTTGTGCTGTGTGTATTCAACTCACAGAGTGGAACGTCCCTTTGCACAGAGCAGATTTGAAACACTCTTTTTGTGCAATTTGCAAGTGGAGATTTCAAGCGATTTGATGCCAACAGTAGAAAAGGAAATATCTTCAAATAAAAACTAGACAGAATCATTCTCAGAAACTACTTTGTGATGTGTGCCTTCAACTCACAGAGTTTAACCTTTCTTTTCTTAGAGCAGTTTAGAAACACTCTGCTTGTTATGTCTGCAAGTGGATATTTGGACCTCTTTGAGGCCTTCGTTGCAAACGGGGTTTCTTCCTTTCATGCTAGACTAAGAAGAGTTCTCAGTAACTTTTTTGTGTTGTGTGTATTCAACTCACAGAGTTGAACCTTGCTTTAGAGAGAGCAGATTTGAAACACTCTTGCTGTGGCATTTTCAGGTGGAGATTTCAAGCGATTTGAGGACAATTGCAGAAAAGGAAATATCTTCGTATAATAACCAGACAAAATCATTCTCAGAAAGTGCTTTGTGATGTGTGCGTTCCACTCACAGAGTTTAACCTTTCTTTTCATAGAGGAGTTTGGAAACACACTGTTTGTAAAGTCTGCAAGTGGATATATGGACCTCTTTGAGGCCTTCGTTGGAAACGGGATTTCTTCATTGAATGCTAGACGGAAGAATTCTCAGTAAATTCTTTGTGTTGTGTGCATTCAACTCACAGAGTGGAACGTCCCTTTAGACAGAGCAGATTTGAAACACTCTTTTTGCGGAATTTGCAAGTGGAGATTTCTAGCCATTTGATGCCAACAGTAGAAAGGGAAATATCTTCAAATAAAAACCAGACAGAATCATTCTCAGAAAATTCTTTGTGATGTGTGCGTTCAACTCACATAGTTTAACCTTTCTTTTCATAGAGCAGTTTGGAAACACTCTGTTTGTAAAGTCTGCAAGTGGATATATGGACCGCATTGAGGCCTTCGTTGGAAACGGGATTTCTTCATTTCATGCTAGACAGAAGAATTCTCAGTAACTTCTTTGTGCTGTGTGTATTCAACTCACAGAGTGGAACGTTCCTTTACACAGAGAAGATTTGAAACACTCTTTTTGTGGAATTTGCAAGTGGAGATTTCAAGCGATTTGATGCCAACAGTAGAAAAGGAAATATCTTCAAATAAAAACTAGACAGAATCATTCTCAGAAACTACTTTGTGATGTGTGCCTTCAACTCACAGAGTTTAACCTTTCTTTTCTTAGAGCAGTTTAGAAACACTCTGCTTGTTATGTCTGCAAGTGGATATTTGGACCTCTTTGAGGCCTTCCTTGCAAACGGGGTTTCTTCCTTTCATGCTAGACTAAGAAGAGTTCTCAGTAACTTTTTTGTGTTGTGTGTATTCAACTCACAGAGTTGAACCTTGCTTTAGAGAGAGCAGATTTGAAACACTCTTGCTGTGGCATTTTCAGGTGGAGATTTCAAGCGATTTGAGGACAATTGCAGAAAAGGAAATATCTTCGTATAATAACCAGACAGAATCATTCTCAGAAAGTGCTTTGTGATGTGTGCGTTCAACTCACAGAGTTTAACCTTTCTTTTCATAGAGGAGTTTGGAAACACACTGTTTGTAAAGTCTGCAATTGGATATATGGACCTGTTTGAGGCCTTCGTTGGAAACGGGATTTCTTCATTGAATGCTAGACGGAAGAATTCTCAGTAAATTCTTTGTGTTGTGTGCATTCAACTCACAGAGTGGAACGTCCCTTTAGACAGAGCAGATTTGAAACACTCTTTTTGCGGAATTTGCAAGTGGAGATTTCTAGCCATTTGATGCCAACAGTAGAAAGGGAAATATCTTCAAATAAAAACCAGACAGAATCATTCTCAGAAAATTCTTTGTGATGTGTGCGTTCAACTCACATAGTTTAACCTTTCTTTTCATAGAGCAGTTTGGAAACACTCTGTTTGTAAAGTCTGCAAGTGGATATATGGACCGCATTGAGGCCTTCGTTGGAAACGGGATTTCTTCATTTCATGCTAGACAGAAGAATTCTCAGTAACTTCTTTGTGCTGTGTGTATTCAACTCACAGAGTGGAACGTCCCTTTGCACAGAGCAGATTTGAAACACTCTTTTTGTGGAATTTGCAAGTGGAGATTTCAAGCGATTTGATGCCAACAGTAGAAAAGGAAATATCTTCAAATAAAAACTAGACAGAATCATTCTCAGAAACTACTTTGTGATGTGTGCGTTCAACTCACAGAGTTTAACCTTTCTTTTCTTAGAGCAGTTTAGAAACACTCTGCTTGTTATGTCTGCAAGTGGATATTTGGACCTCTTTGAGGCCTTCGTTGCAAACGGGCTTTCTTCCTTTAATGCTAGACTAAGAAGAGTTCTCAGTAACTTTTTTGTGTTGTGTGTATTCAACTCACAGAGCTGAACCTTGCTTTAGAGAGAGCAGATTTGAAACACTCTTGCTGTGGCATTTTCAGGTGGAGGTTTCAAGCGATTTGAGGACAATTTCAGAAAAGGAAATATCTTCGTATAACAACCAGACAGAATCATTCTCAGAAAGTGCTTTGTGATGTGTTCGTTCCACTCACAGAGTTTAACCTTTCTTTTCATAGAGGAGTTTGGAAACACACTGTTTGTAAAGTCTGCAATTGGATATATGGACCTGTTTGAGGCCTTCGTTGGAAACGGGATTTCTTCATTGAATGCTAGACGGAAGAATTCTCAGTAAATTCTTTGTGTTGTGTGCATTCAACTCACAGAGTGGAACGTCCCTTTAGACAGAGCAGATTTGAAACACTCTTTTTGCGGAATTTGCAAGTGGAGATTTCTAGCCATTTGATGCCAACAGTAGAAAGGGAAATATCTTCAAATAAAAACCAGACAGAATCATTCTCAGAAAATTCTTTGTGATGTGTGCGTTCAACTCACATAGTTTAACCTTTCTTTTCATAGAGCAGTTTGGAAACACTCTGTTTGTAAAGTCTGCAAGTGGATATATGGACCGCATTGAGGCCTTCGTTGGAAACGGGATTTCTTCATTTCATGCTAGACAGAAGAATTCTCAGTAACTTCTTTGTGCTGTGTGTATTCAACTCACAGAGTGGAACGTCCCTTTACACAGAGCAGATTTGAAACACTCTTTTTGTGGAGTTTGCAGGTGGAGATTTCAAGCGATTTGATGCCAACAGTAGAAAAGGAAATATCTTCAAATAAAAACTAGACAGAATCATTCTCAGAAACTACTTTGTGATGTGTGCCTTCAACTCACAGAGTTTAACCTTTCTTTTCTTAGAGCAGTTTAGAAACACTCTGCTTGTTATGTCTGCAAGTGGATATTTGGACCTCTTTGAGGCCTTCGTTGCAAACGGGGTTTCTTCCTTTCATGCTAGACTAAGAAGAGTTCTCAGTAACTTTTTTGTGTTGTGTGTATTCAACTCACAGAGTTGAACCTTGCTTTAGAGAGAGCAGATTTGAAACACTCTTGCTGTGGCATTTTCAGGTGGAGATTTCAAGCGATTTGAGGACAATTGCAGAAAAGGAAATATCTTCGTATAACAACCAGACAGAATCATTCTCAGAAAGTGCTTTGTGATGTGTGCGTTCAACTCACAGAGTTTAACCTTTCTTTTCATAGAGGAGTTTGGAAACACACTGTTTGTAAAGTCTGCAATTGGATATATGGACCTGTTTGAGGCCTTCGTTGGAAACGGGATTTCTTCATTGAATGCTAGACGGAAGAATTCTCAGTAAATTCTTTGTGTTGTGTGCATTCAACTGACAGAGTGGAACGTCCCTTTAGACAGAGCAGATTTGAAACACTCTTTTTGCGGAATTTGCAAGTGGAGATTTCTAGCCATTTGATGCCAACAGTAGAAAGGGAAACATCTTCAAATAAAAACCAGACAGAATCATTCTCAGAAAATTCTTTGTGATGTGTGCGTTCAAATCACATAGTTTAACCTTTCTTTTCATAGACCAGTTTGGAAACACTCTGTTTGTAAAGTCTGCAAGTGGATATATGGACCGCATTGAGGCCTTCGTTGGAAACGGGATTTCTCCATTTCATGCTAGACAGAAGAATTCTCAGTAACTTCTTTGTGCTGTGTGTATTCAACTCACAGAGTGGAACGTCCCTTTGCACAGAGCAGATTTGAAACACTCTTTTTGTGGAGTTTGCAAGTGGAGATTTCAAGCGATTTGATGCCAACAGTAGAAAAGGAAATATCTTCAAATAAAAACTAGACAGAATCATTCTCAGAAACTACTTTGTGATGTGTGCCTTCAACTCACAGAGTTTAACCTTTCTTTTCTTAGAGCAGTTTAGAAACACTCTGCTTGTTATGTCTGCAAGTGGATATTTGGACCTCTTTGAGGCCTTCGTTGCAAACGGGGTTTCTTCCTTTCATGCTAGACTAAGAAGAGTTCTCAGTAACTTTTTTGTGTTGTGTGTATTCAACTCACAGAGTTGAACCTTGCTTTAGAGAGAGCAGATTTGAAACACTCTTGCTGTGGCATTTTCAGGTGGAGATTTCAAGCGATTTGAGGACAATTGCAGAAAAGGAAATATCTTCGTATAATAACCAGACAGAATCATTCTCAGAAAGTGCTTTGTGATGTGTGCGTTCCACTCACAGAGTTTAACCTTTCTTTTCATAGAGGAGTTTGGAAACACACTGTTTGTAAAGTCTGCAAGTGGATATATGGACCTCTTTGAGGCCTTCGTTGGAAACGGGATTTCTTCATTGAATGCTAGACGGAAGAATTCTCAGTAAATTCTTTGTGTTGTGTGCATTCAACTCACAGAGTGGAACGTCCCTTTAGACAGAGCAGATTTGAAACACTCTTTTTGCGGAATTTGCAAGTGGAGATTTCTAGCCATTTGATGCCAACAGTAGAAAGGGAAATATCTTCAAATAAAAACCAGACAGAATCATTCTCAGAAAATTCTTTGTGATGTGTGCGTTCAACTCACATAGTTTAACCTTTCTTTTCATAGAGCAGTTTGGAAACACTCTGTTTGTAAAGTCTGCAAGTGGATATATGGACCGCATTGAGGCCTTCGTTGGAAACGGGATTTCTTCATTTCATGCTAGACAGAAGTAATTCTCAGTAACTTCTTTGTGCTGTGTGTATTCAACTCACAGGAGTGGAAC
Source organism: Homo sapiens (assembly GCF_000001405.40). Classification (NCBI taxonomy): domain Eukaryota; kingdom Metazoa; phylum Chordata; class Mammalia; order Primates; family Hominidae; genus Homo; species Homo sapiens. The sequence continues at coordinate 59,822,549 of NC_000007.14, forward strand.
GTCCCTTTGCACAGAGCAGATTTGAAACACTCTTTTTGTGGAGTTTGCAAGTGGAGATTTCAAGCGATTTGATGCCAACAGTAGAAAAGGAAATATCTTCAAATAAAAACTAGACAGAATCATTCTCAGAAACTACTTTGTGATGTGTGCCTTCAACTCACAGAGTTTAACCTTTCTTTTCTTAGAGCAGTTTAGAAACACTCTGCTTGTTATGTCTGCAAGTGGATATTTGGACCTCTTTGAGGCCTTCGTTGCAAACGGGGTTTCTTCCTTTCATGCTAGACTAAGAAGAGTTCTCAGTAACTTTTTTGTGTTGTGTGTATTCAACTCACAGAGTTGAACCTTGCTTTAGAGAGAGCAGATTTGAAACACTCTTGCTGTGGCATTTTCAGGTGGAGATTTCAAGCGATTTGAGGACAACTGCAGAAAAGGAAATATCTTCGTATAATAACCAGACAGAATCATTCTCAGAAAGTGCTTTGTGATGTGTGCGTTCAACTCACAGAGTTTAACCTTTCTTTTCATAGAGGAGTTTGGAAACACACTGTTTGTAAAGTCTGCAAGTGGATATATGGACCTGTTTGAGGCCCTTCGTTGGAAACGGGATTTCTTCATTGAATGCTAGACGGAAGAATTCTCAGTAAATTCTTTGTGTTGTGTGCATTCAACTGACAGAGTGGAACGTCCCTTTAGACAGAGCAGATTTGAAACACTCTTTTTGCGGAATTTGCAAGTGGAGACTTCTAGCCATTTGATGCCAACAGTAGAAAGGGAAATATCTTCAAATAAAAACCAGACAGAATCATTCTCAGAAAATTCTTTGTGATGTGTGCGTTCAACTCACATAGTTTAACCTTTCTTTTCATAGAGCAGTTTGGAAACACTCTGTTTGTAAAGTCTGCAAGTGGATATATGGACCGCATTGAGGCCTTCGTTGGAAACGGGATTTCTTCATTTCATGCTAGACAGAAGAATTCTCAGTAACTTCTTTGTGCTGTGTGTATTCAACTCACAGAGTGGAACGTCCCTTTACACAGAGAAGATTTGAAACACTCTTTTTGTGGAGTTTGCAAGTGGAGATTTCAAGCGATTTGATGCCAACAGTAGAAAAGGAAATATCTTCAAATAAAAACTAGACAGAATCATTCTCAGAAACTACTTTGTGATGTGTGCCTTCAACTCACAGAGTTTAACCTTTCTTTTCTTAGAGCAGTTTAGAAACACTCTGCTTGTTGTGTCTGCAAGTGGATATTTGGACCTCTTTGAGGCCTTCGTTGCAAACGGGGTTTCTTCCTTTCATGCTAGACTAAGAAGAGTTCTCAGTAACTTTTCTGTGTTGTGTGTATTCAACTCACAGAGTTGAACCTTGCTTTAGAGAGAGCAGATTTGAAACACTCTTGCTGTGACATTTTCAGGTGGAGATTTCAAGCGATTTGAGGACAATTGCAGAAAAGGAAATATCTTCGTATAACAACCAGACAGAATCATTCTCAGAAAGTGCTTTGTGATGTGTGCGTTCCACTCACAGAGTTTAACCTTTCTTTTCATAGAGGAGTTTGGAAACACACTGTTTGTAAAGTCTGCAAGTGGATATATGGACCTGTTTGAGGCCTTCGTTGGAAACGGGATTTCTTCATTGAATGCTAGACGGAAGAATTCTCAGTAAATTCTTTGTGTTGTGTGCATTCAACTCACAGAGTGGAACGTCCCTTTAGACAGAGCAGATTTGAAACACTCTTTTTGCGGAATTTGCAAGTGGAGATTTCTAGCCATTTGATGCCAACAGTAGAAAGGGAAATATCTTCAAATAAAAACCAGACAGAATCATTCTCAGAAAATTCTTTGTGATGTGTGCGTTCAACTCACATAGTTTAACCTTTCTTTTCTTAGAGCAGTTTAGAAACACTCTGCTTGTTATGTCTGCAAGTGGATATTTGGACCTCTTTGAGGCCTTCGTTGCAAACGCGGTTTCTTCCTTTCATGCTAGACTAAGAAGAGTTCTCAGTAACTTTTTTGTGTTGTGTGTATTCAACTCACAGAGTTGAACCATGCTTTAGAGAGAGCAGATTTGAAACACTCTTGCTGTGGCATTTTCAGGTGGAGATTTCAAGCGATTTGAGGACAATTGCAGAAAAGGAAATATCTTCGTATAACAACTAGACAGAATCATTCTCAGAAAGTGCTTTGTGATGTGTGGGTTCAACTCACAGAGTTTAACCTTTCTTTTCATAGAGGAGTTTGGAAACACACTGTTTGTAAAGTCTGCAATTGGATATATGGACCTGTTTGAGGCCTTCGTTGGAAACGGGATTTCTTCATTGACTGCTAGACAGAAGAATTCTCAGTAAATTCTTTGTGTTGTGTGCATTCAACTCACAGAGTGGAACGTCCCTTTAGACAGAGCAGATTTGAAACACTCTTTTTGCGGAATTTGCAAGTGGAGATTTCTAGCCATTTGATGCCAACAGTAGAAAGGGAAATATCTTCAAATAAAAACCAGACAGAATCATTCTCAGAAAATTCTTTGTGATGTGTGCGTTCAAATCACATAGTTTAACCTTTCTTTTCATAGAGCAGTTTGGAAACACTCTGTTTGCAAAGTCTGCAAGTGGATATATGGACCGCATTGAGGCCTTCGTTGGAAACGGGATTTCTTCATTTCATGCTAGACAGAAGAATTCTCAGTAACTTCTTTGTGCTGTGTGTATTCAACTCACAGAGTGGAACGTCCCTTTGCACAGAGCAGATTTGAAACACTCTTTTTGTGGAATTTGCAAGTGGAGATTTCAAGCGATTTGATGCCAACAGTAGAAAAGGAAATATCTTCAAATAAAAACTAGACAGAATCATTCTCAGAAACTACTTTGTGATGTGTGCCTTCAACTCACAGAGTTTAACCTTTCTTTTCTTAGAGCAGTTTAGAAACACTCTGCTTGTTATGTCTGCAAGTGGATATTTGGACCTCTTTGAGGCCTTCGTTGCAAACGGGGTTTCTTCCTTTCATGCTAGACTAAGAAGAGTTCTCAGTAACTTTTTTGTGTTGTGTGTATTCAACTCACGGAGTTGAACCTTGCTTTAGAGAGAGCAGATTTGAAACACTCTTGCTGTGGCATTTTCAGGTGGAGATTTCAAGCGATTTGAGGACAATTGCAGAAAAGGAAATATCTTCGTATAATAACCAGACAGAATCATTCTCAGAAAGTGCTTTGTGATGTGTGCGTTCAACTCACAGAGTTTAACCTTTCTTTCCATAGAGGAGTTTGGAAACACACTGTTTGTAAAGTCTGCAATTGGATATATGGACCTGTTTGAGGCCTTCGTTGGAAACGGGATTTCTTCATTGAATGCTAGACGGAAGAATTCTCAGTAAATTCTTTGTGTTGTGTGCATTCAACTCACAGAGTGGAACGTCCCTTTAGACAGAGCAGATTTGAAACACTCTTTTTGCGGAATTTGCAAGTGGAGATTTCTAGCCGTTTGATGCCAACAGTAGAAAGGGAAACATCTTCAAATAAAAACCAGACAGAATCATTCTCAGAAAATTCTTTGTGATGTGTGCGTTCAACTCACATAGTTTAACCTTTCTTTTCATAGAGCAGTTTGGAAACACTCTGTTTGTAAAGTCTGCAAGTGGATATATGGACCGCATTGAGGCCTTCGTTGGAAACGGGATTTCTTCATTTCATGCTAGACAGAAGAATTCTCAGTAACTTCTTTGTGCTGTGTGTATTCAACTCACAGAGTGGAACGTCCCTTTGCACAGAGCAGATTTGAAACACTCTTTTTGTGGAATTTGCAAGTGGAGATTTCAAGCGATTTGATGCCAACAGTAGAAAAGGAAATATCTTCAAATAAAAACTAGACAGAATCATTCTCAGAAACTACTTTGTGATGTGTGCCTTCAACTCACAGAGTTTAACCTTTCTTTTCTTAGAGCAGTTTAGAAACACTCTGCTTGTTATGTCTGCAAGTGGATATTTGGACCTCTTTGAGGCCTTCGTTGCAAACGGGGTTTCTTCCTTTCATGCTAGACTAAGAAGAGTTCTCAGTAACTTTTTTGTGTTGTGTGTATTCAAATCACAGAGTTGAACCTTGCTTTAGAGAGAGCAGACTTGAAACACTCTTGCTGTGGCATTTTCAGGTGGAGATTTCAAGCGATTTGAGGACAATTGCAGAAAAGGTAATATCTTCGTATAATAACCAGACAGAATCATTCTCAGAAAGTGCTTTGTGATGTGTGCATTCAACTCACAGAGTTTAACCTTTCTTTTCATTGAGGAGTTTGGAAACACACTGTTTGTAAAGTCTGCAATTGGATATATGGACCTGTTTGAGGCCTTCGTTGGAAACGGGATTTCTTCATTGAATGCTAGACGGAAGAATTCTCAGTAAATTCTTTGTGTTGTGTGCATTCAACTCACAGAGTGGAACGTCCCTTTAGACAGAGCAGATTTGAAACACTCTTTTTGCGGAATTTGCAAGTGGAGATTTCTAGCCATTTGATGCCAACAGTAGAAAGGGAAATATCTTCAAATAAAAACCAGACAGAATCATTCTCAGAAAATTCTTTGTGATGTGTGCGTTCAACTCACATAGTTTAACCTTTCTTTTCATAGAGCAGTTTGGAAACACTCTGTTTGTAAAGTCTGCAAGTGGATATATGGACCGCATTGAGGCCTTCGTTGGAAACGGGATTTCTTCATTTCATGCTAGACAGAAGAATTCTCAGTAACTTCTTTGTGCTGTGTGTATTCAACTCACAGAGTGGAACGTCCCTTTACACAGAGCAGATTTGAAACACTCTTTTTGTGGAGTTTGCAAGTGGAGATTTCAAGCGATTTGATGCCAACAGTAGAAAAGGAAATATCTTCAAATAAAAACTAGACAGAATCATTCTCAGAAACTACTTTGTGATGTGTGCCTTCAACTCACAGAGTTTAACCTTTCTTTTCTTAGAGCAGTTTAGAAACACTCTGCTTGTTATGTCTGCAAGTGGATATTTGGACCTCTTTGAGGCCTTCGTTGCAAACGGGGTTTCTTCCTTTCATGCTAGACTAAGAAGAGTTCTCAGTAACTTTTTTGTGTTGTGTGTATTCAACTCACAGAGTTGAACCTTGCTTTAGAGAGAGCAGATTTGAAACACTCTTGCTGTGGCATTTTCAGGTGGAGATTTCAAGCGATTTGAGGACAATTGCAGAAAAGGAAATATCTTCGTATAATAACCAGACAGAATCATTCTCAGAAAGTGCTTTGTGATGTGTGCGTTCCACTCACAGAGTTTAACCTTTCTTTTCATAGAGGAGTTTGGAAACACACTGTTTGTAAAGTCTGCAAGTGGATATATGGACCTCTTTGAGGCCTTCGTTGGAAACGGGATTTCTTCATTGAATGCTAGACGGAAGAATTCTCAGTAAATTCTTTGTGTTGTGTGCATTCAACTCACAGAGTGGAACGTCCCTTTAGACAGAGCAGATTTGAAACACTCTTTTTGCGGAATTTGCAAGTGGAGATTTCTAGCCATTTGATGCCAACAGTAGAAAGGGAAATATCTTCAAATAAAAACCAGACAGAATCATTCTCAGAAAATTCTTTGTGATGTGTGCGTTCAACTCACATAGTTTAACCTTTCTTTTCATAGAGCAGTTTGGAAACACTCTGTTTGTAAAGTCTGCAAGTGGATATATGGACCGCATTGAGGCCTTCGTTGGAAACGGGATTTCTTCATTTCATGCTAGACAGAAGAATTCTCAGTAACTTCTTTGTGCTGTGTGTATTCAACTCACAGAGTGGAACGTCCCTTTGCACAGAGCAGATTTGAAACACTCTTTTTGTGGAGTTTGCAAGTGGAGATTTCAAGCGATTTGATGCCAACAGTAGAAAAGGAAATATCTTCAAATAAAAACTAGACAGAATCATTCTCAGAAACTACTTTGTGATGTGTGCCTTCAACTCACAGAGTTTAACCTTTCTTTTCTTAGAGCAGTTTAGAAACACTCTGCTTGTTATGTCTGCAAGTGGATATTTGGACCTCTTTGAGGCCTTCGTTGCAAACGGGGTTTCTTCCTTTCATGCTAGACTAAGAAGAGTTCTCAGTAACTTTTTTGTGTTGTGTGTATTCAACTCACAGAGTTGAACCTTGCTTTAGAGAGAGCAGATTTGAAACACTCTTGCTGTGGCATTTTCAGGTGGAGATTTCAAGCGATTTGAGGACAATTGCAGAAAAGGAAATATCTTCGTATAACAACCAGACAGAATCATTCTCAGAAAGTGCTTTGTGATGTGTTCGTTCAACTCACAGAGTTGAACCTTTCTTTTCATAGAGGAGTTTGGAAACACACTGTTTGTAAAGTCTGCAAGTGGATATATGGACCTGTTTGAGGCCTTCGTTGGAAACGGCATTTCTTCATTGAATGCTAGACGGAAGAATTCTCAGTAAATTCTTTGTGTTGTGTGCATTCAACTCACAGAGTGGAACGTCCCTTTAGACAGAGCAGATTTGAAACACTCTTTTTGCGGAATTTGCAAGTGGAGATTTCTAGCCATTTGATGCCAACAGTAGAAAGGGAAATATCTTCAAATAAAAACCAGACAGAGTCATTCTCAGAAAATTCTTTGTGATGTGTGCATTCAACTCACATAGTTTAACCTTACTTTTCATAGAGCAGTTTGGAAACACTCTGTTTGTAAAGTCTGCAAGTGGATATATGGACCGCATTGAGGCCTTCGTTGGAAGCGGGATTTCTTCATTTCATGCTAGACAGAAGAATTCTCAGTAACTTCTTTGTGCTGTGTGTATTCAACTCACAGAGTGGAACATCCCTTTGCACAGAGCAGATTTGAAACACTCTTTTTCTGGAGTTTGCAAGTGGAGATTTCAAGCGATTTGATGCCAACAGTAGAAAAGGAAATATCTTCAAATAAAAACTAGACAGAATCATTCTCAGAAACTACTTTGTGATGTGTGCCTTCAACTCACAGAGTTTAACCTTTCTTTTCTTAGAGCAGTTTAGAAACACTCTGCTTGTTATGTCTGCAAGTGGATATTTGGACCTCTTTGAGGCCTTCGTTGCAAACGGGGTTTCTTCCTTTCATGCTAGACTAAGAAGAGTTCTCAGTAACTTTTCTGTGTTGTGTGTATTCAACTCACAGAGTTGAACCTTGCTTTAGAGAGAGCAGATTTGAAACACTCTTGCTGTGGCATTTTCAGGTGGAGATTTCAAGCGATTTGAGGACAATTGCAGAAAAGGAAATATCTTCGTATAATAACCAGACAGAATCATTCTCAGAAAGTGCTTTGTGATGTGTGCGTTCCACTCACAGAGTTTAACCTTTCTTTTCATAGAGGAGTTTGGAAACACACTGTTTGTAAAGTCTGCAAGTGGATATATGGACCTGTTTGAGGCCTTCGTTGGAAACGGGATTTCTTCATTGAATGCTAGACGGAAGAATTCTCAGTAAATTCTTTGTGTTGTGTGCATTCAACTCACAGAGTGGAACGTCCCTTTAGACAGAGCAGATTTGAAACACTCTTTTTGCGGAATTTGCAAGTGGAGATTTCTAGCCATTTGATGCCAACAGTAGAAAGGGAAATATCTTCAAATAAAAACCAGACAGAATCATTCTCAGAAAATTCTTTGTGATGTGTGCGTTCAACTCACATAGTTTAACCTTTCTTTTCATAGAGCAGTTTGGAAACACTCTGTTTGTAAAGTCTGCAAGTGGATATATGGACCGCATTGAGGCCTTCGATGGAAACGGGATTTCTTCATTTCATGCTAGACAGAAGAATTCTCAGTAACTTCTTTGTGCTGTGTGTATTCAACTCACAGAGTGGAACGTCCCTTTACACAGAGCAGATTTGAAACACTCTTTTTGTGGAGTTTGCAAGTGGAGATTTCAAGCGATTTGATGCCAACAGTAGAAAAGGAAATATCTTCAAATAAAAACTAGACAGAATCATTCTGAGAAACTACTTTGTGATGTGTGCCTTCAACTCACAGAGTTTAACCTTTCTTTTCTTAGAGCAGTTTAGAAACACTCTGCTTGTTATGTCTGCAAGTGGATATTTGGACCTCTTTGAGGCCTTCGTTGCAAACGGGGTTTCTTCCTTTAATGCTAGACTAAGAAGAGTTCTCAGTAACTTTTCTGTGTTGTGTGTATTCAACTCACAGAGTTGAACCTTGCTTTAGAGAGAGCAGATTTGAAACACTCTTGCTGTGGCATTTTCAGGTGGAGATTTCAAGCGTTTTGAGGACAATTGCAGAAAAGGAAATATCTTCGTATAATAACCAGACAGAATCATTCTCAGAAAGTGCTTTGTGATGTGTGCGTTCCACTCACAGAGTTTAACCTTTCTTTTCATAGAGGAGTTTGGAAACACACTGTTTGTAAACTCTGCAAGTGGATATATGGACCTGTTTGAGGCCTTCGTTGGAAACGGGTTTTCTTCATTGAATGCTAGACGGAAGAATTCTCAGTAAATTCTTTGTGTTGTGTGCATTCAACTCACAGAGTGGAACGTTCCTTTAGACAGAGCAGATTTGAAACACTCTTTTTGCGGAATTTGCAAGTGGAGATTTCTAGCCATTTGATGCCAACAGTAGAAAGGGAAATATCTTCAAATAAAAACCAGACAGAATCATTCTCAGAAAATTCTTTGTGATGTGTGCGTTCAACTCACATAGTTTAACCTTTCTTTTCATAGAGCTGTTTGGAAACACTCTGTTTGTAAAGTCTGCAAGTGGATATATGGACCGCATTGAGGCCTTCGTTGGAAACGGGATTTCTTCATTTCATGCTAGACAGAAGAATTCTCAGTAACTTCTTTGTGCTGTGTGTACTCAACTCACAGAGTGGAACGTCCCTTTGCACAGAGCAGATTTGAAACACTCTTTTTGTGGAGTTTGCAAGTGGAGATTTCAAGCGATTTGATGCCAACAGTAGAAAAGGAAATATCTTCAAATAAAAACTAGACAGAATCATTCTCAGAAACTACTTTGTGATGTGTGCCTTCAACTCACAGAGTTTAACCTTTCTTTTCTTAGAGCAGTTTAGAAACACTCTGCTTGTTATGTCTGCAAGTGGATATTTGGACCTCTTTGAGGCCTTCGTTGCAAACGGGGTTTCTTCCTTTCATGCTAGACTAAGAAGAGTTCTCAGTAACTTTTTTGTGTTGTGTGTATTCAACTCACAGAGTTGAACCTTGCTTTAGAGAGAGCAGATTTGAAACACTCTTGCTGTGGCATTTTCAGGTGGAGATTTCAAGCGATTTGAGGACAATTGCAGAAAAGGAAATATCTTCGTATAATAACCAGACAGAATCATTCTCAGAAAGTGCTTTGTGATGTGTGCGTTCAACTCACAGAGTTTAACCTTTCTTTTCATAGAGGAGTTTGGAAACACACTGTTTGTAAAGTCTGCAAGTGGATATATGGACCTGTTTGAGGCCTTCGTTGGAAACGGGATTTCTTCATTGAATGCTAGACGGAAAAATTCTCAGTAAATTCTTTGTGTTGTGTGCATTCAACTCACAGAGTGGAACGTCCCTTTAGACAGAGCAGATTTGAAACACTCTTTTTGCGGAATTTGCAAGTGGAGATTTCTAGCCATTTGATGCCAACAGTAGAAAGGGAAATATCTTCAAATAAAAACCAGACAGAATCATTCTCAGAAAATTCTTTGTGATGTGTGCGTTCAACTCACATAGTTTAACCTTTCTTTTCATAGAGCAGTTTGGAAACACTCTGTTTGTAAAGTCTGCAAGTGGATCTATGGACCGCATTGAGGCCTTCGTTGGAAACGGGATTTCTTCATTTCATGCTAGACAGAAGAATTCTCAGTAACTTCTTTGTGCTGTGTGTATTCAACTCACAGAGTGCAACGTCCCTTTACACAGAGCAGATTTGAAACACTCTTTTTGTGGAGTTTGCAAGTGGAGATTTCAAGCGATTTGATGCCAACAGTAGAAAAGGAAATATCTTCAAATAAAAACTAGACAGAATCATTCTCAGAAACTACTTTGTGATGTGTGCCTTCAACTCACAGAGTTTAACCTTTCTTTTCTTAGAGCAGCTTAGAAACACTCTGCTTGTTATGTCTGCAAGTGGATATTTGGACCTCTTTGAGGCCTTCGTTGCAAACGGGGTTTCTTCCTTTAATGCTAGACTAAGAAGAGTTCTCAGTAACTTTTTTGTGTTGTGTGTATTCAACTCACAGAGTTGAACCTTGCTTTAGAGAGAGCAGATTTGAAACACTCTTGCTGTGGCATTTTCAGGTGGAGATTTCAAGCGATTTGAGGACAATTGCAGAAAAGGAAATATCTTCGTATAATAACCAGACAGAATCATTCTCAGAAAGTGCTTTGTGATGTGTGCGTTCCACTCACAGAGTTTAACCTTTCTTTTCATAGAGGAGTTTGGAAACACACTGTTTGTAAAGTCTGCAAGTGGATATATGGACCTGTTTGAGGCCTTCGTTGGAAAAGGGATTTCTTCATTGAATGCTAGACGGAAGAATTCTCAGTAAATTCTTTGTGTTGTGTGCATTCAACTCACAGAGTGGAACGTCCCTTTAGACAGAGCAGATTTGAAACACTCTTTTTGCGGAATTTGCAAGTGGAGATTTCTAGCCATTTGATGCCAACAGTAGAAAGGGAAATATCTTCAAATAAAAACCAGACAGAATCATTCTCAGAAAATTCTTTGTGATGTGTGCGTTCAACTCACATAGTTTAACCTTTCTTTTCATAGAGCAGTTTGGAAACACTCTGTTTGTAAAGTCTGCAAGTGGATATATGGACCGCATTGAGGCCTTCGTTGGAAACGGGATTTCTTCATTTCATGCTAGACAGAAGAATTCTCAGTAACTTCTTTGTGCTGTGTGTATTCAACTCAGAGAGTGGAACGTCCCTTTACACAGAGCAGATTTGAAACACTCTTTTTGTGGAGTTTGCAAGTGGAGATTTCAAGCGATTTGATGCCAGCAGTAGAAAAGGAAATATCTTCAAATAAAAACTAGACAGAATCATTCTCAGAAACTACTTTGTGATGTGTGCCTTCAACTCACAGAGTTTAACCTTTTCTTTTCTTAGAGCAGTTTAGAAACACTCTGCTTGTTATGTCTGCAAGTGGATATTTGGACCTCTTTGAGGCCTTCGTTGCAAACGGGGTTTCTTCCTTTCATGCTAGACTAAGAAGAGTTCTCAGTAACTTTTTTGTGTTGTGTGTATTCAACTCACAGAGTTGAACCTTGCTTTAGAGAGAGCAGATTTGAAACACTCTTGCTGTGGCATTTTCAGGTGGAGATTTCAAGCGATTTGAGGACAATTGCAGAAAAGGAAATATCTTCGTATAATAACCAGACAGAATCATTCTCAGAAAGTGCTTTGTGATGTGTGCGTTCCACTCACAGAGTTTAACCTTTCTTTTCATAGAGGAGTTTGGAAACACACTGTTTGTAAAGTCTGCAAGTGGATATATGGACCGCTTTGAGGCCTTCGTTGGAAACGGGATTTCTTCATTGAATGCTAGGCGGAAGAATTCTCAGTAAATTCTTTGTGTTGTGTGCATTCAACTCACAGAGTGGAACGTCCCTTTAGACAGAGCAGATTTGAAACACTCTTTTTGCGGAATTTGCAAGTGGAGATTTCTAGCCATTTGATGCCAACAGTAGAAAGGGAAATATCTTCAAATAAAAACCAGACAGAATCATTCTCAGAAAATTCTTTGTGATGTGTGCGTTCAACTCACATAGTTTAACCTTTCTTTTCATAGAGCAGTTTGGAAACACTCTGTTTGTAAAGTCTGCAAGTGGATATATGGACCGCATTGAGGCCTTCGTTGGAAACGGGATTTCTTCATTTCATGCTAGACAGAAGAATTCTCAGTAACTTCTTTGTGCTGTGTGTATTCAACTCACAGAGTGGAACATCCCTTTGCACAGAGCAGATTTGAAACACTCTTTTTGTGGAGTTTGCAAGTGGAGATTTCAAGCGATTTGATGCCAACAGTAGAAAAGGAAATATCTTCAAATAAAAACTAGACAGAATCATTCTCAGAAACTACTTTGTGATGTGTGCCTTCAACTCACAGAGTTTAACCTTTCTTTTCTCAGAGCAGTTTAGAAACACTCTGCTTGTTATGTCTGCAAGTGGATATTTGGACCTCTTTGAGGCCTTCGTTGCAAACGGGGTTTCTTCCTTTCATGCTAGACTAAGAAGAGTTCTCAGTAACTTTTTTGTGTTGTGTGTATTCAACTCACAGAGTTGAACCTTGCTTTAGAGAGAGCAGATTTGAAACACTCTTGCTGTGGCATTTTCAGGTGGAGATTTCAAGCGATTTGAGGACAATTGCAGAAAAGGAAATATCTTCGTATAATAACCAGACAGAATCATTCTCAGAAAGTGCTTTGTGATGTGTGCGTTCAACTCACAGAGTTTAACCTTTCTTTTCATAGAGGAGTTTGGAAACACACTGTTTGTAAAGTCTGCAAGTGGATATATGGACCTGTTTGAGGCCTTCGTTGGAAACGGGATTTCTTCATTGAATGCTAGACGGAAGAATTCTCAGTAAATTCTTTGTGTTGTGTGCATTCAACTCACAGAGTGGAACGTCCCTTTAGACAGAGCAGATTTGAAACACTCTTTTTGCGGAATTTGCAAGTGGAGATTTCTAGCCATTTGATGCCAACAGTAGAAAGGGAAATATCTTCAAATAAAAACCAGACAGAATCATTCTCAGAAAATTCTTTGTGATGTGTGCGTTCAACTCACATAGTTTAACCTTTCTTTTCATAGAGCAGTTTGGAAACACTCTGTTTGTAAAGTCTGCAAGTGGATATATGGACCGCATTGAGGCCTTCGTTGGAAACGGGATTTCTTCATTTCATGCTAGACAGAAGAATTCTCAGTAACTTCTTTGTGCTGTGTGTATTCAACTCACAGAGTGGAACGTCCCTTTACACAGAGCAGATTTGAAACACTCTTTTTGTGGAGTTTGCAAGTGGAGATTTCAAGCGATTTGATGCCAACAGTAGAAAAGGAAATATCTTCAAATAAAAACTAGACAGAATCATTCTCAGAAACTACTTTGTGATGTGTGCCTTCAACTCACAGAGTTTAACCTTTCTTTTCTTAGAGCAGTTTAGAAACACTCTGCTTGTTATGTCTGCAAGTGGATATTTGGACCTCTTTGAGGCCTTCGTTGCAAACGGGGTTTCTTCCGTTCATGCTAGACTAAGAAGAGTTCTCAGTAACTTTTTTGTGTTGTGTGTATTCAACTCACAGAGTTGAACCTTGCTTTAGAGAGAGCAGATTTGAAACACTCTTGCTGTGGCATTTTCAGGTGGAGATTTCAAGCGATTTGAGGACAATTGCAGAAAAGGAAATATCTTCGTATAATAACCAGACAGAATCATTCTCAGAAAGTGCTTTGTGATGTGTGCGTTCAACTGACAGAGTTTAACCTTTCTTTTCATAGAGGAGTTTGGAAACACACTGTTTGTAAAGTCTGCAAGTGGATATATGGACCTCTTTGAGGCCTTCGTTGGAAACGGGATTTCTTCATTGAATGCTAGACGGAAGAATTCTCAGTAAATTCTTTGTGTTGTGTGCATTCAACTCACAGAGTGGAACGTCCCTTTAGACAGAGCAGATTTGAAACACTCTTTTTGCGGAATTTGCAAGTGGAGATTTCTAGCCATTTGATGCCAACAGTAGAAAGGGAAATATCTTCAAATAAAAACCAGACAGAATCATTCTCAGAAAATACTTTGTGATGTGTGCGTTCAACTCACATAGTTTAACCTTTCTTTTCATAGAGCAGTTTGGAAACACTCTGTTTGTAAAGTCTGCAAGTGGATATATGGACCGCATTGAGGCCTTCGTTGGAAACGGGATTTCTTCATTTCATGCTAGACAGAAGAATTCTCAGCAACTTCTTTGTGCTGTGTGTATTCAACTCACAGAGTGGAACGTCCCTTTACACAGAGCAGATTTGAAACACTCTTTTTGTGGAGTTTGCAAGTGAAGATTTCAAGCGATTTGATGCCAACAGTAGAAAAGGAAATATCTTCAAATAAAAACTAGACAGAATCATTCTCAGAAACTACTTTGTGATGTGTGCCTTCAACTCACAGAGTTTAACCTTTCTTTTCTTAGAGCAGTTTAGAAACACTCTGCTTGTTATGTCTGCAAGTGGATATTTGGACCTCTTTGAGGCCTTCGTTGCAAACGGGGTTTCTTCCTTTCATGCTAGACTAAGAAGAGTTCTCAGTAACTTTTTTGTGTTGTGTGTATTCAACTCACAGAGTTGAACCTTGCTTTAGAGAGAGCAGATTTGAAACACTCTTGCTGTGGTATTTTCAGGTGGAGATTTCAAGCGATTTGAGGACAATTGCAGAAAAGGAAATATCTTCGTATAACAACCAGACAGAATCATTCTCAGAAAGTGCTTTGTGTTGTGTGCGTTCAACTCACAGAGTTTAACCTTTCTTTTCATAGAGGAGTTTGGAAACACACTGTTTGTAAAGTCTGCAATTGGATATATGGACCTGTTTGAGGCCTTCGTTGGAAACGGGATTTCTTCATTGAATGCTAGACGGAAGAATTCTCAGTAAATACTTTGTGTTGTGTGCATTCAACTGACAGAGTGGAACGTCCCTTTAGACAGAGCAGATTTGAAACACTCTTTTTGCGGAATTTGCAAGTGGAGATTTCTAGCCATTTGATGCCAACAGTAGAAAGGGAAATATCTTCAAATAAAAACCAGACAGAATCATTCTCAGAAAATTCTTTGTGATGTGTGCGTTCAACTCACATAGTTTAACCTTTCTTTTCATAGAGCAGTTTGGAAACACTCTGTTTGTAAAGTCTGCAAGTGGATATATGGACCGCATTGAGGCCTTCGTTGGAAACGGGATTTCTTCATTTCATGCTAGACAGAAGAATTCTCAGTAACTTCTTTGTGCTGTGTGTATTCAACTCACAGAGTGGAACGTCCCTTTACACAGAGCAGATTTGAAACACTCTTTTTGTGGAGTTTGCAAGTGGAGATTTCAAGCGATTTGATGCCAACAGTAGAAAAGGAAATATCTTCAAATAAAAACTAGACAGAATCATTCTCAGAAACTACTTTGTGATGTGTGCCTTCAACTCACAGAGTTTAACCTTTCTTTTCTTAGAGCAGTTTAGAAACACTCTGCTTGTTATGTCTGCAAGTGGATATTTGGACCTCTTTGAGGCCTTCGTTGCAAACGGGGTTTCTTCCTTTCATGCTAGACTAAGAAGAGTTCTCAGTAACTTTTTTGTGTTGTCTGTATTCAACTCACAGAGTTGAACCTTGCTTTAGAGAGAGCAGATTTGAAACACTCTTGCTGTGGCATTTTCAGGTGGAGATTTCAAGCGATTTGAGGACAATTGCAGAAAAGGAAATATCTTCGTATAACAACCAGACAGAATCATTCTCAGAAAGTGCTTTGTGATGTGTGCGTTCAACTCACAGAGTTTAACCTTTCTTTTCATAGAGGAGTTTGGAAACACACTGTTTGTAAAGTCTGCAAGTGGATATATGGACCTGTTTGAGGCCTTCGTTGGAAACGGGATTTCTTCATTGAATGCTAGACGGAAGAATTCTCAGTAAATTCTTTGTGTTGTGTGCATTCAACTCACCGAGTGGAACGTCCCTTTAGACAGACCAGATTTGAAACACTCTTTTTGCGAAATTTGGAAGTGGAGATTTCAAGCCATTTGATGCCAACAATAGAAAGGGAAATATCTTCAAATAAAAACTAGACAGAATCATTCTCAGAAAATTCTTTGTGATGTGTGCGTTCAACTCACATAGTTTAACCTTTCTTTTCATAGAGCAGTTTGGAAACACTCTGTTTGTAAAGTCTGCAAGTAGATATATGGACCGCTTTGAGGCCTTCGTTGGAAACGGGATTTCTTCATTTCATGCTAGACAGAAGAATTCTCAGTAACTTCTTTGTGCTGTGTGTATTCAACTCACAGAGTGGAACGTCCCTTTGCACAGAGCAGATTTGAAACACTCTTTTTGTGGAGTTTGCATGTGGAGATTTCAAGCGATTTGATGCCAACAGTAGGAAAGGAAATATCTTCAAATAAAAACTAGACAGAATCATTCTCAGAAACTACTTTGTGATGTGTGCCTTCAACTCACAGAGTTTAACCTTTCTTTTCTTAGAGCAGTTTAGAAACACTCTGCTTGTTATGTCTGCAAGTGGATATTTGGACCTCTTTGAGGCCTTCGTTGCAAACGGGGTTTCTTCCTTTCATGCTAGACTAAGAAGAGTTCTCAGTAACTTTTTTGTGTTGTGTGTATTCAACTCACAGAGTTGAACCTTGCTTTAGAGAGAGCAGATTTGAAACACTCTTGCTGTGGCATTTTCAGGTGGAGATTTCAAGCGATTTGAGGACAATTGCAGAAAAGGAAATATCTTCGTATAATAACCAGACAGAATCATTCTCAGAAAGTGCTTTGTGATGTGTGCGTTCAACTCACAGAGTTTAACCTTTCTTTTCATAGAGGAGTTTGGAAACACACTGTTTGTAAAGTCTGCAAGTGGATATATGGACCTGTTTGAGGCCTTCGTTGGAAACGGGATTTCTTCATTGAATGCTAGACGGAAGAATTCTCAGTAAATTCTTTGTGTTGTGTGCATTCAACTCACAGAGTGGAACGTCCCTTTAGACAGAGCAGATTTGAAACACTCTTTTTGCGGAATTTGCAAGTGGAGATTTCTAGCCATTTGATGCCAACAGTAGAAAGGGAAATATCTTCAAATAAAAACCAGACAGAATCATTCTCAGAAAATTCTTTGTGATGTGTGCGTTCAACTCACATAGTTTAACCTTTCTTTTCATAGAGCAGTTTGGAAACACTCTGTTTGTAAAGTCTGCAAGTGGATATATGGACCGCATTGAGGCCTTCGTTGGAAACGGGATTTCTTCATTTCATGCTAGACAGAAGAATTCTCAGTAACTTCTTTGTGCTGTGTGTATTCAACTCACAGAGTGGAACGTCCCTTTGCACAGAGCAGATTTGAAACACTCTTTTTGTGGAGTTTGCAAGTGGAGATTTCAAGCGATTTGATGCCAACAGTAGAAAAGGAAATATCTTCAAATAAAAACTAGACAGAATCATTCTCAGAAACTACTTTGTGATGTGTGCCTTCAACTCACAGAGTTTAACCTTTCTTTTCTTAGAGCAGTTTAGAAACACTCTGCTTGTTATGTCTGCAAGTGGATATTTGGACCTCTTTGAGGCCTTCGTTGCAAACGGGGTTTCTTCCTTTCAAGCTAGACTAAGAAGAGTTCTCAGTAACTTTTTTGTGTTGTGTGTATTCAACTCACAGAGTTGAACCTTGCTTTAGAGAGAGCAGATTTGAAACACTCTTGCTGTGGCATTTTCAGGTGGAGATTTCAAGCGATTTGAGGATAATTGCAGAAAAGGAAATATCTTCGTATAATAACCAGACAGAATCATTCTCAGAAAGTGCTTTGTGTTGTGTGCGTTCAACTCACAGAGTTTAACCTTTCTTTTCATAGAGGAGTTTGGAAACACACTGTTTGTAAAGTCTGCAATTGGATATATGGACCTGTTTGAGGCCTTCGTTGGAAACGGGATTTCTTCATTGAATGCTAGACGGAAGAATTCTCAGTAAATTCTTTGTGTTGTGTGCATTCAACTCACAGAGTGGAACGTCCCTTTAGACAGAGCAGATTTGAAACACTCTTTTTGCGGAATTTGCAAGTGGAGATTTCTAGCCATTTGATGCCAACAGTAGAAAGGGAAATATCTTCAAATAAAAACCAGACAGAATCATTTCTCAGAAAATTCTTTGTGATGTGTGCGTTCAACTCACATAGTTTAACCTTTCTTTTCATAGAGCAGTTTGGAAACACTCTGTTTGTAAAGTCTGCAAGTGGATATATGGACCGCATTGAGGCCTTCGTTGGAAACGGGATTTCTTCATTTCATGCTAGACAGAAGAATTCTCAGTAACTTCTTTGTGCTGTGTGTATTCAACTCACAGAGTGGAACGTCCCTTTACACAGAGCAGATTTGAAACACTCTTTTTGTGGAATTTGCAAGTGGAGATTTCAAGCGATTTGATGCCAACAGTAGAAAAGGAAATATCTTCAAATAAAAACTAGACAGAATCATTCTCAGAAACTACTTTGTGATGTGTGCCTTCAACTCACAGAGTTTAACCTTTCTTTTCTTAGAGCAGTTTAGAAACACTCTGCTTGTTATGTCTGCAAGTGGATATTTGGACCTCTTTGAGGCCTTCGTTGCAAACGGGGTTTCTTCCTTTAATGCTAGACTAAGAAGAGTTCTCAGTAACTTTTTTGTGTTGTGTGTATTCAACTCACAGAGTTGAACCTTGCTTTAGAGAGAGCAGATTTGAAACACTCTTGCTGTGGCATTTTCAGGTGGAGATTTCAAGCGATTTGAGGACAATTGCAGAAAAGGAAATATCTTCGTATAATAACCAGACAGAATCATTCTCAGAAAGTGCTTTGTGATGTGTGCGTTCAACTCACAGAGTTTAACCTTTCTTTTCATAGAGGAGTTTGGAAACACACTGTTTGTAAAGTCTGCAAGTGGATATATGGACCTGTTTGAGGCCTTCGTTGGAAACGGGATTTCTTCATTGAATGCTAGACGGAAGAATTCTCAGTAAATTCTTTGTGTTGTGTGCATTCAACTCACAGAGTGGAACGTCCCTTTAGACAGAGCAGATTTGAAACACTCTTTTTGCGGAATTTGCAAGTGGAGATTTCTAGCCATTTGATGCCAACAGTAGAAAGGGAAATATCTTCAAATAAAAACCAGACAGAATCATTCTCAGAAAATTCTTTGTGATGTGTGCCTTCAACTCACAGAGTTTAACCTTTCTTTTCTTAGAGCAGTTTAGAAACACTCTGCTTGTTATGTCTGCAAGTGGATATTTGGACCTCTTTGAGGCCTTCGTTGCAAACGGGGTTTTTTCCTTTAATGCTAGACTAAGAAGAGTTCTCAGTAACTTTTTTGTGTTGTGTGTATTCAACTCACAGAGTTGAACCTTGCTTTAGAGAGAGCAGATTTGAAACACTCTTGCTGTGGCATTTTCAGGTGGAGATTTCAAGCGATTTGAGGACAATTGCAGAAAAGGAAATATCTTCGTATAATAACCAGACAGAATCATTCTCAGAAAGTGCTTTGTGATGTGTGCGTTCAACTCACAGAGTTTAACCTTTCTTTTCATAGAGGAGTTTGGAAACACACTGTTTGTAAAGTCTGCAATTGGATATATGGACCTGTTTGAGGCCTTCGTTGGAAACGGGATTTCTTCATTGAATGCTAGACGGAAGAATTCTCAGTAAATTCTTTGTGTTGTGTGCATTCAACTCACAGAGTGGAACGTCCCTTTAGACAGAGCAGATTTGAAACACTCTTTTTGCGGAATTTGCAAGTGGAGATTTCTAGCCATTTGATGCCAACAGTAGAAAGGGAAATATCTTCAAATAAAAACCAGACAGAATCATTCTCAGAAAATTCTTTGTGATGTGTGCGTTCAACTCACATAGTTTAACCTTTCTTTTCATAGAGCAGTTTGGAAACACTCTGTTTGTAAAGTCTGCAAGTGGATATATGGACCGCATTGAGGCCTTCGTTGGAAACGGGATTTCTTCATTTCATGCTAGACAGAAGAATTCTCAGTAACTTCTTTGTGCTGTGTGTATTCAACTCACAGAGTGGAACGTCCCTTTGCACAGAGCAGATTTGAAACACTCTTTTTGTGGAGTTTGCAAGTGGAGATTTCAAGCGATTTGATGCCAACAGTAGAAAAGGAAATATCTTCAAATAAAAACTAGACAGAATCATTCTCAGAAACTACTTTGTGATGTGTGCCTTCAACTCACAGAGTTTAACCTTTCTTTTCTTAGAGCAGTTTAGAAACACTCTGCTTGTTATGTCTGCAAGTGGATATTTGGACCTCTTTGAGGCCTTCGTTGCAAACGGGGTTTCTTCCTTTCATGCTAGACTAAGAAGAGTTCTCAGTAACTTTTTTGTGTTGTGTGTATTCAACTCACAGAGTTGAACCTTGCTTTAGAGAGAGCAGATTTGAAACACTCTTGCTGTGGCATTTTCAGGTGGAGATTTCAAGCGATTTGAGGACAATTGCAGAAAAGGAAATATCTTCGTATAATAACCAGACAGAATCATTCTCAGAAAGTGCTTTGTGATGTGTGCGTTCAACTCACAGAGTTTAACCTTTCTTTTCATAGAGGAGTTTGGAAACACACTGTTTGTAAAGTCTGCAAGTGGATATATGGACCTGTTTGAGGCCTTCGTTGGAAACGGGATTTCTTCATTGAATGCTAGACGGAAGAATTCTCAGTAAATTCTTTGTGTTGTGTGCATTCAACTCACAGAGTGGAACGTCCCTTTAGACAGAGCAGATTTGAAACACTCTTTTTGCGGAATTTGCAAGTGGAGATTTCTAGCCATTTGATGCCAACAGTAGAAAGGGAAATATCTTCAAATAAAAACCAGACAGAATCATTCTCAGAAAATTCTTTGTGATGTGTGCGTTCAACTCACATAATTTAACCTTTCTTTTCATAGAGCAGTTTGGAAACACTCTGTTTGTAAAGTCTGCAAGTGGATATATGGACCGCATTGAGGCCTTCGTTGGAAACGGGATTTCTTCATTTCATGCTAGACAGAAGAATTCTCAGTAACTTCTTTGTGCTGTGTGTATTCAACTCACAGAGTGGAACGTCCCTTTGCACAGAGCAGATTTGAAACACTCTTTTTGTGGAATTTGCAAGTGGAGATTTCAAGCGATTTGATGCCAACAGTAGAAAAGGAAATATCTTCAAATAAAAACTAGACAGAATCATTCTCAGAAACTACTTTGTGATGTGTGCCTTCAACTCACAGAGTTTAACCTTTCTTTTCTTAGAGCAGTTTAGAAACACTCTGCTTGTTATGTCTGCAAGTGGATATTTGGACCTCTTTGAGGCCTTCGTTGCAAACGGGGTTTCTTCCTTTCATGCTAGACTAAGAAGAGTTCTCAGTAACTTTTTTGTGTTGTGTGTATTCAACTCACAGAGTTAAACCTTGCTTTAGAGAGAGCAGATTTGAAACACTCTTGCTGTGGCATTTTCAGGTGGAGATTTCAAGCGATTTGAGGACAATTGCAGAAAAGGAAATATCTTCGTATAACAACCAGACAGAATCATTCTCAGAAAGTGCTTTGTGATGTGTGCGTTCCACTCACAGAGTTTAACCTTTCTTTTCATAGAGGAGTTTGGAAACACACTGTTTGTAAAGTCTGCAAGTGGATATATGGACCTGTTTGAGGCCTTCGTTGGAAACGGGATTTCTTCATTGAATGCTAGACGGAAGAATTCTCAGTAAATTCTTTGTGTTGTGTGCATTCAACTCACAGAGTGGAACGTCCCTTTAGACAGAGCAGATTTGAAACACTCTTTTTGCGGAATTTGCAAGTGGAGATTTCTAGCCATTTGATGCCAACAGTAGAAAGGGAAATATCTTCAAATAAAAACCAGACAGAATCATTCTCAGAAAATTCTTTGTGATGTGTGCGTTCAACTCACATAGTTTAACCTTTCTTTTCATAGAGAAGTTTGGAAACACTCTGTTTGTAAAGTCTGCAAGTGGATATATGGACCGCATTGAGGCCTTCGTTGGAAACGGGATTTCTTCATTTCATGCTAGACAGAAGAATTCTCAGTAACTTCTTTGTGCTGGGTGTATTCAACTCACAGAGTGGAACGTCCCTTTACACAGAGCAGATTTGAAACACTCTTTTTGTGGAGTTTGCAAGTGGAGATTTCAAGCGATTTGATGCCAACAGTAGAAAAGGAAATATCTTCAAATAAAAACTAGACAGAATCATTCTCAGAAACTACTTTGTGATGTGTGCCTTCAACTCACAGAGTTTAACCTTTCTTTTCTTAGAGCAGTTTAGAAACACTCTGCTTGTTATGTCTGCAAGTGGATATTTGGACCTCTTTGAGGCCTTCGTTGCAAACGGGGTTTCTTCCTTTCATGCTAGACTAAGAAGAGTTCTCAGTAACTTTTTTGTGTTGTGTGTATTCAAATCACAGAGTTGAACCTTGCTTTAGAGAGAGCAGATTTGAAATACTCTTGCTGTGGCATTTTCAGGTGGAGATTTCAAGCGATTTGAGGACAATTGCAGAAAAGGAAATATCTTCGTATAATAACCAGACAGAATCATTCTCAGAAAGTGCTTTGTGATGTGTGCGTTCAACTCACAGAGTTTAACCTTTCTTTTCATAGAGGAGTTTGGAAACACACTGTTTGTAAAGTCTGCAATTGGATATATGGACCTGTTTGAGGCCTTCGTTGGAAACGGGATTTCTTCATTGACTGCTAGTCGGAAGAATTCTCAGTAAATTCTTTGTGTTGTGTGCATTCAACTCACAGAGTGGAACGTCCCTTTAGACAGAGCAGATTTGAAACACTCTTTTTGCGGAATTTGCAAGTGGAGATTTCTAGCCATTTGATGCCAACAGTAGAAAGGGAAATATCTTCAAATAAAAACCAGACAGAATCATTCTCAGAAAATTCTTTGTGATGTGTGCGTTCAACTCACATAGTTTAACCTTTCTTTTCATAGAGCAGTTTGGAAACACTCTGTTTGTAAAGTCTGCAAGTGGATATATGGACCGCATTGAGGCCTTCGTTGGAAACGGGATTTCTTCATTTCATGCTAGACAGAAGAATTCTCAGTAACTTCTTTGTGCTGTGTGTATTCAACTCACAGAGTGGAACGTCCCTTTGCACAGAGCAGATTTGAAACACTCTTTTTGTGGAATTTGCAAGTGGAGATTTCAAGCGATTTGATGCCAACAGTAGAAAAGGAAATATCTTCAAATAAAAACTAGACAGAATCATTCTCAGAAACTACTTTGTGATGTGTGCCTTCAACTCACAGAGTTTAACCTTTCTTTTCTTAGAGCAGATTAGAAACACTCTGCTTGTTATGTCTGCAAGTGGATATTTGGACCTCTTTGAGGCCTTCGTTGCAAACGGGGTTTCTTCCTTTAATGCTAGACTAAGAAGAGTTCTCAGTAACTTTTTTGTGTTGTGTGTATTCAACTCACAGAGCTGAACCTTGCTTTAGAGAGAGCAGATTTGAAACACTCTTGCTGTGGCATTTTCAGGTGGAGATTTCAAGCGATTTGAGGACAATTGCAGAAAAGGAAATATCTTCGTATAACAACCAGACAGAATCATTCTCAGAAAGTGCTTTGTGATGTGTGCGTTCCACTCACAGAGTTTAACCTTTCTTTTCATAGAGGAGTTTGGAAACACACTGTTTGTAAAGTCTGCAAGTGGATATATGGACCTGTTTGAGGCCTTCGTTGGAAACGGGATTTCTTCATTGAATGCTAGGCGGAAGAATTCTCAGTAAATTCTTTGTGTGGTGTGCATTCAACTCACAGAGTGGAACGTCCCTTTAGACAGAGCAGATTTGAAACACTCTTTTTGCGGAATTTGCAAGTGGAGATTTCTAGCCATTTGATGCCAACAGTAGAAAGGGAAATATCTTCAAATAAAAACCAGACAGAATCATTCTCAGAAAATTCTTTGTGATGTGTGCGTTCAACTCACATAGTTTAACCTTTCTTTTCATAGAGCAGTTTGGAAACACTCTGTTTGTGATGTCTGCAAGTGGATATATAGACCGCATTGAGGCCTTCGTTGGAAACGGGATTTCTTCATTTCATGCTAGACAAGAATTCTCAGTAACTTCTTTGTGCTGTGTGTATTCAACTCACAGAGTGGAACGTCCCTTTGCACAGAGCAGATTTGAAACACTCTTTTTGTGGAGTTTGCAAGTGGATATTTCAAGCGATTTGATGCCAACAGTAGAAAAGGAAATATCTTCAAATAAAAACTAGACAGAATCATTCTCAGAAACTACTTTGTGATGTGTGCCTTCAACTCACAGAGTTTAACCTTTCTTTTCTTAGAGCAGTTTAGAAACACTCTGCTTGTTATGTCTGCAAGTGGATATTTGGACCTCTTTGAGGCCTTCGTTGCAAACGGGGTTTCTTCCTTTCATGCTAGACTAAGAAGAGTTCTCAGTAACTTTTTTGTGTTATGTGTATTCAACTCACAGAGTTGAACCTTGCTTTAGAGAGAGCAGATTTGAAACACTCTTGCTGTGGCATTTTCAGGTGGAGATTTCAAGCGATTTGAGGACAATTGCAGAAAAGGAAATATCTTCGTATAATAACCAGACAGAATCATTCTCAGAAAGTGCTTTGTGATGTGTGCGTTCAACTCACAGAGTTTAACCTTTCTTTCCATAGAGGAGTTTGGAAACACACTGTTTGTAAAGTCTGCAAGTGGATATATGGACCTGTTTGAGGCCTTCGTTGGAAACGGGATTTCTTCATTGAATGCTAGACGGAAGAATTCTCAGTAAATTCTTTGTGTTGTGAGCATTCAACTGACAGAGTGGAACGTCCCTTTAGACAGAGCAGATTTGAAACACTCTTTTTGCGGAATTTGCAAGTGGAGATTTCTAGCCATTTGATGCCAACAGTAGAAAGGGAAACATCTTCAAATAAAAACCAGACAGAATCATTCTCAGAAAATTCTTTGTGATGTGTGCGTTCAACTCACATAGTTTAACCTTTCTTTTCATAGAGCAGTTTGGAAACACTCTGTTTGTAAAGTCTGCAAGTGGATCTATGGACCGCATTGAGGCCTTCGTTGGAAACGGGATTTCTTCATTTCATGCTAGACAGAAGAATTCTCAGTAACTTCTTTGTGCTGTGTGTATTCAACTCACAGAGTGGAACGTCCCTTTGCACAGAGCAGATTTGAAACACTCTTTTTGTGGAGTTTGCAAGTGGAGATTTCAAGCGATTTGATGCCAACAGTAGAAAAGGAAATATCTTCAAATAAAAACTAGACAGAATCATTCTCAGAAACTACTTTGTGATGTGTGCCTTCAACTCACAGAGTTTAACCTTTTCTTTTCTTAGAGCAGTTTAGAAACACTCTGCTTGTTATGTCTGCAAGTGGATATTTGGACCTCTTTGAGGCCTTCGTTGCAAACGGGGTTTCTTCCTTTCATGCTAGACTAAGAAGAGTTCTCAGTAACTTTTTTGTGTTGTGTGTATTCAACTCACAGAGTTGAACCTTGCTTTAGAGAGAGCAGATTTGAAACACTCTTGCTGTGGCATTTTCAGGTGGAGATTTCAAGCGATTTGAGGACAATTGCAGAAAAGGAAATATCTTCGTATAATAACCAGACAGAATCATTCTCAGAAAGTGCTTTGTGATGTGTGCGTTCAACTCACAGAGTTTAACCTTTCTTTTCATAGAGGAGTTTGGAAACACACTGTTTGTAAAGTCTGCAATTGGATATATGGACCTGTTTGAGGCCTTCGTTGGAAACGGGATTTCTTCATTGAATGCTAGGCGGAAGAATTCTCAGTAAATTCTTTGTGTTGTGTGCATTCAACTGACAGAGTGGAACGTCCCTTTAGACAGAGTAGATTTGAAACACTCTTTTTGCGGAATTTGCAAGTGGAGATTTCTAGCCATTTGATGCCAACAGTAGAAAGGGAAATATCTTCAAATAAAAACCAGACAGAATCATTCTCAGAAAATTCTTTGTGATGTGTGCGTTCAACTCACATAGTTTAACCTTTCTTTTCATAGAGCAGTTTGGAAACACTCTGTTTGTAAAGTCTGCAAGTGGATATATGGACCGCATTGAGGCCTTCGTTGGAAACGGGATTTCTTCATTTCATGCTAGACAGAAGAATTCTCAGTAACTCCTTTGTGCTGTGTGTATTCAACTCACAGAGTGGAACGTCCCTTTACACAGAGCAGATTTGAAACACTCTTTTTGTGGAGTTTGCAAGTGGAGATTTCAAGCGATTTGATGCCAACAGTAGAAAAGGAAATATCTTCAAATAAAAACTAGACAGAATCATTCTCAGAAACTACTATGTGATGTGTGCCTTCAACTCGCAGAGTTTAACCTTTCTTTTCTTAGAGCAGTTTAGAAACACTCTGCTTGTTATGTCTGCAAGTGGATATTTGGACCTCTTTGAGGCCTTCGTTGCAAACGGGATTTCTTCCTTTAATGCTAGACTAAGAAGAGTTCTCAGTAACTTTTTTGTGTTGTGTGTATTCAACTCACAGAGTTGAACCTTGCTTTAGAGAGAGCAGATTTGAAACACTCTTGCTGTGGCATTTTCAGGTGGAGATTTCAAGCGATTTGAGGACAATTGCAGAAAAGGAAATATCTTCGTATAATAACCAGACAGAATCATTCTCAGAAAATTCTTTGTGATGTGTGCGTTCAGCTCACATAGTTTAACCTTTCTTTTCATAGAGCAGTTTCGAAACACACTATTTGTAAAATCTGCAAGTGGATATATGTACCGCTTTGAGGCATTCCTTGGAAACGGGATTTCTTCATTGAATGCTAGACAGAAGAATTCTCAGTAAATTCTTTGTGTTGTGTGCATTCAACTCACCGAGTGGAACGTCCCTTTAGACAGACCAGATTTGAAACACTCTTTTTGCGAAATTTGGAAGTGGAGATTTCAAGCCATTTGATGCCAACAATAGAAAGGGAAATATCTTCAAATAAAAACTAGACAGAATCATTCTCAGAAAATTCTTTGTGATGTGTGCGTTCAACTCACATAGTTTAACCTTTCTTTTCATAGAGCAGTTTGGAAACACTCTGTTTGTAAAGTCTGCAAGTAGATATATGGACCGCTTTGAGGCCTTCGTTGGAAACGGGATTTCTTCATTTCATGCTAGACAGAAGAATTCTCAGTAACTTCTTTGTGTTGTGTGTATTCAACTCACAGAGTGGAACGTCCCTTTAGACAGAGCAGATTTGAAACACACCTTTTGTGGAATTTGCAAGTGGAGATTTCAAGCGATTTGATGTCAGCAGTAGAAAAGGAAATATCTTCAAATAAAAACTAGACAGAATCATTCTCAGAAACTACTTTGTGATGTGTGCCTTCAACTCACAGAGTTTAACCTTTCTTTTCTTAGAGCAGTTTAGAAACACTCTGCTTGTTATGTCTGCAAGTGGATATTTGGACCTCTTTGAGGCCTTCGTTGCAAACGGGGTTTCTTCCTTTCATGCTAGACTAAGAAGAGTTCTCAGTAACTTTTTTGTGTTGTGTGTATTCAACTCACAGAGCTGAACCTTGCTTTAGAGAGAGCAGATTTGAAACCCTCTTGCTGTGGCATTTTCAGGTGGAGATTTCAAGCGATTTGAGGACAATTGCAGAAAAGGAAATATCTTCGTATAACAACCAGACAGAATCATTCTCAGAAAGTGCTTTGTGATGTGTGCGTTCAACTCACAGAGTTTAACTTTTCTTTTCATAGAGGAGTTTGGAAACACACTGTTTCTAAAGTCTGCAATTGGATATATGGACCTGTTTGAATCCTTCGTTGGAAACGGGATTTCTTCATTGAATGCTAGACGGAAGAATTCTCAGTAAATTCTTTGTGTTGTGTGCATTCAACTCACAGAGTGGAACGTCCCTTTAGACAGAGCAGATTTGAAACACTCTTTTTGCGGAATTTGCAAGTGGAGATTTCTAGCCATTTGATGCCAACAGTAGAAAGGGAAATATCTTCAAATAAAAACCAGACAGAATCATTCTCAGAAAATTCTTTGTGATGTGTGCGTTCAACTCACATAGTTTAACCTTTCTTTTCATAGAGCAGTTTGGAAACACTCTGTTTGTAAAGTCTGCAAGTGGATATATGGACCGCATTGAGGCCTTCGTTGGAAACGGGATTTCTTCATTTCATGCTAGACAGAAGAATTCTCAGTAACTTCTTTGTGCTGTGTGTATTCAACTCACAGAGTGGAAGGTCCCTTTGCACAGAGCAGATTTGAAACACTCTTTTTGTGGAATTTGCAAGTGGAGATTTCAAGCGATTTGATGCCAACAGTAGAAAAGGAAATATCTTCAAATAAAAACTAGACAGAATCATTCTCAGTAAACTACTTTGTGATGTGTGCCTTCAACTCACAGAGTTTAACCTTTCTTTTCTTAGAGCAGTTTAGAAACACTCTGCTTGTTATGTCTGCAAGTGGATATTTGGACCTCTTTGAGGCCTTCGTTGCAAACAGGGTTTCTTCCTTTAATGCTAGACTAAGAAGAGTTCTCAGTAACTTTTTTGTGTTGTGTGTATTCAACTCACAGAGTTGAACCTTGCTTTAGAGAGAGCAGATTTGAAACACTCTTGCTGTGGCATTTTCAGGTGGAGATTTCAAGCGATTTGAGGACAATTGCAGAAAAGGAAATATCTTCGTATAATAACCAGACAGAATCTTTCTCAGAAAGTGCTTTGTGATGTGTGCGTTCAACTCACAGAGTTTAACCTTTCTTTCCATAGAGGAGTTTGGAAACACACTGTTTGTAAAGTCTGCAATTGGATATATGGACCTGTTTGAGGCCTTCGTTGGAAACGGGATTTCTTCATTGAATGCTAGACGGAAGAATTCTCAGTAAATTCTTTGTGTTGTGTGCATTCAACTCACAGAGTGGAACGTCCCTTTAGACAGAGCAGATTTGAAACACTCTTTTTGCGGAATTTGCAAGTGGAGATTTCTAGCCATTTGATGCCAACAGTAGAAAGGGAAATATCTTCAAATAAAAACCAGACAGAATCATTCTCAGAAAATTCTTTGTGATGGGTGCGTTCAACTCACATAGTTTAACCTTTCTTTTCATAGAGCAGTTTGGAAACACTCTGTTTGTAAAGTCTGCAAGTGGATATATGGACCGCATTGAGGCCTTCGTTGGAAACGGGATTTCTTCATTTCATGCTAGACAGAAGAATTCTCAGTAACTTCTTTGTGCTGTGTGTATTCAACTCACAGAGTGGAACATCCCTATGCACAGAGCAGATTTGAAACACTCTTTTTCTGGAGTTTGCAAGTGGAGATTTCAAGCGATTTGATGCCAACAGTAGAAAAGGAAATATCTTCAAATAAAAACTAGACAGAATCATTCTCAGAAACTACTTTGTGATGTGTGCCTTCAACTCACAGAGTTTAACCTTTCTTTTCTTAGAGCAGTTTAGAAACACTCTGCTTGTTATGTCTGCAAGTGGATATTTGGACCTCTTTGAGGCCTTCGTTGCAAACGGGGTTTCTTCCTTTCATGCTAGACTAAGAAGAGTTCTCAGTAACTTTTTTGTGTTGTGTGTATTCAACTCACAGAGTTGAACCTTGCTTTAGAGAGAGCAGATTTGAAACACTCTTGCTGTGGCATTTTCAGGTGGAGATTTCAAGCGATTTGAGGACAATTGCAGAAAAGGAAATATCTTCGTATAATAACCAGACAGAATCATTCTCAGAAAGTGCTTTGTGATGTGTGCGTTCCACTCACAGAGTTTAACCTTTCTTTTCATAGAGGAGTTTGGAAACACACTGTTTGTAAAGTCTGCAAGTGGATATATGGACCTGTTTGAGGCCTTCGTTGGAAACGGGATTTCTTCATTGAATGCTAGACGGAAGAATTCTCAGTAAATACTTTGTGTTGTGTGCATTCAACTCACAGAGTGGAACGTCCCTTTAGACAGAGCAGATTTGAAACACTCTTTTTGCGGAATTTGCAAGTGGAGATTTCTAGCCATTTGATGCCAACAGTAGAAAGGGAAATATCTTCAAATAAAAACCAGACAGAATCATTCTCAGAAAATTCTTTGTGATGTGTGCGTTCAACTCACATAGTTTAACCTTTCTTTTCATAGAGCAGTTTGGAAACACTCTGTTTGTAAAGTCTGCAAGTGGATATATGGACCGCATTGAGGCCTTCGTTGGAAACGGGATTTCTTCATTTCATGCTAGACAGAAGAATTCTCAGTAACTTCTTTGTGCTGTGTGTATTCAACTCACAGAGTGGAACGTTCCTTTACACAGAGCAGATTTGAAACACTCTTTTTGTGGAATTTGCAAGTGGAGATTTCAAGCGATTTGATGCCAACAGTAGAAAAGGAAATATCTTCAAATAAAAACTAGACAGAATCATTCTCAGAAACTACTTTGTGATGTGTGCCTTCAACTCACAGAGTTTAACCTTTCTTTTCTTAGAGCAGTTTAGAAACACTCTGCTTGTTATGTCTGCAAGTGGATATTTGGACCTCTTTGAGGCCTTCGTTGCAAACGGGGTTTCTTCCCTTTAATGCTAGACTAAGAAGAGTTCTCAGTAACTTTTTTGTGTTGTGTGTATTCAACTCACAGAGTTGAACCTTGCTTTAGAGAGAGCAGATTTGAAACACTCTCGCTGTGGAATTTTCAGGTGGAGATTTCAAGCGATTTGAGGACAATTGCAGAAAAGGAAATATCTTCGTATAATAACCAGACAGAATCATTCTCAGAAAGTGCTTTGTGATGTGTGCGTTCAACTCACAGAGTTTAACCTTTCTTTTCATAGAGGAGTTTGGAAACACACTGTTTGTAAAGTCTGCAATTGGATATATGGACCTGTTTGAGGCCTCCGTTGGAAACGGGATTTCTTCATTGAATGCTAGACGGAAGAATTCTCAGTAAATTCTTTGTGTTGTGTGCATTCAACTCAGAGAGTGGAACGTCCCTTTAGACAGAGCAGATTTGAAACACTCTTTTTGCGGAATTTGCAAGTGGAGATTTCTAGCCATTTGATGCCAACAGTAGAAAGGGAAATATCTTCAAATAAAAACCAGACAGAATCATTCTCAGAAAATTCTTTGTGATGTGTGCGTTCAACTCACATAGTTTAACCTTTCTTTTCATAGAGCAGTTTGGAAACACTCTGTTTGTAAAGTCTGCAAGTGGATATATGGACCGCATTGAGGCCTTCGTTGGAAACGGGATTTCTTCATTTCATGCTAGACAGAAGAATTCTGAGTAACTTCTTTGTGCTGTGTGTATTCAACTCACAGAGTAGAACGTCCCTTTGCACAGAGCAGATTTGAAACACACTTTTTGTGGAATTTGCAAGTGGAGATTTCAAGCGATTTGATGCCAACAGTAGAAAAGGAAATATCTTCAAATAAAAACTAGACAGAATCATTCTCAGAAACTACTTTGTGATGTGTGCCTTCAACTCACAGAGTTTAACCTTTCTTTTCTTAGAGCAGTTTAGAAACACTCTGCTTGTTATGTCTGCAAGTGGATATTTGGACCTCTTTGAGGCGTCGTTGCAAACGGGGTTTCTTCCTTTCATGCTAGACTAAGAAGAGTTCTCAGTAACTTTTTTGTGTTGTGTGTATTCAACTCACAGAGTTGAACCTTGCTTTAGAGAGAGCAGATTTGAAACACTCTTGCTGTGGCATTTTCAGGTGGAGATTTCAAGCGATTTGAGGACAATTGCAGAAAAGGAAATATCTTCGTATAACAACCAGACAGAATCATTCTCAGAAAGTGCTTTGTGATGTGTGCGTTCAACTCACAGAGTTTAACCTTTCTTTTCATAGAGGAGTTTGGAAACACACTGTTTGTAAAGTCTGCAATTGGATATATGGACCTGTTTGAGGCCTTCGTTGGAAACGGGATTTCTTCATTGAATGGTAGACGGAAGAATTCTCAGTAAATTCTTTGTGTGGTGTGCATTGAACTCACAGAGTGGAACGTCCCTTTAGACAGAGCAGATTTGAAACACTCTTTTTGCGGAATTTGCAAGTGGAGATTTCTAGCCATTTGATGCCAACAGTAGAAAGGGAAATATCTTCAAATAAAAACCAGACAGAATCATTCTCAGAAAATTCTTTGTGATGTGTGCGTTCAACTCACATAGTTTAACCTTTCTTTTCATAGAGCAGTTTGGAAACACTCTGTAAAGTCTGCAAGTGGATATATGGACCGCATTGAGGCCTTCGTTGGAAACGGGATTTCTTCATTTCATGCTAGACAGAAGAATTCTCAGTAACTTCTTTGTGCTGTGTGTATTCAACTCACAGAGTGGAACGTCCCTTTACACAGAGCAGATTTGAAACACTCTTTTTGTGGAGTTTGCAAGTGGAGATTTCAAGCGATTTGATGCCAACAGTAGAAAAGGAAATATCTTCAAATAAAAACTAGACAGAATCATTCTCAGAAACTACTTTGTGATGTGTGCCTTCAACTCACAGAGTTTAACCTTTCTTTTCTTAGAGCAGTTTAGAAACACTCTGCTTGTTATGTCTGCAAGTGGATATTTGGACCTCTTTGAGGCCTTCGTTGCAAACGGGGTTTCTTCCTTTCATGCTAGACTAAGAAGAGTTCTCAGTAACTTTTTTGTGTTGTGTGTATTCAACTCACAGAGTTGAACCTTGCTTTAGAGAGAGCAGATTTGAAACACTCTTGCTGTGGCATTTTCAGGTGGAGATTTCAAGCGATTTGAGGACAATTGCAGAAAAGCAAATATCTTCGTATAATAACCAGACAGAATCATTCTCAGAAAGTGCTTTGTGATGTGTGCGTTCAACTCACAGAGTTTAACCTTTCTTTTCATAGAGGAGTTTGGAAACACACTGTTTCTAAAGTCTGCAATTGGATATATGGACCTGTTTGAGGCCTTCGTTGGAAACGGGATTTCTTCATTGAATGCTAGACGGAAGAATTCTCAGTAAATTCTTTGTGTTGTGTGCATTCAACTCACAGAGTGGAACGTCCCTTTAGACAGAGCAGATTTGAAACACTCTTTTTGCGGAATTTGCAAGTGGAGATTTCTAGCCATTTGATGCCAACAGTAGAAAGGGAAATATCTTCAAATAAAAACCAGACAGAATCATTCTCAGAAAATTCTTTGTGATGTGTGCGTTCAACTCACATAGTTTAACCTTTCTTTTCATAGAGCAGTTTGGAAACACTCTGTTTGTAAAGTCTGCAAGTGGATATATGGACCGCATTGAGGCCTTCGTTGGAAACGGGATTTCTTCATTTCATGCTAGACAGAAGAATTCTCAGTAACTTCTTTGTGCTGTGTGTATTCAACTCACAGAGTGGAACGTCCCTTTGCACAGAGCGGATTTGAAACACTCTTTTTGTGGAGTTTGCAAGTGGAGATTTCAAGCGATTTGATGCCAACAGTAGAAAAGGAAGTATCTTCAAATAAAAACTAGACAGAATCATTCTCAGAAACTACTTTGTGATGTGTGCCTTCAACTCTCAGAGTTTAACCTTTCTTTTCTTAGAGCAGTTTAGAAACACTCTGCTTGTTATGTCTGCAAGTGGATATTTGGACCTCTTTGAGGCCTTCGTTGCAAACGGGGTTTCTTCCTTTAATGCTAGACTAAGAAGAGTTCTCAGTAACTTTTTTGTGTTGTGTGTATTCAACTCACAGAGTTGAACCTTGCTTTAGAGAGAGCAGATTTGAAACACTCTTGCTGTGGCATTTTCAGGTGGAGATTTCAAGCGATTTGAGGACAATTGCAGAAAAGGAAATATCTTCGTATAATAACCAGACAGAATCATTCACAGAAAGTGCTTTGTGATGTGTGCGTTCAACTCACAGAGTTTAACCTTTCTTTTCATAGAGGAGTTTGGAAACACACTGTTTGTAACGTCTGCAAGTGGATATATGGACCTGTTTGAGGCCTTCGTTGGAAACGGGATTTCTTCATTGAATGCTAGACGGAAGAATTCTCAGTAAATTCTTTGTGTTGTGTGCATTCAACTCACACAGTGGAACGTCCCTTTAGACAGAGCAGAGTTGAAACACTCTTTTTGCGGAAGTTGCAAGTGGAGATTTCTAGCCATTTGATGCCAACAGTAGAAAGGGAAATATCTTCAAATAAAAACTAGACAGAATCATTCTCAGAAAGTGC
This sequence comes from Homo sapiens, assembly GCF_000001405.40. Taxonomy (NCBI): domain Eukaryota; kingdom Metazoa; phylum Chordata; class Mammalia; order Primates; family Hominidae; genus Homo; species Homo sapiens. The sequence goes on from NC_000007.14 coordinate 59,856,412, forward strand.
TTTGTGATGTGTGCGTTCAACTCACAGAGTTTAACCTTTCTTTTCATAGAGGAGTTTGGAAACACACTGTTTGTAAAGTCTGCAATTGGATATATGGACCTGTTTGAGGCCTTCGTTGGAAACGGGATTTCTTCATTGAATGCTAGACGGAAGAATTCTCAGTAAATTCTTTGTGTTGTGTGCATTCAACTCACAGAGTGGAACGTCCCTTTAGACAGAGCAGATTTGAAACACTCTTTTTGCGGAATTTGCAAGTGGAGATTTCTAGCCATTTGATGCCAACAGTAGAAAGGGAAATATCTTCAAATAAAAACCAGACAGAATCATTCTCAGAAAATTCTTTGTGATGTGTGCGTTCAACTCACATAGTTTAACCTTTCTTTTCATAGAGCAGTTTGGAAACACTCTGTTTGTAAAGTCTGCAAGTGGATATATGGACCGCATTGAGGCCTTCGTTGGAAACGGGATTTCTTCATTTCATGCTAGACAGAAGAATTCTCAGTAACTTCTTTGTGCTGTGTGTATTCAACTCTCAGAGTGGAACGTCCCTTTGCACAGAGCAGATTTGAAACACTCTTTTTGTGGAGTTTGCAAGTGGAGATTTCAAGCGATTTGATGCCAACAGTAGAAAAGGAAATATCTTCAAATAAAAACTAGACAGAATCATTCTCAGAAACTACTTTGTGATGTGTGCCTTCAACTCACAGAGTTTAACCTTTCTTTTCTTAGAGCAGTTTAGAAACACTCTGCTTGTTATGTCTGCAAGTGGATATTTGGACCTCTTTGAGGCCTTCGTTGCAAACGGGGTTTCTTCCTTTCATGCTAGACTAAGAAGAGTTCTCAGTAACTTTTTTGTGTTGTGTGTATTCAACTCACAGAGCTGAACCTTGCTTTAGAGAGAGCAGATTTGAAACACTCTTGCTGTGGCATTTTCAGGTGGAGATTTCAAGCGATTTGAGGACAATTGCAGAAAAGGAAATATCTTCGTATAACAACCAGACAGAATCATTCTCAGAAAGTGCTTTGTGATGTGTGCGTTCCACTCACAGAGTTTAACCTTTCTTTTCATAGAGGAGTTTGGAAACACACTGTTTGTAAAGTCTGCAAGTGGATATATGGACCTCTTTGAGGCCTTCGTTGGAAACGGGATTTCTTCATTGAATGCTAGACGGAAGAATTCTCAGTAAATTCTTTGTGTTGTGTGCATTCAACTGACAGAGTGGAACGTCCCTTTAGACAGAGCAGATTTGAAACACTCTTTTTGCGGAATTTGCAAGTGGAGATTTCTAGCCATTTGATGCCAACAGTAGAAAGGGAAATATCTTCAAATAAAAACCAGACAGAATCATTATCAGAAAATTCTTTGTGATGTGTGCGTTCAACTCACATAGTTTAACCTTTCTTTTCATAGAGCAGTTTGGAAACACTCTGTTTGTAAAGTCTGCAAGTGGATATATGGACCGCATTGAGGCCTTCGTTGGAAACGGGATTTCTTCATTTCATGCTAGACAGAAGAATTCTCAGTAACTTCTTTGTGCTGTGTGTATTCAACTCACAGAGTGGAACGTCCCTTTACACAGAGCAGATTTGAAACACTCTTTTTGTGGAGTTTGCAAGTGGAGATTTCAAGCGATTTGATGCCAACAGTAGAAAAGGAAATATCTTCAAATAAAAACTAGACAGAATCATTCTCAGAAACTACTTTGTGATGTGTGCCTTCAACTCACAGAGTTTAACCTTTCTTTTCTTAGAGCAGTTTAGAAACACTCTGCTTGTTATGTCTGCAAGTGGATATTTGGACCTCTTTGAGGCCTTCGTTGCAAACGGGGTTTCTTCCTTTCATGCTAGACTAAGAAGAGTTCTCAGTAACTTTTTTGTGTTGTGTGTATTCAACTCACAGAGTTGAACCTTGCTTTAGAGAGAGCAGATTTGAAACACTCTTGCTGTGGCATTTTCAGGTGGAGATTTCAAGCGATTTGAGGACAATTGCAGAAAAGGAAATATCTTCGTATAATAACAAGACAGAATCATTCTCAGAAAGTGCTTTGTGATGTGTGCGTTCAACTCACAGAGTTTAACCTTTCTTTTCATAGAGGAGTTTGGAAACACACTGTTTGTAAAGTCTGCAATTGGATATATGGACCTGTTTGAGGCCTTCGTTGGAAACGGGATTTCTTCATTGAATGCTAGACGGAAGAATTCTCAGTAAATTCTTTGTATTGTGTGCATTCAACTCACAGAGTGGAACGTCCCTTTAGACAGAGCAGATTTGAAACACTCTTTTTGCGGAATTTGCAAGTGGAGATTTCTAGCCATTTGATGCCAAGAGTAGAAAGGGAAACATCTTCAAATAAAAACCAGACAGAATCATTCTCAGAAAATTCTTTGTGATGTGTGCGTTCAACTCACATAGTTTAACCTTTCTTTTCATAGAGCAGTTTGGAAACACTCTGTTTGTAAAGTCTGCAAGTGGATATATGGACCGCATTGAGGCCTTCGTTGGAAACGGGATTTCTTCATTTCATGCTAGACAGAAGAATTCTCAGTAACTTCTTTGTGCTGTGTGTATTCAACTCACAGAGTGGAACGTCCCTTTGCACAGAGCAGATTTGAAACACTCTTTTTGTGGAGTTTGCAAGTGGAGATTTCAAGCGATTTGATGCCAACAGTAGAAAAGGAAATATCTTCAAATAAAAACTAGACAGAATCATTCTCAGAAACTACTTTGTGATGTGTGCCTTCAACTCACAGAGTTTAACCTTTCTTTTCTTAGAGCAGTTTAGAAACACTCTGCTTGTTATGTCTGCAAGTGGATATTTGGACCTCTTTGAGGCCTTCGTTGCAAACGGGGTTTCTTCCTTTCATGCTAGACTAAGAAGAGTTCTCAGTAACTTTTTTGTGTTGTGTGTATTCAACTCACAGAGTTGAACCTTGCTTTAGAGAGAGCAGATTTGAAACACTCTTGCTGTGGCATTTTCAGGTGGAGATTTCAAGCGATTTGAGGACAATTGCAGAAAAGGAAATATCTTCGTATAATAACCAGACAGAATCATTCTCAGAAAGTGCTTTGTGATGTGTGCGTTCAACTCACAGAGTTTAACCTTTCTTTTCATAGAGGAGTTTGGAAACACACTGTTTGTAACGTCTGCAAGTGGATATATGGACCTGTTTGAGGCCTTCGTTGGAAACGGGATTTCTTCATTGAATGCTAGACGGAAGAATTCTCAGTAAATTCTTTGTGTTGTGTGCATTCAACTCACAGAGTGGAACGTCCCTTTAGACAGAGCAGATTTGAAACACTCTTTTTGCGGAAGTTGCAAGTGGAGATTTCTAGCCATTTGATGCCAACAGTAGAAAGGGAAATATCTTCAAATAAAAACTAGACAGAATCATTCTCAGAAAATTCTTTGTGATGTGTGCGTTCAACTCACATAGTTTAACCTTTCTTTTCATAGAGCAGTTTGGAAACACTCTGTTTGTAAAGTCTGCAAGTGGATATATGGACCGCATTGAGGCCTTCGTTGGAAACGGGATTTCTTCATTTCATGCTAGACAGAAGAATTCTCAGTAACTTCTTTGTGCTGTGTGTATTCAACTCACAGAGTGGAACGTCCCATTGCACAGAGCAGATTTGAAACACTCTTTTTGTGGAGTTTGCAAGTGGAGATTTCAAGCGATTTGATGCCAACAGTAGAAAAGGAAATATCTTCAAATAAAAACTAGACAGAATCATTCTCAGAAACTACTTTGTGATGTGTGCCTTCAACTCACAGAGTTTAACCTTTCTTTTCTTAGAGCAGTTTAGAAACACTCTGCTTGTTATGTCTGCAAGTGGATATTTGGACCTCTTTGAGGCCTTCGTTGCAAACGGGGTTTCTTCCTTTAATGCTAGACTAAGAAGAGTTCTCAGTAACTTTTTTGTGTTGTGTGTATTCAACTCACAGAGTTGAACCTTGCTTTAGAGAGAGCAGATTTGAAACACTCTTGCTGTGGCATTTTCAGGTGGAGATTTCAAGCGATTTGAGGACAATTACAGAAAAGGAAATATCTTCGTATAACAACCAGACAGAATCATTCTCAGAAAGTGCTTTGTGATGTGTGCGTTCAACTCACAGAGTTTAACCTTTCTTTTCATAGAGGAGTTTGGAAACATACTGTTTGTAAAGTCTGCAATTGGATATATGGACCTGTTTGAGGCCTTCGTTGGAAACGGGATTTCTTCATTGAATGCTAGACGGAAGAATTCTCAGTAAATTCTTTGTGTTGTGTGCATTCAACTCACAGAGTGGAACGTCCCTTTAGACAGAGCAGATTTGAAACACTCTTTTTGCGGAATTTGCAAGTGGAGATTTCTAGCCATTTGATGCCAACAGTAGAAAGGGAAATATCTTCAAATAAAAACCAGACAGAATCATTCTCAGAAAATTCTTTGTGATGTGTGCGTTCAACTCACATAGTTTAACCTTTCTTTTCATAGAGCAGTTTGGGAACACTCTGTTGGTAATGTCTGCAAGTGGATATATGGACCGCTTTGAGGCCTTCGTTGGAAACGGGATTTCTTCATTTCATGCTAGACAGAAGAATTCTCAGTAACTTCTTTGTGCTGTGTGTATTCAACTCACAGAGTGGAACGTCCCTTTACACAGAGCAGATTTGAAACACTCTTTTTGTGGAGTTTGCAAGTGGAGATTTCAAGCGATTTGATGCCAACAGTAGAAAAGGAAATATCTGCAAACAAAAACTAGACAGAATCATTATCAGAAAGTGCTTTGTGATGTGTGCATTCAACTCACAGAGTTAACCTTTCTTTTCATAAAGGAGTTTGGAAACACACTGTTTGTAAAGTCTGCAATTGGATATATGGACCTGTTTGAGGCCTTCGTTGGAAACGGGATTTCTTCATTGAATGCTAGACGGAAGAATTCTCAGTAAATTCTTTGTGTTGTGTGCATTCAACTCACAGAGTGGAACGTCCCTTTAGACAGAGCAGATTTGGAACACTCTTTTTGCGGAATTTGCAAGTGGAGATTTCTAGCCATTTGATGCCAACAGTAGAAAGGGAAATATCTTCAAATAAAAACCAGACAGAGAATCATTCTCAGAAAATTCTTTGTGATGTGTGCGTTCAACTCACATAGTTTAACCTTTCTTTTCATAGAGCAGTTTGGAAACACTCTGTTTGTAAAGTCTGCAAGTGGATATATAGACCGCATTGAGGCCTTCGTTGGAAACGGGATTTCTTCATTTCATGCTAGACAGAAGAATTCTCAGTAACTTCTTTGTGCTGTGTGTATTCAACTCACAGAGTGGAACGTCCCTTTGCACAGAGCAGATTTGAAACACTCTTTTTGTGGAGTTTGCAAGTGGAGATTTCAAGCGATTTGATGCCAACAGTAGAAAAGGAAATATCTTCAAATAAAAACTAGACAGAATCATTCTCAGAAACTACTTTGTGATGTGTGCCTTCAACTCACAGAGTTTAACCTTTCTTTTCTTAGAGCAGTTTAGAAACACTCTGCTTGTTATGTCTGCAAGTGGATATTTGGACCTCTTTGAGGCCTTCGTTGCAAACGGCGTTTCTTCCTTTAATGCTAGACTAAGAAGAGTTCTCAGTAACTTTTTTGTGTTGTGTGTATTCAACTCACAGAGTTGAACCTTGCTTTAGAGAGAGCAGATTTGAAACACTCTTGCTGTGGCATTTTCAGGTGGAGATTTCAAGCGATTTGAGGACAATTGCAGAAAAGGAAATATCTTCGTATAATAACCAGACAGAATCATTCTCAGAAAGTGCTTTGTGATGTGTGCGTTCAACTCACAGAGTTTAACCTTTCTTTTCATAGAGGAGTTTGGAAACACACTGTTTGTAAAGTCTGCAATTGGATATATGGACCTGTTTGAGGCCTTCGTTTGAAACGGGATTTCTTCATTGAATGCTAGACGGAAGAATTCTCAGTAAATTCTTTGTGTTGTGTGCATTCAACTCACAGAGTGGAACGTCCCTTTAGACAGAGCAGATTTGAAACACTCTTTTTGCGGAATTTGCAAGTGGAGATTTCTAGCCATTTGATGCCAACAGTAGAAAGGGAAATATCTTCAAATAAAAACCAGACAGAATCATTCTCAGAAAATTCTTTGTGATGTGTGCGTTCAACTCACATAGTTTAACCTTTCTTTTCATAGAGCAGTTTGGAAACACTCTGTTTGTAAAGTCTGCAAGTGGATATATGGACCGCATTGAGGCCTTCGTTGGAAACGGGATTTCTTCATTTCATGCTAGACAGAAGAATTCTCAGTAACTTCTTTGTGCTGTGTGTATTCAACTCACAGAGTGGAACGTCCCTTTGCACAGAGCGGATTTGAAACACTCTTTTTGTGGAGTTTGCAAGTGGAGATTTCAAGCGATTTGATGCCAACAGTAGAAAAGGAAATATCTTCAAATAAAAACTAGACAGAATCATTCTCAGAAACTACTTTGTGATGTGTGCCTTCAACTAACAGAGTTTAACCTTTCTTTTCTTAGAGCAGTTTAGAAACACTCTGCTTGTTATGTCTGCAAGTGGATATTTGGACCTCTTTGAGGCCTTCGTTGCAAACGGGGTTTCTTCCTTTAATGCTAGACTAAGAAGAGTTCTCAGTAACTTTTTTGTGTTGTGTGCATTCAACTCACAGAGTGGAACGTCCCTTTAGACAGAGCAGATTTGAAACACTCTTTTTGCGGAAGTTGCAAGTGGAGATTTCTAGCCATTTGATGCCAACAGTACAAAGGGAAATATCTTCAAATAAAAACTAGACAGAATCATTCTCAGAAAGTGCTTTGTGATGTGTGCGTTCAACTCACAGAGTTTAACCTTTCTTTTCATAGAGGAGTTTGGAAACACACTGTTTGTAAAGTCTGCAATTGGATATATGGACCTGTTTGAGGCCTTCGTTGGAAATGGGATTTCTTCATTGAATGCTAGACGGAAGAATTCTCAGTAAATTCTTTGTGTTGTGTGCATTCAACTGACAGAGTGGAACGTCCCTTTAGACAGAGCAGATTTGAAACACTCTTTTTGCGGAATTTGCAAGTGGAGATTTCTAGCCATTTGATGCCAACAGTAGAAAGGGAAATATCTTCAAATAAAAACCAGACAGAATCATTCTCAGAAAATTCTTTGTGATGTGTGCGTTCAACTCACATAGTTTTACCTTTCTTTTCATAGAGCAGTTTGGAAACACTCTGTTTGTAAAGTCTGCAAGTGGATATATGGACCGCATTGAGGCCTTCGTTGGAAACGGGATTTCTTCATTTCATGCTAGACAGAAGAATTCTCAGTAACTTCTTTGTGCTGTGTGTATTCAACTCACAGAGTGGAACGTTCCTTTACACAGAGAAGATTTGAAACACTCTTTTTGTGGAATTTGCAAGTGGAGATTTCAAGCGATTTGATGCCAACAGTAGAAAAGGAAATATCTTCAAATAAAAACTAGACAGAATCATTCTCAGAAACTACTTTGTGATGTGTGCCTTCAACTCACAGAGTTTAACCTTTCTTTTCTTAGAGCAGTTTAGAAACACTCTGCTTGTTATGTCTGCAAGTGGATATTTGGACCTCTTTGAGGCCTTCGTTGCAAACGGGGTTTCTTCCTTTCATGCTAGACTAAGAAGAGTTCTCAGTAACTTTTTTGTGTTGTGTGTATTCAACTCACAGAGTTGAACCTTGCTTTAGAGAGAGCAGATTTGAAACACTCTTGCTGTGGCATTTTCAGGTGGAGATTTCAAGCGATTTGAGGACAATTGCAGAAAAGGAAATATCTTCGTATAATAACCAGACAGAATCATTCTCAGAAAGTGCTTTGTGATGTGTGCGTTCAACTCACAGAGTTTAACCTTTCTTTTCATAGAGGAGTTTGGAAACACACTGTTTGTAAAGTCTGCAAGTGGATATATGGACCTGTTTGAGGCCTTCGTTGGAAACGGGATTTCTTCATTGAATGCTAGACGGAAGAATTCTCAGTAAATTCTTTGTGTTGTGTGCATTCAACTCACAGAGTGGAACGTCCCTTTAGACAGAGCAGATTTGAAACACTCTTTTTGCGGAATTTGCAAGTGGAGATTTCTAGCCATTTGATGCCAACAGTAGAAAGGGAAATATCTTCAAATAAAAACCAGACAGAATCATTCTCAGAAAATTCTTTGTGATGTGTGCGTTCAACTCACATAGTTTAACCTTTCTTTTCATAGAGCAGTTTGGAAACACTCTGTTTGTAAAGTCTGCAAGTGGATATATGGACCGCATTGAGGCCTTCGTTGGAAACGGGATTTCTTCATTTCATGCTAGACAGAAGAATTCTCAGTAACTTCTTTGTGCTGTGTGTATTCAACTCACAGAGTGGAACGTCCCTTTACACAGAGCAGATTTGAAACACTCTTTTTGTGGAGTTTGCAAGTGGAGATTTCAAGCGATTTGATGCCAACAGTAGAAAAGGAAATATCTTCAAATAAAAACTAGACAGAATCATTCTCAGAAACTACTTTGTGATGTGTGCCTTCAACTCACAGAGTTTAACCTTTCTTTTCTTAGAGCAGTTTAGAAACACTCTGCTTGTTATGTCTGCAAGTGGATATTTGGAACTCTTTGAGGCCTTCGTTGCAAACGGGGTTTCTTCCTTTCATGCTAGACTAAGAAGAGTTCTCAGTAACTTTTTTGTGTTGTGTGTATTCAACTCACAGAGTTGAACCTTGCTTTAGAGAGAGCAGATTTGAAACACTCTTGCTGTGGCATTTTCAGGTGGAGATTTCAAGCGATTTGAGGACAATTGCAGAAAAGGAAATATCTTCGTATAATAACCAGACAGAATCATTCTCAGAAAGTGCTTTGTGATGTGTGCGTTCCACTCACAGAGTTTAACCTTTCTTTTCATAGAGGAGTTTGGAAACACACTGTTTGTAAAGTCTGCAATTGGATATATGGACCTGTTTGAGGCCTTCGTTGGAAACGGGATTTCTTCATTGAATGCTAGACGGAAGAATTCTCAGTAAATTCTTTGTGTTGTGTGCATTGAACTCACAGAGTGGAACGTCCCTTTAGACAGAGCAGATTTGAAACACTCTTTTTGCGGAATTTGCAAGTGGAGATTTCTAGCCATTTGATGCCAACAGTAGAAAGGGAAATATCTTCAAATAAAAACCAGACAGAATCATTCTCAGAAAATTCTTTGTGATGTGTGCGTTCAACTCACATAGTTTAACCTTTCTTTTCATAGAGCAGTTTGGAAACACTCTGTTTGTAAAGTCTGCAAGTGGATATATGGACCGCATTGAGGCCTTCGTTGGAAACGGGATTTCTTCATTTCATGCTAGACAGAAGAATACTCAGTAACTTCTTTGTGCTGTGTGTATTCAACTCACAGAGTGGAACGTCCCTTTACACAGAGCAGATTTGAAACACTCTTTTTGTGGAGTTTGCAAGTGGAGATTTCAAGCGATTTGATGCCAACAGTAGAAAAGGAAATATCTTCAAATAAAAACTAGACAGAATCATTCTCAGAAACTACTTTGTGATGTGTGCCTTCAACTCACAGAGTTTAACCTTTCTTTTCTTAGAGCAGTTTAGAAACACTCTGCTTTTTATGTCTGCAAGTGGATATTTGGACCTCTTTGAGGCCTTCGTTGCAAACGGGGTTTCTTCCTTTAATGCTAGACTAAGAAGAGTTCTCAGTAACTTTTTTGTGTTGTGTGCATTCAACTCACAGAGTGGAACGTCCCTTTAGACAGAGCAGATTTGAAACACTCTTTTTGCGGAAGTTGCAAGTGGAGATTTCTAGCCATTTGATGCCAACAGTAGAAAGGGAAATATCTTCAAATAAAAACCAGACAGAATCATTCTCAGAAAATTCTTTGTGATGTGTGCGTTCAACTCACATAGTTTAACCTTTCTTTTCATAGAGCAGTTTGGAAACACTCTGTTTGTAAAGTCTGCAAGTGGATATATGGACCGCATTGAGGCCTTCGTTGGAAACGGGATTTCTTCATTTCATGCTAGACAGAAGAATTCTCAGTAACTTCTTTGTGCTGTGTGTATTCAACTCACAGAGTGGAACGTCCCTTTACACAGAGCAGATTTGAAACACTCTTTTTGTGGAGTTTGCAAGTGGAGATTTCAAGCGATTTGATGCCAACAGTAGAAAAGGAAATATCTTCAAATAAAAACTAGACAGAATCATTCTCAGAAACTACTTTGTGATGTGTGCCTTCAACTCACAGAGTTTAACCTTTCTTTTCTTAGAGCAGTTTAGAAACACTCTGCTTGTTATGTCTGCAAGTGGATATTTGGACCTCTTTGAGGCCTTCGTTGCAAACGGGGTTTCTTCCTTTCATGCTAGACTAAGAAGAGTTCTCAGTAACTTTTTTGTGTTGTGTGTATTCAACTCACAGAGTTGAACCTTGCTTTAGAGAGAGCAGATTTGAAACACTCTTCCTGTGGCATTTTCAGGTGGAGATTTCAAGCGATTTGAGGACAATTGCAGAAAAGGAAATATCTTCGTATAACAACCAGACAGAATCATTCTCAGAAAGTGCTTTGTGATGTGTGCGTTCAACTCACAGAGTTTAACCTTTCTTTTCATAGAGGAGTTTGGAAACACACTGTTTGTAAAGTCTGCAATTGGATATATGGACCTGTTTGAGGCCTTCGTTGGAAACGGGATTTCTTCATTGAATGCTAGACGGAAGAATTCTCAGTAAATTCTTCGTGTTGTGTGCATTCAACTCACAGAGTGGAACGTCCCTTTAGACAGAGCAGATTTGAAACACTCTTTTTGCGGAATTTGCAAGTGGAGATTTCTAGCCATTTGATGCCAACAGTAGAAAGGGAAATATCTTCAAATAAAAACCAGACAGAATCATTCTCAGAAAATTCTTTGTGATGTGTGCGTTCAACTCACATAGTTTAACCTTTCTTTTCATAGAGCAGTTTGGAAACACTCTGTTTGTAAAGTCTGCAAGTGGATATATAGACCGCATTGAGGCCTTCGTTGGAAACGGGATTTCTTCATTTCGTGCTAGACAGAAGAATTCTCAGTAACTTCTTTGTGCTGTGTGTATTCAACTCACAGAGTGGAACGTCCCTTTACACAGAGCAGACTTGAAACACTCTTTTTGTGGAGTTTGCAAGTGGAGATTTCAAGCGATTTGATGCCAGCAGTAGAAAAGGAAATATCTTCAAATAAAAACTAGACAGAATCATTCTCAGAAAATTCTTTGTGATGTGTGCCTTCAACTCACAGAGTTTAACCTTTCTTTTCTTAGAGCAGTTTAGAAACACTCTGCTTGTTATGTCTGCAAGTGGATATTTGGACCTCTTTGAGGCCTTCGTTGCAAACGGGGTTTTTTCCTTTAATGCTAGACTAAGAAGAGTTCTCAGTAACTTTTTTGTGTTGTGTGTATTCAACTCACAGAGTTGAACCTTGCTTTAGAGAGAGCAGATTTGAAACACTCTTGCTGTGGCATTTTCAGGTGGAGATTTCAAGCGATTTGAGGACAATTGCAGAAAAGGAAATATCTTCGTATAATAACCAGACAGAATCATTCTCAGAAAGTGCTTTGTGATGTGTGCGTTCCACTCACAGAGTTTAACCTTTCTTTTCATAGAGGAGTTTGGAAACACACTGTTTGTAAACTCTGCAAGTGGATATATGGACCTGTTTGAGGCCTTCGTTGGAAACGGGATTTCTTCATTGAATGCTAGACGGAAGAATTCTCAGTAAATTCTTTGTGTTGTGTGCATTCAACTCACAGAGTAGAACGTCCCTTTAGGCAGAGCAGATTTGAAACACTCTTTTTGCGGAATTTGCAAGTGGAGATTTCTAGCCATTTGATGCCAACAGTAGAAAGGGAAATATCTTCAAATAAAAACCAGACAGAATCATTCTCAGAAAATTCTTTGTGATGTGTGCGTTCAACTCACATAGTTTAACCTTTCTTTTCATAGAGCAGTTTGGAAACACTCTGTTTGTAAAGTCTGCAAGTGGATATATGGACCGCATTGAGGCCTTCGTTGGAAACGGGATTTCTTCATTTCATGCTAGACAGAAGAATTCTCAGTAACTTCTTTGTGCTGTGTGTATTCAACTCACAGAGTGGAACGTCCCTTTGCACAGAGCAGATTTGAAACACTCTTTTTGTGGAATTTGCAAGTGGAGATTTCAAGCGATTTGATGCCAACAGTAGAAAAGGAAATATCTTCAAATAAAAACTAGACAGAATCATTCTCAGAAACTACTTTGTGATGTGTGCCTTCAACTCACAGAGTTTAACCTTTCTTTTCTTAGAGCAGTTTAGAAACACTCTGCTTGTTATGTCTGCAAGTGGATATTTGGACCTCTTTGAGGCCTTCGTTGCAAACGGGGTTTCTTCCTTTAATGCTAGACTAAGAAGAGTTCTCAGTAACTTTTTTGTGTTGTGTGTATTCAACTCACAGAGTTGAACCTTGCTTTAGAGAGAGCAGATTTGAAACACTCTTGCTGTGGCATTTTCAGGTGGAGATTTCAAGCGATTTGAGGACAATTGCAGAAAAGGAAATATCTTCGTATAACAACCAGACAGAATCATTCTCAGAAAGTGCTTTGTGATGTGTGCGTTCCACTCACAGAGTTTAACCTTTCTTTTCATAGAGGAGTTTGGAAACACACTGTTTGTAAAGTCTGCAAGTGGATATATGGACCTGTTTGAGGCCTTCGTTGGAAACGGGATTTCTTCATTGACTGCTAGACGGAAGAATTCTCAGTAAATTCTTTGTGTTGTGTGCATTCAACTCACAGAGTGGAACGTCCCTTTAGACAGAGCAGATTTGAAACACTCTTTTTGCGGAATTTGCAAGTGGAGATTTCTAGCCATTTGATGCCAACAGTAGAAAGGGAAATATCTTCAAATAAAAACCAGACAGAATCATTCTCAGAAAATTCTTTGTGATGTGTGCGTTCAACTCACATAGTTTAACCTTTCTTTTCATAGAGCAGTTTGGAAACACTCTGTTTGTAAAGTCTGCAAGTGGATCTATGGACCGCATTGAGGCCTTCGTTGGAAACGGGATTTCTTCATTTCATGCTAGACAGAAGAATTCTCAGTAACTTCTCTGTGCTGTGTGTATTCAACTCACAGACTGGAACGTCCGTTTGCACAGAGCAGATTTGAAACACTCTTTTTGTGGAATTTGCAAGTGGAGATTTCAAGCGATTTGATGCCAACAGTAGAAAAGGAAATATCTTCAAATAAAAACTAGACAGAACCATTCTCAGAAAGTACTTTGTGATGTGTGCCTTCAACTCACAGAGTTTAACCTTTCTTTTCTTAGAGCAGTTTAGAAACACTCTGCTTGTTATGTCTGCAAGTGGATATTTGGACCTCTTTGAGGCCTTCGTTGCAAACGGGGTTTCTTCCTTTCATGCTAGACTAAGAAGAGTTCTCAGTAACATTTTTGTGTTGTGTGTATTCAACTCACAGAGTTGAACCTTGCTTTAGAGAGAGCAGATTTGAAACACTCTTGCTGTGGCATTTTCAGGTGGAGATTTCAAGCGATTTGAGGACAATTGCAGAAAAGGAAATATCTTCGTATAACAACCAGACAGAATCATTCTCAGAAAGTGCTTTGTGATGTGTGCGTTCAACTCACAGAGTTTAACCTTTCTTTTCATAGAGGAGTTTGGAAACACACTGTTTGTAAAGTCTGCAATTGGATATATGGACCTGTTTGAGGCCTTCGTTGGAAACGGGATTTCTTCATTGAATGCTAGACGGAAGAATTCTCAGTAAATTCTTTGTGTGGTGTGCATTCAACTCACAGAGTGGAACGTCCCTTTAGACAGAGCAGATTTGAAACACTCTTTTTGCGGAATTTGCAAGTGGAGATTTCTAGCCATTTGATGCCAACAGTAGAAAGGGAAATATCTTCAAATAAAAACCAGACAGAATCATTCTCAGAAAATTCTTTGTGATGTGTGCGTTCAACTCACATAGTTTAACCTTTCTTTTCATAGAGCAGTTTGGAAACACTCTGTTTGTAAAGTCTGCAAGTGGATATATGGACCGCATTGAGGCCTTCGTTGGAAACGGGATTTCTTCATTTCATGCTAGACAGAAGAATTCTCAGTAACTTCTTTGTGCTGTGTGTATTCAACTCACAGAGTGGAACGTCCCTTTGCACAGAGCAGATTTGAAACACTCTTTTTGTGGAGTTTGCAAGTGGAGATTTCAAGCGATTTGATGCCAACAGTAGAAAAGGAAATATCTTCAAATAAAAACTAGACAGAATCATTCTCAGAAACTACTTTGTGATGTGTGCCTTCAACTCACAGAGTTTAACCTTTCTTTTCTTAGAGCAGTTTAGAAACACTCTGCTTGTTATGTCTGCAAGTGGATATTTGGACCTCTTTGAGGCCTTCGTTGCAAACGGGGTTTCTTCCTTTCATGCTAGACTAAGAAGAGTTCTCAGTAACTTTTTTGTGTTGTGTGTATTCAACTCACAGAGTTGAACCTTGCTTTAGAGAGAGCAGATTTGAAACACTCTTGCTGTGGCATTTTCAGGTGGAGATTTCAAGCGATTTGAGGACAATTGCAGAAAAGGAAATATCTTCGTATAATAACCAGACAGAATCATTCTCAGAAAGTGCTTTGTGATGTGTGCGTTCCACTCACAGAGTTTAACCTTTCTTTTCATAGAGGAGTTTGGAAACACACTGTTTGTAAAGTCTGCAAGTGGATATATGGACCTCTTTGAGGCCTTCGTTGGAAACGGGATTTCTTCATTGAATGCTAGACGGAAGAATTCTCAGTAAATTCTTTGTGTTGTGTGCATTCAACTCACAGAGTGGAACGTCCCTTTAGACAGAGCAGATTTGAAACACTCTTTTTGCGGAATTTGCAAGTGGAGATTTCTAGCCATTTGATGCCAACAGTAGAAAGGGAAATATCTTCAAATAAAAACCAGACAGAATCATTCTCAGAAAATTCTTTGTGATGTGTGCGTTCAACTCACATAGTTTAACCTTTCTTTTCATAGAGCAGTTTGGAAACACTCTGTTTGTAAAGTCTGCAAGTGGATATATGGACCGCATTGAGGCCTTCGTTGGAAACGGGATTTCTTCATTTCATGCTAGACAGAAGAATTCTCAGTAACTTCTTTGTGCTGTGTGTATTCAACTCACAGAGTGGAACGTCCCTTTGCACAGAGCAGATTTGAAACACTCTTTTTGTGGAGTTTGCAAGTGGAGATTTCAAGCGATTTGATGCCAACAGTAGAAAAGGAAATATCTTCAAATAAAAACTAGACAGAATCATTCTCAGAAACTACTTTGTGATGTGTGCCTTCAACTCACAGAGTTTAACCTTTCTTTTCTTAGAGCAGTTTAGAAACACTCTGCTTGTTATGTCTGCAAGTGGATATTTGGACCTCTTTGAGGCCTTCGTTGCAAACGGGGTTTCTTCCTTTCATGCTAGACTAAGAAGAGTTCTCAGTAACTTTTCCGTGTTGTGTGTATTCAACTCACAGAGTTGAACCTTGCTTTAGAGAGAGCAGATTTGAAACACTCTTGCTGTGGCATTTTCAGGTGGAGATTTCAAGCGTTTTGAGGACAATTGCAGAAAAGGAAATATCTTCGTATAATAACCAGACAGAATCATTCTCAGAAAGTGCTTTGTGATGTGTGCGTTCCACTCACAGAGTTTAACCTTTCTTTTCATAGAGGAGTTTGGAAACACACTGTTTGTAAAGTCTGCAAGTGGATATATGGACCTGTTTGAGGCCTTCGTTGGAAACGGGATTT
The DNA here is from genome assembly GCF_000001405.40 of Homo sapiens. Taxonomy (NCBI): domain Eukaryota; kingdom Metazoa; phylum Chordata; class Mammalia; order Primates; family Hominidae; genus Homo; species Homo sapiens. Next base: position 59,872,213 of record NC_000007.14, read on the forward strand.
CTTCATTGAATGCTAGACGGAAGAATTCTCAGTAAATTCTTTGTGTTGTGTGCATTCAACTCACAGAGTGGAACGTCCCTTTAGACAGAGCAGATTTGAAACACTCTTTTTGCGGAATTTGCAAGTGGAGATTTCTAGCCATTTGATGCCAACAGTAGAAAGGGAAATATCTTCAAATAAAAACCAGACAGAATCATTCTCAGAAAATTCTTTGTGATGTGTGCGTTCAACTCACATAGTTTAACCTTTCTTTTCATAGAGCAGTTTGGGAACACTCTGTTGGTAATGTCTGCAAGTGGATATATGGACCGCTTTGAGGCCTTCGTTGGAAACGGGATTTCTTCATTTCATGCTAGACAGAAGAATTCTCAGTAACTTCTTTGTGCTGTGTGTATTCAACTCACAGAGTGGAACGTCCCTTTGCACAGAGCAGATTTGAAACACTCTTTTTGTGGAATTTGCAAGTGGAGATTTCAAGCGATTTGATGCCAACAGTAGAAAAGGAAATATCTTCAAATAAAAACTAGACAGAATCATTCTCAGAAACTACTTTGTGATGTGTGCCTTCAACTCACAGAGTTTAACCTTTCTTTTCTTAGAGCAGTTTAGAAACACTCTGCTTGTTATGTCTGCAAGTGGATATTTGGACCTCTTTGAGGCCTTCTTTGCAAACGGGGTTTCTTCCTTTCATGCTAGACTAAGAAGAGTTCTCAGTAACTTTTTTGTGTTGTGTGTATTCAACTCACAGAGTTGAACGTTGCTTTAGAGAGAGCAGATTTGAAACACTCTTGCTGTGGCATTTTCAGGTGGAGATTTCAAGCGATTTGAGGACAATTGCAGAAAAGGAAATATCTTCGTATAACAACCAGACAGAATCATTCTCAGAAAGTGCTTTGTGATGTGTGCGTTCCACTCACAGAGTTTAACCTTTCTTTTCATACAGGAGTTTGGAAACACACTGTTTGTAAAGTCTGCAAGTGGATATATGGACCTGTTTGAGGCCTTCGTTGGAAAGGGGATTTTTTCATTGAATGCTAGACGGAAGAATTCTCAGTAAATTCTTTGTGTGGTGTGCATTCAACTCACAGAGTGGAACGTCCCTTTAGACAGAGCAGATTTGAAACACTCTTTTTGCGGAATTTGCAAGTGGAGATTTCTAGCCATTTGATGCCAACAGTAGAAAGGGAAATATCTTCAAATAAAAACCAGACAGAATCATTCTCAGAAAATTCTTTGTGATGTGTGCGTTCAACTCACATAGTTTAACCTTTCTTTTCATAGAGCAGTTTGGAAACACTCTGTTTGTAAAGTCTGCAAGTGGATATATGGACCGCATTGAGGCCTTCGTTGGAAACGGGATTTCTTCATTTCATGCTAGACAGAAGAATTCTCAGTAACTTCTTTGTGCTGTGTGTATTCAACTCACAGAGTGGAACGTCCCTTTGCACAGAGCAGATTTGAAACACTCTTTTTGTGGAGTTTGCAAGTGGAGATTTCAAGCGATTTGATGCCAACAGTAGAAAAGGAAATATCTTCAAATAAAAACTAGACAGAATCATTCTCAGAAACTACTTTGTGATGTGTGCCTTCAACTCACAGAGTTTAACCTTTCTTTTCTTAGAGCAGTTTAGAAACACTCTGCTTGTTATGTCTGCAAGTGGATATTTGGACCTCTTTGAGGCCTTCGTTGCAAACGGGGTTTCTTCCTTTCATGCTAGACTAAGAAGAGTTCTCAGTAACTTTTTTGTGTTGTGTGTATTCAACTCACAGAGTTGAACCTTGCTTTAGAGAGAGCAGATTTGAAACACTCTTGCTGTGGCATTTTCAGGTGGAGATTTCAAGCGATTTGAGGACAATTGCAGAAAAGGAAATATCTTCGTATAATAACCAGACAGAATCATTCTCAGAAAGTGCTTTGTGATGTGTGCGTTCCACTCACAGAGTTTAACCTTTCTTTTCATAGAGGAGTTTGGAAACACACTGTTTGTAAAGTCTGCAAGTGGATATATGGACCTCTTTGAGGCCTTCGTTGGAAACGGGATTTCTTCATTGAATGCTAGACGGAAGAATTCTCAGTAAATTCTTTGTGTTGTGTGCATTCAACTCACAGAGTGGAACGTCCCTTTAGACAGAGCAGATTTGAAACACTCTTTTTGCGGAATTTGCAAGTGGAGATTTCTAGCCATTTGATGCCAACAGTAGAAAGGGAAGTATCTTCAAATAAAAACCAGACAGAATCATTCTCAGAAAATTCTTTGTGATGTGTGCGTTCAACTCACATAGTTTAACCTTTCTTTTCATAGAGCAGTTTGGAAACACTCTGTTTGTAAAGTCTGCAAGTGGATATATGGACCGCATTGAGGCCTTCGTTGGAAACGGGATTTCTTCATTTCATGCTAGACAGAAAGAATTCTCAGTAACTTCTTTGTGCTGTGTGTATTCAACTCACATAGTGGAACGTCCCTTTGCACAGAGCAGATTTGAAACACTCTTTTTGTGGAGTTTGCAAGTGGATATTTCAAGCGATTTGATGCCAACAGTAGAAAAGGAAATATCTTCAAATAAAAACTAGACAGAATCATTCTCAGAAACTACTTTCTGATGTGTGCCTTCAACTCACAGAGTTTAACCTTTCTTTTCTTAGAGCACTTTAGAAACACTCTGCTTGTTATGTCTGCAAGTGGATATTTGGACCTCTTTGAGGCCTTCGTTGCAAACGGGGTTTCTTCCTTTCATGCTAGACTAAGAAGAGTTCTCAGTAACTTTTTTGTGTTGTGTGTATTCAACTCACAGAGTTGAACCTTGCTTTAGAGAGAGCAGATTTGAAACACTCTTGCTGTGGCATTTTCAGGTGGAGATTTCAAGCGATTTGAGGACAATTGCAGAAAAGGAAATATCTTCGTATAATAACCAGACAGAATCATTCTCAGAAAGTGCTTTGTGATGTGTGCGTTCAACTCACAGAGTTTAACCTTTCCTTTCATAGAGGAGTTTGGAAACACACTGTTTGTAAAGTCTGCAAGTGGATATATGGACCTGTTTGAGGCCTTCGTTGGAAACGGGATTTCTTCATTGAATGCTAGACGGAAGAATTCTCAGTAAATTCTTTGTGTTGTGTGCATTCAACTGACAGAGTGGAACGTCCCTTCAGACAGAGCAGATTTGAAACACTCTTTTTGCGGAATTTGCAAGTGGAGATTTCTAGCCATTTGATGCCAACAGTAGAAAGGGAAATATCTTCAAATAAAAACCAGACAGAATCATTCTCAGAAAATTCTTTGTGATGTGTGCGTTCAACTCACATAGTTTAACCTTTCTTTTCATAGAGCAGTTTGGAAACACTCTGTTTGTAAAGTCTGCAAGTGGATATATGGACCGCATTGAGGCCTTCGTTGGAAACGGGATTTCTTCATTTCATGCTAGACAGAAGAATTCTCAGTAACTTCTTTGTGCTGTGTGTATTCAACTCACAGAGTGGAACGTCCCTTTACACAGAGCAGATTTGAAACACTCTTTTTGCGGAATTTGCAAGTGGAGATTTCAAGCGATTTGATGCCAACAGTAGAAAAGGAAATATCTTCAAATAAAAACTAGACAGAATCATTCTCAGAAACTACTTTGTGATGTGTGCCTTCAACTCACAGAGTTTAACCTTTCTTTTCTTAGAGCAGTTTAGAAACACTCTGCTTGTTATGTCTGCAAGTGGATATTTGGACCTCTTTGAGGCCTTCGTTGCAAACGGGGTTTCTTCCTTTCATGCTAGACTAAGAAAGAGTTCTCAGTAACTTTTTTGTGTTGTGTGTATTCAACTCACAGAGTTGAACCTTGCTTTAGAGAGAGCAGATTTGAAACACTCTTGCTGTGGCATTTTCAGGTGGAGATTTCAAGCGATTTGAGGACAATTGCAGAAAAGGAAATATCTTCGTATAACAACCAGACAGAATCATTCTCAGAAAGTGCTTTGTGATGTGTGCGTTGAACTCACAGAGTTTAACCTTTCTTTTCATAGAGGAGTTTGGAAACACACTGTTTGTAAAGTCTGCAAGTGGATATATGGACCTGTTTGAGGCCTTCGTTGGAAACGGGATTTCTTCATTGAATGCTAGACGGAAGAATTCTCAGTAAATTCTTTGTGTTGTGTGCATTCAACTCACAGAGTGGAACGTCCCTTTAGACAGAGCAGATTTGAAACACTCTTTTTGCGGAATTTGAAAGTGGAGATTTCTAGCCATTTGATGCCAACAGTAGAAAGGGAAATATCTTCAAATAAAAACCAGACAGAATCATTCTCAGAAAATTCTTTGTGATGTGTGCGTTCAACTCACATAGTTTAACCTTTCTTTTCATAGAGCAGTTTGGAAACACTCTGTTTGTAAAGTCTGCAAGTGGATATATGGACCGCATTGAGGCCTTCGTTGGAAACGGGATTTCTTCATTTCATGCTAGACAGAAGAATTCTCAGTAACTTCTTTGTGCTGTGTGTATTCAACTCACAGAGTGGAACGTCCCTTTACACAGAGCAGATTTGAAACACTCTTTTTGTGGAGTTTGCAAGTGGAGATTTCAAGCGATTTGATGCCAACAGTAGAAAAGGAAGTATCTTCAAATAAAAACTAGACAGAATCATTCTCAGAAACTACTTTGTGATGTGTGCCTTCAACTCACAGAGTTTAACCTTTCTTTTCTTAGAGCAGTTTAGAAACACTCTGCTTGTTATGTCTGCAAGTGGATATTTGGACCTCTTTGAGGCCTTCGTTGCAAACGGGGTTTCTTCCTTTCATGCTAGACTAAGAAGAGTTCTCAGTAACTTTTTTGTGTTGTGTGTATTCAACTCACAGAGTTGAACCTTGCTTTAGAGAGAGCAGATTTGAAACACTCTTGCTGTGGCATTTTCAGGTGGAGATTTCAAGCGATTTGAGGACAAATTGCAGAAAAGGAAATATCTTCGTATAATAACCAGACAGAATCATTCTCAGAAAGTGCTTTGTGATGTGTGCGTTCAACTCACAGAGTTTAACCTTTCTTTTCATAGAGGAGTTTCGAAACACACTGTTTGTAAAGTCTGCAAGTGGATATATGGACCTGTTTGAGGCCTTCGTTGGAAACGGGATTTTATCATATAATGCTAGACGGAAGAATTCTCAGTAAATTCTTTGTGTTGTGTGCATTCAACTCACCGAGTGGAACGTCCCTTTAGACAGAGAAGATTTTAAACACTCTTTTTGCGGAATTTGCAAGTGGAGTTTTCTAGCCATTTGATGCCAACAGTAGAAAGGGAAATATCTTCAAATAAAAACCAGACAGAATCATTCTCAGAAAATTCTTTGTGATGTGTGCGTTCAACTCACATAGTTTAACCTTTCTTTTCATAGAGCAGTTTGGAAACACTCTGTTTGTAAAGTCTGCAAGTGGATATATGGACCGCATTGAGGCCTTCGTTGGAAACGGGATTTCTTCATTTCATGCTAGACAGAAGAATTCTCAGTAACTTCTTTGTGCTGTGTGTATTCAACTCACAGAGTGGAACGTCCCTTTGCACAGAGCAGATTTGAAACACTCTTTTTGTGGAGTTTGCAAGTGGAGATTTCAAGCGATTTGATGCCAACAGTAGAAAAGGAAATATCTTCAAATAAAAACTAGACAGAATCATTCTCAGAAACTACTTTGTGATGTGTGCCTTCAACTCACAGAGTTTAACCTTTCTTTTCTTAGAGCAGGTTAGAAACACTCTGCTTGTTATGTCTGCAAGTGGATATTTGGACCTCTTTGAGGCCTTCGTTGCAAACGGGGTTTCTTCCTTTCATGCTAGACTAAGAAGAGTTCTCAGTAACTTTTTTGTGTTGTGTGTATTCAACTCACAGAGTTGAACCTTGCTTTAGAGAGAGCAGATTTGAAACACTCTTGCTGTGGCATTTTCAGGTGGAGATTTCAAGCGATTTGAGGACAATTGCAGAAAAGGAAATATCTTCCGTATAATAACCAGACAGAATCATTCTCAGAAAGTGCTTTGTGATGTGTGCGTTCCACTCACAGAGTTTAACCTTTCTTTTCATAGAGGAGTTTGGAAACACACTGTTTGTAAAGTCTGCAAGTGGATATATGGACCTGTTTGAGGCCTTCGTTGGAAACGGGATTTCTTCATTGAATGCTAGACGGAAGAATTCTCAGTAAATTCTTTCTGTTGTGTGCATTCAACTCACACAGTGGAACGTCCCTTTAGACAGAGCAGATTTGAAACACTCTTTTTGCGGAAGTTGCAAGTGGAGATTTCTAGCCATTTGATGCCAACAGTACAAAGGGAAATATCTTCAAATAAAAACTAGACAGAATCATTCTCAGAAAGTGCTTTGTGATGTGTGCGTTCAACTCACAGAGTTTAACCTTTCTTTTCATAGAGGAGTTTGGAAACACACTGTTTGTAAAGTCTGCAATTGGATATATGGACCTGTTTGAGGCCTTCGTTGGAAACGGGATTTCTTCATTGCATGCTAGACGGAAGAATTCTCAGTAAATTCTTTGTGTTGTGTGCATTCAACTGACAGAGTGGAACGTCCCTTTAGACAGAGCAGATTTGAAACACTCTTTTTGCGGAATTTGCAAGTGGAGATTTCTAGCCATTTGATGCCAACAGTAGAAAGGGAAATATCTTCAAATAAAAACCAGACAGAATCATTCTCAGAAAATTCTTTGTGATGTGTGCGTTCAACTCACATAGTTTAACCTTTCTTTTCATAGAGCAGTTTGGAAACACTCTGTTTGTAAAGTCTGCAAGTGGATATATGGAACGCATTGAGGCCTTCGTTGGAAACGGGATTTCTTCATTTCATGCTAGACAGAAGAATTCTCAGTAACTTCTTTGTGCTGTGTGTATTCAATTCACAGAGTGGAACGTCCCTTTACACAGAGCAGATTTGAAACACTCTTTTTGTGGAGTTTGCAAGTGGAGATTTCAAGCGATTTGATGCCAACAGTAGAAAAGGAAATATCTTCAAATAAAAACTAGACAGAATCATTCTCAGAAACTACTTTGTGATGTGTGCCTTTAACTCACAGAGTTTAACCTTTCTTTTCTTAGAGCAGTTTAGAAACACTCTGCTTGTTATGTCTGCAAGTGGATATTTGGACCTCTTTGAGGACTTCGTTGCAAACGGGGTTTCTTCCTTTAATGCTAGACTAAGAAGAGTTCTCAGTAACTTTTTTGTGTTGTGTGTATTCAACTCACAGAGTTGAACCTTGCTTTAGAGAGAGCAGATTTGAAACACTCTTGCTGTGGCATTTTCAGGTGGAGATTTCAAGCGATTTGAGGACAATTGCAGAAAAGGAAATATCTTCGTATAATAACCAGACAGAATCATTCTCAGAAAGTGCTTTGTGATGTGTGCGTTCAACTCACAGAGTTTAACCTTTCTTTTCATAGAGGAGTTTGGAAACACACTGTTTTAAAGTCTGCAATTGGATATATGGACCTGTTTGAGGCCTCCGTTGGAAACGGGATTTCTTCATTGAATGCTAGACGGAAGAATTCTCAGTAAATTCTTTGTGTTGTGTGCATTCAACTCAGAGAGTGGAACGTCCCTTTAGACAGAGCAGATTTGAAACACTCTTTTTGCGGAATTTGCAAGTGGAGATTTCTAGCCATTTGATGCCAACAGTAGAAAGGGAAATATCTTCAAATAAAAACCAGACAGAATCATTCTCAGAAAATTCTTTGTGATGTGTGCGTTCAACTCACATAGTTTAACCTTTCTTTTCATAGAGCAGTTTGGAAACACTCTGTTTGTAAAGTCTGCAAGTGGATATATGGACCGCATTGAGGCCTTCGTTGGAAACGGGATTTCTTCATTTCATGCTAGACAGAAGAATTCTCAGTAACTTCTTTGTGCTGTGTGTATTCAACTCACAGAGTGGAACGTCCCTTTGCACAGAGCAGATTTGAAACACTCTTTTTGTGGAATTTGCAAGTGGAGATTTCAAGCGATTTGATGCCAACAGTAGAAAAGGAAATATCTTCAAATAAAAACTAGACAGAATCATTCTCAGAAACTACTTTGTGATGTGTGCCTTCAACTCACAGAGTTTAACCTTTCTTTTCTTAGAGCAGTTTAGAAACACTCTGCTTGTTATGTCTGCAAGTGGATATTTGGACCTCTTTGAGGCCTTCGTTGCAAACGGGGTTTCTTCATTTAATGCTAGACTAAGAAGAGTTCTCAGTAACTTTTTTGTGTTGTGTGTATTCAACTCACAGAGTTGAACCTTGCTTTAGAGAGAGCATATTTGAAACACTCTTCCTGTGGCATTTTCAGGTGGAGATTTCAAGCGATTTGAGGACAATTGCAGAAAAGGAAATATCTTCGTATAATAACCAGACAGAATCATTCTCAGAAAGTGCTTTGTGATGTGTGGGTTCAACTCACAGAGTTTAACCTTTCTTTTCATAGAGGAGTTTGGAAACACACTGTTTGTAAAGTCTGCAATTGGATATATGGACCTGTTTGAGGCCTTCGTTGGAAACGGGATTTCTTCATTGACTGCTAGACAGAAGAGTTCTCAGTAACTTTTTTGTGTTGTGTGCATTCAACTCACAGAGTGGAACGTCCCTTTAGACAGAGCAGATTTGAAACACTCTTTTTGCGGAAGTTGCAGGTGGAGATTTCTAGCCATTTGTTGCCAACAGTACAAAGGGAAATATCTTCAAATAAAAACTAGACAGAATCATTCTCAGAAAATTCTTTGTGATGTGTGCGTTCAACTCACATAGTTTAACCTTTCTTTTCATAGAGCAGTTTGGAAACACTCTGTTTGTAAAGTCTGCAAGTGGATATATGGACCGTATTGAGGCCTTCGTTGGAAACGGGATTTCTTCATTTCATGCTAGACAGAAGAATTCTCAGTAACTTCTTTGTGCTGTGTGTATTCAACTCACAGAGTGGAACGTCCCTTTGCACAGAGCAGATTTGAAACACTCTTTTTGTGGAGTTTGCAAGTGGAGATTTCAAGCGATTTGATGCCAACAGTAGAAAAGGAAATATCTTCAAATAAAAACTAGACAGAATCATTCTCAGAAACTACTTTGTGATGTGTGCCTTTAACTCACAGAGTTTAACCTTTCTTTTCATAGAGCAGTTTGGAAACACTCTGTTTGTAAAGTCTGCAAGTGGATATTTGGACCTCTTTGAGGCCTTCGTTGCAAACGGGGTTTCTTCCTTTAATGCTAGACTAAGAAGAGTTCTCAGTAACTTTTTTGTGTTGTGTGTATTCAACTCACAGAGTTGAACCTTGCTTTAGAGAGAGCAGATTTGAAACACTCTCGCTGTGGAATTTTCAGGTGGAGATTTCAAGCGATTTGAGGACAATTGCAGAAAAGGAAATATCTTCGTATAATAACCAGACAGAATCATTCTCAGAAAGTGCTTTGTGATGTGTGCGTTCAACTCACAGAGTTTAACCTTTCTTTTCATAGAGGAGTTTGGAAACACACTGTTTGTAAAGTCTGCAATTGGATATATGGACCTGTTTGAGGCCTTCGTTGGAAACGGGATTTCTTCATTGAATGCTAGACGGAAGAATTCTCAGTAAATTCTTTGTGTTGTGTGCATTCAACTGACAGAGTGGAACGTCCCTTAAGACAGAGCAGATTTGAAACACTCTTTTTGCGGAATTTGCAAGTGGAGATTTCTAGCCATTTGATGCCAACAGTAGAAAGGGAAACATCTTCAAATAAAAACCAGAGAGAATCATTCTCAGAAAATTCTTTGTGATGTGTGCGTTCAACTCACATAGTTTAACCTTTCTTTTCATAGAGCAGTTTGGAAACACTCTGTTTGTAAAGTCTGCAAGTGGATATATGGACCGCATTGAGGCCTTCGTTGGAAACGGGATTTCTTCATTTCATGCTAGACAGAAGAATTCTCAGTATCTTCTTTGTGCTGTGTGTATTCAACTCACAGAGTGGAACGTCCCTTTGCACAGAGCAGATTTGAAACACTCTTTTTGTGGAGTTTGCAAGTGGAGATTTCAAGCGATTTGATGCCAACAGTAGAAAAGGAAATATCTTCAAATAAAAACTAGACAGAATCATTCTCAGAAACTACTTTCTGATGTGTGCCTTTAACTCACAGAGTTTAACCTTTCTTTTCTTAGAGCAGTTTAGAAACACTCTGCTTGTTATGTCTGCAAGTGGATATTTGGACCTCTTTGAGGCCTTCGTTGCAAACGGGTTTTCTTCCTTTAATGCTAGACTAAGAAGAGTTCTCAGTAACTTTTTTGTGTTGTGTGTATTCAACTCACAGAGTTGAACCTTGCTTTAGAGAGAGCAGATTTGAAACACTCTTGCTGTGGCATTTTCAGGTGGAGATTTCAAGCGATTTGAGGACAATTGCAGAAAAGGAAATATCTTCGTATAATAACCAGACAGAATCATTCTCAGAAAGTGCTTTGTGATGTGTGCGTTCCACTCACAGAGTTTAACCTTTCTTTTCATAGAGGAGTTTGGAAACACACTGTTTGTAAAGTCTGCAAGTGGATATATGGACCTGTTTGAGGCCTTCGTTGGAAACGGGATTTCTTCATTGAATGCTAGACGGAAGAATTCTCAGTAAATTCTTTGTGTTGTGTGCATTCAACTCACAGAGTGGAACGTCCCTTTAGACAGAGCAGATTTGAAACACTCTTTTTGCGGAATTTGCAAGTGGAGATTTCTAGCCATTTGATGCCAACAGTAGAAAGGGAAATATCTTCAAATAAAAACCAGACAGAATCATTCTCAGAAAATTCTTTGTGATGTGTGCGTTCAACTCACATAGTTTAACCTTTCTTTTCATAGAGCAGTTTGGAAACACTCTGTTTGTAAAGTCTGCAAGTGGATATATGGACCGCATTGAGGCCTTCGTTGGAAACGGGATTTCTTCATTTCATGCTAGACAGAAGAATTCTCAGTAACTTCTTTGTGCTGTGTGTATTCAACTCACAGAGTGGAACGTCCCTTTACACAGAGCAGATTTGAAACACTCTTTTTGTGGAGTTTGCAAGTGGAGATTTCAAGCGATTTGATGCCAACAGTAGAAAAGGAAATATCTTCAAATAAAAACTAGACAGAATCATTCTCAGAAACTACTTTGTGATGTGTGCCTTCAACTCACAGAGTTTAACCTTTCTTTTCTTAGAGCAGTTTAGAAACACTCTGCTTGTTATGTCTGCAAGTGGATATTTGGACCTCTTTGAGGCCTTCGTTGCAAACGGGGTTTCTTCCTTTAATGCTAGACTAAGAAGAGTTCTCAGTAACTTTTTTGTGTTGTGTGCATTCAACTCACAGAGTGGAACGTCCCTTTAGACAGAGCAGATTTGAAACACTCTTTTTGCGGAAGTTGCAAGTGGAGATTTCTAGCCATTTGATGCCAACAGTAGAAAGGGAAATATCTTCAAATAAAAACCAGACAGAATCATTCTCAGAAAATTCTTTGTGATGTGTGCGTTCAACTCACATAGTTTAACCTTTCTTTTCATAGAGCAGTTTGGAAACACTCTGTTTGTAAAGTCTGCAAGTGGATATATGGACCGCATTGAGGCCTTCGTTGGAAACGGGATTTCTTCATTTCATGCTAGACAGAAGAATTCTCAGTAACTTCTTTGTGCTGTGTGTATTCAACTCACAGAGTGGAACGTTCCTTTACACAGAGCAGATTTGAAACACTCTTTTTGTTGAATTTGCAAGTGGAGATTTCAAGCGATTTGATGCCAACAGTAGAAAAGGAAATATCTTCAAATAAAAACTAGACAGAATCATTCTCAGAAACTACTTTGTGATGTGTGCCTTCAACTCAGAGTTTAACCTTTCTTTTCTTAGAGCAGTTTAGAAACACTCTGCTTGTTATGTCTGCAAGTGGATATTTGGACCTCTTTGAGGCCTTCGTTGCAAACGGTGTTTCTTCCTTTTATGCTAGACTAAGAAGAGTTCTCAGTAACTTTTTTGTGTTGTGTGTATTCAACTCACAGAGTTGAACCTTGCTTTAGAGAGAGCAGATTTGAAACACTCTTGCTGTGGCATTTTCAGGTGGAGATTTCAAGCGATTTGAGGACAATTGCAGAAAAGGAAATATCTTCGTATAATAACCAGACAGAATCATTCTCAGAAAGTGCTTTGTGATGTGTGCGTTCAACTCACAGAGTTTAACCTTTCTTTTCATAGAGGAGCTTGGAAACACACTGTTTGTAAAGTCTGCAATTGGATATATGGACCTGTTTGAGGCCTCCGTTGGAAACGGGATTTCTTCATTGAATGCTAGACGGAAGAATTCTCAGTAAATTCTTTGTGTTGTGTGCATTGAACTCACAGAGTGGAACGTCCCTTTAGACAGAGCAGATTTGAAACACTCTTTTTGCGGAATTTGCAAGTGGAGATTTCTAGCCATTTGATGTCAACAGTAGAAAGGGAAATATCTTCAAATAAAAACCAGACAGAATCATTCTCAGAAAATTCTTTGTGATGTGTGCGTTCAACTCACATAGTTTAACCTTTCTTTTCATAGAGCAGTTTGGAAACACTCTGTTTGTAAAGTCTGCAAGTGGATATATGGACCGCATTGAGGCCTTCGTTGGAAACGGGATTTCTTCATTTCATGCTAGACAGAAGAATTCTCAGTAACTTCTTTGTGCTGTGTGTATTCAACTCACAGAGTGGAACGTCCCTTTGCACAGAGGAGATTTGAAACACTCTTTTTGTGGAGTTTGCAAGTGGAGATTTCAAGCGATTTGATGCCAACAGTAGAAAAGGAAGTATCTTCAAATAAAAACTAGACAGAATCATTCTCAGTAAACTACTTTGTGATGTGTGCCTTCAACTCACCGAGTTTAACCTTTCTTTTCTGAGAGCAGCTTAGAAACACTCTGCTTGTTATGTCTGCAAGTTGATATTTGGACCTCTTTGAGGCCTTCGTTGCAAACGGGGTTTCTTCCTTTAATGCTAGACTAAGAAGAGTTCTCAGTAACTTTTTTGTGTTGTGTGTATTCAACTCACAGAGTTGAACCTTGCTTTAGAGAGAGCAGATTTGAAACACTCTTGCTGTGGAATTTTCTGGTGGAGATTTCAAGCGATTTGAGGACAATTGCAGAAAAGGAAATATCTTCGTATAATAACCAGACAGAATCATTCTCAGAAAGTGCTTTGTGATGTGTGCGTTCAACTCACAGAGTTTAACCTTTCTTTTCATAGAGGAGTTTGGAAACACACTGTTTGTAATGTCTGCAATTGGATATATGGACCTGTTTGAGGCCTTCGTTGGAAACGGGATTTCTTCATTGAATGCTAGACGGAAGAATTCTCAGTAAATTCTTTGTGTTGTGTGCATTCAACTCACAGAGTGGAACGTCCCTTTAGACAGAGCAGATTTGAAACACTTTTTGGCGGAATTTGCAAGTGGAGATTTCAAGCCATTTGATGCCAACAGTAGAAAGGGAAATATCTTCAAATAAAAACCAGACAGAATCATTCTCAGAAAATTCTTTGTGATGTGTGCGTTCAACTCACATAGTTTAACCTTTCTTTTCATAGAGCAGTTTGGAAACACTCTGTTTGTAAAGTCTGCAAGTGGATATATGGACCGCATTGAGGCCTTCGTTGGAAACGGGATTTCTTCATTTCATGCTAGACAGAAGAATTCTCAGTAACTTCTTTGTGCTGTGTGTATTCAACTCACAGAGTGGAACGTCCCTTTGCACAGAGCAGATTTGAAACACTCTTTTTGTGGAGTTTGCAAGTGGAGATTTCAAGCGATTTGATGCCAACAGTAGAAAAGGAAATATCTTCAAATAAAAACTAGACAGAATCATTCTCAGAAACTACTTTGTGATGTGTGCCTTCAACTCACAGAGTTTAACCTTTCTTTTCTTAGAGCAGTTTAGAAACACTCTGCTTGTTATGTCTGCAAGTGGATATTTGGACCTCTTTGAGGCCTTCGTTGCAAACGGGGTTTCTTCCTTTCATGCTAGACTAAGAAGAGTTCTCAGTAACTTTTTTGTGTTGTGTGTATTCAACTCACAGAGTTGAACCTTGCTTTAGAGAGAGCAGATTTGAAACACTCTTGCTGTGGCATTTTCAGGTGGAGATTTCAAGCGATTTGAGGACAATTGCAGAAAAGGAAATATCTTCGTATAATAACCAGACAGAATCATTCTCAGAAAGTGCTTTGTGATGTGTGCGTTCCACTCACAGCAGTTTAACCTTTCTTTTCATAGAGGAGTTTGGAAACACACTGTTTGTAAACTCTGCAAGAGGATATATGGACCTGTTTGAGGCCTTCGTTGGAAACGGGATTTCTTCATTGAATGCTAGACGGAAGAATTCTCAGTAAATTCTTTGTGTTGTGTGCATTCAACTCACAGAGTGGAACGTCCCTTTAGACAGAGCAGATTTGAAACACTTTTTGGCGGAATTTGCAAGTGGAGATTTCTAGCCATTTGATGCCAACAGTAGAAAGGGAAATATCTTCAAATAAAAAGCAGACAGAATCATTCTCAGAAAATTCTTTGTGATGTGTGCGTTCAACTCACATAGTTTAACCTTTCTTTTCATAGAGCAGTTTGGAAACACTCTGTTTGTAAAGTCTGCAAGTGGATCTATGGACCGCATTGAGGCCTTCGTTGGAAACGGGATTTCTTCATTTCATGCTAGACAGAAGAATTCTCAGTAACTTCTTTGTGCTGTGTGTATTCAACTCACAGAGTGGAACGTCCCTTTGCACAGAGCAGATTTGAAACACTCTTTTTGTGGAGTTTGCAAGTGGAGATTTCAAGCGATTTGATGCCAACAGTAGAAAAGGAAATATCTTCAAATAAAAACTAGACAGAATCATTCTCAGAAACTACTTTGTGATGTGTGCCTTCAACTCACAGAGTTTAACCTTTCTTTTCTTAGAGCAGTTTAGAAACACTCTGCTTGTTATGTCTGCAAGTGGATATTTGGACCTCTTTGAGGCCTTCGTTGCAAACGGGGTTTCTTCCTTTCATGCTAGACTAAGAAGAGTTCTCAGTAACTTTTTTATGTTGTGTGTATTCAACTCACAGAGTTGAACCTTGCTTTAGAGAGAGCAGATTTGAAACACTCTTGCTGTGGCATTTTCAGGTGGAGATTTCAAGCGATTTGAGGACAATTGCAGAAAAGGAAATATCTTCGTATAATAACCAGACAGAATCATTCTCAGAAAGTGCTTTGTGATGTGTGCGTTCAACTCACAGAGTTTAACTTTTCTTTCCATAGAGGAGTTTGGAAACACACTGTTTGTAAAGTCTGCAAGTGGATATATGGACCTGTTTGAGGCCTTCGTTGGAAACGGGATTTCTTCATTGAATGCTAGACGGAAGAATTCTCAGTAAATTCTTTGTGTTGTGTGCATTCAACTCACAGAGTGGAACGTCCCTTTAGACAGAGCAGATTTGAAACACTCTTTTTGCGGAATTTGCAAGTGGAGATTTCTAGCCATTTGATGCCAACAGTAGAAAGGGAAATATCTTCAAATAAAAACCAGACAGAATCATCCTCAGAAAATTCTTTGTGATGTGTGCGTTCAACTCACATAGTTTAACCTTTCTTTTCATAGACCAGTCTGGAAACACTCTGTTGGTAATGTCTGCAAGTGGATATATGGACCGCTTTGAGGACTTCGTTGGAAACGGGATTTCTTAATTTCATGCTAGACAGAAGAATTCTCAGTAACTTCTTTGTGCTGTGTGTATTCAACTCACAGAGTGGAACGTCCCTTTGCACAGAGCAGATTTGAAACACTCTTTTTGTGGAGTTTGCAAGTGGAGATTTCAAGCGATTTGATGCCAACAGTAGAAAAGGAAATATCTTCAAATAAAAACTAGACAGAATCATTCTCAGAAACTACTTTGTGATGTGTGCCTTCAACTCACAGAGTTTAACCTTTCTTTTCTTAGAGCAGTTTAGAAACACTCTGCTTGTTATGTCTGCAAGTGGATATTTGGACCTCTTTGAGGCCTTCGTTGCAAACGGGGTTTCTTCCTTTCATGCTAGACAAAGAGGAAGAGTTCTCAGTAACTTTTTTGTGTTGTGTGTATTCAACTCACAGAGTTGAACCTTGCTTTAGAGAGAGCAGATTTGAAACACTCTTGCTGTGGCATTTTCAGGTGGAGATTTCAAGCGATTTGAGGACAATTGCAGAAAAGGAAATATCTTCGTATAACAACCAGACAGAATCATTCTCAGAAAGTGCTTTGTGATGTGTGCGTTCAACTCACAGAGTTTAACCTTTCTTTTCATAGAGGAGTTTGGAAACACACTGTTTGTAAAGTCTGCAATTGGATATATGGACCTGTTTGAGGCCTTCGTTGGAAACGGGATTTCTTCATTGAATGCTAGACGGAAGAATTCTCAGTAAATACTTTGTGTTGTGTGCATTCAACTGACAGAGTGGAACGTCCCTTTAGACAGAGCAGATTTGAAACACTCTTTTTGCGGAATTTGCAAGTGGAGATTTCTAGCCATTTGATGCCAACAGTAGAAAGGGAAATATCTTCAAATAAAAACCAGACAGAATCATTCTCAGAAAATTCTTTGTGATGTGTGCGTTCAACTCACATAGTTTTACCTTTCTTTTCATAGAGCAGTTTGGAAACACTCTGTTTGTAAAGTCTGCAAGTGGATATATGGACCGCACTGAGGCCTTCGTTGGAAACGGGATTTCTTCATTTCATGCTAGACAGAAGAATTCTCAGTAACTTCTTTGTGCTGTGTGTATTCAACTCACAGAGTGGAACGTCCCTTTACACAGAGCAGATTTGAAACACTCTTTTTGTGGAGTTTGCAAGTGGAGATTTCAAGCGATTTGATGCCAACAGTAGAAAAGGAAATATCTTCAAATAAAAACTAGACAGAATCATTCTCAGAAACTACTTTGTGATGTGTGCCTTCAACTCACAGAGTTTAACCTTTCTTTTCTTAGAGCACTTTAGAAACACTCTGCTTGTTATGTCTGCAAGTGGATATTTGGACCTCTTTGAGGCCTTCGTTGCAAACGGGTTTTCTTCCTCTAATGCTAGACTAAGAAGAATTCTCAGTAACTTCTTTGTGCTGTGTGTATTCAACTCACAGAGTTGAACCTTGCTTTAGAGAGAGCAGATTTGAAACACTCTTGCTGTGGCATTTTCAGGTGGAGATTTCAAGCGATTTGAGGAAAATTGCAGAAAAGGGAATATCTTCGTATAATAACCAGGCAGAATCATTCTCAGAATGTGCTTTGTGATGTGTGCGTTCAACTCACAGAGTTTAACCTTTCTTTTCATAGAGGAGTTTGGAAACACACTGTTTGTAAAGTCTGCAATTGGATATATGGACCTGTTTGAGGCCTTCGTTGGAAACGGGATTTCTTCATTGAATGCTAGGCGGAAGAATTCTCAGTAAATTCTTTGTGTTGTGTGCATTCAACTCACAGAGTGGAACGTCCCTTTAGACAGAGCAGATTTGAAACACTCTTTTTGCGGAATTTGCAAGTGGAGATTTCTAGCCATTTGATGCCAACAGTAGAAAGGGAAATATCTTCAAATAAAAACCAGACAGAATCATTCTCAGAAAATTCTTTGTGATGTGTGCGTTCAACTCACATAGTTTAACCTTTCTTTTCATAGAGCAGTTTGGAAACACTCTGTTTGTAAAGTCTGCAAGTGGATATATGGACCGCATTGAGGCCTTCGTTGGAAACGGGATTTCTTCATTTCATGCTAGACAGAAGAATTCTCAGTAACTTCTTTGTGCTGTGTGTATTCAACTCACAGAGTGGAACGTCCCTTTGCACAGAGCAGATTTGAAACACTCTTTTTGTGGAGTTTGCAAGTGGAGATTTCAAGCGATTTGATGCCAACAGTAGAAAAGGAAATATCTTCAAATAAAAACTAGACAGAATCATTCTCAGAAACTACTTTGTGATGTGTGCCTTCAACTCACAGAGTTTAACCTTTCTTTTCTTAGAGCAGTTTAGAAACACTCTGCTTGTTATGTCTGCAAGTGGATATTTGGACCTCTTTGAGGCCTTCGTTGCAAACGGGGTTTCTTCCTTTCATGCTAGACTAAGAAGAGTTCTCAGTAACTTTTTTGTGTTGTGTGTATTCAACTCACAGAGTTGAACCTTGCTTTAGAGAGAGCAGATTTGAAACACTCTTGCTGTGGCATTTTCAGGTGGAGATTTCAAGCGATTTGAGGACAATTGCAGAAAAGGAAATATCTTCGTATAATAACCAGACAGAATCATTCTCAGAAAGTGCTTTGTGATGTGTGCGTTCAACTCACAGAGTTTAACCTTTCTTTTCATAGAGGAGTTTGGAAACACACTGTTTGTAATGTCTGCAATTGGATATATGGACCTGTTTGAGGCCTTCGTTGGAAACGGGATTTCTTCATTGAATGCTAGACAGAAGAATTCTCAGTAAATTCTTTGTGTTGTGTGCATTGAACTCACAGAAGTGGAACGTCCCTTTAGACAGAGCAGATTTGAAACACTCTTTTTGCGGAATTTGCAAGTGGAGATTTCTAGCCATTTGATGTCAACAGTAGAAAGGGAAATATCTTCAAATAAAAACCAGACAGAATCATTCTCAGAAAATTCTTTGTGATGTGTGCGTTCAACTCACATAGTTTAACCTTTCTTTTCATAGAGCAGTTTGGAAACACTCTGTTTGTAAAGTCTGCAAGTGGATATATGGACCGCATTGAGGCCTTCGTTGGAAACGGGATTTCTTCATTTCATGCTAGACAGAAGAATTCTCAGTAACTTCTTTGTGCTGTGTGTATTCAACTCACAGAGTGGAACGTCCCTTTGCACAGAGCAGATTTGAAACACTCTTTTTGTGGAGTTTGCAAGTGGAGATTTCAAGCGATTTGATGCCAACAGTAGAAAAGGAAATATCTTCAAATAAAAACTAGACAGAATCATTCTCAGAAACTACTTTGTGATGTGTGCCTTCAACTCACAGAGTTTAACCTTTCTTTTCTTAGAGCAGTTTAGAAACACTCTGCTTGTTATGTCTGCAAGTGGATATTTGGACCTCTTTGAGGCCTTCGTTGCAAACGGGGTTTCTTCCTTTCATGCTAGACTAAGAAGAGTTCTCAGTAACTTTTTTGTGTTGTGTGTATTCAACTCACAGAGTTGAACCTTGCTTTAGAGAGAGCAGATTTGAAACACTCTTGCTGTGGCATTTTCAGGTGGAGATTTCAAGCGATTTGAGGACAATTACAGAAAAGGAAATATCTTCGTATAACAACCAGACAGAATCATTCTCAGAAAGTGCTTTGTGATGTGTGCGTTCCACTCACAGAGTTTAACCTTTCTTTTCATAGAGGAGTTTGGAAACACACTGTTTGTAAACTCTGCAAGTGGATATATGGACCTGTTTGAGGCCTTCGTTGGAAACGGGATTTCTTCATTGAATGCTAGACGGAAGAATTCTCAGTAAATTCTTTGTGTTGTGTGCATTCAACTCACAGAGTGGAACGTCCCTTTAGACAGAGCAGATTTGAAACACTCTTTTTGCGGAATTTGCAAGTGGAGATTTCTAGCCATTTGATGCCAACAGTAGAAAGGGAAATATCTTCAAATAAAAACCAGACAGAATTATTCTCAGAAACTACTTTGTGATGTGTGCGTTCAACTCACATTGTTTAACCTTTCTTTTCATAGAGCAGTTTGGAAACACTCTGTTTGTAATGTCCGCAAGAGGATATTTGGACCTCTTGGAGGATTTCGTTGGAAACGGGATTGCTTCATATAATGCAAGACGGAAGAATTCTCAGTAACTTCTTTGTGCTGTGTGTATTCAACTCACAGAGTGGGAACGTCCCTTTACACAGAGCAGATTTGAAACACTCTTTTTGTGGAATTTGCAAGTGGAGATTTCAAGCGATTTGATGCCAACAGTAGAAAAGGAGATATCTTCAAATAAAAACTAGACAGAATCATTCTCAGAAACTACTTTGTGATGTGTGCCTTCAACTCACAGAGTTTAACCTTTCTTTTCTTAGAGCAGTTTAGAAACACTCTGCTTGTTATGTCTGCAAGTGGATATTTGGACCTCTTTGAGGCCTTCAGTTGCAAACAGGGTTTCTTCCTTTAATGCTAGACTAAGAAGAGTTCTCAGTAACTTTTTTGTGTTGTGTGTATTCAACTCACAGAGTTGAACCTTGCTTTAGAGAGAGCAGATTTGAAACACTCTTGCTGTGGCATTTTCAGGTGGAGATTTCAAGCGATTTGAGGACAATTGCAGAAAAGGAAATATCTTCGTATAATAACCAGACAGAATCATTCTCAGAAAGTGCTTTGTGATGTGTGCGTTCCACTCACAGAGTTTAACCTTTCTTTTCATAGAGGAGTTTGGAAACACACTGTTTGTAAAGTCTGCAAGTGGATATATGGACCTGTTTGAGGCCTTCGTTGGAAACGGGATTTCTTCATTGAATGCTAGACGGAAGAATTCTCAGTAAATTCTTTGTGTTGTGTGCATTCAACTCGAGCAGAGTGGAACGTCCCTTTAGACAGAGCAGATTTGAAACACTCTTTTTTCGGAATTTGCAAGTGGAGATTTCTAGCCATTTGATGCCAACAGTAGAAAGGGAAATATCTTCAAATAAAAACCAGACAGAATCATTCTCAGAAAATTCTTTGTGATGTGTGCGTTCAACTCACATAGTTTAACCTTTCTTTTCATAGAGCAGTTTGGAAACACTCTGTTTGTAAAGTCTGCAAGTGGATATATGGACCGCATTGAGGCCTTCGTTGGAAACGGGATTTCTTCATTTCATGCTAGACAGAAGAATTCTCAGTAACTTCTTTGTGCTGTGTGTATTCAACTCACAGAGTGGAACGTCCCTTTACACAGAGCAGATTTGAAACACTCTTTTTGTGGAGTTTGCAAGTGGAGATTTCAAGCGATTTGATGCCAACAGTAGAAAAGGAAATATCTTCAAATAAAAACTAGACAGAATCATTCTCAGAAACTACTTTGTGATGTGTGCCTTCAACTCACAGAGTTTAACCTTTCTTTTCTTAGAGCAGTTTAGAAACACTCTGCTTGTTATGTCTGCAAGTGGATATTTGGACCTCTTTGAGGCCTTCGTTGCAAACGGGGTTTCTTCCTTTCATGCTAGACTAAGAAGAGTTCTCAGTAACTTTTCTGTGTTGTGTGTATTCAACTCACAGAGTTGAACCTTGCTTTAGAGAGAGCAGATTTGAAACACTCTTGCTGTGGCATTTTCAGGTGGAGATTTCAATCGTTTTGAGGACAATTGCAGAAAAGGAAATATCTTCGTATAATAACCAGACAGAATCATTCTCAGAAAGTGCTTTGTGATGTGTGCGTTCCACTCACAGAGTTTAACCTTTCTTTTCATAGAGGAGTTTGGAAACACACTGTTTGTAAACTCTGCAAGTGGATATATGGACCTGTTTGAGGCCTTCGTTGGAAACGGGATTTCTTCATTGAATGCTAGACGGAAGAATTCTCAGTAAATTCTTTGTGTTGTGTGCATTCAACTCACAGAGTGGAACGTCCCTTTAGACAGAGCAGATTTGAAACACTCTTTTTGCGGAATTTGCAAGTGGAGATTTCTAGCCATTTGATGCCAACAGTAGAAAGGGAAATATCTTCAAATAAAAACCAGACAGAATCATTCTCAGAAAATTCTTTGTGATGAGTGCGTTCAACTCACATAGTTTAACCTTTCTTTTCATAGAGCAGTTTGGAAACACTCTGTTTGTAAAGTCTGCAAGTGGATATATGGACCGCATTGAGGCCTTCGTTGGAAACGGGATTTCTTCATTTCATGCTAGACAGAAGAATTCTCAGTAACTTCTTTGTGCTGTGTGTATTCAACTCACAGAGTGGAACGTCCCTTTACACAGAGCAGATTTGAAACACTCTTTTTGTGGAGTTTGCAAGTGGAGATTTCAAGCGATTTGATGCCAGCAGTAGAAAAGGAAATATCTTCAAATAAAAACTAGACAGAATCATTCTCAGAAACTACTTTGTGATGTGTGCCTTCAACTCACAGAGTTTAACCTTTCTTTTCTTAGAGCAGTTTAGAAACACTCTGCTTGTTATGTCTGCAAGTGGATATTTGGACCTCTTTGAGGCCTTCGTTGCAAACGGGGTTTCTTCCTTTCATGCTAGACTAAGAAGAGTTCTCAGTAACTTTTTTGTGTTGTGTGTATTCAACTCACAGAGTTGAACCTTGCTTTAGAGAGAGCAGATTTGAAACACTCTTGCTGTGGCATTTTCAGGTGGAGATTTCAAGCGATTTGAGGACAATTGCAGAAAAGGAAATATCTTCGTATAATAACCAGACAGAATCATTCTCAGAAAGTGCTTTGTGATGTGTGCGTTCAACTCACAGAGTTTAACCTTTCTTTTCATAGAGGAGTTTGGAAACACACTGTTTGTAAAGTCTGCAATTGGATATATGGACCTGTTTGAGGCCTTCGTTGGAAACGGGATTTCTTCATTGAATGCTAGACGGAAGAATTCTCAGTAAATTCTTTGTGTTGTGTGCATTCAACTGACAGAGTGGAACGTCCCTTTAGACAGAGCAGATTTGAAACACTCTTTTTGCGGAATTTGCAAGTGGAGATTTCTAGCCATTTCATGCCAACAGTAGAAAGGGAAATATCTTCAAATAAAAACCAGACAGAATCATTCTCAGAAAATTCTTTGTGATGTGTGCGTTCAACTCACATAGTTTAACCTTTCTTTTCATAGAGCAGTTTGGAAACACTCTGTTTGTAAAGTCTGCAAGTGGATATATGGACCGCATTGAGGCCTTCGTTGGAAACGGGATTTCTTCATTTCATGCTAGACAGAAGAATTCTCAGTAACTTCTTTGTGCTGTGTGTATTCAACTCACAGAGTGGAACGTCCCTTTACACAGAGCAGATTTGAAACACTCTTTTTGTGGAGTTTGCAAGTGGAGATTTCAAGCGATTTGATGCCAACAGTAGAAAAGGAAATATCTTCAAATAAAAACTAGACAGAATCATTCTCAGAAACTACTTTGTGATGTGTGCCTTCAACTCACAGAGTTTAACCTTTCTTTTCTTAGAGCAGTTTAGAAACACTCTGCTTGTTATGTCTGCAAGTGGATATTTGGACCTCTTTGAGGCCTTCGTTGCAAACGGGGTTTCTTCCTTTCATGCTAGACTAAGAAGAGTTCTCAGTAACTTTTTTGTGTTGTGTGTATTCAACTCACAGAGTTGAACCTTGCTTTAGAGAGAGCAGATTTGAAACACTCTTGCTGTGGCATTTTCAGGTGGAGATTTCAAGCGATTTGAGGACAATTGCAGAAAAGGAAATATCTTCGTATAATAACCAGACAGAATCATTCTCAGAAAGTGCTTTGTGATGTGTGCGTTCAACTCACAGAGTTTAACCTTTCTTTTCATAGAGGAGTTTGGAAACACACTGTTTGTAAAGTCTGCAATTGGATATATGGACCTGTTTGAGGCCTTCGTTGGAAACGGGATTTCTTCATTGAATGCTAGGCGGAAGAATTCTCAGTAAATTCTTTGTGTTGTGTGCATTCAACTCACAGAGTGGAACGTCCCTTTAGACAGAGCAGATTTGAAACACTCTTTTTGCGGAATTTGCAAGTGGAGATTTCTAGCCATTTGATGCCAACAGTAGAAAGGGAAATATCTTCAAATAAAAACCAGACAGAATCATTCTCAGAAAATTCTTTGTGATGTGTGCGTTCAGCTCACATAGTTTAACCTTTCTTTTCATAGAGCAGTTTGGAAACACTCTGTTTGTAAAGTCTGCAAGTGGATATATGGACCGCATTGAGGCCTTCTTTGGAAACGGGATTTCTTCATTTCATGCTAGACAGAAGAATTCTCAGTAACTTCCTTGTGCTGTGTGTATTCAACTCACAGAGTGGAACGTCCCTTTGCACAGAGCAGATTTGAAACACTCTTTTTGTGGAGTTTGCAAGTGGAGATTTCAAGCGATTTGATGCCAACAGTAGGAAAGGAAATATCTTCAAATAAAAACTAGACAGAATCATTCTCAGAAACTACTTTGTGATGTGTGCCTTCAACTCACAGAGTTTAACCTTTCTTTTCTTAGAGCAGTTTAGAAACACTCTGCTTGTTATGTCTGCAAGTGGATATTTGGACCTCTTTGAGGCCTTCGTTGCAAACGGGGTTTCTTCCTTTCATGCTAGACTAAGAAGAGTTCTCAGTAACTTTTTTGTGTTGTGTGTATTCAACTCACAGAGTTGAACCTTGCTTTAGAGAGAGCAGATTTGAAACACTCTTGCTGTGGCATTTTCAGGTGGAGATTTCAAGCGATTTGAGGACAATTGCAGAAAAGGAAATATCTTCGTATAATAACCAGACAGAATCATTCTCAGCAAAGTGCTTTGTGATGTGTGCGTTCAACTCACAGAGTTTAACCTTTCTTTTCATAGAGGAGTTTGGAAACACACTGTTTGTAATGTCTGCAATTGGATATATGGACCTGTTTGAGGCCTTCGTTGGAAACGGGATTTCTTCATTGAATGCTAGACGGAAGAATTCTCAGTAAATTCTTTGTGTTGTGTGCATTCAACTCACAGAGTGGAACGTCCCTTTAGACAGAGCAGATTTGAAACACTCTTTTTGCGGAATTTGCAAGTGGAGATTTCTAGCCATTTGATGCCAACAGTAGAAAGGGAAATATCTTCAAATAAAAACCAGACAGAATCATTCTCAGAAAATTCTTTGTGATGTGTGCGTTCAACTCACATAGTTTAACCTTTCTTTTCATAGAGCAGTTTGGAAACACTCTGTTTGTAAAGTCTGCAAGTGGATATATGGACCGCATTGAGGCCTTCGTTGGAAACGGGATTTCTTCATTTCATGCTAGACAGAAGAATTCTCAGTAACTTCTTTGTGCTGTGTGTATTCAACTCACAGAGTGGAACGTCCCTTTACACAGAGCAGATTTGAAACACTCTTTTTGTGGAGTTTGCAAGTGGAGATTTCAAGCGATTTGATGCCAACCGTAGAAAAGGAAATATCTTCAAATAAAAACTAGACAGAATCATTCTCAGAAACTACTTTGTGATGTGTGCCTTCAACTCACAGAGTTTAACCTTTCTTTTCTTAGAGCAGTTTAGAAACACTCTGCTTGTTATGTCTGCAAGTGGATATTTGGACCTCTTTGAGGCCTTCGTTGCAAACGGGGTTTCTTCCTTTCATGCTAGACTAAGAAGAGTTCTCAGTAACTTTTTTGTGTTGTGTGTATTCAACTCACAGAGTTGAACCTTGCTTTAGAGAGAGCAGATTTGAAACACTCTTGCTGTGGCATTTTCAGGTGGAGATTTCAAGCGATTTGAGGACAATTGCAGAAAAGGAAATATCTTCGTATAATAACCAGACAGAATCATTCTCAGAAAGTGCTTTGTGATGTGTGCGTTCAACTCACAGAGTTTAACCTTTCTTTTCATAGAGGAGTTTGGAAACACACTGTTTGTAAAGTCTGCAATTGGATATATGGACCTGTTTGAGGCCTTCGTTGGAAACGGGATTTCTTCATTGAATGCTAGACGGAAGAATTCTCAGTAAATTCTTTGTGTTGTGTGCATTCAACTCACAGAGTGGAACGTCCCTTTAGACAGAGCAGATTTGAAACACTCTTTTTGCGGAATTTGCAAGTGGAGATTTCTAGCCATTTGATGCCAACAGTAGAAAGGGAAATATCTTCAAATAAAAACCAGACAGAATCATTCTCAGAAAATTCTTTGTGATGTGTGCATTCAACTCACATAGTTTAACCTTTCTTTTCATAGAGCAGTTTGGAAACACTCTGTTTGTAAAGTCTGAAAGTGGATATATGGACCGCATTGAGGCCTTCGTTGGAAACGGGATTTCTTCATTTCATGCTAGACAGAAGAATTCTCAGTAACTTCTTTGTGCTGTGTGTATTCAACTCACAGAGTGGAACGTCCGTTTGCACAGAGCAGATTTGAAACACTCTTTTTGTGGAATTTGCAAGTGGAGATTTCAAGCGATTTGATGCCAACAGTAGAAAAGGAAATATCTTCAAATAAAAACTAGACAGAATCATTCTCAGAAACTACTTTGTGATGTGTGCCTTCAACTCACAGAGTTTAACCTTTCTTTTCTTAGAGCAGTTTAGAAACACTCTGCTTGTTATGTCTGCAAGTGGATATTTGGACCTCTTTGAGGCCTTCGTTGCAAACGGGGTTTCTTCCTTTCATGCTAGACTAAGAAGAGTTCTCAGTAACTTTTTTGTGTTGTGTGTATTCAACTCACAGAGTTGAACCTTGCTTTAGAGAGAGCAGATTTGAAACACTCTTGCTGTGGCATTTTCAGGTGGAGATTTCAAGCGATTTGAGGACAATTGCAGAAAAGGAAATATCTTCGTATAATAACCAGACAGAATCATTCTCAGAAAGTGCTTTGTGTTGTGTGCGTTCAACTCACAGAGTTTAACCTTTCTTTTCATAGAGGAGTTTGGAAACACACTGTTTGTAAAGTCTGCAATTGGATATATGGACCTGTTTGAGGCCTTCGTTGGAAACGGGATTTCTTCATTGAATGCTAGACGGAAGAATTCTCAGTAAATTCTTTGTGTTGTGTGCATTCAACTCACAGAGTGGAACGTCCCTTTAGACAGAGCAGATTTGAAACACTCTTTTTGCGGAATTTGCAAGTGGAGATTTCTAGCCATTTGATGCCAACAGTAGAAAGGGAAATATCTTCAAATAAAAACCAGACAGAATCATTCTCAGAAAATTCTTTGTGATGTGTGCGTTCAACTCACATAGTTTAACCTTTCTTTTCATAGAGCAGTTTGGAAACACTCTCTTTGTAAAGTCTGCAAGTGGATATATGGACCGCATTGAGGCCTTCTTTGGAAACGGGATTTCTTCATTTCATGCTAGACAGAAGAATTCTCAGTAACTTCTTTGTGCTGTGTGTATTCAACTCACAGAGTGGAACGTCCCTTTGCACAGAGCAGATTTGAAACACTCTTTTTGTGGAATTTGCAAGTGGAGATTTCAAGCGATTTGATGCCAACAGTAGAAAAGGAAATATCTTCAAATAAAAACTAGACAGAATCATTCTCAGAAACTACTTTGTGATGTGAGCCTTCAACTCACAGAGTTTAACCTTTCTTTTCTTAGAGCAGTTTAGAAACACTCTGCTTGTTATGTCTGCAAGTGGATATTTGGACCTCTTTGAGGCCTTCGTTGCAAACGGGGTTTCTTCCTTTAATGCTAGACTAAGAAGAGTTCTCAGTAACTTTTTTGTGTTGTGTGTATTCAACTCACAGAGCTGAACCTTGCTTTAGAGAGAGCAGATTTGAAACACTCTTGCTGTGGCATTTTCAGGTGGAGATTTCAAGCGATTTGAGGACAATTGCAGAAAAGGAAATATCTTCGTATAACAACCAGACAGAATCATTCTCAGAAAGTGCTTTGTGATGTGTGCGTTCAACTCACAGAGTTTAACCTTTCTTTTCATAGAGGAGTTTGGAAACACACTGTTTGTAAAGTCTGCAATTGGATATATGGACCTGTTTGAGGCCTTCGTTGGAAACGGGATTTCTTCATTGCATGCTAGACGGAAGAATTCTCAGTAAATACTTTGTGTTGTGCGCATTCAACTGACAGAGTGGAACGTCCCTTTAGACAGAGCAGATTTGAAACACTCTTTTTGCGGAATTTGCAAGTGGAGATTTCTAGCCATTTGATGCCAACAGTAGAAAGGGAAATATCTTCAAATAAAAACCAGACAGAATCATTCTCAGAAAATTCTTTGTGATGTGTGCGTTCAACTCACATAGTTTAACCTTTCTTTTCATAGAGCAGTTTGGAAACACTCTTTTTGTAAAGTCTGCAAGTGGATATATGGACCTGTTTGAGGCCTTCGTTGGAAACGGGATTTCTTCATTGAATGCTAGAGGGAAGAATTCTCAGTAACTTCTTTGTGCTGTGTGTATTCAACTCACAGAGTGGAACGTCCCTTTGCACAGAGCAGATTTGAAACACTCTTTTTGTGGAGTTTGCAAGTGGAGATTTCAAGCGATTTGATGCCAACAGTAGAAAAGGAAATATCTTCAAATAAAAACTAGACAGAATCATTCTCAGAAACTACTTTGTGATGTGTGCCTTCAACTCACAGAGTTTAACCTTTCTTTTCTTAGAGCACTTTAGAAACACTCTGCTTGTTATGTCTGCAAGTGGATATTTGGACCTCTTTGAGGCCTTCGTTGCAAACGGGGTTTCTTCCTTTCATGCTAGACTAAGAAGAGTTCTCAGTAACTTTTTGTGTTGTGTGTATTCAACTCACAGAGTTGAACCTTGCTTTAGAGAGAGCAGATTTGAAACACTCTTGCTGTGGCATTTTCAGGTGGAGATTTCAAGCGATTTGAGGACAATTGCAGAAAAGGAAATATCTTCGTATAATAACCAGACAGAATCATTCTCAGAAAGTGCTTTGTGATGTGTGCGTTCAACTCACAGAGTTTAACCTTTCTTTTCATAGAGGAGTGTGGAAACACACTGTTTGTAAAGTCTGCAATTGGATATATGGACCTGTTTGAGGCCTTCGTTGGAAACGGGATTTCTTCATTGAATGCTAGACGGAAGAATTCTCAGTAAATTCTTTGTGTTGTGTGCATTCAACTGACAGAGTGGAACGTCCCTTTAGACAGAGCAGATTTGAAACACTCTTTTTGCGGAATTTGCAAGTGGAGATTTCTAGCCATTTGATGCCAACAGTAGAAAGGGAAATATCTTCAAATAAAAACCAGACAGAATCATTCTCAGAAAATTCTTTGTGATGTGTGCGTTCAACTCACATAGTTTAACCTTTCTTTTCATAGAGCAGTTTGGAAACACTCTGTTTGTAAAGTCTGCAAGTGGATATATGGACCGCATTGAGGCCTTCGTTGGAAACGGGATTTCTTCATTTCATGCTAGACAGAAGAATTCTCAGTAACTTCTTTGTGCTGTGTGTATTCAACTCACAGAGTGGAACGTCCCTTTGCACAGAGCAGATTTGAAACACTCTTTTTGTGGAGTTTGCAAGTGGAGATTTCAAGCGATTTGATGCCAACAGTAGAAAAGGAAATATCTTCAAATAAAAACTAGACAGAATCATTCTCAGAAACTACTTTGTGATGTGTGCCTTCAACTCACAGAGTTTAACCTTTCTTTTCTTAGAGCAGTTTAGAAACACTCTGCTTGTTATGTCTGCAAGTGGATATTTGGACCTCTTTGAGGCCTTCGTTGCAAACGGGGTTTCTTCCTTTCATGCTAGACTAAGAAGAGTTCTCAGTAACTTTTTTGTGTTGTGTGTATTCAACTCACAGAGTTGAACCTTGCTTTAGAGAGAGCAGATTTGAAACACTCTTGCTGTGGCATTTTCAGGTGGAGATTTCAAGCGATTTGAGGACAATTGCAGAAAAGGAAATATCTTCCTATAATAACCAGACAGAATCATTCTCAGAAAGTGCTTTGTGATGTGTGCGTTCCACTCACAGAGTTTAACCTTTCTTTTCATAGAGGAGTTTGGAAACAAACTGTTTGTAAACTCTGCAAGTGGATATATGGACCTGTTTGAGGCCTTCGTTGGAAACGGGATTTCTTCATTGAATGCTAGACGGAAGAATTCTCAGTAAATTCTTTGTGTTGTGTGCATTCAACTCACAGAGTGGAACGTCCCTTTAGACAGAGCAGATTTGAAACACTCTTTTTGCGGAATTTGCAAGTGGAGATTTCTAGCCATTTGATGCCAACAGTAGAAAGGGAAATATCTTCAAATAAAAACCAGACAGAATCATTCTCAGAAAATTCTTTGTGATGTGTGCGTTCAACTCACATAGTTTAACCTTTCTTTTCATAGAGCAGTTTGGGAACACTCTGTTGGTAATGTCTGCAAGTGGATATATGGACCGCTTTGAGGCCTTCGTTGGAAACGGGATTTCTTCATTTCATGCTAGACAGAAGAATTCTCAGTAACTTCTTTGTGTTGTGTGTATTCAACTCACAGATTGGAACGTCCCTTTACACAGAGCAGATTTGAAACACTCTTTTTGTGGAATTTGCAAGTGGAGATTTCAAGCGATTTGATGCCAACAGTAGAAAAGGAAATATCTGCAAACAAAAACTAGACAGAATCATTATCAGAAAGTGCTTTGTGATGTGTGCATTCAACTCACAGAGTTAACCTTTCTTTTCATAAAGGAGTTTGGAAACACACTGTTTGTAAAGTCTGCAATTGGATATATGGACCTGTTTGAGGCCTTCGTTGGAAACGGGATTTCTTCATTGAATGCTAGACGGAAGAATTCTCAGTAAATTCTTTGTGTTGTGTGCATTCAACTCACAGAGTGGAACGTTCCTTTAGACAGAGCAGATTTGAAACACTCTTTTTGCGGAATTTGCAAGTGGAGATTTCTAGCCATTTGATGCCAACAGTAGAAAGGGAAATATCTTCAAATAAAAACCAGACAGAATCATTCTCAGAAAATTCTTTGTGATGTGTGCGTTCAACTCACATAGTTTAACCTTTCTTTTCATAGAGCAGTTTGGAAACACTCTGTTTGTAAAGTCTGCAAGTGGATATATGGACCGCATTGAGGCCTTCGTTGGAAACGGGATTTCTTCATTTCATGCTAGACAGAAGAATTCTCAGTAACTTCTTTGTGCTGTGTGTATTCAACTCACAGAGTGGAACGTCCCTTTACACAGAGCAGATTTGAAACACCCTTTTTGTGGAGTTTGCAAGTGGAGATTTCAAGCGATTTGATGCCAACAGTAGAAAAGGAAATATCTTCAAATAAAAACAAGACAGAATCATTCTCAGAAACTACTTTGTGATGTGTGCCTTCAACTCACAGAGTTTAACCTTTCTTTTCTTAGAGCAGTTTAGAAACACTCTGCTTGTTATGTCTGCAAGTGGATATTTGGACCTCTTTGAGGCCTTCGTTGCAAACGGGGTTTCTTCCTTTCATGCTAGACTAAGAAGAGTTCTCAGTATCTTTTTTGTGTTGTGTGTATTCAACTCACAGAGTTGAACCTTGCTTTAGAGAGAGCAGATTTGAAACACTCTTGCTGTGGCATTTTCAGGTGGAGATTTCAAGCGATTTGAGGACAATTGCAGAAAAGGAAATATCTTCGTATAACAACCAGACAGAATCATTCTCAGAAAGTGCTTTGTGATGTGTGCGTTCCACTCACAGAGTTTAACCTTTCTTTTCATAGAGGAGTTTGGAAACACACTGTTTGTAAAGTCTGCAAGTGGATATATGGACCTGTTTGAGGCCTTCGTTGGAAACGGGATTTCTTCATTGAATGCTAGACGGAAGAATTCTCAGTAAATTCTTTGTGTTGTGTGCATTCAACTCACAGAGTGGAACGTCCCTTTAGACAGAGCAGATTTGAAACACTCTTTTTGCGGAATTTGCAAGTGGAGATTTCTAGCCATTTGATGCCAACAGTAGAAAGGGAAATATCTTCAAATAAAAACCAGACAGAATCATTCTCAGAAAATTCTTTGTGATGTGTGCATTCAACTCACATAGTTTAACCTTTCTTTTCATAGAGCAGTTTGGAAACACTCTGTTTGTAAAGTCTGCAAGTGGATATATGGACCGCATTGAGGCCTTCGTTGGAAACGGGATTTCTTCATTTCATGCTAGACAGAAGAATTCTCAGTAACTTCTTTGTGCTGTGTGTATTCAACTCACAGAGTGGAACGTCCCTTTACACAGAGCAGATTTGAAACACTCTTTTTGTGGAGTTTGCAAGTGGAGATTTCAAGCGATTTGATGCCAACAGTAGAAAAGGAAATATCTTCAAATAAAAACTAGACAGAATCATTCTCAGAAACTACTTTGTGATGTGTGCCTTCAACTCACAGAGTTTAACCTTTCTTTTCTTAGAGCAGTTTAGAAACACTCTGCTTGTTATGTCTGCAAGTGGATATTTGGACCTCTTTGAGGCCTTCGTTGCAAACGGGATTCCTTAATTTCATGCTAGACTAAGAAGAGTTCTCAGTAACTTTTTTGTGTTGTGTGTATTCAACTCACAGAGTTGAACCTTGCTTTAGAGAGAGCAGATTTGAAACACTCTTGCTGTGGCATTTTCAGGTGGAGATTTCAAGCGATTTGAGGACAATTGCAGAAAAGGAAATATCTTCGTATAATAACCAGACAGAATCATTCTCAGAAAGTGCTTTGTGATGTGTGCGTTCAACTCACAGAGTTTAACCTTTCTTTTCATAGAGGAGTTTGGAAACACACTGTTTGTAAAGTCTGCAATTGGATATATGGACCTGTTTGAGGCCTTCGTTGGAAACGGGATTTCTTCATTGAATGCTAGACGGAAGAATTCTCAGTAAATTCTTTGTGTTGTGTGCATTCAACTCACAGAGTGGAACGTCCCTTTAGACAGAGCAGAATTGAAACACTCTTTTTGCGGAATTTGCAAGTGGAGATTTCTAGCCATTTGATGCCAACAGTAGAAAGGGAAATATCTTCAAATAAAAACCAGACAGAATCATTCTCAGAAAATTCTTTGTGATGTGTGCGTTCAACTCACATAGTTTAACCTTTCTTTTCATAGAGCAGTTTGGAAACACTCTGTTTGTAAAGTCTGCAAGTGGATATATGGACCGCATTGAGGCCTTCGTTGGAAACGGGATTTCTTCATTTCATGCTAGACAGAAGAATTCTCAGTAACTTCTTTGTGCTGTGTGTATTCAACTCACAGAGTGGAACGTCCCTTTGCACAGAGCGGATTTGAAACACTCTTTTTGTGGAGTTTGCAAGTGGAGATTTCAAGCGATTTGATGCCAACAGTAGAAAAGGAAATATCTTCAAATAAAAACTAGACAGAATCATTCTCAAAAACTACTTTGTGATGTGTGCCTTCAACTCACAGAGTTTAACCTTTCTTTTCTTAGAGCAGTTTAGAAACACTCTGCTTGTTATGTCTGCAAGTGGATATTTGGACCTCTTTGAGGCCTTCGTTGCAAACGGGGTTTCTTCCTTTCATGCTAGACTAAGAAGAGTTCTCAGTAACTTTTTTGTGTTGTGTGTATTCAACTCACAGAGTTGAACCTTGCTTTAGAGAGAGCAGATTTGAAACACTCTTGCTGTGGCATTTTCAGGTGGAGATTTCAAGCGATTTGAGGACAATTGCAGAAAAGGAAATATCTTCGTATAATAACCAGACAGAATCATTCTCAGAAAGTGCTTTGTGATGTGTGCGTTCAACTCACAGAGTTTAACCTTTCTTTTCATAGAGGAGTTTGGAAACACACTGTTTGTAAAGTCTGCAATTGGATATATGGACCTGTTTGAGGCCTTCGTTGGAAACGGGATTTCTTCATTGCATGCTAGACGGAAGAATTCTCAGTAAATTCTTTGTGTTGTGTG
Source organism: Homo sapiens (assembly GCF_000001405.40). Taxonomy (NCBI): domain Eukaryota; kingdom Metazoa; phylum Chordata; class Mammalia; order Primates; family Hominidae; genus Homo; species Homo sapiens. The sequence continues at coordinate 59,905,657 of NC_000007.14, forward strand.
CATTCAACTGACAGAGTGGAACGTCCCTTTAGACAGAGCAGATTTGAAACACTCTTTTTGCGGAATTTGCAAGTGGAGATTTCTAGCCATTGATGCCAACAGTAGAAAGGGAAATATCTTCAAATAAAAACCAGACAGAATCATTCTCAGAAAATTCTTTGTGATGTGTGCGTTCAACTCACATAGTTTAACCTTTCTTTTCATAGAGCAGTTTGGAAACACTCTGTTTGTAAAGTCTGCAAGTGGATATATGGACCGCATTGAGGCCTTCGTTGGAAACGGGATTTCTTCATTTCATGCTAGACAGAAGAATTCTCAGTAACTTCTTTGTGCTGTGTGTATTCAACTCACAGAGTGGAACGTCCCTTTACACAGAGCAGATTTGAAACACTCTTTTTGTGGAGTTTGCAAGTGGAGATTTCAAGCGATTTGATGCCAACAGTAGAAAAGGAAATATCTTCCAATATAAACTAGACAGAATCATTCTCAGAAACTACTTTGTGATGTGTGCCTTCAACTCACAGAGTTTAACCTTTCTTTTCTTAGAGCAGTTTAGAAACACTCTGCTTGTTATGTCTGCAAGTGGATATTTGGACCTCTTTGAGGCCTTCGTTGCAAACGGGGTTTCTTCCTTTAATGCTAGACTAAGAAGAGTTCTCAGTAACATTTTTGTGTTGTGTGTATTCAACTCACAGAGTTGAACCCTGCTTTAGAGAGAGCAGATTTGAAACACTCTTGCTGTGGCATTTTCAGGTGGAGATTTCAAGCGATTTGAGGACAATTGCAGAAAAGGAAATATCTTCGTATAACAACCAGACAGAATCATTCTCAGAAAGTGCTTTGTGATGTGTGCGTTCAACTCACAGAGTTTAACCTTTCTTTTCATAGAGGAGTTTGGAAACACACTGTTTGTAAAGTCTGCAATTGGATATATGGACCTGTTTGAGGCCTTCGTTGGAAACGGGTTTTCTTCATTGAATGCTAGACGGAAGAATTCTCAGTAAATTCTTTGTGTGGTGTGCATTCAACTCACAGAGTGGAACGTCCCTTTAGACAGAGCAGATTTGAAACACTCTTTTTGCGGAATTTGCAAGTGGAGATTTCTAGCCATTTGATGCCAACAGTAGAAAGGGAAATATCTTCAAATAAAAACCAGACAGAATCATTCTCAGAAAATTCTTTGTGATGTGTGCGTTCAACTCACATAGTTTAACCTTTCTTTTCATAGAGCAGTTTGGAAACACTCTGTTTGTAAAGTCTGCAAGTGGATATATGGACCGCATTGAGGCCTTCGTTGGAAACGGGATTTCTTCATTTCATGCTAGACAGAAGAATTCTCAGTAACTTCTTTGTGCTGTGTGTATTCAACTCACAGAGTGGAACGTCCCTTTGCACAGAGCAGATTTGAAACACTCTTTTTGTGGAGTTTGCAAGTGGAGATTTCAAGCGATTTGATGCCAACAGTAGAAAAGGAAATATCTTCAAATAAAAACTAGACAGAATCATTCTCAGAAACTACTTTGTGATGTGTGCCTTCAACTCACAGAGTTTAACCTTTCTTTTCTTAGAGCAGTTTAGAAACACTCTGCTTGTTATGTCTGCAAGTGGATATTTGGACCTCTTTGATGCCTTCGTTGCAAACGGGGTTTCTTCCTTTCATGCTAGACTAAGAAGAGTTCTCAGTAACTTTTTTGTGTTGTGTGTATTCAACTCACAGAGTTGAACCTTGCTTTAGAGAGAGCAGATTTGAAACACTCTTGCTGTGGCATTTTCAGGTGGAGATTTCAAGCGATTTGAGGACAATTGCAGAAAAGGAAATATCTTCGTATAATAACCAGACAGAATCATTCTCAGAAAGTGCTTTGTGATGTGTGCGTTCAACTCACAGAGTTTAACCTTTCTTTTCATAGAGGAGTTTGGAAACACACTGTTTGTAAAGTCTGCAAGTGGATATATGGACCTGTTTGAGGCCTTCGTTGGAAACGGGATTTCTTCATTGAATGCTAGACGGAAGAATTCTCAGTAAATTCTTTGTGTTGTGTGCATTCAACTCACAGAGTGGAACGTCCCTTTAGACAGAGCAGATTTGAAACACTCTTTATGTGGAATTTGCAAGTGGAGATTTCTAGCCATTTGATGCCAACAGTAGAAAGGGAAATATCTTCAAGTAAAAACCAGACAGAATCATTCTCAGAAAATTCTTTGTGATGTGTGCGTTCAACTCACATAGTTTAACCTTTCTTTTCATAGAGCAGTTTGGAAACACTCTGTTTGTAAAGTCTGCAAGTGGATATATGGACCGCATTGAGGCCTTCGTTGGAAACGGGATTTCTTCATTTCATGCTAGACAGAAGAATTCTCAGTAACTTCTTTGTGCTGTGTGTATTCAACTCACAGAGTGGAACGTCCCTTTGCACAGAGCAGATTTGTAACACTCTTTTTGTGGAATTTGCAAGTGGAGATTTCAAGCGATTTGATGCCAACAGTAGAAAAGGAAATATCTTCAAATAAAAACTAGACAGAATCATTCTCAGAAACTACTTTGTGATGTGTGCCTTCAACTCACAGAGTTTAACCTTTCTTTTCTTAGAGCAGTTTAGAAACACTCTGCTTGTTATGTCTGCAAGTGGATATTTGGACCTCTTTGAGGCTTTCGTTGCAAACGGGGTTTCTTCCTTTCATGCTAGACTAAGAAGAGTTCTCAGTAACTTTTTTGTGTTGTGTGTATTCAACTCACAGAGTTGAACCTTGCTTTAGAGAGAGCAGATTTGAAACACTCTTGCTGTGGCATTTTCAGGTGGAGATTTCAAGCGATTTGAGGACAATTGCAGAAAAGGAAATATCTTCGTATAATAACCAGACAGAATCATTCTCAGAAAGTGCTTTGTGATGTGTGCGTTCAACTCACAGAGTTTAACCTTTCTTTTCATAGAGCAGTTTGGAAACACTCTGTTTGTAAAGTCTGCAAGTGGATATATGGACCGCATTGAGGCCTTCGTTGGAAACGGGATTTCTTCATTTCATGCTAGACAGAAGAATTCTCAGTAACTTCTTTGTGCTGTGTGTATTCAACTCACAGAGTGGAACGTCCCTTTGCACAGAGCAGATTTGAAACACTCTTTTTGTGGAGTTTGCAAGTGGAGATTTCAAGCGATTTGATGCCAACAGTAGAAAAGGAAGTATCTTCAAATAAAAACTAGACAGAATCATTCTCAGAAACTACTTTGTGATGTGTGCCTTCAACTCACAGAGTTTAACCTTTCTTTTCTTAGAGCAGCTTAGAAACACTCTGCTTGTTATGTCTGCAAGTGGATATTTGGACCTCTTTGAGGCCTTCGTTGCAAACGGGGTTTCTTCCTTTCATGCTAGACTAAGAAGAGTTCTCAGTAACTTTTTTGTGTTGTGTGTATTCAACTCACAGAGTTGAACCTTGCTTTAGAGAGAGCAGATTTGAAACACTCTTGCTGTGGCATTTTCAGGTGGAGATTTCAAGCGATTTGAGGACAATTGCAGAAAAGGAAATATCTTCGTATAATAACCAGACAGAATCATTCTCAGAAAGTGCTTTGTGATGTGTGCGTTCAACTCACAGAGTTTAACCTTTCTTTTCATAGAGGAGTTTGGAAACACACTGTTTGTAAAGTCTGCAATTGGATATATGGACCTGTTTGAGGCCTTCGTTGGAAACGGGATTTCTTCATTGCATGCTAGACGGAAGAATTCTCAGTAAATACTTTGTGTTGTGTGCATTCAACTGACAGAGTGGAACGTCCCTTTAGACAGAGCAGATTTGAAACACTCTTTTTGCGGAATTTGCAAGTGGAGATTTCTAGCCATTTGATGCCAACAGTAGAAAGGGAAATATCTTCAAATAAAAACCAGACAGAATCATTCTCAGAAAATTCTTTGTGATGTGTGCGTTCAACTCACATAGTTTAACCTTTCTTTTCATAGAGCAGTTTGGAAACACTCTGTTTGTAAAGTCTGCAAGTGGATATATGGACCGCATTGAGGCCTTCGTTGGAAACGGGATTTCTTCATTTCATGCTAGACAGAAGAATTCTCAGTAACTTCTTTGTGCTGTGTGTATTCAACTCACAGAGTGGAACGTCCCTTTACACAGAGCAGATTTGAAACACTCTTTTTGTGGAGTTTGCAAGTGGAGATTTCAAGCGATTTGATGCCAACAGTAGAAAAGGAAATTCTCAAATAAAAACTAGACAGAATCATTCTCAGAAACTACTTTGTGATGTGTGCCTTCAACTCACAGAGTTTAACCTTTCTTTTCTTAGAGCAGTTTAGAAACACTCTGCTTGTTATGTCTGCAAGTGGATATTTGGACCTCTTTGAGGCCTTCGTTGCAAACGGGGTTTCTTCCTTTCATGCTAGACTAAGAAGAGTTCTCAGTAACTTTTTTGTGTTGTGTGCATTCAACTCACAGAGTGGAACGTCCCTTTAGACAGAGCAGATTTGAAACACTCTTTTTGCGGAAGTTGCAAGTGGAGATTTCTAGCCATTTGATGCCAACAGTACAAAGGGAAATATCTTCAAATAAAAACTAGACAGAATCATTCTCAGAAAGTGCTTTGTGATGTGTGCGTTCAACTCACAGAGTTTAACCTTTCTTTTCATAGAGGAGTTTGGAAACACACTGTTTGTAAAGTCTGCAATTGGATATATGGACCTGTTTGAGGCCTTCATTGGAAACGGGATTTCTTCATTGAATGCTAGACGGAAGAATTCTCAGTAAATTCTTTGTGTTGTGTGCATTCAACTGACAGAGTGGAACGTCCCTTTAGACAGAGCAGATTTGAAACACTCTTTTTGCGGAATTTACAAGTGGAGATTTCTAGCCATTTGATGCCAACAGTAGAAAGGGAAATATCTTCAAATAAAAACCAGACAGAATCATTCTCAGAAAATTCTTTGTGATGTGTGCGTTCAACTCACATAGTTTAACCTTTCTTTTCATAGAGCAGTTTGGAAACACTCTGTTTGTAAAGTCTGCAAGTGGATATATGGACCGCATTGAGGCCTTCGTTGGAAACGGGATTTCTTCATTTCATGCTAGACAGAAGAATTCTCAGTAACTTCTTTGTGCTGTGTGTATTCAACTCACAGAGTGGAACGTCCCTTTACACAGAGCAGATTTGAAACACTCTTTTTGTGGAGTTTGCAAGTGGAGATTTCAAGCGATTTGATGCCAACAGTAGAAAAGGAAATATCTTCAAATAAAAACTAGACAGAATCATTCTCAGAAACTACTTTGTGATGTGTGCCTTCAACTCACAGAGTTTAACCTTTCTTTTCTTAGAGCAGTTTAGAAACACTCTGCTTGTTATGTCTGCAAGTGGATATTTGGACCTCTTTGAGGCCTTCGTTGCAAACGGGGTTTCTTCCTTTCATGCTAGACTAAGAAGAGTTCTCAGTAACTTTTTTGTGTTGTGTGTATTCAACTCACAGAGTTGAACCTTGCTTTAGAGAGAGCAGATTTGAAACACTCTTGCTGTGACATTTTCAGGTGGAGATTTCAAGCGATTTGAGGACAATTGCAGAAAAGGAAAATATCTTCGTATAATAACCAGACAGAATCATTCTCAGAAAGTGCTTTGTGATGTGTGCGTTCAACTCACAGAGTTTAACCTTTCTTTTCATAGAGGAGTTTGGAAACACACTGTTTGTAAAGTCTGCAAGTGGATATATGGACCTGTTTGAGGCCTTCGTTGGAAACGGGATTTCTTCATTGAATGCTAGACGGAAGAATTCTCAGTAAATTCTTTGTGTTGTGTGCATTCAACTGACGGAGTGGAACGTCCCTTTAGACAGAGCAGATTTGAAACACTCTTTTTGCGGAATTTGCAAGTGGAGATTTCTAGCCATTTGATGCCAACAGTAGAAAGGGAAATATCTTCAAATAAAAACCAGGCAGAATCATTCTCAGAAAATTCTTTGTGATGTGTGCGTTCAACTCACATAGTTTAACCTTTCTTTTCATAGAGCAGTTTGGAAACACTCTGTTTGTAAAGTCTGCAAGTGGATATATGGACCGCATTGAGGCCTTCGTTGGAAACGGGATTTCTTCATTTCATGCTAGACAGAAGAATTCTCAGTAACTTCTTTGTGCTGTGTGTATTCAACTCACAGAGTGGAACGTCCCTTTACACAGAGCAGATATGAAACACACTTTTTGTGGAGTGTGCAAGTGGAGATTTCAAGCGATTTGATGCCAACAGTAGAAAAGGAAATATCTTCAAATAAAAACTAGACAGAATCATTCTCAGAAACTACTTTGTAATGTGTGCCTTCAACTCACAGAGTTTAACCTTTCTTTTCTTAGAGCAGTTTAGAAACACTCTGCTTGTTATGTCTGCAAGTGGATATTTGGACCTCTTTGAGGCCTTCGTTGCAAACGGGATTTCTTCCTTTCATGCTAGACTAAGAAGAGTTCTCAGTAACTTTTTTGTGTTGTGTGTATTCAACTCACAGAGTTGAACCTTGCTTTAGAGAGAGCAGATTTGATACACTCCTGCTGTGGCATTTTCAGGTGGAGATTTCAAGCGATTTGAGGACAATTGCAGAAAAGGAAATATCTTCGTATAATAACCAGACAGATAATCATTCTCAGAAAGTGCTTTGTGATGTGTGCGTTCCACTCACAGAGTTTAACCTTTCTTTTCATAGAGGAGTTTGGAAACACACTGTTTGTAAACTCTGCAAGTGGATATATGGACCTGTTTGAGGCCTTCGTTGGAAACGGGATTTCTTCATTGAATGCTAGACGGAAGAATTCTCAGTAAATTCTTTGTGTTGTGTGCATTCAACTCACAGAGTGGAACGTCCCTTTAGACAGAGCAGATTTGAAACACTCTTTTTGCGGAATTTGCAAGTGGAGATTTCTAGCCATTTGATGCCAACAGTAGAAAGGGAAATATCTTCAAATAAAAACCAGACAGAATCATTCTCAGAAAATTCTTTGTGATGTGTGCATTCAACTCACATAGTTTAACCTTTCTTTTCATAGAGCAGTTTGGAAACACTCTGTTTGTAAAGTCTGCAAGTGGATATATGGACCGCATTGAGGCCTTCGTTGGAAACGGGATTTCTTCATTTCATGCTAGACAGAAGAATTCTCAGTAACTTCTTTGTGCTGTGTGTATTCAACTCACAGAGTGGAACGTCCCTTTACACAGAGCAGATTTGAAACACTCTTTTTGTGGAGTTTGCAAGTGGAGATTTCAAGCGATTTGATGCCAACAGTAGAAAAGGAAATATCTTCAAATAAAAACTAGACAGAATCATTCTCAGAAACTACTTTGTGATGTGTGCCTTCAACTCACAGAGTTTAACCTTTCTTTTCTTAGAGCAGTTTAGAAACACTCTGCTTGTTATGTCTGCAAGTGGATATTTGGACCTCTTTGAGGCCTTCGTTGCAAACGGGGTTTCTTCCTTTCATGCTAGACTAAGAAGAGTTCTCAGTAACTTTTTTGTGTTGTGTGTATTCAACTCACAGAGTTGAACCTTGCTTTAGAGAGAGCAGATTTGAAACACTCTTGCTGTGGTATTTTCAGGTGGAGATTTCAAGCGATTTGAGGACAATTGCAGAAAAGGAAATATCTTCGTATAACAACCAGACAGAATCATTCTCAGAAAGTGCTTTGTGATGTGTGCGTTCCACTCACAGAGTTTAACCTTTCTTTTCATAGAGGAGTTTGGAAACACACTGTTTGTAAAGTCTGCAAGTGGATATATGGACCTGTTTGAGGCCTTCGTTGGAAACGGGATTTCTTCATTGAATGCTAGACGGAAGAATTCTCAGTAAATTCTTTGTGTTGTGTGCATTCAACTCACAGAGTGGAACGTCCCTTTAGACAGAGCAGATTTGAAACACTCTTTTTGCGGAATTTGCAAGTGGAGATTTCTAGCCATTTGATGCCAACAGTAGAAAGGGAAATATCTTCAAATAAAAACCAGAGAGAATCATTCTCAGAAAATTCTTTTTGATGTGTGCGTTCAACTCACATAGTTTAACCTTTCTTTTCATAGAGCAGTTTGGAAACACTCTGTTTGTAAAGTCTGCAAGTGGATATATGGACCGCATTGAGGCCTTCGTTGGAAACGGGATTTCTTCATTTCATGCTAGACAGAAGAATTCTCAGTAACTTCTTTGTGCTGTGTGTATTCAACTCACAGAGTGGAACGTCCCTTTGCACAGAGCAGATTTGAAACACTCTTTTTGTGGAATTTGCAAGTGGAGATTTCAAGCGATTTGATGCCAACAGTAGAAAAGGAAATATCTTCAAATAAAAACTAGACAGAATCATTCTCAGAAACTTCTTTGTGATGTGTGCCTTCAACTCACAAAGTTTAACCTTTCTTTTCTTAGAGCAGTTTAGAAACACTCTGCTTATTATGTCTGCAAGTGGATATTTGGACCTCTTTGAGGCCTTCGTTGCAAACGGGGTTTCTTCCTTTCATGCTAGACTAAGAAGAGTTCTCAGTAACTTTTTTGTGTTGTGTGTATTCAACTCACAGAGTTGAACCTTGCTTTAGAGAGAGCAGATTTGAAACACTCTTGCTGTGGCATTTTCAGGTGGAGATTTCAAGCGATTTGAGGACAATTGCAGAAAAGGAAATATCTTCGTATAATAACCAGACAGAATCATTCTCAGAAAGTGCTTTGTGATGTGTGCGTTCCACTCACAGAGTTTAACCTTTCTTTTCATAGAGGAGTTTGGAAACACACTATTTGTAAAGTCTGCAAGTGGATATATGGACCTGTTTGAGGCCTTCGTTGGAAACGGGATTTCTTCATTGAATGCTAGACGGAAGAATTCTCAGTAAATTCTTTGTGTTGTGTGCATTCAACTCACAGAGTGGAACGTCCCTTTAGACAGAGCAGATTTGAAACACTCTTTTTGCGGAATTTGCAAGTGGAGATTTCTAGCCATTTGATGCCAACAGTAGAAAGGGAAATATCTTCAAATAAAAACCAGGCAGAATCATTCTCAGAAAATTCTTTGTGATGTGTGCGTTCAACTCACATAGTTTAACCTTTCTTTTCATAGAGCAGTTTGGAAACACTCTGTTTGTAAAGTCTGCAAGTGGATATATGGACCGCATTGAGGCCTTCGTTGGAAACGGGATTTCTTCATTTCATGCTAGACAGAAGAATTCTCAGTAACTTCTTTGTGCTGTGTGTATTCAACTCACAGAGTGGAACGTCCCTTTGCACAGAGCAGATTTGAAACACTCTTTTTGTGGAGTTTGCAAGTGGAGATTTCAAGCGATTTGATGCCAACAGTAGAAAAGGAAGTATCTTCAAATAAAAACTAGACAGAATCATTCTCAGAAACTACTTTGTGATGTGTGCCTTCAACTCACCGAGTTTAACCTTTCTTTTCTGAGAGCAGCTTAGAAACACTCTGCTTGTTATGTCTGCAAGTTGATATTTGGACCTCTTTGAGGCCTTCGTTGCAAACGGGGTTTCTTCCTTTAATGCTAGACTAAGAAGAGTTCTCAGTAACTTTTCTGTGTTGTGTGTATTCAACTCACAGAGTTGAACCTTGCTTTAGAGAGAGCAGATTTGAAACACTCTCGCTGTGGAATTTTCAGGTGGAGATTTCAAGCGATTTGAGGACAATTGCAGAAAAGGAAATATCTTCGTATAATAACCAGACAGAATCATTCTCAGAAAGTGCTTTGTGATGTGTGCGTTCAACTCACAGAGTTTAACCTTTCTTTTCATAGAGGAGTTTGGAAACACACTGTTTGTAAAGTCTGCAATTGGATATATGGACCTGTTTGAGGCCTTCGTTGGAAACGGGATTTCTTCATTGAATGCTAGACGGAAGAATTCTCAGTAAATTCTTTGTGTTGTGTGCATTCAACTCACAGAGTGGAACGTCCCTTTAGACAGAGCAGATTTGAAACACTCTTTTTGCGGAATTTGCAAGTGGAGATTTCTAGCCATTTGATGCCAACAGTAGAAAGGGAAATATCTTCAAATAAAAACCAGACAGAATCATTCTCAGAAAATTCTTTGTGATGTGTGCATTCAACTCACATAGTTTAACCTTTCTTTTCATAGAGCAGTTTGGAAACACTCTGTTTGTAAAGTCTGCAAGTGGATATATGGACCGCATTGAGGCCTTCGTTGGAAACGGGATTTCTTCATTTCATGCTAGACAGAAGAATTCTCAGTAACTTCTTTGTGCTGTGTGTATTCAACTCACAGAGTGGAACGTCCCTTTACACAGAGCAGATTTGAAACACTCTATTTGTGGAGTTTGCAAGTGGAGATTTCAAGCGATTTGATGCCAACAGTAGAAAAGGAAATATCTTCAAATAAAAACTAGACAGAATCATTCTCAGAAACTACTTTGTGATGTGTGCCTTCAACTCACAGAGTTTAACCTTTCTTTTCTTAGAGCAGTTTAGAAACACTCTGCTTGTTATGTCTGCAAGTGGATATTTGGACCTCTTTGAGGCCTTCGTTGCAAACGGGGTTTCTTCCTTTCATGCTAGACTAAGAAGAGTTCTCAGTAACTTTTTTGTGTTGTGTGTATTCAACTCACAGAGTTGAACCTTGCTTTAGAGAGAGCAGATTTGAAACACTCTTGCTGTGGCATTTTCAGGTGGAGATTTCAAGCGATTTGAGGACAATTGCAGAAAAGGAAATATCTTCGTATAATAACCAGACAGAATCATTCTCAGAAAGTGCTTTGTGATGTGTGCGTTCAACTCACAGAGTTTAACCTTTCTTTTCATAGAGGAGTTTGGAAACACACTGTTTGTAAAGTCTGCAATTGGATATATGGACCTGTTTGAGGCCTTCGTTGGAAACGGGATTTCTTCATTGAATGCTAGACGGAAGAATTCTCAGTAAATTCTTTGTGTTGTGTGCATTCAACTCACAGAGTGGAACGTCCCTTTAGACAGAGCAGATTTGAAACACTCTTTTTGCGGAATTTGCAAGTGGAGATTTCTAGCCATTTGATGCCAACAGTAGAAAGGGAAATATCTTCAAATAAAAACCAGACAGAATCATTCTCAGAAAATTCTTTGTGATGTGTGCGTTCAACTCACATAGTTTAACCTTTCTTTTCATAGAGCAGTTTGGAAACACTCTGTTTGTAAAGTCTGCAAGTGGATATATGGACCGCATTGAGGCCTTCGTTGGAAACGGGATTTCTTCATTTCATGCTAGACAGAAGAATTCTCAGTAACTTCTTTGTGCTGTGTGTATTCAACTCACAGAGTGGAACGTCCCTTTACACAGAGCAGATTTGAAACACTCTTTTTGTGGAGTTTGCAAGTGGAGATTTCAAGCGATTTGATGCCAACAGTAGAAAAGGAAATATCTTCAAATAAAAACTAGACAGAATCATTCTCAGAAACTACTTTGTGATGTGTGCCTTCAACTCACAGAGTTTAACCTTTCTTTTCTTAGAGCAGTTTAGAAACACTCTGCTTGTTATGTCTGCAAGTGGATATTTGGACCTCTTTGAGGCCTTCGTTGCAAACGGGGTTTCTTCCTTTCATGCTAGACTAAGAAGAGTTCTCAGTAACTTTTTTTGTGTTGTGTGTATTCAACTCACAGAGTTGAACCTTGCTTTAGAGAGAGCAGATTTGAAACACTCTTGCTGTGGCATTTTCAGGTGGAGATTTCAAGCGATTTGAGGACAATTGCAGAAAAGGAAATATCTTCGTATAATAACCAGACAGAATCATTCTCAGAAAGTGCTTTGTGATGTGTGCGTTCAACTCACAGAGTTTAACCTTTCTTTTCATAGAGGAGTTTGGAAACACACTGTTTGTAAAGTCTGCAATTGGATATATGGACCTGTTTGAGGCCTTCGTTGGAAACGGGATTTCTTCATTGAATGCTAGGCGGAAGAAATCTCTGTAAATTCTTTGTGTTGTGTGCATTCAACTCACAGAGTGGAACGTCCCTTTAGACAGAGCAGATTTGAAACACTCTTTTTGCGGAATTTGCAAGTGGAGATTTCTAGCCATTTGATGCCAACAGTAGAAAGGGAAATATCTTCAAATAAAAACCAGACAGAATCATTCTCAGAAAATTCTTTGTGATGTGTGCTTTCAACTCACATAGTTTAACCGTTCTTTTCATAGAGCAGTTTGGAAACACTCTGTTTGTAAAGTCTGCAAGTGGATATATGGACCGCATTGAGGCCTTCGTTGGAAACGGGATTTCTTCATTTCATGCTAGACAGAAGAATTCTCAGTAACTTCTTTGTGCTGTGTGTATTCAACTCACAGAGTGGAACGTCCCTTTACACAGAGCAGATTTGAAACACTCTTTTTGTGGAGTTTGCAAGTGGAGATTTCAAGCGATTTGATGCCAACAGTAGAAAAGGAAATATCTTCAGATAAAAACTAGACAGAATCATTCTCAGAAACTACTTTGTGATGTGTGCCTTCAACTCACAGAGTTTAACCTTTCTTTTCTTAGAGCAGTTTAGAAACACTCTGCTTGTTATGTCTGCAAGTGTATATTTGGACCTCTTTGATGCCTTCGTTGCAAACGGGGTTTCTTCCTTTAATGCTAGACTAAGAAGAGTTCTCAGTAACTTTTTTGTGTTGTGTGTATTCAACTCACAGAGTTGAACCTTGCTTTAGAGAGAGCAGATTTGAAACACTCTTGCTGTGGCATTTTCAGGTGGAGATTTCAAGCGATTTGAGGACAATTGCAGAAAAGGAAATATCTTCGTATAATAACCAGACAGAATCATTCTCAGAAAGTGCTTTGTGATGTGTGCGTTCCACTCACAGAGTTTAACCTTTCTTTTCATAGAGGAGTTTGGAAACACACTGTTTGTAAAGTCTGCAAGTGGATATATGGACCTGTTTGAGGACTTCGTTGGAAACGGGATTTCTTCATTGAATGCTAGACGGAAGAATTCTCAGTAAATTCTTTGTGTTGTGTGCATTCAACTCACAGAGTGGAACGTCCCTTTAGACAGAGCAGATTTGAAACACTCTTTTTGCGGAATTTGCAAGTGGAGATTTCTAGCCATTTGATGCCAACAGTAGAAAGGGAAATATCTTCAAATAAAAACCAGACAGAATCATTCTCAGAAAATTCTTTGTGATGTGTGCGTTCAACTCACATAGTTTAACCTTTCTTTTCATAGAGCAGTTTGGAAACACTCTGTTTGTAAAGTCTGCAAGTGGATATATGGACCGCATTGAGGCCTTCGTTGGAAACGGGATTTCTTCATTTCATGCTAGACAGAAGAATTCTCAGTAACTTCTTTGTGCTGTGTGTATTCAACTCACAGAGTGGAACGTCCCTTTACACAGAGCAGATTTGAAACACTCTTTTTGTGGAGTTTGCAAGTGGAGATTTCAAGCGATTTGATGCCAACAGTAGAAAAGGAAATATCTTCAAATAAAAACTAGACAGAATCATTCTCAGAAACTACTTTGTGATGTGTGCCTTCAACTCACAGAGTTTAACCTTTCTTTTCTTAGAGCAGTTTAGAAACACTCTGCTTGTTATGTCTGCAAGTGGATATTTGGACCTCTTTGAGGCCTTCGTTGCAAACGGGGTTTCTTCCTTTCATGCTAGACTAAGAAGAGTTCTCAGTAACTTTTTTGTGTTGTGTGTATTCAACTCACAGAGTTGAACCTTGCTTTAGAGAGAGGAGATTTGAAACACTCTTGCTGTGGCATTTTCAGATGGAGATTTCAAGCGTTTTGAGGACAATTGCAGAAAAGGAAATATCTTCGTATAATAACCAGACAGAATCATTCTCAGAAAGTGCTTTGTGATGTGTGCGTTCAACTCACAGAGTTTAACCTTTCTTTTCATAGAGGAGTTTGGAAACACACTATTTGTAATGTCTGCAATTGGATATATGGACCTGTTTGAGGCCTTCGTTGGAAACGGGATTTCTTCATTGAATGCTAGACGGAAGAATTCTCAGTAAATTCTTTGTGTTGTGTGCATTCAACTCACAGAGTGGAACGTCCCTTTAGACAGAGCAGATTTGAAACACTCTTTTTGCGGAATTTGCAAGTGGAGATTTCTAGCCATTTGATGCCAACAGTAGAAAGGGAAATATCTTCAAATAAAAACCAGACAGAATCATTCTCAGAAAATTCTTTGTGATGTGTGCGTTCAACTCACATAGTTTAACCTTTCTTTTCATAGAGCAGTTTGGAAACACTCTGTTTGTAAAGTCTGCAAGTGGATATATGGACCGCATTGAGGCCTTCGTTGGAAACGGGATTTCTTCATTTCATGCTAGACAGAAGAATTCTCAGTAACTTCTTTGTGCTGTGTGTATTCAACTCACAGAGTGGAACGTCCCTTTACACAGAGCAGATTTGAAACACTCTTTTTGTGGAGTTTGCAAGTGGAGATTTCAAGCGATTTGATGCCAACAGTAGAAAAGGAAATATCTTCAAATAAAAACTAGACAGAATCATTCTCAGAAACTACTTTGTGATGTGTGCCTTCAACTCACAGAGTTTAACCTTTCTTTTCTTAGAGCAGTTTAGAAACACTCTGCTTGTTATGTCTGCAAGTGGATATTTGGACCTCTTTGAGGCCTTCGTTGCAAACGGGGTTTCTTCCTTTAATGCTAGACTAAGAAGAGTTCTCAGTAACTTTTTTGTGTTGTGTGTATTCAACTCACAGAGTTGAACCTTGCTTTAGAGAGAGCAGATTTGAAACACTCTTGCTGTGGCATTTTCAGGTGGAGATTTCAAGCGTTTTGAGGACAATTGCAGAAAAGGAAATATCTTCGTATAATAACCAGACAGAATCATTCTCAGAAAGTGCTTTGTGATGTGTGCATTCAACTCACAGAGTTTAACCTTTCTTTTCATAGAGGAGTTTGGAAACACACTGTTTGTAAAGTCTGCAAGTGGATATATGGACCTGTTTGAGGCCTTCGTTGGAAACGGGATTTCTTCATTGAATGCTAGACGGAAGAATTCTCAGTAAATTCTTTGTGTTGTGTGCATTCAACTCACAGAGTGGAACGTCCCTTTAGACAGAGCAGATTTGAAACACTCTTTTTGCGGAATTTGCAAGTGGAGATTTCTAGCCATTTGATGCCAACAGTGCAAAGGGAAATATCTTCAAATAAAAACCAGACAGAATCATTCTCAGAAAATTCTTTGTGATGTGTGCGTTCAACTCACATAGTTTAACCTTTCTTTTCATAGAGCAGTTTGGAAACACTCTGTTTGTAAAGTCTGCAAGTGGATATATGGACCGCATTGAGGCCTTCGTTGGAAACGGGATTTCTTCATTTCATGCTAGACAGAAGAATTCTCAGTAACTTCTTTGTGCTGTGTGTATTCAACTCACAGAGTGGAACGTCCCTTTGCACAGAGCAGATTTGAAACACTCTTTTTGTGGAGTTTGCAAGTGGAGATTTCAAGCGATTTGATGCCAACAGTAGAAAAGGAAATATCTTCAAATAAAAACTAGACAGAATCATTCTCAGAAACTACTTTGTGATGTGTGCCTTCAACTCACAGAGTTTAACCTTTCTTTTCTTAGAGCAGTTTAGAAACACTCTGCTTGTTATGTCTGCAAGTGGATATTTGGACCTCTTTGAGGCCTTCGTTGCAAACGGGGTTTCTTCCTTTCATGCTAGACTAAGAAGAGTTCTCAGTAACTTTTTTGTGTTGTGTGTATTCAACTCACAGAGTTGAACCTTGCTTTAGAGAGAGCAGATTTGAAACACTCTTGCTGTGGCATTTTCAGGTGGAGATTTCAAGCGATTTGAGGACAATTGCAGAAAAGGAAATATCTTCGTATAACAACCAGACAGAATCATTCTCAGAAAGTGCTTTGTGATGTGTGCGTTCAACTCACAGAGTTTAACCTTTCTTTTCATAGAGGAGTTTGGAAACACACTGTTTGTAAAGTCTGCAATTGGATATATGGACCTGTTTGAGGCCTTCGTTGGAAACGGGATTTCTTCATTGAATGCTAGACGGAAGAATTCTCAGTAAATTCTTTGTGTTGTGTGCATTCAACTCACAGAGTGGAACGTCCCTTTAGACAGAGCAGATTTGAAACACTCTTTTTGCGGAATTTGCAAGTGGAGATTTCTAGCCATTTGATGCCAACAGTAGAAAGGGAAATATCTTCAAATAAAAACCAGACAGAATCATTCTCAGAAAATTCTTTGTGATGTGTGCGTTCAACTCACATAGTTTAACCTTTCTTTTCATAGAGCAGTTTGGAAACACTCTGTTTGTAAAGTCTGCAAGTGGATATATGGACCGCATTG
Organism: Homo sapiens; assembly: GCF_000001405.40. Taxonomy (NCBI): domain Eukaryota; kingdom Metazoa; phylum Chordata; class Mammalia; order Primates; family Hominidae; genus Homo; species Homo sapiens. Next base: position 59,921,934 of record NC_000007.14, read on the forward strand.
AGGCCTTCTTTGGAAACGGGATTTCTTCATTTCATGCTAGACAGAAGAATTCTCAGTAACTTCTTTGTGCTGTGTGTATTCAACTCACAGAGTGGAACGTCCCTTTGCACAGAGCAGATTTGAAACACTCTTTTTGTGGAATTTGCAAGTGGAGATTTCAAGCGATTTGATGCCAACAGTAGAAAAGGAAATATCTTCAAATAAAAACTAGACAGAATCATTCTCAGAAACTACTTTGTGATGTGTGCCTTCAACTCACAGAGTTTAACCTTTCTTTTCTTAGAGCAGTTTAGAAACACTCTGCTTGTTATGTCTGCAAGTGGATATTTGGACCTCTTTGAGGCCTTCGTTGCAAACGGGGTTTCTTCCTTTCATGCTAGACTAAGAAGAGTTCTCAGTAACTTTTTTGTGTTGTGTGTATTCAACTCACAGAGTTGAACCTTGCTTTAGAGAGAGCAGATTTGAAACACTCTTGCTGTGGCATTTTCAGGTGGAGATTTCAAGCGATTTGAGGACAATTGCAGAAAAGGAAATATCTTCGTATAATAACCAGACAGAATCATTCTCAGAAAGTGCTTTGTGATGTGTGCGTTCAACTCACAGAGTTTAACCTTTCTTTTCATAGAGGAGTTTGGAAACACACTGTTTGTAAAGTCTGCAATTGGATATATGGACCTGTTTGAGGCCTTCGTTGGAAACGGGATTTCTTCATTGAATGCTAGACGGAAGAATTCTCAGTAAATTCTTTGTGTTGTGTGCATTCAACTCACAGAGTGGAACGTCCCTTTAGACAGAGCAGATTTGAAACACTCTTTTTGCGGAATTTGCAAGTGGAGATTTCTAGCCATTTGATGCCAACAGTAGAAAGGGAAATATCTTCAAATAAAAACCAGACAGAATCATTCTCAGAAAATTCTTTGTGATGTGTGCGTTCAACTCACATAGTTTAACCTTTCTTTTCATAGAGCAGTTTGGAAACACTCTGTTTGTAAAGTCTGCAAGTGGATATATGGACCGCATTGAGGCCTTCGTTGGAAACGGGATTTCTTCATTTCATGCTAGACAGAAGAATTCTCAGTAACTTCTTTGTGCTGTGTGTATTCAACTCACAGAGTGGAACGTCCCTTTGCACAGAGCAGATTTGAAACACTCTTTTTGTGGAATTTGCAAGTGGAGATTTCAAGCGATTTGATGCCAACAGTAGAAAAGGAAATATCTTCAAATAAAAACTAGACAGAATCATTCTCAGAAACTACTTTGTGATGTGTGCCTTCAACTCACAGAGTTTAACCTTTCTTTTCTTAGAGCAGTTTAGAAACACTCTGCTTGTTATGTCTGCAAGTGGATATTTGGACCTCTTTGAGGCCTTCGTTGCAAACGGGGTTTCTTCCTTTCATGCTAGACTAAGAGAGTTCTCAGTAACTTTTTTGTGTTGTGTGTATTCAACTCACAGAGTTGAACCTTGCTTTAGAGAGAGCAGATTTGAAACACTCTTGCTGTGGCATTTTCAGGTGGAGATTTCAAGCGATTTGAGGACAATTGCAGAAAAGGAAATATCTTCGTATAATAACCAGACAGAATCATTCTCAGAAAGTGCTTTGTGATGTGTGCGTTCCACTCACAGAGTTTAACCTTTCTTTTCATAGAGGAGTTTGGAAACACACTGTTTGTAAAGTCTGCAAGTGGATATATGGACCTGTTTGAGGCCTTCGTTGGAAACGGGATTTCTTCATTGAATGCTAGACGGAAGAATTCTCAGTAAATTCTTTGTGTTGTGTGCATTCAACTGACAGAGTGGAACGTCCCTTTAGACAGAGCAGATTTGAAACACTCTTTTTGCGGAATTTGCAAGTGGAGATTTCTAGCCATTTGATGCCAACAGTAGAAAGGGAAATATCTTCAAATAAAAACCAGACAGAATCATTCTCAGAAAATTCTTTGTGATGTGTGCGTTCAACTCACATAGTTTAACCTTTCTTTTCATAGAGCAGTTTGGAAACACTCTGTTTGTAAAGTCTGCAAGTGGATATATGGACCGCATTGAGGCCTTCGTTGGAAACGGGATTTCTTCATTTCATGCTAGACAGAAGAATTCTCAGTAACTTCTTTGTGCTGTGTGTATTCAACTCACAGAGTGGAACGTCCCTTTACACAGAGCAGATTTGAAACACTCTTTTTGTGGAGTTTGCAAGTGGAGATTTCAAGCGATTTGATGCCAACAGTAGAAAAGGAAATATCTTCAAATAAAAACTAGACAGAATCATTCTCAGAAACTACTTTGTGATGTGTGCCTTCAACTCACAGAGTTTAACCTTTCTTTTCTTAGAGCAGTTTAGAAACACTCTGCTTGTTATGTCTGCAAGTGGATATTTGGACCTCTTTGAGGCCTTCGTTGCAAACGGGGTTTCTTCCTTTCATGCTAGACTAAGAAGTGTTCTCAGTAACTTTTTTGTGTTGTGTGTATTCAACTCACAGAGTTGAACCTTGCTTTAGAGAGAGCAGATTTGAAACACTCTTGCTGTGGCATTTTCAGGTGGAGATTTCAAGCGATTTGAGGACAATTGCAGAAAAGGAAATATCTTCGTATAATAACCAGACAGAATCATTCTCAGAAAGTGCTTTGTGATGTGTGCGTTCAACTCACAGAGTTTAACCTTTCTTTTCATAGAGGAGTTTGGAAACACACTGTTTGTAAAGTCTGCAGGTGGATACATGGACCTGTTTGAGGCCTTCGTTGGAAACGGGATTTCTTCATTGAATGCTAGACGGAAGAATTCTCAGTAAATTCTTTGTGTTGTGTGCATTCAACTCACAGAGTGGAACGTCCCTTTAGACAGAGCAGATTTGAAACACTCTTTTTGCGGAATTTGCAAGTGGAGATTTCTAGCCATTTGATGCCAACAGTAGAAAGGGAAATATCTTCAAATAAAAACCAGACAGAATCATTCTCAGAAAATTCTTTGTGATGTGTGCGTTCAACTCACATAGTTTAACCTTTCTTTTCATAGAGCAGTTTGGAAACACTCTGTTTGTAAAGTCTGCAAGTGGATCTATGGACCGCATTGAGGCCTTCGTTGGAAACGGGATTTCTTCATTTCATGCTAGACAGAAGAATTCTCAGTAACTTCTTTGTGCTGTGTGTATTCAACTCACAGAGTGGAACGTCTCTTTACACAGAGCAGATTTGAAACACTCTTTTTGTGGAGTTTGCAAGTGGAGATTTCAAGCGATTTGATGCCAACAGTAGAAAATGAAATATCTTCAAATAAAAACTAGACAGAATCATTCTCAGAAACTACTTTGTGATGTGTGCCTTCAACTCACAGAGTTTAACCTTTCTTTTCTTAGAGCAGTTTAGAAACACTCTGCTTGTTATGTCTGCAAGTGGATATTTGGACCTCTTTGAGGCCTTCGTTGCAAACGGGGTTTCTTCCTTTCATGCTAGACTAAGAAGAGTTCTCAGTAACTTTTTTGTGTTGTGTTTATTCAACTCACAGAGTTGAACCTTGCTTTAGAGAGAGCAGATTTGAAACACTCTTGCTGTGGCATTTTCAGGTGGAGATTTCAAGCGATTTGAGGACAATTGCAGAAAAGGAAATATCTTCGTATAATAACCAGACAGAATCATTCTCAGAAATTGCTTTGTGATGTGTGCGTTCAATTCACAGAGTTTAACCTTTCTTTCCATAGAGGAGTTTCGAAACACACTGTTTGTAAAGTCTGCAATTGGATATATGGACCTGTTTGAGGCCTTCGTTGGAAACGGGATTTCTTCATTGAATGCTAGACGGAAGGGTTCTCAGTAAATTCTTTGTGTTGTGTGCATTCAACTCACAGAATGGAACGTCCCTTTAGACAGAGCAGATTTGAAACACTCTTTTTGCGGAATTTGCAAGTGGAGATTTCTAGCCATTTGATGCCAACAGTAGAAAGGGAAATATCTTCAAATAAAAACCAGACAGAATCATTCTCAGAAAATTCTTTGTGATGTGTGCGTTCAACTCACATAGTTTAACCTTTCTTTTCATAGAGCAGTTTGGAAACACTCTGTTTGTAAAGTCTGCAAGTGGACATATGGACCGCATTGAGGCCTTCGTTGGAAACGGGATTTCTTCATTTCATGCTAGACAGAAGAATTCTCAGTAACTCCTTTGTGCTGTGTGTATTCAACTCACAGAGTGGAACGTCCCTTTGCACAGAGCAGATTTGAAACACTCTTTTTGTGGAATTTGCAAGTGGAAATTTCAAGCGATTTGATGCCAACAGTAGAAAAGGAAATATCTTCAAATAAAAACTAGACAGAATCATTCTCAGAAACTACTTTGTGATGTGTGCCTTCAACTCACAGAGTTTAACCTTTCTTTTCATAGAGCAGTTTAGAAACACTCTGCTTGTTATGTCTGCAAGTGGATATTTGGACCTCTTTGAGGCCTTCGTTGCAAACGGGGTTTCTTCCTTTCATGCTAGACTAAGAAGAGTTCTCAGTAACTTTTTTGTGTTGTGTGTATTCAACTCACAGAGTTGAACCTTGCTTTAGAGAGAGCAGATTTGAAACACTCTTGCTGTGGCATTTTCAGGTGGAGATTTCAAGCGTTTTGAGGACAATTGCAGAAAAGGAAATATCTTCGTATAATAACCAGACAGAATCATTCTCAGAAAGTGCTTTGTGATGTGTGCGTTCAACTCACAGAGTTTAACCTTTCTTTTCATAGAGGAGTTTGGAAACACACTGTTTGTAAAGTCTGCAAGTGGATATATGGACCTGTTTGAGGCCTTCGTTGGAAACGGGATTTCTTCATTGAATGCTACACGGAAGAATTCTCAGTAAATTCTTTGTGTTGTGTGCATTCAACTCACAGAGTGGAACGTCACTTTAGACAGAGCAGATTTGAAACACACTTTTTGCGGAATTTGCAAGTGGAGATTTCTAGCCATTTGATGCCAACAGTAGAAAGGGAAATATCTTCAAATAAAAACCAGACAGAATCATTCTCAGAAAATTCTTTGTGATGTGTGCGTTCAACTCACATAGTTTAACCTTTCTTTTCATAGAGCAGTTTGGAAACACTCTGTTTGTAAAGTCTGCAAGTGGATATATGGACCGCATTGAGGCCTTCGTTGGAAACGGGATTTCTTCATTTCATGCTAGACAGAAGAATTCTCAGTAACTTCTTTGTGCTGTGTGTATTCAACTCACAGAGTGGAACGTCCCTTTGCACAGAGCAGATTTGAAACACTCTTTTTGTGGAATTTGCAAGTGGAAATTTCAAGCGATTTGATGCCAACAGTAGAAAAGGAAATATCTTCAAATAAAAACTAGACAGAATCATTCTCAGAAACTACTTTGTGATGTGTGCCTTCAACTCACAGAGTTTAACCTTTCTTTTCTTAGAGCAGTTTAGAAACACTCTGCTTGTTATGTCTGCAAGTGGATATTTGGACCTCTTTGAGGCCTTCGTTGCAAACGGGGTTTCTTCCTTTCATGCTAGACTAAGAAGAGTTCTCAGTAACTTTTTTGTGTTGTGTGTATTCAACTCACAGAGTTGAACCTTGCTTTAGAGAGAGCAGATTTGAAACACTCTTGCTGTGGCATTTTCAGGTGGAGATTTCAAGCGATTTGAGGACAATTGCAGAAAAGGAAATATCTTCGTATAATAACCAGACAGAATCATTCTCAGAAAGTGCTTTGTGATGTGTGCGTTCAACTCACAGAGTTTAACCTTTCTTTTCATAGAGGAGTTTGGAAACACACTGTTTGTAAAGTCTGCAATTGGATATATGGACCTGTTTGAGGCCTTCGTTGGAAACGGGATTTCTTCATTGAATGCTAGACGGAAGAATTCTCAGTAAATTCTTTGTGTTGTGTGCATTCAACTCACAGAGTGGAACGTCCCTTTAGACAGAGCAGATTTGAAACACTCTTTTTGCGGAATTTGCAAGTGGAGATTTCTAGCCATTTGATGCCAACAGTAGAAAGGGAAATATCTTCAAATAAAAACCAGACAGAATCATTCTCAGAAAATTCTTTGTGATGTGTGCGTTCAACTCACATAGTTTAACCTTTCTTTTCATAGAGCAGTTTGGAAACACTCTGTTTGTAAAGTCTGCAAGTGGATATATGGACCGCATTGAGGCCTTCGTTGGAAACGGGATTTCTTCATTTCATGCTAGACAGAAGAATTCTCAGTAACTTCTTTGTGCTGTGTGTATTCAACTCACAGAGTGGAACGTCCCTTTGCACAGAGCAGATTTGAAACACTCTTTTTGTGGAGTTTGCAAGTGGAGATTTCAAGCGATTTGATGCCAACAGTAGAAAAGGAAATATCTTCAAATAAAAACTAGACAGAATCATTCTCAGAAACTACTTTGTGATGTGTGCCTTCAACTCACAGAGTTTAACCTTTCTTTTCTTAGAGCAGTTTAGAAACACTCTGCTTGTTATGTCTGCAAGTGGATATTTGGACCTCTTTGAGGCCTTCGTTGCAAACGGGGTTTCTTCCTTTAATGCTAGACTAAGAAGAGTTCTCAGCAACTTTTTTGTGTTGTGTGTATTCAACTCACAGAGTTGAACCTTGCTTTAGAGAGAGCAGATTTGAAACACTCTTGCTGTGGAATTTTCAGGTGGAGATTTCAAGCGATTTGAGGACAATTGCAGAAAAGGAAATATCTTCGTATAATAACCAGACAGAATCATTCTCAGAAAGTGCTTTGTGATGTGTGCGTTCAACTCACAGAGTTTAACCTTTCTTTTCATAGAGGAGTTTGGAAACACACTGTTTGTAAAGTCTGCAATTGGATATATGGACCTGTTTGAGGCCTTCGTTGGAAACGGGATTTCTTCATTGCATGCTAGACGGAAGAATTCTCAGTAAATTCTTTGTGTTGTGTGCATTCAACTGACAGAGTGGAACGTCCCTTTAGACAGAGCAGATTTGAAACACTCTTTTTGCGGAATTTGCAAGTGGAGATTTCTAGCCATTTGATGCCAACAGTAGAAAGGGAAATATCTTCAAATAAAAACCAGACAGAATCATTCTCAGAAAATTCTTTGTGATGTGTGCGTTCAACTCACATAGTTTAACCTTTCTTTTCATAGAGCAGTTTGGAAACACTCTGTTTGTAAAGTCTGCAAGTGGATCTATGGACCGCATTGAGGCCTTCGTTGGAAACGGGATTTCTTCATTTCATGCTAGACAGAAGAATTCTCAGTAACTTCTTTGTGCTGTGTGTATTCAACTCACAGAGTGGAACGTCCCTTTGCACAGAGCAGATTTGAAACACTCTTTTTGTGGAGTTTGCAAGTGGAGATTTCAAGCGATTTGATGCCAACAGTAGAAAAGGAAATATCTTCAAATAAAAACTAGACAGAATCATTCTCAGAAACTACTTTGTGATGTGTGCCTTCAACTCACAGAGTTTAACCTTTCTTTTCTTAGAGCAGTTTAGAAACACTCTGCTTGTTATGTCTGCAAGTGGATATTTGGACCTCTTTGAGGCCTTCGTTGCAAACGGGGTTTCTTCCTTTCATGCTAGACTAAGAAGAGTTCTCAGTAACTTTTTTGTGTTGTGTGTATTCAACTCACAGAGTTGAACCTTGCTTTAGAGAGAGCAGATTTGAAACACTCTTGCTGTGGCATTTTCAGGTGGAGATTTCAAGCGATTTGAGGACAATTGCAGAAAAGGAAATATCTTCGTATAATAACCAGACAGAATCATTCTCAGAAAGTGCTTTGTGATGTGTGCATTCCACTCACAGAGTTTAACCTTTCTTTTCATAGAGGAGTTTGGAAACACACTGTTTGTAAAGTCTGCAAGTGGATATATGGACCTCTTTGAGGCCTTCGTTGGAAACGGGATTTCTTCATTGAATGCTAGACGGAAGAATTCTCAGTAAATTCTTTGTGTTGTGTGCATTCAACTCACAGAGTGGAACGTCCCTTTAGACAGAGCAGATTTGAAACACTCTTTTTGCGGAATTTGCAAGTGGAGATTTCTAGCCATTTGATGCCAACAGTAGAAAGGGAAATATCTTCAAATAAAAACCAGACAGAATCATTCTCAGAAAATTCTTTGTGATGTGTGCGTTCAACTCACATAGTTTAACCTTTCTTTTCATAGAGCAGTTTGGAAACACTCTGTTTGTAAAGTCTGCAAGTGGATATATGGACCGCATTGAGGCCTTCGTTGGAAACGGGATTTCTTCATTTCATGCTAGACAGAAGAATTCTCAGTAACTTCTTTGTGCTGTGTGTATTCAACTCACAGAGTGGAACGTCCCTTTGCACAGAGCAGATTTGAAACACTCTTTTTGTGGAGTTTGCAAGTGGAGATTTCAAGCGATTTGATGCCAACAGTAGAAAAGGAAATATCTTCAAATAAAAACTAGACAGAATCATTCTCAGAAACTACTTTGTGATGTGTGCCTTCAACTCACAGAGTTTAACCTTTCTTTTCTTAGAGCAGTTTAGAAACACTCTGCTTGTTATGTCTGCAAGTGGATATTTGGACCTCTTTGAGGCCTTCGTTGCAAACGGGGTTTCTTCCTTTCATGCTAGACTAAGAAGAGTTCTCAGTAACTTTTTTGTGTTGTGTGTATTCAACTCACAGAGTTGAACCTTGCTTTAGAGAGAGCAGATTTGAAACACTCTTGCTGTGGCATTTTCAGGTGGAGATTTCAAGCGATTTGAGGACAATTGCAGAAAAGGAAATATCTTCGTATAACAACCAGACAGAATCATTCTCAGAAAGTGCTTTGTGATGTGTGCGTTCAACTCACAGAGTTTAACCTTTCTTTTCATAGAGGAGTTTGGAAACACACTGTTTGTAAAGTCTGCAATTGGATATATGGACCTGTTTGAGGCCTTCGTTGGAAACGGGATTTCTTCATTGAATGCTAGACGGAAGAATTCTCAGTAAATACTTTGTGTTGTGTGCATTCAACTGACAGAGTGGAACGTCCCTTTAGACAGAGCAGATTTGAAACACTCTTTTTGCGGAATTTGCAAGTGGAGATTTCTAGCCATTTGATGCCAACAGTAGAAAGGGAAATATCTTCAAATAAAAACCAGACAGAATCATTCTCAGAAAATTCTTTGTGATGTGTGCGTTCAACTCACATAGTTTAACCTTTCTTTTCATAGAGCAGTTTGGAAACACTCTGTTTGTAAAGTCTGCAAGTGGATATATGGACCGCATTGAGGCCTTCGTTGGAAACGGGATTTCTTCATTTCATGCTAGACAGAAGAATTCTCAGTAACTTCTTTGTGCTGTGTGTATTCAACTCACAGAATGGAACGTCCCTTTGCACAGAGCAGATTTGAAACACTCTTTTTGTGGAGTTTGCAAGTGGAGATTTCAAGCGATTTGATGCCAACAGTAGAAAAGGAAATATCTTCAAATAAAAACTAGACAGAATCATTCTCAGAAACTACTTTGTGATGTGTGCCTTCAACTCACAGAGTTTAACCTTTCTTTTCTTAGAGCAGTTTAGAAACACTCTGCTTGTTATGTCTGCAAGTGGATATTTGGACCTCTTTGAGGCCTTCGTTGCAAACGGGGTTTCTTCCTTTAATGCTAGACTAAGAAGAGTTCTCAGTAACTTTTTTGTGTTGTGTGTATTCAACTCACAGAGTTGAACCTTGCTTTAGAGAGAGCAGATTTGAAACACTCTTGCTGTGGCATTTTCAGGTGGAGATTTCAAGCGATTTGAGGACAATTGCAGAAAAGGAAATATCTTCGTATAATAACCAGACAGAATCATTCTCAGAAAGTGCTTTGAGATGTGTGCGTTCAACTCACAGAGTTTAACCTTTCTTTTCATAGAGGAGTTTGGAAACACACTGTTTGTAAAGTCTGCAATTGGATATATGGACCTGTTTGAGGCCTTCTGTTGGAAACGGGATTTACTTCATTGAATGCTAGACGGAAGAATTCTCAGTAAATTCTTTGTGTTGTGTGCATTCAACTCACAGAGTGGAACGTCCCTTTAGACAGAGCAGATTTGAAACACTCTTTTTGCGGAATTTGCAAGTGGAGATTTCTAGCCATTTGATGCCAACAGTAGAAAGGGAAATATCTTCAAATAAAAACCAGACAGAATCATTCTCAGAAAATTCTTTGTGATGTGTGCGTTCAACTCACATAGTTTAACCTTTCTTTTCATAGAGCAGTTTGGAAACACTCTGTTTGTAAAGTCTGCAAGTGGATATATGGACCGCATTGAGGCCTTCGTTGGAAACGGGATTTCTTCATTTCATGCTACACAGAAGAATTCTCAGTAACTTCTTTGTGCTGTGTGTATTCAACTCACAGAGTGGAACGTCCCTTTGCACAGAGCAGATTTGAAACACTCTTTTTGTGGAGTTTGCAAGTGGAGATTTCAAGCGATTTGATGCCAACAGTAGAAAAGGAAATATCTTCAAATAAAAACTAGACAGAATCATTCTCAGAAACTACTTTGTGATGTGTGCCTTCAACTCACAGAGTTTAACCTTTCTTTTCTTAGAGCAGTTTAGAAACACTCTGCTTGTTATGTCTGCAAGTGGATATTTGGACCTCTTTGAGGCCTTCGTTGCAAACGGGGTTTCTTCCTTTCATGCTAGACTAAGAAGAGTTCTCAGTAACTTTTTTGTGTTGTGTGTATTCAACTCACAGAGTTGAACCTTGCTTTAGAGAGAGCAGATTTGAAACACTCTCGCTGTGGAATTTTCAGGTGGAGATTTCAAGCGATTTGAGAACAATTGCAGAAAAGGAAATATCTTCGTATAATAACCAGACAGAATCATTCTCAGAAAGTGCTTTGTGTTGTGTGCGTTCAACTCACAGAGTTTAACCTTTCTTTTCATAGAGGAGTTTGGAAACACACTGTTTGTAAAGTCTGCAATTGGATATATGGACCTGTTTGAGGCCTTCGTTGGAAACGGGATTTCTTCATTGAATGCTAGACGGAAGAATTCTCAGTAAATTCTTTGTGTTGTGTGCATTCAACTCACAGAGTGGAACGTCCCTTTAGACAGAGCAGATTTGAAACACTCTTTTTGCGGAATTTGCAAGTGGAGATTTCTAGCCATTTGATGCCAACAGTAGAAAGGGAAATATCTTCAAATAAAAACCAGACAGAATCATTCTCAGAAAATTCTTTGTGATGTGTGCGTTCAACTCACATAGTTTAACCTTTCTTTTCATAGAGCAGTTTGGAAACACTCTGTTTGTAAAGTCTGCAAGTGGATATATGGACCGCATTGAGGCCTTCGTTGGAAACGGGATTTCTTCATTTCATGCTAGACAGAAGAATTCTCAGTAACTTCTTTGTGCTGTGTGTATTCAACTCACAGAGTGGAACGTCCCTTTGCACAGAGCAGATTTGAAACACTCTTTTTGTGGAATTTGCAAGTGGAGATTTCAAGCGATTTGATGCCAACAGTAGAAAAGGAAATATCTTCAAATAAAAACTAGACAGAATCATTCTCAGAAACTACTTTGTGATGTGTGCCTTCAACTCACAGAGTTTAACCTTTCTTTTCTTAGAGCAGTTTAGAAACACTCTGCTTGTTATGTCTGCAAGTGGATATTTGGACCTCTTTGAGGCCTTCGTTGCAAACGGGGTTTCTTCCTTTCATGCTAGACTAAGAAGAGTTCTCAGTAACTTTTTTGTGTTGTGTGTATTCAACTCACAGAGTTGAACCTTGCTTTAGAGAGAGCAGATTTGAAACACTCTTGCTGTGGCATTTTCAGGTGGAGATTTCAAGCGATTTGAGGACAATTGCAGAAAAGGAAATATCTTCGTATAATAACCAGACAGAATCATTCTCAGAAAGTGCTTTGTGATGTGTGCGTTCAACTCACAGAGTTTAACCTTTCTTTTCATAGAGGAGTTTGGAAACACACTGTTTGTAAAGTCTGCAATTGGATATATGGACCTGTTTGAGGCCTTCGTTGGAAACGGGATTTCTTCATTGAATGCTAGACGGAAGAATTCTCAGTAAATTCTTTGTGTTGTGTGCATTCAACTCACAGAGTGGAACGTCCCTTTAGACAGAGCAGATTTGAAACACTCTTTTTGCGGAATTTGCAAGTGGAGATTTCTAGCCATTTGATGCCAACAGTAGAAAGGGAAATATCTTCAAATAAAAACCAGACAGAATCATTCTCAGAAAATTCTTTGTGATGTGTGCGTTCAACTCACATAGTTTAACCTTTCTTTTCATAGAGCAGTTTGGAAACACTCTGTAAAGTCTGCAAGTGGATATATGGACCGCATTGAGGCCTTCGTTGGAAACGGGATTTCTTCATTTCATGCTAGACAGAAGAATTCTCAGTAACTTCTTTGTGCTGTGTGTATTCAACTCACAGAGTGGAACGTCCCTTTACACAGAGCAGATTTGAAACACTCTTTTTGTGGAGTTTGCAAGTGGAGATTTCAAGCGATTTGATGCCAACAGTAGAAAAGGAAATATCTTCAAATAAAAACTAGACAGAATCATTCTCAGAAACTGCTTTGTGATGTGTGCCTTCAACTCACAGAGTTTAACCTTTCTTTTCTTAGAGCAGTTTAGAAACACTCTGCTTGTTATGTCTGCAAGTGGATATTTGGACCTCTTTGAGGCCTTCGTTGCAAACGGGGTTTCTTCCTTTCATGCTAGACTAAGAAGAGTTCTCAGTAACTTTTTTGTGTTGTGTGTATTCAACTCACAGAGTTGAACCTTGCTTTAGAGAGAGCAGATTTGAAACACTCTTGCTGTGGCATTTTCAGGTGGAGATTTCAAGCGATTTGAGGACAATTGCAGAAAAGGAAATATCTTCGTATAATAACCAGACAGAATCATTCTCAGAAAGTGCTTTGTGATGTGTGCGTTCAACTCACAGAGTTTAACCTTTCTTTTCATAGAGGAGTTTGGAAACACACTGTTTGTAAAGTCTGCAAGTGGATATATGGACCTCTTTGAGGCCTTCGTTGGAAACGGGATTTCTTCATTGAATGCTAGACGGAAGAATTCTCAGTAAATTCTTTGTGTTGTGTGCATTCAACTGACAGAGTGGAACGTCCCTTTAGACAGAGCAGATTTGAAACACTCTTTTTGCGGAATTTGCAAGTGGAGATTTCTAGCCATTTGATGCCAACAGTAGAAAGGGAAATATCTTCAAATAAAAACCAGACAGAATCATTCTCAGAAAATTCTTTGTGATGTGTGCGTTCAACTCACATAGTTTAACCTTTCTTTTCATAGAGCAGTTTGGAAACACTCTGTTTGTAAAGTCTGCAAGTGGATATATGGACCGCATTGAGGCCTTCGTTGGAAACGGGATTTCTTCATTTCATGCTAGACAGAAGAATTCTCAGTAACTTCTTTGTGCTGTGTGTATTCAACTCACAGAGTGGAACGTCCCTTTACACAGAGCAGATTTGAAACACTCTTTTTGTGGAGTTTGCAAGTGGAGATTTCAAGCGATTTGATGCCAACAGTAGAAAAGGAAATATCTTCAAATAAAAACTAGACAGAATCATTCTCAGAAACTACTTTGTGATGTGTGCCTTCAACTCACAGAGTTTAACCTTTCTTTTCTTAGAGCAGTTTAGAAACACTCTGCTTGTTATGTCTGCAAGTGGATATTTGGACCTCTTTGAGGCCTTCGTTGCAAACGGGGTTTCTTCCTTTCATGCTAGACTAAGAAGAGTTCTCAGTAACTTTTTTGTGTTGTGTGTATTCAACTCACAGAGTTGAACCTTGCTTTAGAGAGAGCAGATTTGAAACACTCTTGCTGTGGCATTTTCAGGTGGAGATTTCAAGCGATTTGAGGACAATTGCAGAAAAGGAAATATCTTCGTATAATAACCAGACAGAATCATTCTCAGAAAGTGCTTTGTGATGTGTGCGTTCAACTCACAGAGTTTAACCTTTCTTTTCATAGAGGAGTTTGGAAACACACTGTTTGTAAAGTCTGCAATTGGATATATGGACCTGTTTGAGGCCTTCTTTGGAAACGGGATTTCTTCATTGAATGCTAGACGGAAGAATTCTCAGTAAATTCTTTGTGTTGTGTGCATTCAACTCACAGAGTGGAACGTCCCTTTAGACAGAGCAGATTTGAAACACTCTTTTTGCGGAATTTGCAAGTGGAGATTTCTAGCCATTTGATGCCAACAGTAGAAAGGGAAATATCTTCAAATAAAAACCAGACAGAATCATTCTCAGAAAATTCTTTGTGATGTGTGCATTCAACTCACATAGTTTAACCTTTCTTTTCATAGAGCAGTTTGGAAACACTCTGTTTGTAAAGTCTGCAAGTGGATATATGGACTGTATTGAGGCCTTCGTTGGAAACGGGATTTCTTCATTTCATGCTAGACAGAAGAATTCTCAGTAACTTCTTTGTGCTGTGTGTATTCAACTCACAGAGTGGAACGTCCCTTTACACAGAGCAGATTTGAAACACTCTTTTTGTGGAGTTTGCAAGTGGAGATTTCAAGCGATTTGATGCCAACAGTAGAAAAGGAAATATCTTCAAATAAAAACTAGACAGAATCATTTTCAGAAACTACTTTGTGATGTGTGCCTTCAACTCACAGAGTTTAACCTTTCTTTTCTTAGAGCAGTTTAGAAACACTCTGCTTGTTATGTCTGCAAGTGGATATTTGGACCTCTTTGAGGCCTTCGTTGCAAACGGGGTTTCTTCCTTTCATGCTAGACTAAGAAGAGTTCTCAGTAACTTTTTTGTGTTGTGTGTATTCAACTCACAGAGTTGAACCTTGCTTTAGAGAGAGCAGATGTGAAACACTCTTGCTGTGGCATTTTCAGGTGGAGATTTCAAGCGATTTGAGGACAATTGCAGAAAAGGAAATATCTTCGTATAATAACCAGACAGAATCATTCTCAGAAAGTGCTTTGTGATGTGTGCGTTCAACTCACAGAGTTTAACCTTTCTTTTCATAGAGGAGTTTGGAAACACACTGTTTGTAACGTCTGCAATTGGATATATGGACCTGTTTGAGGCCTTCGTTGGAAACGGGATTTCTTCATTGAATGCTAGACGGAAGAATTCTCAGTAAATTCTTTGTGTTGTGTGCATTCAACTCACAGAGTGGAACGTCCCTTTAGACAGAGCAGATTTGAAACACTCTTTTTGCGGAATTTGCAAGTGGAGATTTCTAGCCATTTGATGCCAACAGTAGAAAGGGAAATATCTTCAAATAAAAACCAGACAGAATCATTCTCAGAAAATTCTTTGTGATGTGTGCGTTCAACTCACATAGTTTAACCTTTCTTTTCATAGAGCAGTTTGGAAACACTCTGTTTGTAAAGTCTGCAAGTGGATATATGGACCGCATTGAGGCCTTCGTTGGAAACGGGATTTCTTCATTTCATGCTAGACAGAAGAATTCTCAGTAACTTCTTTGTGCTGTGTGTATTCAACTCACAGAGTGGAACGTCCCTTTACACAGAGCAGATTTGAAACACTCTTTTTGTGGAATTTGCAAGTGGAGATTTCAAGCGATTTGATGCCAACAGTAGAAAAGGAAATATCTTCAAATAAAAACTAGACAGAATCATTCTCAGAAACTACTTTGTGATGTGTGCCTTCAACTCACAGAGTTTAACCTTTCTTTTCTTAGAGCAGTTTAGAAACACTCTGCTTATTATGTCTGCAAGTGGATATTTGGACCTCTTTGAGGCCTTCGTTGCAAACGGGGTTTCTTCCTTTCATGCTAGACTAAGAAGAGTTCTCAGTAACTTTTTTGTGTTGTGTGTATTCAACTCACAGAGTTGAACCTTGCTTTAGAGAGAGCAGATTTGAAACACTCTTGCTGTGGCATTTTCAGGTGGAGATTTCAAGCGATTTGAGGACAATTGCAGAAAAGGAAATATCTTCGTATAATAACCAGACAGAATCATTCTCAGAAAGTGCTTTGTGATGTGTGCGTTCAACTCACAGAGTTTAACCTTTCTTTTCATAGAGGAGTTTGGAAACACACTGTTTGTAAAGTCTGCAAGTGGATATATGGACCAGTTTGAGGCCTTCGTTGGAAACGGGATTTCTTCATTGAATGCTAGACGGAAGAATTCTCAGTAAATTCTTTGTGTAGTGTGCATTCAACTCACAGAATGGAACGTCCCTTTAGACAGAGCAGATTTGAAACACTCTTTTTGCGCAATTTGCAAGTGGAGATTTCTAGCCATTTGATGCCAACAGTAGAAAGGGAAATATCTTCAAATAAAAACCAGACAGAATCATTCTCAGAAAATTCTTTGTGATGTGTGCGTTCAAATCACATAGTTTAACCTTTCTTTTCATAGAGCAGTTTGGAAACACTCTGTTTGTAAAGTCTTCAAGTGGATATATGGACCGCATTGAGGCCTTCGTTGGAAACGGGATTTCTCCATTTCATGCTAGACAGAAGAATTCTCAGTAACTTCTTTGTGCTGTGTGTATTCAACTCACAGAGTGGAACGTCCCTTTGCACAGAGCAGATTTGAAACACTCTTTTTGTGGAGTTTGCAAGTGGAGATTTCAAGCGATTTGATGCCAACAGTAGAAAAGGAAATATCTTCAAATAAAAACTAGACAGAATCATTCTCAGAAACTACTTTGTGATGTGTGCCTTCAACTCACAGAGTTTAACCTTTCTTTTCTTAGAGCAGTTTAGAAACACTCTGCTTGTTATGTCTGCAAGTGGATATTTGGACCTCTTTGAGGCCTTCGTTGCAAACGGGGTTTCTTCCTTTCATGCTAGACTAAGAAGAGTTCTCAGTAACTTTTTTGTGTTGTGTGTATTCAACTCACAGAGTTGAACCTTGCTTTAGAGAGAGCAGATTTGAAACACTCTTGCTGTGGCATTTTCAGGTGGAGATTTCAAGCGTTTTGAGGACAATTGCAGAAAAGGAAATATCTTCGTATAATAACCAGACAGAATCATTCTCAGAAAGTGCTTTGTGATGTGTGCGTTCCACTCACAGAGTTTAACCTTTCTTTTCATAGAGGAGTTTGGAAACACACTGTTTGTAAAGTCTGCAAGTGGATATATGGACCTGTTTGAGGCCTTCGTTGGAAACGGGATTTCTTCATTGAATGCTAGACGGAAGAATTCTCAGTAAATTCTTTGTGTTGTGTGCATTCAACTCACAGAGTGGAACGTCCCTTTAGACAGAGCAGATTTGAAACACTCTTTTTGCGGAATTTGCAAGTGGAGATTTCTAGCCATTTGATGCCAACAGTAGAAAGGGAAATATCTTCAAATAAAAACCAGACAGAATCATTCTCAGAAAATTCTTTGTGATGTGTGCGTTCAACTCACATAGTTTAACCTTTCTTTTCATAGAGCAGTTTGGGAACACTCTGTTGGTAATGTCTGCAAGTGGATATATGGACCGCTTTGAGGCCTTCGTTGGAAACGGGATTTCTTCATTTCATGCTAGACAGAAGAATTCTCAGTAACTTCTTTGTGTTGTGTGTATTCAACTCACAGATTGGAACGTCCCTTTACACAGAGCAGATTTGAAACACTCTTTTTGTGGAATTTGCAAGTGGAGATTTCAAGCGATTTGATGCCAACAGTAGAAAAGGAAATATCTGCAAACAAAAACTAGACAGAATCATTATCAGAAAGTGCTTTGTGATGTGTGCATTCAACTCACAGAGTTAACCTTTCTTTTCATAAAGGAGTTTGGAAACACACTGTTTGTAAAGTCTGCAATTGGATATATGGACCTGTTTGAGGCCTTCGTTGGAAACGGGATTTCTTCATTGAATGCTAGACGGAAGAATTCTCAGTAAATTCTTTGTGTTGTGTGCATTCAACTCACAGAGTGGAACGTCCCTTTAGACAGAGCAGATTTGAAACACTCTTTTTGCGGAATTTGCAAGTGGAGATTTCTAGCCATTTGATGCCAACAGTAGAAAGGGAAATATCTTCAAATAAAAACCAGACAGAATCATTCTCAGAAAATTCTTTGTGATGTGTGCGTTCAACTCACATAGTTTAACCTTTCTTTTCATAGAGCAGTTTGGAAACACTCTGTTTGTAAAGTCTGCAAGTGGATATATGGACCGCATTGAGGCCTTCGTTGGAAACGGGATTTCTTCATTTCATGCTAGACAGAAGAATTCTCAGTAACTTCTTTGTGCTGTGTGTATTCAACTCACAGAGTGGAACGTCCCTTTACACAGAGCAGATTTGAAACACTCTTTTTGTGGAGTTTGCAAGTGGAGATTTCAAGCGATTTGATGCCAACAGTAGAAAAGGAAATATCTTCAAATAAAAACTAGACAGAATCATTCTCAGAAACTACTTTGTGATGTGTGCCTTCAACTCACAGAGTTTAACCTTTCTTTTCTTAGAGCAGTTTAGAAACACTCTGCTTGTTATGTCTGCAAGTGGATATTTGGACCTCTTTGAGGCCTTCGTTGCAAACGGGGTTTCTTCCTTTCATGCTAGACTAAGAAGAGTTCTCAGTAACATTTTTGTGTTGTGTGTATTCAACTCACAGAGTTGAACCTTGCTTTAGAGAGAGCAGATTTGAAACACTCTTGCTGTGGCATTTTCAGGTGGAGATTTCAAGCGATTTGAGGACAATTGCAGAAAAGGAAATATCTTCGTATAACAACCAGACAGAATCATTCTCAGAAAGTGCTTTGTGTTGTGTGCGTTCAACTCACAGAGTTTAACCTTTCTTTTCATAGAGGAGTTTGGAAACACACTGTTTGTAAAGTCTGCAATTGGATATATGGACCTGTTTGAGGCCTTCGTTGGAAACGGGATTTCTTCATTGAATGCTAGACGGAAGAATTCTCAGTAAATTCTTTGTGTTGTGTGCATTCAACTCACAGAGTGGAACGTCCCTTTAGACAGAGCAGATTTGAAACACTCTTTTTGCGGAATTTGCAAGTGGAGATTTCTAGCCATTTGATGCCAACAGTAGAAAGGGAAATATCTTCAAATAAAAACCAGACAGAATCATTCTCAGAAAATTCTTTGTGATGTGTGCGTTCAACTCACATAGTTTAACCTTTCTTTTCATAGAGCAGTTTGGAAACACTCTGTTTGTAAAGTCTGCAAGTGGATATATGGACCGCATTGAGGCCTTCGTTGGAAACGGGATTTCTTCATTTCATGCTAGACAGAAGAATTCTCAGTAACTTCTTTGTGCTGTGTGTATTCAACTCACAGAGTGGAACGTCCCTTTGCACAGAGCAGATTTGAAACACTCTTTTTGTGGAGTTTGCAAG
Organism: Homo sapiens; assembly: GCF_000001405.40. Taxonomy (NCBI): domain Eukaryota; kingdom Metazoa; phylum Chordata; class Mammalia; order Primates; family Hominidae; genus Homo; species Homo sapiens. Next base: position 59,941,155 of record NC_000007.14, read on the forward strand.
TGGAGATTTCAAGCGATTTGATGCCAACAGTAGAAAAGGAAATATCTTCAAATAAAAACTAGACAGAATCATTCTCAGAAACTACTTTGTGATGTGTGCCTTCAACTCACAGAGTTTAACCTTTCTTTTCTTAGAGCAGTTTAGAAACACTCTGCTTGTTATGTCTGCAAGTGGATATTTGGACCTCTTTGAGGCCTTCGTTGCAAACGGGGTTTCTTCCTTTAATGCTAGACTAAGAAGAGTTCTCAGTAACTTTTTTGTGTTGTGTGTATTCAACTCACAGAGCTGAACCTTGCTTTAGAGAGAGCAGATTTGAAACACTCTTGCTGTGGCATTTTCAGGTGGAGATTTCAAGCGATTTGAGGACAATTTCAGAAAAGGAAATATCTTCGTATAACAACCAGACAGAATCATTCTCAGAAAGTGCTTTGTGATGTGTGCGTTCAACTCACAGAGTTTAACCTTTCTTTTCATAGAGGAGTTTGGAAACACACTGTTTGTAAAGTCTGCAATTGGATATATGGACCTGTTTGAGGCCTTCGTTGGAAACGGGATTTCTTCATTGAATGCTAGACGGAAGAATTCTCAGTAAATTCTTTGTGTGGTGTGCATTCAACTCACAGAGTGGAACGTCCCTTTAGACAGAGCAGATTTGAAACACTCTTTTTGCGGAATTTGCAAGTGGAGATTTACTAGCCATTTGATGCCAACAGTAGAAAGGGAAATATCTTCAAATAAAAACCAGACAGAATCATTCTCAGAAAATTCTTTGTGATGTGTGCGTTCAACTCACATAGTTTAACCTTTCTTTTCATAGAGCAGTTTGGAAACACTCTGTTTGTAAAGTCTGCAAGTGGATATATGGACCGCATTGAGGCCTTCGTTGGAAACGGGATTTCTTCATTTCATGCTAGACAGAAGAATTCTCAGTAACTTCTTTGTGCTGTGTGTATTCAACTCACAGAGTGGAACGTCCCTTTGCACAGAGCAGATTTGAAACACTCTTTTTGTGGAGTTTGTAATTGGAGATTTCAAGCGATTTGATGCCAACAGTAGAAAAGGAAATATCTTCAAATAAAAACTAGACAGAATCATTCTCAGAAACTACTTTGTGATGTGTGCCTTCAACTCACAGAGTTTAACCTTTCTTTTCTTAGAGCAGTTTAGAAACACTCTGCTTGTTATGTCTGCAAGTGGATATTTGGACCTCTTTGAGGCCTTCGTTGCAAACGGGGTTTCTTCCTTTCATGCTAGACTAAGAAGAGTTCTCAGTAACTTTTTTGTGTTGTGTGTATTCAACTCACAGAGCTGAACCTTGCTTTAGAGAGAGCAGATTTGAAACACTCTTGCTGTGGCATTTTCAGGTGGAGATTTCAAGCGATTTGAGGACAATTGCAGAAAAGGAAATATCTTCGTATAATAACCAGACAGAATCATTCTCAGAAAGTGCTTTGTGATGTGTGCGTTCCACTCACAGAGTTTAACCTTTCTTTTCATAGAGGAGTTTGGAAACACACTGTTTGTAAACTCTGCAAGTGGATATATGGACCTGTTTGAGGCCTTCGTTGGAAACGGGATTTCTTCATTGAATGCTAGACGGAAGAATTCTCAGTAAATTCTTTGTGTTGTGTGCATTCAACTCACAGAGTGGAACGTCCCTTTAGACAGAGCAGATTTGAAACACTCTTTTTGCGGAATTTGCAAGTGGAGATTTCTAGCCATTTGATGCCAACAGTAGAAAGGGAAATATCTTCAAATAAAAACCAGACAGAATCATTCTCAGAAAATTCTTTGTGATGTGTGCGTTCAACTCACAGAGTTTAACCTTTCTTTTCATAGAGCAGTTTGGAAACACTCTGTTTGTAAAGTCTGCAAGTGGATATATGGACCGCATTGAGGCCTTCGTTGGAAACGGGATTTCTTCATTTCATGCTAGACAGAAGAATTCTCAGTAACTTCTTTGTGCTGTGTGTATTCAACTCACAGAGTGGAACGTCCCTTTGCACAGAGCAGATTTGAAACACTCTTTTTGTGGAATTTGCAAGTGGAGATTTCAAGCGATTTGATGCCAACAGTAGAAAAGGAAATATCTTCAAATAAAAACTAGACAGAATCATTCTCAGAAACTACTTTGTGATGTGTGCCTTCAACTCACAGAGTTTAACCTTTCTTTTCTTAGAGCAGTTTAGAAACACTCTGCTTGTTATGTCTGCAAGTGGATATTTGGACCTCTTTGAGGCCTTCGTTGCAAACGGGGATTCTTCCTTTCATGCTAGACTAAGAAGAGTTCTCAGTAACTTTTTTGTGTTGTGTGTATTCAACTCACAGAGTTGAACCTTGCTTTAGAGAGAGCAGATTTGAAACACTCTTGCTGTGGCATTTTCAGGTGGAGATTTCAAGCGATTTGAGGACAATTGCAGAAAAGGAAATATCTTCGTATAATAACCAGACAGAATCATTCTCAGAAAGTGCTTTGTGATGTGTGCGTTCAACTCACAGAGTTTAACCTTTCTTTTCATAGAGGAGTTTGGAAACACACTGTTTGTAAAGTCTGCAAGTGGATATATGGACCTGTTTGAGGCCTTCGTTGGAAACGGGATTTCTTCATTGAATGCTAGACGGAAGAATTCTCAGTAAATTCTTTGTGTTGTGTGCATTCAACTCACAGAGTGGAACGTCCCTTTAGACAGAGCAGATTTGAAACACTCTTTTTGCGGAATTTGCAAGTGGAGATTTCTAGCCATTTGATGCCAACAGTAGAAAGGGAAATATCTTCAAATAAAAACCAGACAGAATCATTCTCAGAAAATTCTTTGTGATGTGTGCGTTCAACTCACATAGTTTAACCTTTCTTTTCATAGAGCAGTTTGGAAACACTCTGTTTGTAAAGTCTGCAAGTGGATATATGGACCGCATTGAGGCCTTCGTTGGAAACGGGATTTCTTCATTTCATGCTAGACAGAAGAATTCTCAGTAACTTCTTTGTGCTGTGTGTATTCAACTCACAGAGTGGAACGTCCCTTTACACAGAGCAGATTTGAAACACTCTTTTTGTGGACTTTGCAAGTGGAGATTTCAAGCGATTTGTTGCCAACAGTAGAAAAGGAAATATCTTCAAATAAAAACTAGACAGAATCATTCTCAGAAACTACTTTGTGATGTGTGCCTTCAACTCACAGAGTTTAACCTTTCTTTTCTTAGAGCAGTTTAGAAACACTCTGCTTGTTATGTCTGCAAGTGGATATTTGGACCTCTTTGAGGCCTTCGTTGCAAACGGGGTTTCTTCCTTTCATGCTAGACTAAGAAGAGTTCTCAGTAACTTTTCTGTGTTGTGTGTATTCAACTCACAGAGTTGAACCTTGCTTTAGAGAGAGCAGATTTGAAACACTCTTGCTGTGACATTTTCAGGTGGAGATTTCAAGCGATTTGAGGACAATTGCAGAAAAGGAAATATCTTCGTATAATAACCAGACAGAATCATTCTCAGAAAGTGCTTTGTGATGTGTGCGTTCAACTCACAGAGTTTAACCTTTCTTTTCATAGAGGAGTTTGGAAACACACTGTTTGTAAAGTCTGCAATTGGATATATGGACCTGTTTGAGGCCTTCGTTGGAAACGGGATTTCTTCATTGAATGCTAGACGGAAGAATTCTCAGTAAATTCTTTGTGTGGTGTGCATTCAACTCACAGAGTGGAACGTCCCTTTAGACAGAGCAGATTTGAAACACTCTTTTTGCGGAATTTGCAAGTGGAGATTTCTAGCCATTTGATGCCAACAGTAGAAAGGGAAATATCTTCAAATAAAAACCAGACAGAATCATTCTCAGAAAATTCTTTGTGATGTGTGCGTTCAACTCACATAGTATAACCTTTCTTTTCATAGAGCAGTTTGGAAACACTCTGTTTGTAAAGTCTGCAAGTGGATATATGGACCGCATTGAGGCCTTCGTTGCAAACGGGATTTCTTCATTTCATGCTAGACAGAAGAATTCTCAGTAACTTCTTTGTGCTGTGTGTATTCAACTCACAGAGTGGAACGTCCCTTTGCACAGAGCAGATTTGAAACACTCTTTTTGTGGAGTTTGCAAGTGGAGATTTCAAGCGATTTGATGCCAACAGTAGAAAAGGAAATATCTTCAAATAAAAACTAGACAGAATCATTCTCAGAAACTACTTTGTGATGTGTGCCTTCAACTCACAGAGTTTAACCTTTCTTTTCTTAGAGCAGTTTAGAAACACTCTGCTTGTTATGTCTGCAAGTGGATATTTGGACCTCTTTGAGGCCTTCGTTGCAAACGGGGTTTCTTCCTTTCATGCTAGACTAAGAGAGTTCTCAGTAACTTTTTTGTGTTGTGTGTATTCAACTCACAGAGTTGAACCTTGCTTTAGAGAGAGCAGATTTGAAACACTCTTGCTGTGGCATTTTCAGGTGGAGATTTCAAGCGATTTGAGGACAATTGCAGAAAAGAAAATATCTTCGTATAATAACCAGACGGAATCATTCTCAGAAAGTACTTTGTGATGTGTGCGTTCAACTCACAGAGTTTAACCTTTCTTTTCATAGAGGAGTTTGGAAACACACTGTTTGTAAAATCTGCAATTGGATATATGGACCTGTTTGAGGCCTTCGTTGGAAACGGGATTTCTTCATTGAATGCTAGACGGAAGAATTCTCAGTAAATTCTTTGTGTTGTGTGCATTCAACTCACAGAGTGGAACGTCCCTTTAGACAGAGCAGATTTGAAACAGTCTTTTTGCGGAATTTGCAAGTGGAGATTTCTAGCCATTTGATGCCAACAGTGGAAAGGGAAATATCTTCAAATAAAAACCAGACAGAATCATTCTCAGAAAATTCTTTGTGATGTGTGCGTTCAACTCACATAGTTTAACCTTTCTTTTCATGGAGCAGTTTGGAAACACTCTGTTTGTAAAGTCTGCAAGTGGATATATGGACCGCATTGAGGCCTTCGTTGGAAACGGGATTTCTTCATTTCATACTAGACAGAAGAATTCTCAGTAACTTCTTTGTGCTGTGTGTATTCAACTCACAGAGTGGAACATCCCTTTGCACAGAGCAGATTTGAAACACTCTTTTTGTGGAGTTTGCAAGTGGAGATTTCAAGCGATTTGATGCCAACAGTAGAAAAGGAAATATCTTCAAATAAAAACTAGACAGAATCATTCTCAGAAACTACTTTGTGATGTGTGCCTTCAACTCACAGAGTTTAACCTTTCTTTTCTTAGAGCAGTTTAGAAACACTCTGCTTGTTATGTCTGCAAGTGGATATTTGGACCTCTTTGAGGCCTTCGTTGCAAACGGGGTTTCTTCCTTTCATGCTAGACTAAGAAGAGTTCTCAGTAACTTTTTTGTGTTGTGTGTATTCAACTCACAGAGTTGAACCTTGCTTTAGAGAGAGCAGATTTGAAACACTCTTGCTGTGGCATTTTCAGGTGGAGATTTCAAGCGATTTGAGGACAATTGCAGAAAAGGAAATATCTTCGTATAATAACCAGACAGAATCATTCTCAGAAAGTGCTTTGTGATGTGTGCGTTCCACTCACAGAGTTTAACCTTTCTTTTCATAGAGGAGTTTGGAAACACACTGTTTGTAAAGTCTGCAAGTGGATATATGGACCTGTTTGAGGCCTTCGTTGGAAACGGGATTTCTTCATTGAATGCTAGACGGAAGAATTCTCAGTAAATTCTTTGTGTTGTGTGCATTCAACTCACAGAGTGGAACGTCCCTTTAGACAGAGCAGATTTGAAACACTCTTTTTGCGGAATTTGCAAGTGGAGATTTCTAGCCATTTGATGCCAACAGTAGAAAGGGAAATATCTTCAAATAAAAACCAGACAGAATCATTCTCAGAAAATTCTTTGTGATGTGTGCGTTCAACTCACATAGTTTAACCTTTCTTTTCATAGAGCAGTTTGGAAACAGTCTGTTTGTAAAGTCTGCAAGTGGATATACGGACCGCAATGAGGCCTTCGTTGGAAACGGGATTTCTTCATTTCATGCTAGACAGAAGAATTCTCAGTAACTTCTTTGTGCTGTGTGTATTCAACTCACAGAGTGGAACGTCCCTTTGCACAGAGCAGATTTGAAACACTCTTTTTGTGGAATTTGCAAGTGGAGATTTCAAGCGATTTGATGCCAACAGTAGAAAAGGAAATATCTTCAAATAAAAACTAGACAGAATCATTCTCAGAAACTACTTTGTGATGTGTGCCTTCAACTCACAGAGTTTAACCTTTCTTTTCTTAGAGCAGTTTAGAAACACTCTGCTTGTTATGTCTGCAAGTGGATATTTGGACCTCTTTGAGGCCTTCGTTGCAAACGGGGTTTCTTCCTTTCATGCTAGACTAAGAAGAGTTCTCAGTAACTTTTTTGTGTTGTGTGTATTCAACTAACAGAGTTGAACCTTGCTTTAGAGAGAGCAGATATGAAACACTCTTGCTGTGGCATTTTCAGGTGGAGATTTCAAGCGATTTGAGGACAATTGCAGAAAAGGAAATATCTTCGTATAATAACCAGACAGAATCATTCTCAGAAAGTGCTTTGTGATGTGTGCGTTCAACTCACAGAGTTTAACCTTTCTTTTCATAGAGGAGTTTGGAAACACACTGTTTGTAAAGTCTGCAATTGGATATATGGACCTGTTTGAGGCCTTCGTTGGAAACGGGATTTCTTCATTGAATGCTAGACGGAAGAATTCTCAGTAAATACTTTGTGTTGTGTGCATTCAACTGACAGAGTGGAACGTCCCTTTAGACAGAGCAGATTTGAAACACTCTTTTTGCGGAATTTGCAAGTGGAGATTTCTAGCCATTTGATGCCAACAGTAGAAAGGGAAATATCTTCAAATAAAAACCAGACAGAATCATTCTCAGAAAATTCTTTGTGATGTGTGCGTTCAACTCAAATAGTTTAACCTTTCTTTTCATAGAGCAGTTTGGAAACACTCTGTTTGTAAAGTCTGCAAGTGGATATATGGACCGCATTGAGGCCTTCGTTGGAAACGGGATTTCTTCATTTCATGCTAGACAGAAGAATTCTCAGTAACTTCTTTGTGCTGTGTGTATTCAACTCACAGAGTGGAACGTCCCTTTGCACAGAGCAGATTTGAAACACTCTTTTTGTGGAGTTTGCAAGTGGAGATTTCAAGCGATTTGATGCCAACAGTAGAAAAGGAAATATCTTCAAATAAAAACTAGACAGAATCATTCTCAGGAACTACTTTGTGATGTGTGCCTTCAACTCACAGAGTTTAACCTTTCTTTTCTTAGAGCAGTTTAGAAACACTCTGCTTGTTATGTCTGCAAGTGGATATTTGGACCTCTTTGAGGCCTTCGTTGCAAACGGGGTTTCTTCCTTTAATGCTAGACTAAGAAGAGTTCTCAGTAACTTTTTTGTGTTGTGTGTATTCAACTCACAGAGTTGAACCTTGCTTTAGAGAGAGCAGATTTGAAACACTCTTGCTGTGGCATTTTCAGGTGGAGATTTCAAGCGATTTGAGGACAATTGCAGAAAAGGAAATATCTTCGTATAATAACCAGACAGAATCATTCTCAGAAAATTCTTTGTGATGTGTGCGTTCAACTCACATAGTTTAACCTTTCTTTTCATAGAGGAGTTTGGAAACACTCTGTTTGTAAAGTCTGCAAGTGGATATATGGACCTGTTTGAGGCCTTCGTTGGAAACGGGATTTCTTCATTGAATGCTAGACGGAAGAATTCTCAGTAAATTCTTTGTGTTGTGTGCATTCAACTGACAGAGTGGAACGTCCCTTTAGACAGAGCAGATTTGAAACACTCTTTTTGCGGAATTTGCAAGTGGAGATTTCTAGCCATTTGATGCCAACAGTAGAAAGGGAAACATCTTCAAATAAAAACCAGACAGAATCATTCTCAGAAGATTCTTTGTGATGTGTGCGTTCAACTCACATAGTTTAACCTTTCTTTTCATAGAGCAGTTTGGAAACACTCTGTTTGTAAAGTCTGCAAGTGGATATATGGACCGCATTGAGGCCTTCGTTGGAAACGGGATTTCTTCATTTCATGCTAGACAGAAGAATTCTCAGTAACTTCTTTGTGCTGTGTGTATTCAACTCACAGAGTGGAACGTCCCTTTGCACAGAGCAGATTTGAAACACTCTTTTTGTGGAGTTTGCAAGTGGAGATTTCAAGCGATTTGATGCCAACAGTAGAAAAGGAAATATCTTCAAATAAAAACTAGACAGAATCATTCTCAGAAACTACTTTGTGATGTGTGCCTTCAACTCACAGAGTTTAACCTTTTCTTTTCTTAGAGCAGTTTAGAAACACTCTGCTTGTTATGTCTGCAAGTGGATATTTGGACCTCTTTGAGGCCTTCGTTGCAAACGGGGTTTCTTCCTTTCATGCTAGACTAAGAAGAGTTCTCAGTAACTTTTCTGTGTTGTGTGTATTCAACTCACAGAGTTGAACCTTGCTTTAGAGAGAGCAGATTTGAAACACTCTCGCTGTGGAATTTTCAGGTGGAGATTTCAAGCGATTTGAGGACAATTGCAGAAAAGGAAATATCTTCGTATAATAACCAGACAGAATCATTCTCAGAAAGTGCTTTGTGATGTGTGCGTTCAACTCACAGAGTTTAACCTTTCTTTTCATAGATGAGTGTGGAAACACACTGTTTGTAAAGTCTGCAATTGGATATATGGACCTGTTTGAGGCCTTCGTTGGAAACGGGATTTCTTCATTGAATGCTAGACGGAAGAATTCTCAGTAAATTCTTTGTGTTGTGTGCATTCAACTGACAGAGTGGAACGTCCCTTTAGACAGAGCAGATTTGAAACACTCTTTTTGTGGAATTTGCAAGTGGAGATTTCTAGCCATTTGATGCCAACAGTAGAAAGGGAAATATCTTCAAATAAAAACCAGACAGAATCATTCTCAGAAACTACTTTGTGATGTGTGCCTTCAACTCACAGAGTTTAACCTTTCTTTTCTTAGAGCAGTTTAGAAACACTCTGCTTGTTATGTCTGCAAGTGGATATTTGGACCTCTTTGAGGCCTTCGTTGCAAACGGGGTTTCTTCTTTCATGCTAGACTAAGAAGAGTTCTCAGTAACTTTTTTGTGTTGTGTGTATTCAACTCACAGAGTTGAACCTTGCTTTAGAGAGAGCAGATTTGAAACACTCTTGCTGTGACATTTTCAGGTGGAGATTTCAAGCGATTTGAGGACAATTGCAGAAAAGGAAATATCTTCGTATAATAACCAGAAAGAATCATTCTCAGAAAGTGCTTTGTGATGTGTGCGTTCAACTCACAGAGTTTAACCTTTCTTTTCATAGAGGAGTTTGGAAACACACTGTTTGTAAAGTCTGCAAGTGGATATATGGACGTGTTTGAGGCCTTCGTTGGAAACGGGATTTCTTCATTGAATGCTAGACGGAAGAATTCTCAGTAAATTCTTTGTGTTGTGTGCATTCAACTCACAGAGTGGAACGTCCCTTTAGACAGAGCAGATTTGAAACACTCTTTTTGCGGAATTTGCAAGTGGAGATTTCTAGCCATTTGATGCCAACAGTAGAAAGGGAAATATCTTCAAATAAAAACCAGACAGAATCATTCTCAGAAAATTCTTTGTGATGTGTGCGTTCAACTCACATAGTTTAACTTTTCTTTTCATAGAGCAGTTTGGAAACACTCTGTTTGTAAAGTCTGCAAGTGGATATATGGACCGCATTGAGGCCTTCGTTGGAAACGGGATTTCTTCATTTCATGCTAGACAGAAGAATTCTCAGTAACTTCTTTGTGCTGTGTGTATTCAACTCACAGAGTGGAACGTCCCTTTCAACAGAGCAGATTTGAAACACTCTTTTTGTGGAGTTTGCAAGTGGAGATTTCAAGCGATTTGATGCCAACAGTAGAAAAGGAAATATCTTCAAATAAAAACTAGACAGAATCATTCTCAGAAACTACTTTGTGATGTGTGCCTTCAACTCACAGAGTTTAACCTTTCTTTTCTTAGAGCAGTTTAGAAACACTCTGCTTGTTATGTCTGCAAGTGGATATTTGGACCTCTTTGAGGCCTTCGTTGCAAACGGGGTTTCTTCCTTTAATGCTAGACTAAGAAGAGTTCTCAGTAACTTTTTTGTGTTGTGTGTATTCAACTCACAGAGTTGAACCTTGCTTTAGAGAGAGGAGATTTGAAACACTCTTGCTGTGGCATTTTCAGATGGAGATTTCAAGCGTTTTGAGGACAATTGCAGAAAAGGAAATATCTTCGTATAATAACCAGACAGAATCATTCTCAGAAAGTGCTTTGTGATGTGTGCGTTCCACTCACAGAGTTTAACCTTTCTTTTCATAGAGGAGTTTGGAAACACACTGTTTGTAAACTCTGCAAGTGGATATATGGACCTGTTTGAGGCCTTCGTTGGAAACGGGATTTCTTCATTGAATGCTAGACGGAAGAATTCTCAGTAAATTCTTTGTGTTGTGTGCATTCAACTCACAGAGTGGAACGTCCCTTTAGACAGAGCAGATTTGAAACACTCTTTTTGCGGAATTTGCAAGTGGAGATTTCTAGCCATTTGATGCCAACAGTAGAAAGGGAAATATCTTCAAATAAAAACCAGACAGAATCATTCTCAGAAAATTCTTTGTGATGTGTGCGTTCAACTCACATAGTTTAACCTTTCTTTTCATAGAGCAGTTTGGAAACACTCTGTTTGTGATGTCTGCAAGTGGATATATAGACCGCATTGAGGCCTTCGTTGGAAACGGGATTTCTTCATTTCATGCTAGACAGAAGAATTCTCAGTAACTTCTTTGTGCTGTGTGTATTCAACTCACATAGTGGAACGTCCCTTTGCACAGAGCACATTTGAAACACTCTTTTTGTGGAGTTTGCAAGTGGATATTTCAAGCGATTTGATGCCAACAGTAGAAAAGGAAATATCTTCAAATAAAAACTAGACAGAATCATTCTCAGAAACTACTTTGTGATGTGTGCCTTCAACTCACAGAGTTTAACCTTTCTTTTCTTAGAGCAGTTTAGAAACACTCTGCTTGTTATGTCTGCAAGTGGATATTTGGACCTCTTTGAGGCCTTCGTTGCAAACGGGGTTTCTTCTTTCATGCTAGACTAAGAAGAGTTCTCAGTAACTTTTTTGTGTTGTGTGTATTCAACTCACAGAGTTGAACCTTGCTTTAGAGAGAGCAGATTTGAAACACTCTTGCTGTGACATTTTCAGGTGGAGATTTCAAGCGATTTGAGGACAATTGCAGAAAAGGAAATATCTTCGTATAATAACCAGAAAGAATCATTCTCAGAAAGTGCTTTGTGATGTGTGCGTTCAACTCACAGAGTTTAACCTTTCTTTTCATAGAGGAGTTTGGAAACACACTGTTTGTAAAGTCTGCAATTGGATATATGGACCTGTTTGAGGCCTTCGTTGGAAACGGGATTTCTTCATTGCATGCTAGACGGAAGAATTCTCAGTAAATTCTTTGTGTTGTGTGCATTCAACTGACAGAGTGGAACGTCCCTTTAGACAGAGCAGATTTGAAACACTCTTTTTGCGGAATTTGCAAGTGGAGATTTCTAGCCATTTGATGCCAACAGTAGAAAGGGAAATATCTTCAAATAAAAACCAGACAGAATCATTCTCAGAAAATTCTTTGTGATGTGTGCGTTCAACTCACATAGTTTAACCTTTCTTTTCATAGAGCAGTTTGGAAACACTCTGTTTGTAAAGTCTGCAAGTGGATATATGGACCGCATTGAGGCCTTCGTTGGAAACGGGATTTCTTCATTTCATGCTAGACAGAAGAATTCTCAGTAACTTCTTTGTGCTGTGTGTACTCAACTCACAGTAGTGGAACGTCCCTTTGCACAGAGCAGATTTGAAACACTCTTTTTGTGGAGTTTGCAAGTGGAGATTTCAAGCGATTTGATGCCAACAGTAGAAAAGGAAATATCTTCAAATAAAAACTAGACAGAATCATTCTCAGAAACTACTTTGTGATGTCTGCCTTCAACTCACAGAGTTTAACCTTTCTTTTCTTAGAGCAGTTTAGAAACACTCTGCTTGTTATGTCTGCAAGTGGATATTTGGACCTCTTTGAGGCCTTCGTTGCAAACGGGGTTTCTTCCTTTCATGCTAGACTAAGAAGAGTTCTCAGTAACTTTTTTGTGTTGTGTGTATTCAACTCACAGAGTTGAACCTTGCTTTAGAGAGAGCAGATTTGAAACACTCTTGCTGTGGCATTTTCAGGTGGAGATTTCAAGCGATTTGAGGACAATTGCAGAAAAGGAAATATCTTCGTATAATAACCAGACAGAATCATTCTCAGAAAGTGCTTTGTGATGTGTGCGTTCAACTCACAGAGTTTAACCTTTCTTTTCATAGAGGAGTTTGGAAACACACTGTTTGTAAAGTCTGCAAGTGGATATATGGACCTGTTTGAGGCCTTCGTTGGAAACGGGATTTCTTCATTGAATGCTAGACGGAAGAATTCTCAGTAAATTCTTTGTGTTGTGTGCATTCAACTCACAGAGTGGAACGTCCCTTTAGACAGAGCAGATTTGAAACACTCTTTTTGCGGAATTTGCAAGTGGAGATTTCTAGCCATTTGATGCCAACAGTAGAAAGGGAAACATCTTCAAATAAAAACCAGACAGAATCATTCTCAGAAAATTCTTTGTGATGTGTGCGTTCAACTCACATAGTTTAACCTTTCTTTTCATAGAGCAGTTTGGAAACACTCTGTTTGTAAAGTCTGCAAGTGGATATATGGACCGCATTGAGGCCTTCGTTGGAAACGGGATTTCTTCATTTCATGCTAGACAGAAGAATTCTGAGTAACTTCTTTGTGCTGTGTGTATTCAACTCACAGAGTGGAACGTCCCTTTGCACAGAGCAGATTTGAAACACACTTTTTGTGGAATTTGCAAGTGGAGATTTCAAGCGATTTGATGCCAACAGTAGAAAAGGAAATATCTTCAAATAAAAACTAGACAGAATCATTCTCAGAAACTACTTTGTGATGTGTGCCTTCAACTCACAGAGTTTAACCTTTCTTTTCTTAGAGCAGTTTAGAAACACTCTGCTTGTTATGTCTGCAAGTGGATATTTGGACCTCTTTGAGGCCTTCGTTGCAAACGGGGTTTCTTCCTTTCATGCTAGACTAAGAAGAGTTCTCAGTAACTTTTTTGTGTTGTGTGTATTCAACTCACAGAGTTGAACCTTGCTTTAGAGAGAGCAGATTTGAAACACTCTTGCTGTGGCATTTTCAGGTGGAGATTTCAAGCGATTTGAGGACAATTGCAGAAAAGGAAATATCTTCGTATAATAACCAGACAGAATCATTCTCAGAAAGTGCTTTGTGATGTGTGCGTTCAACTCACAGAGTTTAACCTTTCTTTTCATAGAGGAGTTTGGAAACACACTGTTTGTAATGACTGCAAGTGGATATATGGACCTGTTTGAGGCCTTCGTTGGAAACGGGATTTCTTCATTGAATGCTAGACCGAAGAATTCTCAGTAAATTCTTTGTATTGTGTGCATTCAACTCACAGAGTGGAACGTCCCTTTAGACAGAGCAGATTTGAAACACGCTTTTTGCGGAATTTGCAAGTGGAGATTTCTAGCCATTTGATGCCAACAGTAGAAAGGGAAATATCTTCAAATAAAAACCAGACAGAATCATTCTCAGAAAATTCTTTGTGATGTGTGCGTTCAACTCACATAGTTTAACCTTTCTTTTCATAGAGCAGTTTGGAAACACTCTGTTTGTAAAGTCTGCAAGTGGATATATGGACCGCAATGAGGCCTTCGTTGGAAACGGGATTTCTTCATTTCATGCTAGACAGAAGAATTCTCAGCAACTTCTTTGTGCTGTGTGTATTCAACTCACAGAGTGGAACGTCCCTTTGCACAGAGCAGATTTGAAACACTCTTTTTGTGGAATTTGCAAGTGGAGATTTCAAGCGATTTGATGCCAACAGTAGAAAAGGAAATATCTTCAAATAAAAACTAGACAGAATCATTCTCAGAAAGTGCTTTGTGATGTGTGCGTTCAACTCACAGAGTTTAACCTTTCTTTTCTTAGAGCAGTTTAGAAACACTCTGCTTCTTATGTCTGCAAGTGGATATTTGGACCTCTTTGAGGCCTTCGTTGCAAACGGGATTTCTTCCTTTAATGCTAGACTAAGAAGACTTCTCAGTAACTTTTTTGTGTTGTGTGTATTCAACTCACAGAGTTGAACCTTGCTTTAGAGAGAGCAGATTTGAAACACTCTTGCTGTGGCATTTTCAGGTGGAGATTTCAAGCGATTTGAGGACAATTGCAGAAAAGGAAATATCTTCGTATAATAACCAGACAGAATCATTCTCAGAAAGTGCTTTGTGATGTGTGCGTTCAACTCACAGAGTTTAACCTTTCTTTTCATAGAGGAGTTTGGAAACACACTGTTTGTAAAGTCTGCAATTGGATATATGGACCTGTTTGAGGCCTTCGTTGGAAACGGGATTTCTACATTGAATGCTAGACGGAAGAATTCTCAGTAAATTCTTTGTGTTGTGTGCATTCAACTCACAGAGTGGAACCGTCCCTTTAGACAGAGCAGATTTGAAACACTCTTTTTGCGGAATTTGCAAGTGGAGATTTCTAGCCATTTGATGCCAACAGTTGAAAGGGAAATATCTTCAAATAAAAACCAGACAGAATCATTCTCAGAAAATTCTTTGTGATGTGTGCGTTCAACTCACATAGTTTAACCTTTCTTTTCATAGAGCAGTTTGGAAACACTCTGTTTGTAAAGTCTGCAAGTGGATATATGGACCGCATTGAGGCCTTCGTTGGAAACGGGATTTCTTCATTTCATGCTAGACAGAAGAATTCTCAGTAACTTCTTTGTGCTGTGTGTACTCAACTCACAGAGTGGAACGTCCCTTTGCACAGAGCAGATTTGAAACACTCTTTTTGTGGAGTTTGCAAGTGGAGATTTCAAGCGATTTGATGCCAACAGTAGAAAAGGAAATATCTTCAAATAAAAACTAGACAGAATCATTCTCAGAAACTACTTTGTGATGTGTGCCTTCAACTCACAGAGTTTAACCTTTCTTTTCTTAGAGCAGTTTAGAAACACTCTGCTTGTTATGTCTGCAAGTGGATATTTGGACCTCTTTGAGGCCTTCGTTGCAAACGGGGTTTCTTCCTTTCATGCTAGACTAAGAAGAGTTCTCAGTAACTTTTTTGTGTTGTGTGTATTCAACTCACAGAGTTGAACCTTGCTTTAGAGAGAGCAGATTTGAAACACTCTTGCTGTGGCATTTTCAGGTGGAGATTTCAAGCGATTTGAGGACAATTGCAGAAAAGGAAATATCTTCGTATAATAACCAGACAGAATCATTCTCAGAAAGTGCTTTGTGATGTGTGCGTTCAACTCACAGAGTTTAACCTTTCTTTTCATAGAGGAGTTTGGAAACACACTGTTTGTAAAGTCTGCAATTGGATATATGGACCTGTTTGAGGCCTTCGTTGGAAACGGGATTTCTTCATTGAATGCTAGACGGAAGAATTCTCAGTAAATTCTTTGTGTTGTGTGCATTCAACTCACAGAGTGGAACGTCCCTTTAGACAGAGCAGATTTGAAACACTCTTTTTGCGGAATTTGCAAGTGGAGATTTCTAGCCATTTGATGCCAACAGTAGAAAGGGAAATATCTTCAAATAAAAACCAGACAGAATCATTCTCAGAAAATTCTTTGTGATGTGTGCGTTCAACTCACATAGTTTAACCTTTCTTTTCATAGAGCAGTTTGGAAACACTCTGTTTGTAAAGTCTGCAAGTGGATATATGGACCGCATTGAGGCCTTCGTTGGAAACGGGATTTCTTCATTTCATGCTAGACAGAAGAATTCTCAGTAACTTCTTTGTGCTGTGTGTATTCAACTCACAGAGTGGAACGTCCCTTTGCACAGAGCAGATTTGAAACACTCTTTTTGTGGAGTTTGCAAGTGGAGATTTCAAGCGATTTGATGCCAACAGTAGAAAAGGAAATATCTTCAAATAAAAACTAGACAGAATCATTCTCAGAAACTACTTTGTGATGTGTGCCTTCAACTCACAGAGTTTAACCTTTCTTTTCTTAGAGCAGTTTAGAAACACTCTGCTTGTTATGTCTGCAAGTGGATATTTGGACCTCTTTGAGGCCTTCGTTGCAAACGGGGTTTCTTCCTTTCATGCTAGACTAAGAAGAGTTCTCAGTAACTTTTTTGTGTTGTGTGTATTCAACTCACAGAGTTGAACCTTGCTTTAGAGAGAGCAGATTTGAAACACTCTTGCTGTGGCATTTTCAGGTGGAGATTTCAAGCGATTTGAGGACAATTGCAGAAAAGGAAATATCTTCGTATAACAACCAGACAGAATCATTCTCAGAAAGTGCTTTGTGATGTGTGCGTTCAACTCACAGAGTTTAACCTTTCTTTTCATAGAGGAGTTTGGAAACACACTGTTTGTAAAGTCTGCAATTGGATATATGGACCTGTTTGAGGCCTTCGTTGGAAACGGGATTTCTTCATTGACTGCTAGACGGAAGAATTCTCAGTAAATTCTTTGTGTTGTGTGCATTCAACTCACAGAGTGGAACGTCCCTTTAGACAGAGCAGATTTGAAACACTCTTTTTGCGGAATTTGCAAGTGGAGATTTCTAGCCATTTGATGCCAACAGTAGAAAGGGAAATATCTTCAAATAAAAACCAGACAGAATCATTCTCAGAAAATTCTTTGTGATGTGTGCGTTCAACTCACATAGTTTAACCTTTCTTTTCATAGAGCAGTTTGGAAACACTCTGTTTGTAAAGTCTGCAAGTGGATATATGGACCGCATTGAGGCCTTCGTTGGAAACGGGATTTCTTCATTTCATGCTAGACAGAAGAATTCTCAGTAACTTCTTTGTGCTGTGTGTATTCAACTCACAGAGTGGAACGTCCCTTTACACAGAGCAGATTTGAAACACCCTTTTTGTGGAGTTTGCAAGTGGAGATTTCAAGCGATTTGATGCCAACAGTAGAAAAGGAAATATCTTCAAATAAAAACTAGACAGAATCATTCTCAGAAACTACTTTGTGATGTGTGCCTTCAACTCACAGAGTTTAACCTTTCTTTTCTTAGAGCAGTTTAGAAACACTCTGCTTGTTATGTCTGCAAGTGGATATTTGGACCTCTTTGAGGCCTTCGTTGCAAACGGGGTTTCTTCCTTTCATGCTAGACTAAGAAGAGTTCTCAGTAACTTTTTTGTGTTGTGTGTATTCAACTCACAGAGTTGAACCTTGCTTTAGAGAGAGCAGATTTGAAACACTCTTGCTGTGGCATTTTCAGGTGGAGATTTCAAGCGATTTGAGGACAATTGCAGAAAAGGAAATATCTTCGTATAATAACCAGACAGAATCATTCTCAGAAAGTGCTTTGTGATGTGTGCGTTCCACTCACAGAGTTTAACCTTTCTTTTCATAGAGGAGTTTGGAAACACACTGTTTGTAAACTCTGCAAGTGGATATATGGACCTGTTTGAGGCCTTCGTTGGAAACGGGTTTTCTTCATTGAATGCTAGACGGAGGAGAAGTCTCAGTAAATTCTTTGTGTTGTGTGCATTCAACTGACAGAGTGGAGCAGTCCCTTTAGACAGAGCAGATTTGAAACACTCTTTTTGCGGAATTTGCAAGTGGAGATTTCTAGCCATTTGATGCCAAAAGTAGAAAGGGAAATATCTTCAAATAAAAACCAGACAGAATCATTCTCAGAAAATTCTTTGTGATGTGTGCGTTCAACTCACATAGTTTAACCTTTCTTTTCATAGAGCAGTTTGGAAACACTCTGTTTGTAAAGTCTGCAAGTGGATATATGGACCGCATTGAGGCCTTCGTTGGAAACGGGATTTCTTCATTTCATGCTAGACAGAAGAATTCTGAGTAACTTCTTTGTGCTGTGTGTATTCAACTCACAGAGTAGAACGTCCCTTTGCACAGAGCAGATTTGAAACACACTTTTTGTGGAATTTGCAAGTGGAGATTTCAAGCGATTTGATGCCAACAGTAGAAAAGGAAATATCTTCAAATAAAAACTAGACAGAATCATTCTCAGAAACTACTTTGTGATGTGTGCCTTCAACTCACAGAGTTTAACCTTTCTTTTCTTAGAGCAGTTTAGAAACACTCTGCTTGTTATGTCTGCAAGTGGATATTTGGACCTCTTTGAGGCCTTCGTTGCAAACGGGGTTTCTTCCTTTAATGCTAGACTAAGAAGAGTTCTCAGTAACTTTATTGTGTTGTGTGTATTCAACTCACAGAGTTGAACCTTGCTTTAGAGAGAGCAGATTTGAAACACTCTTGCTGTGGCATTTTCAGGTGGAGATTTCAAGCGATTTGAGGACAATTGCAGAAAAGGAAATATCTTCGTATAACAACCAGACAGAATCATTCTCAGAAAGTGCTTTGTGATGTGTGCGTTCAACTCACAGAGTTTAACCTTTCTTTTCATAGAGGAGTTTGGAAACACACTGTTTGTAAAGTCTGCAATTGGATATATGGACCTGTTTGAGGCCTTCGTTGGAAACGGGATTTCTTCATTGAATGCTAGACGGAAGAATTCTCAGTAAATTCTTTGTGTTGTGTGCATTCAACTCACAGAGTGGAACGTCCCTTTAGACAGAGCAGAATTGAAACACTCTTTTTGCGGAATTTGCAAGTGGAGATTTCTAGCCATTTGATGCCAACAGTAGAAAGGGAAATATCTTCAAATAAAAACCAGACAGAATCATTCTCAGAAAATTCTTTGTGATGTGTGCGTTCAACTCACATAGTTTAACCTTTCTTTTCATAGAGCAGTTTGGAAACACTCTGTTTGTAAAGTCTGCAAGTGGATCTATGGACCGCATTGAGGCCTTCGTTGGAAACGGGATTTCTTCATTTCATGCTAGACAGAAGAATTCTCAGTAACTTCTTTGTGCTGTGTGTATTCAACTCACAGAGTGGAACGTCCCTTTGCACAGAGCAGATTTGAAACACTCTTTTTGTGGAGTTTACAAGTGGAGATTTCAAGCGATTTGAGGCCAACAGTAGAAAAGGAAATATCTTCAAATAAAAACTAGACAGAATCATTCTCAGAAACTACTTTGTGATGTGTGCCTTCAACTCACAGAGTTTAACCTTTCTTTTCTTAGAGCAGTTTAGAAACACTCTGCTTGTTATGTCTGCAAGTGGATATTTGGACCTCTTTGAGGCCTTCGTTGCAAACGGGGTTTCTTCCTTTAATGCTAGACTAAGAAGAGTTCTCAGTAACTTTTTTGTGTTGTGTGTATTCAACTCACAGAGTTGAACCTTGCTTTAGAGAGAGCAGATTTGAAACACTCTCGCTGTGGAATTTTCAGGTGGAGATTTCAAGCGATTTGAGGACAATTGCAGAAAAGGAAATATCTTCGTATAATAACCAGACAGAATCATTCTCAGAAAGTGCTTTGTGATGTGTGCGTTCAACTCACAGAGTTTAACCTTTCTTTTCATAGAGGAGTTTGGAAACACACTGTTTGTAATGTCTGCAATTGGATTTATGGACCTGTTTGAGGCCTTCGTTGGAAACGGGATTTCTTCATTGAATGCTAGACGGAAGAATTCTCTTTTAAATTCTTTGTGTTGTGTGCATTCAACTCACAGAGTGGAACGTCCCTTTAGACAGAGCAGATTTGAAACTCTCTTTTTGCGGAATTTGCAAGTGGAGATTTCTAGCCATTTGATGCCAACAGTAGAAAGGGAAATATCTTCAAATAAAAACCAGACAGAATCATTCTCAGAAAATTCTTTGTGATGTGTGCGTTCAACTCACATAGTTTAACCTTTCTTTTCATAGAGCAGTTTGGAAACACTCTGTTTGTAAAGTCTGCAAGTGGATATATGGACCGCATTGAGGCCTTCGTTGGAAACGGGATTTCTTCATTTCATGCTAGACAGAAGAATTCTCAGTAACTTCTTTGTGCTGTGTGTATTCAACTCACAGAGTGGAACGTTCCTTTACACAGAGCAGATTTGAAACACTCTTTTTGTGGAATTTGCAAGTGGAGATTTCAAGCGATTTGATGCCAACAGTAGAAAAGGAAATATCTTCAAATAAAAACTAGACAGAATCATTCTCAGAAACTACTTTGTGATGTGTGCCTTCAACTCACAGAGTTTAACCTTTCTTTTCTTAGAGCAGTTTAGAAACACTCTGCTTGTTATGTCTGCAAGTGGATATTTGGACCTCTTTGAGGCCTTCGTTGCAAACGGGGTTTCTTCCTTTCATGCTAGACTAAGAAGAGTTCTCAGTAACTTTTTTGTGTTGTGTGTATTCAACTCACAGAGTTGAACCTTGCTTTAGAGAGAGCAGATTTGAAACACTCTTGCTGTGGCATTTTCAGGTGGAGATTTCAAGCGATTTGAGGACAATTGCAGAAAAGGAAATATCTTCGTATAATAACCAGACAGAATCATTCTCAGAAAGTGCTTTGTGATGTGTGCGTTCAACTCACAGAGTTTAACCTTTCTTTTCATAGAGGAGTTTGGAAACACACTGTTTGTAAAGTCTGCAATTGGATATATGGACCTGTTTGAGGCCTTCGTTGGAAACGGGATTTCTTCATTGAATGCTAGACGGAAGAATTCTCAGTAAATTCTTTGTGTTGTGTGCATTCAACTGACAGAGTGGAACGTCCCTTTAGACGGAGCAGATTTGAAACACTCTTTTTGCGGAATTTGCAAGTGGAGATTTCTAGCCATTTGATGCCAACAGTAGAAAGGGAAATATCTTCAAATAAAAACCAGACAGAATCATTCTCAGAAAATTCTTTGTGATGTGTGCGTTCAACTCACATAGTTTAACCTTTCTTTTCATAGAGCAGTTTGGAAACACTCTGTTTGTAAAGTCTGCAAGTGGATCTATGGACCGCATTGAGGCCTTCGTTGGAAACGGGATTTCTTCATTTCATGCTAGACAGAAGAATTCTCAGTAACTTCTTTGTGCTGTGTGTATTCAACTCACAGAGTGGAACGTCCCTTTACACAGAGCAGATTTGAAACACTCTTTTTGTGGAATTTGCAAGTGGAGATTTCAAGCGATTTGATGCCAACAGTAGAAAAGGAAATATCTTCAAATAAAAACTAGACAGAATCATTCTCAGAAACTACTTTGTGATGTGTGCCTTCAACTCACAGAGTTTAACCTTTCTTTTCTTAGAGCAGTTTAGAAACACTCTGCTTGTTATGTCTGCAAGTGGATATTTGGACCTCTTTGAGGCCTTCGTTGCAAACGGGGTTTCTTCCTTTCATGCTAGACTAAGAAGAGTTCTCAGTAACTTTTTTGTGTTGTGTGTATTCAACTCACAGAGTTGAACCTTGCTTTAGAGAGAGCAGATTTGAAACACTCTTGCTGTGGCATTTTCAGGTGGAGATTTCAAGCGATTTGAGGACAATTGCAGAAAAGGAAATATCTTCGTATAATAACCAGACAGAATCATTCTCAGCAAAGTGCTTTGTGATGTGTGCGTTCCACTCACAGAGTTTAACCTTTCTTTTCATAGAGGAGTTTGGAAACACACTGTTTGTAAACTCTGCAAGTGGATATATGGACCTGTTTGAGGCCTTCGTTGGAAACGGGATTTCTTCATTGAATGCTAGACGGAAGAATTCTCAGTAAATTCTTTGTGTTGTGTGCATTCAACTCACAGAGTGGAACGTCCCTTTAGACAGAGCAGATTTGAAACACTCTTTTTGCGGAATTTGCAAGTGGAGATTTCTAGCCATTTGATGCCAACAGTAGAAAGGGAAATATCTTCAAATAAAAACCAGACAGAATCATTCTCAGAAAATTCTTTGTGATGTGTGCGTTCAACTCACATAGTTTTACCTTTCTTTTCATAGAGCAGTTTGGAAACACTCTGTTTGTAAAGTCTGCAAGTGGATATATGGACCGCATTGAGGCCTTCGTTGGAAACGGGATTTCTTCATTTCATGCTAGACAGAAGAATTCTCAGTAACTTCTTTGTGCTGTGTGTACTCAACTCACAGAGTGGAACGTCCCTTTGCACAGAGCAGATTTGAAACACTCTTTTTGTGGAGTTTGCAAGTGGAGATTTCAAGCGATTTGATGCCAACAGTAGAAAAGGAAATATCTTCAAATAAAAACTAGACAGAATCATTCTCAGAAACTACTTTGTGATGTCTGCCTTCAACTCACAGAGTTTAACCTTTCTTTTCTTAGAGCAGTTTAGAAACACTCTGCTTGTTATGTCTGCAAGTGGATATTTGGACCTCTTTGAGGCCTTCGTTGCAAACGGGGTTTCTTCCTTTCATGCTAGACTAAGAAGAGTTCTCAGTAACTTTTTTGTGTTGTGTGTATTCAACTCACAGAGTTGAACCTTGCTTTAGAGAGAGCAGATTTGAAACACTCTTGCTGTGGCATTTTCAGGTGGAGATTTCAAGCGATTTGAGGACAATTGCAGAAAAGGAAATATCTTCGTATAATAACCAGACAGAATCATTCTCAGAAAGTGCTTTGTGATGTGTGCGTTCAACTCACAGAGTTTAACCTTTCTTTTCATAGAGGAGTTTGGAAACACACTGTTTGTAAAGTCTGCAAGTGGATATATGGACCTGTTTGAGGCCTTCGTTGGAAACGGGATTTCTTCATTGAATGCTAGACGGAAGAATTCTCAGTAAATTCTTTGTGTTGTGTGCATTCAACTCACAGAGTGGAACGTCCCTTTAGACATAGCAGATTTGAAACACTCTTTTTGCGGAATTTGCAAGTGGAGATTTCTAGCCATTTGATGCCAACAGTAGAAAGGGAAATATCTTCAAATAAAAACCAGACAGAATCATTCTCAGAAAATTCTTTGTGATGTGTGCGTTCAACTCACATAGTTTAACCTTTCTTTTCATAGAGCAGTTTGGAAACACTCTGTTTGTAAAGTCTGCAAGTGGATATATGGACCGCATTGAGGCCTTCGTTGGAAACGGGATTTCTTCATTTCATGCTAGACAGAAGAATTCTCAGTAACTTCTTTGTGCTGTGTGTATTCAACTCACAGAGTGGAACGTCCCTTTGCACAGAGCAGATTTGAAACACTCTTTTTGTGGAATTTGCAAGTGGAGATTTCAAGCGATTTGATGCCAACAGTAGAAAAGGAAATATCTTCAAATAAAAACTAGACAGAATCATTCTCAGAAACTACTTTGTGATGTGTACCTTCAACTCACAGAGTTTAACCATTCTTTTCTTAGAGCAGTTTAGAAACACTCTGCTTGTTATGTCTGCAAGTGGATATTTGGACCTCTTTGAGGCCTTCGTTGCAAACGGGGTTTCTTCCTTTAATGCTAGACTAAGAAGAGTTCTCAGTAACTTTTTTGTGTTGTGTGTATTCAACTCACAGAGTTGAACCTTGCTTTAGAGAGAGCAGATTTGAAACACTCTTGCTGTGGCATTTTCAGGTGGAGATTTCAAGCGATTTGAGGACAATTGCAGAAAAGGAAATATCTTCGTATAATAACCAGACAGAATCATTCTCAGAAAGTGCTTTGTGATGTGTGCGTTCAACTCACAGAGTTTAACCTTTCTTTTCATAGAGGAGTTTGGAAACACACTGTTTGTAAAGTCTGCAATTGGATATATGGACCTGTTTGAGGCCTTCGTTGGAAACGGGATTTCTTCATTGAATGCTAGACAGAAGAATTCTCAGTAAATTCTTTGTGTTGTGTGCATTCAACTCACAGAGTGGAACGTCCCTTTAGACAGAGCAGATTTGAAACACCCTTTTTGCGGAATTTGCAAGTGGAGATTTCTAGCCATTTGATGCCAACAGTAGAAAGGGAAATATCTTCAAATAAAAACCAGACAGAATCATTCTCAGAAAATTCTTTGTGATGTGTGCGTTCAACTCACATAGTTTAACCTTTCTTTTCATAGAGCAGTTTGGAAACACTCTGTTTGTAAAGTCTGCAAGTGGATCTATGGACCGCATTGAGGCCTTCGTTGGAAACGGGATTTCTTCATTTCATGCTAGACAGAAGAATTCTCAGTAACTTCTTTGTGCTGTGTGTATTCAACTCACAGAGTGGAACGTCCCTTTACACAGAGCAGATTTGAAACACTCTTTTTGTGGAGTTTGCAAGTGGAGATTTCAAGCGATTTGATGCCAACAGTAGAAAAGGAAATATCTTCAAATAAAAACTAGACAGAATCATTCTCAGAAACTACTTTGTGATGTGTGCCTTCAACTCACAGAGTTTAACCTTTCTTTTCTTAGAGCAGTTTAGAAACACTCTGCTTGTTATGTCTGCAAGTGGATATTTGGACCTCTTTGAGGCCTTCGTTGCAAACGGGGTTTCTTCCTTTCATGCTAGACTAAGAAGAGTTCTCAGTAACTTTTTTGTGTTGTGTGTATTCAACTCACAGAGTTGAACCTTGCTTTAGAGAGAGCAGATTTGAAACACTCTTGCTGTGGCATTTTCAGGTGGAGATTTCAAGCGATTTGAGGACAATTGCAGAAAAGGAAATATCTTCGTATAATAACCAGACAGAATCATTCTCAGAAAGTGCTTTGTGATGTGTGCGTTCAACTCACAGAGTTTAACCTTTCTTTTCATAGAGGAGTTTGGAAACACACTGTTTGTAAAGTCTGCAAGTGGATATATGGACCTGTTTGAGGCCTTCGTTGGAAACGGGATTTCTTCATTGAATGCTAGACGGAAGAATTCTCAGTAAATTCTTTGTGTTGTGTGCATTCAACTCACAGAGTGGAACGTCCCTTTAGACAGAGCAGATTTGAAACACTCTTTTTGCGGAATTTGCAAGTGGAGATTTCTAGCCATTTGATGCCAACAGTAGAAAGGGAAATATCTTCAAATAAAAACCAGACAGAATAATTCTCAGAAAATTCTTTGTGATGTGTGCGTTCAACTCACATAGTTTAAACTTTCTTTTCATAGAGCAGTTTGGAAACACTCTGTTTGTAAAGTCTGCAAGTGGATATATGGACCGCATTGAGGCCTTCGTTGGAAACGGGATTTCTTCATTTCATGCTAGACAGAAGAATTCTCAGTAACTTCTTTGTGCTGTGTGTATTCAACTCACAGAGTGGAACGTCCCTTTACACAGAGCAGATTTGAAACACTCTTTTTGTGGAGTTTGCAAGTGGAGATTTCAAGCGATTTGATGCCAACAGTAGAAAAGGAAATATCTTCAAATAAAAACTAGACAGAATCATTCTCAGAAACTACTTTGTGATGTGTGCCTTCAACTCACAGAGTTTAACCTTTCTTTTCTTAGAGCAGTTTAGAAACACTCTGCTTGTTATGTCTGCAAGTGGATATTTGGACCTCTTTGAGGCCTTCGTTGCAAACGGGGTTTCTTCCTTTCATGCTAGACTAAGAAGAGTTCTCAGTAACTTTTTTGTGTTGTGTGTATTCAACTCACAGAGTTGAACCTTGCTTTAGAGAGAGCAGATTTGAAACACTCTCGCTGTGGCATTTTCAGGTGGAGATTTCAAGCGATTTGAGGACAATTGCAGAAAAGGAAATATCTTCGTATAATAACCAGACAGAATCATTCTCAGAAAGTGCTTTGTGATGTGTGCGTTCAACTCACAGAGTTTAACCTTTCTTTTCATAGAGGAGTTTGGAAACACACTGTTTGTAAAGTCTGCAAGTGGATATATGGACCTGTTTGAGGCCTTCGTTGGAAGCGGGATTTCTTCATTGAATGCTAGACGGAAGAATTCTCAGTAAATTCTTTGTGTTGTGTGCATTCAACTCACAGAGTGGAACGTCCCTTTAGACAGAGCAGATTTGAAACACTCTTTTTGCGGAATTTGCAAGTGGAGATTTCTAGCCATTTGATGCCAACAGTAGAAAGGGAAATATCTTCAAATAAAAACCAGACAGAATCATTCTCAGAAAATTCTTTGTGATGTGTGCGTTCAACTCACATAGTTTAACCTTTCTTTTCATAGAGGAGTTTGGAAACACACTGTTTGTAAAGTCTGCAATTGGATATATGGACCTGTTTGAGGCCTTCGTTGGAAACGGGATTTCTTCATTGAATGCTAGACGGAAGAATTCTCAGTAAATTCTTTGTGTTGTGTGCATTCAACTCACAGAGTGGAACGTCCCTTTAGACAGAGCAGATTTGAAACACTCTTTTTGCGGAATTTGCAAGTGGAGATTTCTAGCCATTTGATGCCAACAGTAGAAAGGGAAATATACTTCAAATAAAAACCAGGCAGAATCATTCTCAGAAAATTCTTTGTGATGTGTGCGTTCAACTCACATAGTTTAACCTTTCTTTTCATAGAGCAGTTTGGAAACACTCTGTTTGTAAAGTCTGCAAGTGGATCTATGGACCGCATTGAGGCCTTCGTTGGAAACGGGATTTCTTCATTTCATGCTAGACAGAAGAATTCTCAGTAACTTCTTTGTGCTGTGTGTATTCAACTCACAGAGTGGAACGTCCCTTTGCACAGAGCAGATTTGAAACACTCTTTTTGTGGAGTTTGCAAGTGGAGATTTCAAGCGATTTGATGCCAACAGTAGAAAAGGAAATATCTTCAAATAAAAACTAGACAGAATCATTCTCAGAAACTACTTTGTGATGTGTGCCTTCAACTCACAGAGTTTAACCTTTCTTTTCTTAGAGCAGTTTAGAAACACTCTGCTTGTTATGTCTGCAAGTGGATATTTGCACCTCTTTGAGGCCTTCGTTGCAAACGGGGTTTCTTCCTTTCATGCTACACTAAGAAGAGTTCTCAGTAACTTTTCTGTGTTGTGTGTATTCAACTCACAGAGTTGAACCTTGCTTTAGAGAGAGCAGATTTGAAACACTCTTGCTGTGGCATTTTCAGGTGGAGATTTCAATCGTTTTGAGGACAATTGCAGAAAAGGAATTATCTTCGTATAATAACCAGACAGAATCATTCTCAGAAAGTGCTTTGTGATGTGTGCGTTCCACTCACAGAGTTTAACCTTTCTTTTCATAGAGGAGTTTGGAAACACACTGTTTGTAAAGTCTGCAAGTGGATATATGGACCTGTTTGAGGCCTTCGTTGGAAACGGGATTTCTTCATTGAATGCTAGACGGAAGAATTCTCAGTAAATTCTTTGTGTTGTGTGCATTCAACTGACAGAGTGGAACGTCCCTTTAGACAGAGCAGATTTGAAACACTCTTTTTGCGGAATTTGCAAGTGGAGATTTCTAGCCATTTGATGCCAACAGTAGAAAGGGAAATATCTTCAAATAAAAACCAGGCAGAATCATTCTCAGAAAATTCTTTGTGATGTGTGCGTTCAACTCACATAGTTTAACCTTTCTTTTCATAGAGCAGTTTGGAAACACTCTGTTTGTAAAGTCTGCAAGTGGATATATGGACCGCATTGAGGCCCTTCGTTGGAAACGGGATTTCTTCATTTCATGCTAGACAGAAGAATTCTCAGTAACTTCTTTGTGCTGTGTGTATTCAACTCACAGAGTGGAACGTCCCTTTACACAGAGCAGATTTGAAACACTCTTTTTGTGGAGTTTGCAAGTGGAGATTTCAAGCGATTTGATGCCAACAGTAGAAAAGGAAATATCTTCAAATAAAAACTAGACAGAATCATTCTCAGAAACTACTTTGTGATGTGTGCCTTCAACTCACAGAGTTTAACCTTTCTTTTCTTAGAGCAGTTTAGAAACACTCTGCTTGTTATGTCTGCAAGTGGATATTTGGACTTCTTTGAGGCCTTCGTTGCAAACGGGGTTTCTTCATTTAATGCTAGACTAAGAAGAGTTCTCAGTAACTTTTTTGTGTTGTGTGTATTCAACTCACAGAGTTGAACCTTGCTTTAGAGAGAGCAGATTTGAAACACTCTTGCTGTGGCATTTTCAGGTGGAGATTTCAAGCGATTTGAGGACAATTGCAGAAAAGGAAATATCTTCGTATAATAAACAGACAGAATCATTCTCAGAAAGTGCTTTGTGATGTGTGCGTTCAACTCACAGAGTTTAACCTTTCTTTTCATAGAGGAGTTTGGAAACACACTGTTTGTAAAGTCTGCAATTGGATATATGGACCTGTTTGAGGCCTTCGTTGGAAACGGGATTTCTTCATTGAATGCTAGACGGAAGAATTCTCAGTAAATTCTTTGTGTTGTGTGCATTCAACTCACAGAGTGGAACGTCCCTTTAGTCAGAGCAGATTTGAAACACTCTTTTTGCGGAATTTGCAAGTGGAGATTTCTAGCCATTTGATGCCAACAGTAGAAAGGGAAATATCTTCAAATAAAAACCAGACAGAATCATTCTCAGAAAATTCTTTGTGATGTGTGCGTTCAACTCACATAGTTTAACCTTTCTTTTCATGGAGCAGTTTGGAAACACTCTGTTTGTAAAGTCTGCAAGTGGATATATGGACCGCATTGAGGCCTTCGTTGGAAACGGGATTTCTTCATTTCATACTAGACAGAAGAATTCTCAGTAACTTCTTTGTGCTGTGTGTATTCAACTCACAGAGTGGAACATCCCTTTGCACAGAGCAGATTTGAAACACTCTTTTTGTGGAGTTTGCAAGTGGAGATTTCAAGCGATTTGATGCCAACAGTAGAAAAGGAAATATCTTCAAATAAAAACTAGACAGAATCATTCTCAGAAACTACTTTGTGATGTGTGCCTTCAACTCACAGAGTTTAACCTTTCTTTTCTTAGAGCAGTTTAGAAACACTCTCCTTGTTATGTCTGCAAGTGGATATTTGGACCTCTTTGAGGCCTTCGTTGCAAACGGGGTTTCTTCCTTTCACGCTAGACTAAGAAGAGTTCTCAGTAACTTTTTTGTGTTGTGTGTATTCAACTCACAGAGTTGAACCTTGCTTTAGAGAGAGCAGATTTGAAACACTCTTGCTGTGGCATTTTCAGGTGGAGATTTCAAGCGATTTGAGGACAATTGCAGAAAAGGAAATATCTTCGTATAACAACCAGACAGAATCATTCTCAGAAAGTGCTTTGTGATGTGTGCGTTCAACTCACAGAGTTTAACCTTTGTTTTCATAGAGGAGTTTGGAAACACACTGTTTGTAAAGTCTGCAAGTGGATATATGGACCTGTTTGAGGCCTTCGTTGGAAACGGGATTTCTTCATTGACTGCTAGACGGAAGAATTCTCAGTAAATTCTTTGTGTTGTGTGCATTCAACTCACAGAGTGGAACGTCCCTTTAGACAGAGCAGATTTGAAACACTCTTTTTGCGGAATTTGCAAGTGGAGATTTCTAGCCATTTGATGCCAACAGTAGAAAGGGAAATATCTTCAAATAAAAACCAGACAGAATCATTCTCAGAAAATTCTTTGTGATGTGTGCGTTCAACTCACATAGTTTAACCTTTCTTTTCATAGAGCAGTTTGGAAACACTCTGTTTGTAAAGTCTGCAAGTGGATATATGGACCGCATTGAGGCCTTCGTTGGAAACGAGATTTCTTCATTTCATGCTAGACAGAAGAATTCTCAGTAACTTCTTTGTGCTGTGTGTATTCAACTCACAGAGTGGAACGTCCCTTTGCACAGAGCAGATTTGAAACACTCTTTTTGTGGACTTTGCAAGTGGAGATTTCAAGCGATTTGATGCCAACAG
The DNA here is from genome assembly GCF_000001405.40 of Homo sapiens. Taxonomy (NCBI): domain Eukaryota; kingdom Metazoa; phylum Chordata; class Mammalia; order Primates; family Hominidae; genus Homo; species Homo sapiens. The sequence continues at coordinate 59,970,831 of NC_000007.14, forward strand.
TAGAAAAGGAAATATCTTCAAATAAAAACTAGACAGAATCATTCTCAGAAACTACTTTGTGATGTGTGCCTTCAACTCACAGAGTTTAACCTTTCTTTTCTTAGAGCAGTTTAGAAACACTCTGCTTGTTATGTCTGCAAGTGGATATTTGGACCTCTTTGAGGCCTTCGTTGCAAACGGGGTTTCTTCCTTTCATGCTAGACTAAGAAGAGTTCTCAGTAACTTTTTTGTGTTGTGTGTATTCAACTCACAGAGTTGAACCTTGCTTTAGAGAGAACAGATTTGAAACACTCTTGCTGTGGCATTTTCAGGTGGAGATTTCAAGCGATTTGAGGACAATTGCAGAAAAGGAAATATCTTCGTATAACAACCAGACAGAATCATTCTCAGAAAGTGCTTTGTGATGTGTGCGTTCCACTCACAGAGTTTAACCTTTCTTTTCATAGAGGAGTTTGGAAACACACTGTTTGTAAACTCTGCAAGTGGATATATGGACCTGTTTGAGGCCTTCGTTGGAAACGGGATTTCTTCATTGAATGCTAGACGGAAGAATTCTCAGTAAATTCTTTGTGTTGTGTGCATTCAACTCACAGAGTGGAACGTCCCTTTAGACAGAGCAGATTTGAAACACTCTTTTTGCGGAATTTGCAAGTGGAGATTTCTAGCCATTTGATGCCAACAGTAGAAAGGGAAATATCTTCAAATAAAAACCAGACAGAATCATTCTCAGAAAATTCTTTGTGATGTGTGCGTTCAACTCACATAGTTTAACCTTTCTTTTCATAGAGCAGTTTGGAAACACTCTGTTTGTAAAGTCTGCAAGTGGATATATGGACCGCATTGAGGCCTTCGTTGGAAACGGGATTTCTTCATTTCATGCTAGACAGAAGAATTCTCAGTAACTTCTTTGTGCTGTGTGTATTCAACTCACAGAGTGGAACGTCCCTTTGCACAGAGCAGATTTGAAACACTCTTTTTGTGGAGTTTGCAAGTGGAGATTTCAAGCGATTTGATGCCAACAGTAGAAAAGGAAATATCTTCAAATAAAAACTAGACAGAATCATTCTCAGAAACTACTTTGTGATGTGTGCCTTCAACTCACAGAGTTTAACCTTTCTTTTCTTAGAGCAGTTTAGAAACACTCTGCTTGTTATGTCTGCAAGTGGATATTTGGACCTCTTTGAGGCCTTCGTTGCAAACGGGGTTTCTTCCTTTCATGCTAGACTAAGAAGAGTTCTCAGTAACTTTTTTGTGTTGTGTGTATTCAACTCACAGAGTTGAACCTTGCTTTAGAGAGAGCAGATTTGAAACACTCTTGCTGTGGCATTTTCAGGTGGAGATTTCAAGCGATTTGAGGACAATTGCAGAAAAGGAAATATCTTCGTATAATAACCAGACAGAATCATTCTCAGAAAGTGTTTTGTGATGTGTGCGTTCCACTCACAGAGTTTAACCTTTCTTTTCATAGAGGAGTTTGGAAACACACTGTTTGTAAAGTCTGCAAGTGGATATATGGACCTGTTTGAGGCCTTCGTTGGAAACGGGATTTCTTCATTGAATGCTAGACGGAAGAATTCTCAGTAAATTCTTTGTGTTGTGTGCATTCAACTCACAGAGTGGAACGTCCCTTTAGACAGAGCAGATTTGAAACACTCTTTTTGCGGAATTTGCAAGTGGAGATTTCTAGCCATTTGATGCCAACAGTAGAAAGGGAAATATCTTCAAATAAAAACCAGACAGAATCATTCTCAGAAAATTCTTTGTGATGTGTGCGTTCAACTCACATAGTTTAACCTTTCTTTTCATAGAGCAGTTTGGAAACACTCTGTTTGTAAAGTCTGCAAGTGGATATATGGACCGCATTGAGGCCTTCGTTGGAAACGGGATTTCTTCATTTCATGCTAGACAGAAGAATTCTGAGTAACTTCTTTGTGCTGTGTGTATTCAACTCACAGAGTAGAACGTCCCTTTGCACAGAGCAGTTTTGAAACACACTTTTTGTGGAATTTGCAAGTGGAGATTTCAAGCGATTTGATGCCAACAGTAGAAAAGGAAATATCTTCAAATAAAAACTAGACAGATCATTCTCAGAAACTACTTTGTGATGTGTGCCTTCAACTCACAGAGTTTAACCTTTCTTTTCTTAGAGCAGTTTAGAAACACTCTGCTTGTTATGTCTGCAAGTGGATATTTGGACCTCTTTGAGGCCTTCGTTGCAAACGGGGTTTCTTCCTTTAATGCTAGACTAAGAAGAGTTCTCAGTAACTTTTTTGTGTTGTGTGTATTCAACTCACAGAGTTGAACCTTGCTTTAGAGAGAGCAGATTTGAAACACTCTTGCTGTGGCATTTTCAGGTGGAGATTTCAAGCGATTTGAGGACAATTGCAGAAAAGGAAATATCTTCGTATAACAACCAGACAGAATCATTCTCAGAAAGTGCTTTGTGATGTGTGCGTTCAACTCACAGAGTTTAATCTTTCTTTTCATAGAGGAGTTTGGAAACACACTGTTTGTAAAGTCTGCAATTGGATATATGGACCTGTTTGAGGCCTTCGTTGGAAACGGGATTTCTTCATTGAATGCTAGACGGAAGAATTCTCAGTAAATTCTTTGTGTTGTGTGCATTCAACTCACAGAGTGGAACGTCCCTTTAGACAGAGCAGATTTGAAACACTCTTTTTGCGGAATTTGCAAGTGGAGATTTCTAGCCATTTGATGCCAACAGTAGAAAGGGAAATATCTTCAAATAAAAACCAGACAGAATCATTCTCAGAAAATTCTTTGTGATGTGTGCGTTCAACTCACATAGTTTAACCTTTCTTTTCATAGAGCAGTTTGGAAACACTCTGTTTGTAAAGTCTGCAAGTGGATATATGGACCGCATTGAGGCCTTCGTTGGAAACGGGATTTCTTCATTTCATGCTAGACAGAAGAATTCTCAGTAACTTCTTTGTGCTGTGTGTATTCAACTCACAGAGTGGAACGTCCCTTTGCACAGAGCAGATTTGAAACACTCTTTTTGTGGAGTTTGCAAGTGGAGATTTCAAGCGATTTGATGCCAACAGTAGAAAAGGAAATATCTTCAAATAAAAACTAGACAGAATCATTCTCAGAAACTACTTTGTGATGTGTGCCTTCAACTCACAGAGTTTAACCTTTCTTTTCTTAGAGCAGCTTAGAAACACTCTGCTTGTTATGTCTGCAAGTGGATATTTGGACCTCTTTGAGGCCTTCGTTGCAAACGGGGTTTCTTCCTTTCATGCTAGACTAAGAAGAGTTCTCAGTAACTTTTTTGTGTTGTGTGTATTCAACTCACAGAGTTGAACCTTGCTTTAGAGAGAGCAGATTTGAAACACTCTTGCTGTGGCATTTTCAGGTGGAGATTTCAAGCGATTTGAGGACAATTGCAGAAAAGGAAATATCTTCGTATAATAACCAGACAGAATCATTCTCAGAAAATTCTTTGTGATGTGTGCGTTCAACTCACATAGTTTAACCTTTCTTTTCATAGAGCAGTTTGGAAACACTCTGTTTGTAAAGTCTGCAAGTGGATATATGGACCTGTTTGAGGCCTTCGTTGGAAACGGGATTTCTTCATTGAATGCTAGACGGAAGAATTCTCAGTAAATTCTTTGTGTTGTGTGCATTCAACTCACAGAGTGGAACGTCCCTTTAGACAGAGCAGATTTGAAACACTCTTTTTGCGGAATTTGCTAGTGGAGATTTCTAGCCATTTGATGCCAACAGTAGAAAGGGAAATATCTTCAAATAAAAACCAGACAGAATCATTCTCAGAAAATTCTTTGTGATGTGTGCGTTCAACTCACATAATTTAACCTTTCTTTTCATAGAGCAGTTTGGAAACACTCTGTTTGTAACGTCTGCAAGTGGATATATGGACCTCATTGAGGCCTTCGTTGGAAACGGGATTTCTTCATTTCATGCTAGCCAGAAGAATTCTCAGTAACTTCTTTGTGCTGTGTGTATTCAACTCACAGAGTGGAACGTCCCTTTACACAGAGCAGATTTGAAACACTCTTTTTGTGGAATTTGCAAGTGGAGATTTCAAGCGATTTGATGCCAACAGTAGAAAAGGAAATATCTGCAAAAAAAAACTAGACAGAATCATTCTCAGAAAGTGCTTTGTGATGTGTGCGTTCAACTCACAGAGTTTAACCTTTCTTTTCATAGAGGAGTTTGGAAACACACTGTTTGTAAAGTCTGCAATTGGATATATGGACCTGTTTAAGGCCTTCGTTGGAAACGGGATTTTATCATATAATGCTAGACGGAAGAATTCTCAGTAAATTCTTTGTGTTGTGTGCATTCAACTCACAGAGTGGAACGACCCTTTAGACAGAGCAGATTTGAAACACTCTTTTTGCGGAATTTGCAAGTGGAGATTTCTAGCCATTTGATGCCAACAGTATAAAGGGAAATATCTTCAAATAAAAACTAGACAGAATCATTCTCAGAAAATTCTTTGTGATGTGTGCGTTCAACTCACATAGTTTAACCTTTCTTTTCATAGAGCAGTTTGGGAACACTCTGTTGGTAATGTCTGCAAGTGGATATATGGACCGCTTTGAGGCCTTCGTTGGAAACGGGATTTCTTCATTTCATGCTAGACAGAAGAATTCTCAGTAACTTCTTTGTGCTGTGTGTATTCAACTCACAGAGTGGAACGTCCCTTTACACAGAGCAGATTTGAAACACTCTTTTTGTGGAGTTTGCAAGTGGAGATTTCAAGCGATTTGATGCCAACAGTAGAAAAGGAAATATCTTCAAATAAAAACTAGACAGAATCATTCTCAGAAACTGCTTTGTTATGTGTGCCTTCAACTCACAGAGTTTAACCTTTCTTTTCTTAGAGCAGTTTAGAAACACTCTGCTTGTTATGTCTGCAAGTGGATATTTGGACCTCTTTGAGGCCTTCGTTGCAAACGGGGTTTCTTCCTTTCATGCTAGACTAAGAAGAGTTCTCAGTAACTTTTTTGTGTTGTGTGTATTCAACTCACAGAGTTGAACCTTGCTTTAGAGAGAGCAGATTTGAAACACTCTTGCTGTGGCATTTTCAGGTGGAGATTTCAAGCGATTTGAGGACAATTGCAGAAAAGGAAATATCTTCGTATAATAACCAGACAGAATCATTCTCAGAAAGTGCTTTGTGATGTGTGCGTTCAACTCACAGAGTTTAACCTTTCTTTCCATAGAGGAGTTTGGAAACACACTGTTTGTAAAGTCTGGAATTGGATATATAGACCTGTTTGAGGCCTTCGTTGGAAACGGGATTTCTTCATTGAATGCTAGACGGAAGAATTCTCAGTAAATTCTTTGTGTTGTGTGCATTCAACTGACAGAGTGGAACGTCCCTTTAGACAGAGCAGATTTGAAACACTCTTTTTGCGGAATTTGCAAGTGGAGATTTCTAACCATTTGATGCCAACAGTAGAAAGGGAAACATCTTCAAATAAAAACCAGACAGAATCATTCTCAGAAAATTCTTTGTGATGTGTGCGTTCAACTCACATAGTTTAACCTTTCTTTTCATAGAGCAGTTTGGAAACACTCTGTTTGTAAAGTCTGCAAGTGGATATATGGACCGCATTGAGGCCTTCGTTGGAAACGGGATTTCTTCATTTCATGCTAGACAGAAGAATTCTCAGTAACTTCTTTGTGCTGTGTGTATTCAACTCACAGAGTGGAACGTCCCTTTGCACAGAGCAGATTTGAAACACTCTTTTTGTGGAATTTGCAAGTGGAGATTTCAAGCGATTTGATGCCAACAGTAGAAAAGGAAATATCTTCAAATAAAAACTAGACAGAATCATTCTCAGAAACTACTTTGTGATGTCTGCCTTCAACTCACAGAGTTTAACCTTTCTTTTCTTAGAGCAGTTTAGAAACACTCTGCTTGTTATGTCTGCAAGTGGATATTTGGACCTTCTTTGAGGCCTTCGTTGCAAACGGGGTTTCTTCCTTTCATGCTAGACTAAGAAGAGTTCTCAGTAACTTTTTTGTGTTGTGTGTATTCAACTCACAGAGTTGAACCTTGCTTTAGAGAGAGCAGATTTGAAACACTCTGGCTGTGGCATTTTCAGGTGGAGATTTCAAGCGATTTGAGGACAATTGCAGAAACGGAAATATCTTCGTATAATAACCAGACAGAATCATTCTCAGAAAGTGCTTTGTGATGTGTGCGTTCCACTCACAGAGTTTAACCTTTCTTTTCATAGAGGAGTTTGGAAACACACTGTTTGTAAAGTCTGCAAGTGGATATATGGACCTGTTTGAGGCCTTCGTTGGAAACGGGATTTCTTCATTGAATGCTAGACGGAAGAATTCTCAGTAAATTCTTTGTGTTGTGTGCATTCAACTCACAGAGTGGAACGTCCCTTTAGACAGAGCAGATTTGAAACACTCTTTTTGCGGAATTTGCAAGTGGAGATTTCTAGCCATTTGATGCCAACAGTAGAAAGGGAAATATCTTCAAATAAAAACCATACAGAATCATTCTCACAAAATTCTTTGTGATGTGTGCGTTCAACTCACATAGTTTAACCTTTCTTTTCATAGAGCAGTTTGGAAACACTCTGTTTGTAAAGTCTGCAAGTGGATATATGGACCGCATTGAGGCCTTCGTTGGAAACGGGATTTCTTCATTTCATGCTAGACAGAAGAATTCTCAGTAACTTCTTTGTGCTGTGTGTATTCAACTCACAGAGTGGAACGTCCCTTTACACAGAGCAGATTTGAAACACTCTTTTTGTGGAGTTTGCAAGTGGAGATTTCAAGCGATTTGATGCCAACAGTAGAAAATGAAATATCTTCAAATAACAACTAGACAGAATCATTCTCAGAAACTACTTTGTGATGTGTGCCTTCAACTCACAGAGTTTAACCTTTCTTTTCTTAGAGCAGTTTAGAAACACTCTGCTTGTTATGTCTGCAAGTGGATATTTGGACCTCTTTGAGGCCTTCGTTGCAAACGGGGTTTCTTCCTTTAATGCTAGACTAAGAAGAGTTCTCAGTAAGTTTTTTGTGTTGTGTGTATTCAACTCAAAGAGTTGAACCTTGCTTTAGAGAGAGCAGATTTGAAACACTCTTGCTGTGGAAATTTCAGGTGGAGATTTCAAGCGATTTGAGGACAATTGCAGAAAAAGAAATATCTTCGTATAATAACCAGACAGAATCATTCTCAGAAAGTGCTTTGTGATGTGTGCGTTCAACTCACAGAGTTTAACCTTTCTTTTCATAGAGGAGCTTGGAAACACACTGTTTGTAAAGTCTGCAATTGGATATATGGACCTGTTTGAGGCCTCCGTTGGAAACGGGATTTCTTCATTGAATGCTAGACGGAAGAATTCTCAGTAAATTCTTTGTGTTGTGTGCATTGAACTCACAGAGTGGAACGTCCCTTTAGACAGAGCAGATTTGAAACACTCTTTTTGAGGAATTTGCAAGTGGAGATTTCTAGCCATTTGATGCCAACAGTAGAAAGGGAAATATCTTCAAATAAAAACCAGACAGAATCATTCTCAGAAAATTCTTTGTGATGTGTGCGTTCAACTCACATAGTTTAACCTTTCTTTTCATAGAGCAGTTTGGAAACACTCTGTTTGTAAAGTCTGCAAGTGGATATATGGACCGCATTGAGGCCTTCGTTGGAAACGGGATTTCTTCATTTCATGCTAGACAGAAGAATTCTCAGTAACTTCTTTGTGCTGTGTGTATTCAACTCACAGAGTGGAACGTCCCTTTGCACAGAGCAGATTTGAAACACTCTTTTTGTGGAATTTGCAAGTGGAGATTTCAAGCGATTTGATGCCAACAGTAGAAAAGGAAATATCTTCAAATAAAAACTAGACAGAATCATTCTCAGAAACTACTTTGTGATGTGTGCCTTCAACTCACAGAGTTTAACCTTTCTTTTCTTAGAGCAGTTTAGAAACACTCTGCTTGTTATGTCTGCAAGTGGATATTTGGACCTCTTTGAGGCCTTCGTTGCAAACGGGGTTTCTTCCTTTCATGCTAGACTAAGAAGAGTTCTCAGTAACTTTTTTGTGTTGTGTGTATTCAACTCACAGAGTTGAACCTTGCTTTAGAGAGAGCAGATTTGAAACACTCTTGCTGTGGCATTTTCAGGTGGAGATTTCAAGCGATTTGAGGACAATTGCAGAAAAGGAAATATCTTCCTATAACAACCAGACAGAATCATTCTCAGAAAGTGCTTTGTGTTGTGTGCGTTCAACTCACAGAGTTTAACCTTTCTTTTCATAGAGGAGTTTGGAAACACACTGTTTGTAAAGTCTGCAATTGGATATATGGACCTGTTTGAGGCCTTCGTTGGAAACGGGATTTCTTCATTGAATGCTAGACGGAAGAATTCTCAGTAAATTCTTTGTGTTGTGTGCATTCAACTCACAGAGTGGAACGTCCCTTTAGACAGTGCACATTTGAAACACTTTTTGGCGGAATTTGCAAGTGGAGATTTCTAGCCATTTGATGCCAACTGTAGAAAGGGAAATATCTTCAAATAAAAACCAGACAGAATCATTCTCAGAAAATTCTTTGTGATGTGTGCGTTCAACTCACATAGTTTAACCTTTCTTTTCATAGAGCAGTTTGGAAACACTCTGTTTGTAAAGTCTGCAAGTGGATATATGGACCGCATTGAGGCCTTCGTTGGAAACGGGATTTCCTTCATTTCATGCTAGACAGAAGAATTCTCAGTAACTTCTTTGTGCTGTGTGTATTCAACTCACAGAGTGGAACGTCCCTTTGCACAGAGCGGATTTGAAACACTCTTTTTGTGGAGTTTGCAAGTGGAGATTTCAAGCGATTTGATGCCAACAGTAGAAAAGGAAATATCTTCAAATAAAAACTAGACAGAATCATTCTCAAAAACTACTTTGTGATGTGTGCCTTCAACTCACAGAGTTTAACCTTTCTTTTCTTAGAGCAGTTTAGAAACACTCTGCTTGTTATGTCTGCAAGTGGATATTTGGACCTCTTTGAGGCCTTCGTTGCAAACGGGGTTTCTTCCTTTCATGCTAGACTAAGAAGAGTTCTCAGTAACTTTTTTGTGTTGTGTGTATTCAACTCACAGAGTTGAACCTTGCTTTAGAGAGAGCAGATTTGAAACACTCTTGCTGTGGCATTTTCAGGTGGAGATTTCAAGCGATTTGAGGACAATTGCAGAAAAGGAAATATCTTCGTATAATAACCAGACAGAATCATTCTCAGAAAGTGCTTTGTGATGTGTGCGTTCAACTCACAGAGTTTAACCTTTCTTTTCATAGAGGAGTTTGGAAACACACTGTTTGTAAAGTCTGCAATTGGATATATGGACCTGTTTGAGGCCTTCTTTGGAAACGGGATTTCTTCATTGAATGCTAGACGGAAGAATTCTCAGTAAATTCTTTGTGTTGTGTGCATTCAACCCACAGAGTGGAACGTCCCTTTAGACAGAGCAGATTTGAAACACTCTTTTTGCGGAATTTGCAAGTGGAGATTTCTAGCCATTTGATGCCAACAGTAGAAAGGGAAATATCTTCAAATAAAAACCAGACAGAATCATTCTCAGAAAATTCTTTGTGATGTGTGCGTTCAACTCACATAGTTTAACCTTTCTTTTCATAGAGCAGTTTGGAAACACTCTGTTTGTAAAGTCTGCAAGTGGATATATGGACCGCATTGAGGCCTCCGTTGGAAACGGGATTTCTTCATTTCATGCTAGACAGAAGAATTCTCAGTAACTTCTTTGTGCTGTGTGTATTCAACTCACAGAGTGGAACGTCCCTTTGCACAGAGCAGATTTGAAACACTCTTTTTGTGGAGTTTGCAAGTGGAGATTTCAAGCGATTTGATGCCAACAGTAGAAAAGGAAGTATCTTCAAATAAAAACTAGACAGAATCATTCTCAGAAACTACTTTGTGATGTGTGCCTTCAACTCACAGAGTTTAACCTTTCTTTTCTTAGAGCAGTTTAGAAACACTCTGCTTGTTATGTCTGCAAGTGGATATTTGGACCTCTTTGAGGCCTTCGTTGCAAACGGGGTTTCTTCCTTTCATGCTAGACTAAGAAGAGTTCTCAGTAACTTTTTTGTGTTGTGTGTATTCAACTCACAGAGTTGAACCTTGCTTTAGAGAGAGCAGATTTGAAACACTCTTGCTGTGGCATTTTCAGGTGGAGATTTCAAGCGTTTTGAGGACAATTGCAGAAAAGGAAATATCTTCGTATAATAACCAGACAGAATCATTCTCAGAAAGTGCTTTGTGATGTGTGCGTTCAACTCACAGAGTTTAACCTTTCTTTTCATAGAGGAGTTTGGAAACACACTGTTTGTAAATTCTGCAATTGGATATATGGACCTGTTTGAGGCCTTCGTTGGAAACGGGATTTCTTCATTGAATGCTAGACGGAAGGAATCTCAGTAAATTCTTTGTGTTGTGTGCATTCAACTCACAGAGTGGAACGTCCCTTTAGACAGAGCAGATTTGAAACACTCTTTTTGCGGAATTTGCAAGTGGAGATTTCTAGCCATTTGATGCCAACAGTAGAAAGGGAAATATCTTCAAATAAAAACCAGACAGAATCATTCTCAGAAAATTCTTTGTGATGTGTGCGTTCAACTCACATAGTTTAACCTTTCTTTTCATAGAGCAGTTTGGAAACACTCTGTTTGTAAAGTCTGCAAGTGGATATATGGACCGCATTGAGGCCTTCGTTGGAAACGGGATTTCTTCATTTCATGCTAGACAGAAGAATTCTCAGTAACTTCTTTGTGCTGTGTGTATTCAACTCACAGAGTGGAACGTCCCTTTGCACAGAGCAGATTTGAAACACTCTTTTTGTGGAATTTGCAAGTGGAGATTTCAAGCGATTTGATGCCAACAGTAGAAAAGGAAATATCTTCAAATAAAAACTAGACAGAATCATTCTCAGAAACTACTTTGTGATGTGTGCCTTCAACTCACAGAGTTTAACCTTTCTTTTCTTAGAGCAGTTTAGAAACACTCTGCTTGTTATGTCTGCAAGTGGATATTTGGACCTCTTTGAGGCCTTCGTTGCAAACGGGGTTTCTTCCTTTCATGCTAGACTAAGAAGAGTTCTCAGTAACTTTTTTGTGTTGTGTGTATTCAACTCACAGAGTTGAACCTTGCTTTAGAGAGAGCAGATTTGAAACACTCTTGCTGTGGCATTTTCAGGTGGAGATTTCAAGCGACTTGAAGACAATTGCAGAAAAGGAAATATCTTCGTATAATAACCAGACAGAATCATTCTCAGAAAGTGCTTTGTGATGTGTGCGTTCAACTCACAGAGTTTAACCTTTCTTTTCATAGAGGAGTTTGGAAACACACTGTTTGTAAAGTCTGCAATTGGATATTTGGACCTGTTTAAGGCCTTCGTTGGAAACGGGATTTCTTCATTGAATGCTAGACGGAAGAATTCTCAGTAAATTCTTTGTGTTGTGTGCATTCAACTCACAGAGTGGAACGTCCCTTTAGACAGAGCAGATTTGAAACACTCTTTTTGCAGAATTTGCAAGTGGAGATTTCTAGCCATTTGATGCCAACGGTAGAAAGGGAAATATCTTCAAATAAAAACTAGACAGAATCATCCTCAGAAAATTCTTTGTGATGTGTGCGTTCAACTCACATAGTTTAACCTTTCTTTTCATACACCAGTTTGGAAACACTCTGTTGGTAATGTCTGCAAGTGGATATATGGACCGCTTTGAGGACTTCGTTGGAAACGGGATTTCTTAATTTCATGCTAGACAGAAGAATTCTCAGTAACTTCTTTGTGTTGTGTGTATTCAACTGACAGATTGGAATGTCCCATTACACAGAGCAGTTTTGAAACACTCTTTTTGTGGAATTTGAAAGTGGAGAATTCAAGCGATTTGATGCCAACAGTTGAAAAGGAAATATCTTCAAATAAAAACTAGACAGAATCATTCTCAGAAACTACTTTGTGATGTGTGCCTTCAACTCACAGAGTTTAACCTTTCTTTTCTTAGAGCAGTTTAGAAACACTCTGCTTGTTATGTCTGCAAGTGGATATTTGGACCTCTTTGAGGCCTTCGTTGCAAATGGGGTTTCTTCCTTTCATGCTAGACTAAGAAGAGTTCTCAGTAACTTTTTTGTGTTGTGTGTATTCAACTCACAGAGTTGAACCTTGCTTTAGAGAGAGCAGATTTGAAACACTCTTGCTGTGGCATTTTCAGGTGGAGATTTCAAGCGATTTGAGGACAATTGCAGAAAAGGAAATATCTTCGTATAATAACCAGACAGAATCATTCTCAGAAAGTGCTTTGTGATGTGTGCGTTCGACTCACAGAGTTTAACCTTTCTTTTCATAGAGGAGTTTGGAAACACACTGTTTGTAAAGTCTGCAATTGGATATATGGACCTCTTTGAGGCCTCCGTTGGAAACGGGATTTCTTCATTGAATGCTAGACGGAAGAATTCTCAGTAAATTCTTTGTGTTGTGTGCATTCAACTCACAGAGTGGAACGTCCCTTTAGACAGAGCAGATTTGAAACACTCTTTTTGCGGAATTTGCAAGTGGAGATTTCTAGCCATTTGATGCCAACAGTAGAAAGGGAAATATCTTCAAATAAAAACCAGACAGAATCATTCTCAGAAAATTCTTTGTGATGTGTGCGTTCAACTCACATAGTTTAACCTTTCTTTTCATAGAGCAGTTTGGAAACACTCTGTTTGTAAAGTCTGCAAGTGGATATATGGACCGCATTGAGGCCTTCGTTGGAAACGGGATTTCTTCATTTCATGCTAGACAGAAGAATTCTCAGTAACTTCTTTGTGCTGTGTGTATTCAACTCACAGAGTGGAACGTCCCTTTGCACAGAGCAGATTTGAAACACTCTTTTTGTGGAGTTTGCAAGTGGAGATTTCAAGCGATTTGATGCCAACAGTAGAAAAGGAAATATCTTCAAATAAAAACTAGACAGAATCATTCTCAGAAACTACTTTGTGATGTGTGCCTTCAACTCACAGAGTTTAACCTTTCTTTTCTTAGAGCAGTTTAGAAACACTCTGCTTGTTATGTCTGCAAGTGGATATTTGGACCTCTTTGAGGCCTTCGTTGCAAACGGGGTTTCTTCCTTTCATGCTAGACTAAGAAGAGTTCTCAGTAACTTTTTTGTGTTGTGTGTATTCAACTCACAGAGTTGAACCTTGCTTTAGAGAGAGCAGATTTGAAACACTCTTGCTGTGGCATTTTCAGGTGGAGATTTCAAGCGATTTGAGGACAATTGCAGAAAAGGAAATATCTTCGTATAACAACCAGACAGAATCATTCTCAGAAAGTGCTTTGTGATGTGTGCGTTCCACTCACAGAGTTTAACCTTTCTTTTCATAGAGGAGTTTGGAAACACACTGTTTGTAAAGTCTGCAAGTGGATATATGGACCTGTTTGAGGCCTTCGTTGGAAACGGGATTTCTTCATTGAATGCTAGACGGAAGAATTCTCAGTAAATTCTTTGTGTTGTGTGCATTCAACTGACAGAGTGGAACGTCCCTTTAGACAGAGCAGATTTGAAACACTCTTTTTGCGGAATTTGCAAGTGGAGATTTCTAGCCATTTGATGCCAACTGTAGAAAGGGAAATATCTTCAAATAAAAACCAGACAGAATCATTCTCAGAAAATTCTTTGTGATGTGTGCGTTCAACTCACATAGTTTAACCTTTCTTTTCATAGAGCAGTTTGGAAACACTCTGTTTGTAAAGTCTGCAAGTGGATATATGGACCGCATTGAGGCCTTCGTTGGAAACGGGATTTCTTCATTTCATGCTAGACAGAAGAATTCTCAGTAACTTCTTTGTGCTGTGTGTATTCAACTCACAGAGTGGAACGTCCCTTTAGACAGAGCAGATTTGAAACACTCTTCTTGTGGAGTTTGCAAGTGGAGATTTCAAGCGATTTGATGCCAACAGTAGAAAAGGAAATATCTTCAAATAAAAACTAGACAGAATCATTCTCAGAAACTACTTTGTGATGTGTGCCTTCAACTCACAGAGTTTAACCTTTCTTTTCTTAGAGCAGTTTAGAAACACTCTGCTTGTTATGTCTGCAAGTGGATATTTGGACCTCTTTGAGGCCTTCGTTGTAAACGGGGTTTCTTCCTTTCATGCTAGACTAAGAAGAGTTCTCAGTAACTTTTTTGTGTTGTGTGTATTCAACTCACAGAGTTGAACCTTGCTTTAGAGAGAGCAGATTTGAAACACTCTTGCTGTGGCATTTTCAGGTGGAGATTTCAAGCGATTTGAGGACAATTGCAGAAAAGGAAATATCTTCGTATAATAACCAGACAGAATCATTCTCAGAAAGTGCTTTGTGATGTGTGCGTTCAACTCACAGAGTTTAACCTTTCTTTTCATAGAGGAGTTTGGAAACACACTGTTTGTAAAGTCTGCAATTGGATATATGGACCTGTTTCAGGCCTTCGTTGGAAACGGGATTTCTTCATTGAATGCTAGACGGAAGAATTCTCAGTAAATTCTTTGTGTTGTGTGCATTCAACTGACAGAGTGGAACGTCCCTTTAGACAGAGCAGATTTGAAACACTCTTTTTGCGGAATTTGCAAGTGGAGATTTCTAGCCATTTGATGCCAACAGTAGAAAGGGAAATATCTTCAAATAAAAACCAGACAGAATCATTCTCAGAAAATTCTTTGTGATGTGTGCGTTCAACTCACATAGTTTAACCTTTCTTTTCATAGAGCAGTTTGGAAACACTCTGTTTGTAAAGTCTGCAAGTGGATATATGGACCGCATTGAGGCCTTCGTTGGACACGGGATTTCTTCATTTCATGCTAGACAGAAGAATTCTCAGTAACTTCTTTTGTGCTGTGTGTATTCAACTCACAGAGTGGAACGTCCCTTTGCACAGAGCAGATTTGAAACACTCTTTTTGTGGAATTTGCAAGTGGAGATTTCAAGCGATTTGATGCCAACAGTAGAAAAGGAAATATCTTCAAATAAAAACTAGACAGAACCATTCTCAGAAAGTACTTTGTGATGTGTGCCTTCAACTCACAGAGTTTAACCTTTCTTTTCTTAGAGCAGTTTAGAAACACTCTGCTTGTTATGTCTGCAAGTGGATATTTGGACCTCTTTGAGGCCTTCGTTGCAAACGGGGTTTCTTCCTTTCATGCTAGACTAAGAAGAGTTCTCAGTAACTTTTTTGTGTTGTGTGTATTCAACTCACAGAGTTGAACCTTGCTTTAGAGAGAGCAGATTTGAAACACTCTTGCTGTGGCATTTTCAGGTGGAGATTTCAAGCGATTTGAGGACAATTGCAGAAAAGGAAATATCTTCGTATAACAACCAGACAGAATCATTCTCAGAAAGTGCTTTGTGATGTGTGCGTTCAACTCACAGAGTTTAACCTTTCTTTTCATAGAGGAGTTTGGAAACACACTGTTTGTAAAGTCTGCAATTGGATATATGGACCTGTTTGAGGCCTTCGTTGGAAACGGGATTTCTTCATTGACTGCTAGACGGAAGAATTCTCAGTAAATTCTTTGTGTTGTGTGCATTCAACTGACAGAGTGGAACGTCCCTTTAGACAGAGCAGATTTGAAACACTCTTTTTGCGGAATTTGCAAGTGGAGATTTCTAGCCATTTGATGCCAACAGTAGAAAGGGAAATATCTTCAAATAAAAACCAGACAGAATCATTCTCAGAAAATTCTTTGTGATGTGTGCGTTCAACTCACATAGTTTAACCTTTCTTTTCATAGAGCAGTTTGGAAACACTCTGTTTGTAAAGTCTGCAAGTGGATATATGGACCGCATTGAGGCCTTCGTTGGAAACGGGATTTCTTCATTTCATGCTAGACAGAAGAATTCTCAGTAACTTCTTTGTGCTGTGTGTATTCAACTCACAGAGTGGAACGTCCCTTTGCACAGAGCAGATTTGAAACACTCTTTGAAACACTCTTTTTGTGGAATTTGCAAGTGGAGATTTCAAGCGATTTGACGCCAACAGTAGAAAAGGAAATATCTTCAAATAAAAACTAGACAGAAATCATTCTCAGGAACTACTTTGTGATGTGTGCCTTCAACTCACAGAGTTTAACCTTTATTTTCTTAGAGCAGTTTAGAAACACTCTGCTTGTTATGTCTGCAAGTGGATATTTGGACCTCTTTGAGGCCTTCGTTGCAAACGGGGTTTCTTCCTTTAATGCTAGACTAAGAAGAGTTCTCAGTAACTTTTTTGTGTTGTGTGTATTCAACTCACAGAGTTGAACCTTGCTTTAGAGAGAGCAGATTTGAAACACTCTTGCTGTGGCATTTTCAGGTGGAGATTTCAAGCGATTTGAGGACAATTGCAGAAAAGGAAATATCTTCGTATAATAACCAGACAGAATCATTCTCAGAAAGTGCTTTGTGATGTGTGCGTTCCACTCACAGAGTTTAACCTTTCTTTTCATAGAGGAGTTTGGAAACAAACTGTTTGTAAACTCTGCAAGTGGATATATGGACCTGTTTGAGGCCTTTGTTGGAAACGGGATTTCTTCATTGAATGCTAGACGGAAGAATTCTCAGTAAATTCTTTGTGTTGTGTGCATTCAACTCACAGAGTGGAACGTCCCTTTAGACAGAGCAGATTTGAAACACTCTTTTTGCGGAATTTGCAAGTGGAGATTTCTAGCCATTTGATGCCAACAGTAGAAAGGGAAATATCTTCAAATAAAAACCAGACAGAATCATTCTCAGAAAATTCTTTGTGATGTGTGCGTTCAACTCACATAGTTTAACCTTTCTTTTCATAGAGCAGTTTGGAAACACTCTGTTTGTAAAGTCTGCAAGTGGATATATGGACCGCATTGAGGCCTTCGTTGGAAACGGGATTTCTTCATTTCATGCTAGACAGAAGAATTCTCAGTAACTTCTTTGTGCTGTGTGTATTCAACTCACAGAGTGGAACGTCCCTTTACACAGAGCAGATTTGAAACACTCTTTTTGTGGAGTTTGCAAGTGGAGATTTCAAGCGATTTGATGCCAACAGTAGAAAAGGAAATATCTTCAAATAAAAACTAGACAGAATCATTCTCAGAAACTACTTTGTGATGTGTGCCTTCAACTCACAGAGTTTAACCTTTCTTTTCTTAGAGCACTTTAGAAACACTCTGCTTGTTATGTCTGCAAGTGGATATTTGGACCTCTTTGAGGCCTTCGTTGCAAACGGGGTTTCTTCCTTTCATGCTAGACTAAGAAGAGTTCTCAGTAACTTTTTTGTGTTGTGTGTATTCAACTGACAGAGTTGAACCTTGCTTTAGAGAGAGCAGATTTGAAACACTCTTGCTGTGGCATTTTCAGGTGGAGATTTCAAGCGATTTGAGGACAATTGCAGAAAAGGAAATATCTTCGTATAATAACCAGACAGAATCATTCTCAGAAAGTGCTTTGTGATGTGTGCGTTCAACTCACAGAGTTTAACCTTTCTTTTCATAGAGGAGTTTGGAAACACACTGTTTGTAAAGTCTGCAAGTGGATATATGGACCTCTTTGAGGCCTTCGTTGGAAACGGGATTTCTTCATTGAATGCTAGACGGAAGAATTCTCAGTAAATTCTTTGTGTTGTGTGCATTCAACTCACAGAGTGGAACGTCCCTTTAGACAGAGCAGATTTGAAACACTCTTTTTGCGGAATTTGCAAGTGGAGATTTCTAGCCATTTGATGCCAACAGTAGAAAGGGAAATATCTTCAAATAAAAACCAGACAGAATCATTCTCAGAAAATTCTTTGTGATGTGTGCGTTCAACTCACATAGTTTAACCTTTCTTTTCATAGAGCAGTTTGGAAACACTCTGTTTGTAAAGTCTGCAAGTGGATATATGGACCGCATTGAGGCCTTCGTTGGAAACGGGATTTCTTCATTTCATGCTAGACAGAAGAATTCTCAGTAACTTCTTTGTGCTGTGTGTATTCAACTCACAGAGTGGAACGTCCCTTTGCACAGAGCAGATTTGTAACACTCTTTTTGTGGAATTTGCAAGTGGAGATTTCAAGCGATTTGATGCCAACAGTAGAAAAGGAAATATCTTCAAATAAAAACTAGACAGAATCATTCTCAGAAACTACTTTGTGATGTGTGCCTTCAACTCACAGAGTTTAACCTTTCTTTTCTTAGAGCAGTTTAGAAACACTCTGCTTGTTATGTCTGCAAGTGGATATTTGGACCTCTTTGAGGCCTTCGTTGCAAACGGGGTTTCTTCCTTTCATGCTAGACTAAGAAGAGTTCTCAGTAACATTTCTGTGTTGTGTGTATTCAACTCACAGAGTTGAACCTTGCTTTAGAGAGAGCAGATTTGAAACACTCTTGCTGTGGCATTTTCAGGTGGAGATTTCAATCGTTTTGAGGACAATTGCAGAAAAGGAAATATCTTCGTATAATAACCAGACAGAATCATTCTCAGAAAGTGCTTTGTGATGTGTGCGTTCCACTCACAGAGTTTAACCTTTCTTTTCATAGAGGAGTTTGGAAACACACTGTTTGTAAAGTCTGCAAGTGGATATATGGACCTGTTTGAGGCCTTCGTTGGAAACGGGATTTCTTCATTGAATGCTAGACGGAAGAATTCTCAGTAAATTCTTTGTGTTGTGTGCATTCAACTCACAGAGTGGAACGTCCCTTTAGACAGAGCAGATTTGAAACACTCTTTTTGCGGAATTTGCAAATGGAGATTTCTAGCCATTTGATGCCAACTGTAGAAAGGGAAATATCTTCAAATAAAAACCAGGCAGAATCATTCTCAGAAAATTCTTTGTGATGTGTGCGTTCAACTCACAATAGTATAACCTTTCTTTTCATAGAGCAGTTTGGAAACACTCTGTTTGTAAAGTCTGCAAGTGGATATATGGACCGCATTGAGGCCTTCGTTGGAAACGGGATTTCTTCATTTCATGCTAGACAGAAGAATTCTCAGTAACTTCTTTGTGCTGTGTGTATTCAACTCACAGAGTGGAACGTCCCTTTACACAGAGCAGATTTGAAACACTCTTTTTGTGGAGTTTGCAAGTGGAGATTTCAAGCGATTTGATGCCAACAGTAGAAAAGGAAATATCTTCAAATAAAAACTAGACAGAATCATTCTCAGAAACTACTTTGTGATGTGTGCCTTCAACTCACAGAGTTTAACCTTTCTTTTCTTAGAGCAGTTTAGAAACACTCTGCTTGTTATGTCTGCAAGTGGATATTTGGACCTCTTTGAGGCCTTCGTTGCAAACGGGGTTTCTTCCTTTCATGCTAGACTAAGAAGAGTTCTCAGTAACTTTTTTGTGTTGTGTGTATTCAACTCACAGAGTTGAACCTTGCTTTAGAGAGAGCAGATTTGAAACACTCTTGCTGTGGTATTTTCAGGTGGAGATTTCAAGCGATTTGAGGACAATTGCAGAAAAGGAAATATCTTCGTATAACAACCAGACAGAATCATTCTCAGAAAGTGCTTTGTGATGTGTGCGTTCCACTCACAGAGTTTAACCTTTCTTTTCATAGAGGAGTTTGGAAACACACTGTTTGTAAAGTCTGCAATTGGATATATGGACCTGTTTGAGGCCTTCGTTGGAAACGGGATTTCTTCATTGAATGCTAGACGGAAGAATTCTCAGTAAATACTTTGTGTTGTGTGCATTCAACTGACAGAGTGGAACGTCCCTTTAGACAGAGCAGATTTGAAACACTCTTTTTGCGGAATTTGCAAGTGGAGATTTCTAGCCATTTGATGCCAACAGTAGAAAGGGAAATATCTTCAAATAAAAACCAGACAGAATCATTCTCAGAAAATTCTTTGTGATGTGTGCGTTCAACTCACATAGTTTAACCTTTCTTTTCATAGAGCAGTTTGGAAACACTCTGTTTGTAAAGTCTGCAAGTGGATATATGGACCGCATTGAGGCCTTCGTTGGAAACGGGATTTCTTCATTTCATGCTAGACAGAAGAATTCTCAGTAACTTCTTTGTGCTGTGTGTATTCAACTCACAGAGTGGAACGTCCCTTTACACAGAGCAGATTTGAAACACTCTTTTTGTGGAGTTTGCAAGTGGAGATTTCAAGCGATTTGATGCCAACAGTAGAAAAGGAAATATCTTCAAATAAAAACTAGACAGAATCATTCTCAGAAACTACT
Organism: Homo sapiens; assembly: GCF_000001405.40. Classification (NCBI taxonomy): domain Eukaryota; kingdom Metazoa; phylum Chordata; class Mammalia; order Primates; family Hominidae; genus Homo; species Homo sapiens. The sequence goes on from NC_000007.14 coordinate 59,991,000, forward strand.
TTGTGATGTGTGCCTTCAACTCACAGAGTTTAACCTTTCTTTTCATAGAGCAGTTTAGAAACACTCTGCTTGTTATGTCTGCAAGTGGATATTTGGACCTCTTTGAGGCCTTCGTTGCAAACGGGGTTTCTTCCTTTCATGCTAGACTAAGAAGAGTTCTCAGTAACTTTTTTGTGTTGTGTGTATTCAACTCACAGAGTTGAACCTTGCTTTAGAGAGAGCAGATTTGAAACACTCTTGCTGTGGCATTTTCAGGTGGAGATTTCAAACGATTTGCGGACAATTGCAGAAAAGGAAATATCTTCGTATAATAACCAGACAGAATCATTCTCAGAAAGTGCTTTGTGATGTGTGCGTTCAACTCACAGAGTTTAACCTTTCTTTTCATAGAGGAGTTTGGAAACACACTGTTTGTAAAGTCTGCAATTGGATATATGGACCTGTTTGAGGCCTTCGTTGGAAACGGGATTTCTTCATTGAATGCTAGACGGAAGAATTCTCAGTAAATTCTTTGTGTTGTGTGCATTCAACTGACAGAGTGGAACGACCCTTTAGACAGAGCAGATTTGAAACACTCTTTTTGCGGAATTTGCAAGTGGAGATTTCTAGCCATTTGATGCCAACAGTAGAAAGGGAAATATCTTCAAATAAAAACCAGACAGAATCATTCTCAGAAAATTCTTTGTGATGTGTGCGTTCAACTCACATAGTTTAACCTTTCTTTTCATAGAGCAGTTTGGAAACACTCTGTTTGTAAAGTCTGCAAGTGGATATATGGACCGCATTGAGGCCTTCGTTGGAAACGGGATTTCTTCATTTCATGCTAGACAGAAGAATTCTCAGTAACTTCTTTGTGCTGTGTGTATTCAACTCACAGAGTGGAACGTCCCTTTACACAGAGCAGATTTGAAACACTCTTTTTGTGGAGTTTGCAAGTGGAGATTTCAAGCGATTTGATGCCAACAGTAGAAAAGGAAACATCTTCAAATAAAAACTAGACAGAATCATTCTCAGAAACTACTTTGTGATGTGTGCCTTCAACTCACAGAGTTTAACCTTTCTTTTCTTAGAGCAGTTTAGAAACACTCTGCTTGTTATGTCTGCAAGTGGATATTTGGACCTCTTTGAGGCCTTCGTTGCAAACGGGGTTTCTTCCTTTCATGCTAGACTAAGAAGAGTTCTCAGTAACTTTTTTGTGTTGTGTGTATTCAACTCACAGAGTTGAACCTTGCTTTAGAGAGAGCAGATTTGAAACACTCTTGCTGTGGCATTTTCAGGTGGAGATTTCAAGCGATTTGAGGACAATTGCAGAAAAGGAAATATCTTCGTATAACAACCAGACAGAATCATTCTCAGAAAGTGCTTTGTGATGTGTGCGTTCAACTCACAGAGTTTAACCTTTCTTTTCATAGAGGAGTTTGGAAACACACTGTTTGTAAAGTCTGCAATTGGATATATGGACCTGTTTGAGGCCTTCGTTGGAAACGGGATTTCTTCATTGAATGCTAGACGGAAGAATTCTCAGTAAATTCTTTGTGTTGTGTGCATTCAACTGACAGAGTGGAACGTCCCTTTAGAGAGAGCAGATTTGAAACACTCTTTTTGCGGAATTTGCAAGTGTAGATTTCTAGCCATTTGATGCCAACAGTAGAAAGGGAAATATCTTCAAATAAAAACCAGACAGAATCATTCTCAGAAAATTCTTTGTGATGTGTGCGTTCAACTCACATAGTTTAACCTTTCTTTTCATAGAGCAGTTTGGAAACACTCTGTTTGTAAAGTCTGCAAGTGGATATATGGACCGCATTGAGGCCTTCGTTGGAAACGGGATTTCTTCATTTCATGCTAGACAGAAGAATTCTCAGTAACTTCTTTGTGCTGTGTGTATTCAACTCACAGAGTGGAACGTCCCTTTGCACAGAGCAGTTTTGAAACACTCTTTTTGTGGAATTTGCAAGTGGAGATTTCAAGCGATTTGATGCCAACAGTAGAAAAGGAAATATCTTCAAATAAAAACTAGACAGAATCATTCTCAGAAACTACTTTGTGATGTGTGCCTTCAACTCACAGAGTTTAACCTTTCTTTTCTTAGAGCAGTTTAGAAACACTCTGCTTGTTATGTCTGCAAGTGGATATTTGGACCTCTTTGAGGCCTTCGTTGCAAACGGCGTTTCTTCCTTTAATGCTAGACTAAGAAGAGTTCTCAGTAACTTTTTTGTGTTGTGTGTATTCAACTCACAGAGTTGAACCTTGCTTTAGAGAGAGCAGATTTGAAACACTCTTGCTGTGGCATTTTCAGGTGGAGATTTCAAGCGATTTGAGGACAATTGCAGAAAAGGAAATATCTTCGTATAATAACCAGACAGAATCATTCTCAGAAAGTGTTTTGTGATGTGTGCGTTCAACTCACAGAGTTTAACCTTTCTTTTCATAGAGGAGTTTGGAAACACACTGTTTGTAAAGTCTGCAATTGGATATATGGACCTGTTTGAGGCCTTCGTTGGAAACGGGATTTCTTCATTGAATGCTAGACGGAAGAATTCTCAGTAAATTCTTTGTGTTGTGTGCATTCAACTCACAGAGTGGAACGTCCCTTTAGACAGAGCAGATTTGAAACTCTCTTTTTGCGGAATTTGCAAGTGGAGATTTCTAGCCATTTGATGCCAACAGTAGAAAGGGAAATATCTTCAAATAAAAACCAGACAGAATCATTCTCAGAAAATTCTTTGTGATGTGTGCGTTCAACTCACATAGTTTAACCTTTCTTTTCATAGAGCAGTTTGGAAACACTCTGTTTGTAAAGTCTGCAAGTGGATATATGGACCGCATTGAGGCCTTCGTTGGAAACGGGATTTCTTCATTTCATGCTAGACAGAAGAATTCTCAGTAACTTCTTTGTGCTGTGTGTATTCAACTCACAGAGTGGAACGTCCCTTTGCACAGAGCAGATTTGAAACACTCTTTTTGTGGAGTTTGCAAGTGGAGATTTCAAGCGATTTGATGCCAACAGTAGAAAAGGAAATATCTTCAAATAAAAACTAGACAGAATCATTCTCAGAAACTACTTCGTGATGTGTGCCTTCAACTCACAGAGTTTAACCTTTCTTTTCTTAGAGCAGTTTAGAAACACTCTGCTTGTTATGTCTGCAAGTGGATATTTGGACCTCTTTGAGGCCTTCGTTGCAAACGGGGTTTCTTCCTTTCATGCTAGACTAAGAAGAGTTCTCAGTAACTTTTTTGTGTTGTGTGTATTCAACTCACAGAGTTGAACCTTGCTTTAGAGAGAGCAGATTTGAAACACTCTTGCTGTGGCATTTTCAGGTGGAGATTTCAAGCGATTTGAGGACAATTGCAGAAAAGGAAATATCTTCGTATAATAACCAGACAGAATCATTCTCAGAAAGTGCTTTGTGATGTGTGCGTTCAACTCACAGAGTTTAACCTTTCTTTTCATAGAGGAGTTTGGAAACACACTGTTTGTAAAGTCTGCAATTGGATATATGGACCTGTTTGAGGCCTTCGTTGGAAGCGGGATTTCTTCATTGAATGCTAGACGGAAGAATTCTCAGTAAATTCTTTGTGTTGTGTGCATTCAACTGACAGAGTGGAACGTCCCTTTAGACAGAGCAGATTTGAAACACTCTTTTTGCGGAATTTGCAAGTGGAGATTTCTAGCCATTTGATGCCAACAGTAGAAAGGGAAATATCTTCAAATAAAAACCAGACAGAATCATTCTCAGAAAATTCTTTGTGATGTGTGCGTTCAACTCACATAGTTTAACCTTTCTTTTCATAGAGCAGTTTGGAAACACTCTGTTTGTAAAGTCTGCAAGTGGATATATGGACCGCATTGAGGCCTTCGTTGGAAACGGGATTTCTTCATTTCATGCTAGACAGAAGAATTCTCAGTAACTTCTTTGTGCTGTGTGTATTCAACTCACAGAGTGGAACGTCCCTTTGCACAGAGCAGATTTGAAACACTCTTTTTGTGGAGTTTGCAAGTGGAGATTTCAAGCGATTTGATGCCAACAGTAGAAAAGGAAATATCTTCAAATAAAAACTAGACAGAATCATTCTCAGAAACTACTTTGTGATGTGTGCCTTCAACTCACAGTGTTTAACCTTTCTTTTCTTAGAGCAGTTTAGAAACACTCTGCTTGTTATGTCTGCAAGTGGATATTTGGACCTCTTTGAGGCCTTTGTTGCAAACGGCGTTTCTTCCTTTCATGCTAGACTAAGAAGAGTTCTCAGTAACTTTTTTGTGTTGTGTGTATTCAACTCACAGAGTTGAACCTTGCTTTAGAGAGAGCAGATTTGAAACACTCTTGCTGTGGCATTTTCAGGTGGAGATTTCAAGCGATTTGAGGACAATTGCAGAAAAGGAAATATCTTCGTATAATAACCAGACAGAATCATTCTCAGAAAGTGCTTTGTGATGTGTGCGTTCAACTCACAGAGTTTAACCTTTCTTTTCATAGAGGAGCTTGGAAACACACTGTTTGTAAAGTCTGCAAGTGGATATATGGACCTGTTTGAGGCCTTCGTTGGAAACGGGATTTCTTCATTGAATGCTAGACGGAAGAATTCTCAGTAAATTCTTTGTGTTGTGTGCATTCAACTCACAGAGTGGAACGTCCCTTTAGACAGAGCAGATTTGAAACACTCTTTTTGCGGAATTTGCAAGTGGAGATTTCTAGCCATTTGATGCCAACAGTAGAAAGGGAAATATCTTCAAATAAAAACCAGACAGAATCATTCTCAGCAAATTCTTTGTGATGTGTGCGTTCAACTCACATAGTTTAACCTTTCTTTTCATAGAGCAGTTTGGAAACACTCTGTTTGTAAAGTCTGCAAGTGGATATATGGACCGCATTGAGGCCTTCGTTGGAAACGGGATTTCTTCATTTCATGCTAGACAGAAGAATTCTCAGTAACTTCTTTGTGCTGTGTGTATTCAACTCACAGAGTGGAACGTCCCTTTGCACAGAGCAGATTTGAAACACTCTTTTTGTGGAGTTTGCAAGTGGAGATTTCAAGCGATTTGATGCCAACAGTAGAAAAGGAAATATCTTCAAATAAAAACTAGACAGAATCATTCTCAGAAACTACTTTGTGATGTGTGCCTTCAACTCACAGAGTTCAACCTTTCTTTTCTTAGAGCAGTTTAGAAACACTCTGCTTGTTATGTCTGCAAGTGGATATTTGGACCTCTTTGAGGACTTCGTTGCAAACGGCGTTTCTTCCTTTCATGCTAGACTAAGAAGAGTTCTCAGTAACTTGTTTGTGTTGTGTGTATTCAACTCACAGAGTTGAACCTTGCTTTAGAGAGAGCAGATTTGAAACACTCTTGCTGTGGCATTTTCAGGTGGAGATTTCAAGCGATTTGAGGACAATTGCAGAAAAGGAAATATCTTCGTATAATAACCAGACAGAATCATTCTCAGAAAGTGCTTTGTGATGTGTGCGTTCAACTCACAGAGTTTAACCTTTCTTTTCATAGAGGAGTTTGGAAACACACTGTTTGTAAAGTCTGCAAGTGGATATATGGACCTGTTTGAGGCCTTCGTTGGAAACGGGATTTTATCATATAATGCTAGACGGAAGAATTCTCAGTAAATTCTTTGTGTTGTGTGCATTCAACTCACAGAGTGGAACGTCCCTTTAGACAGAGCAGATTTGAAACACTCTTTTTGCGGAATTTGCAAGTGGAGATTTCTAGCCATTTGATGCCAACAGTAGAAAGGGAAATATCTTCAAATAAAAACCAGACAGAATCATTCTCAGAAAATTCTTTGTGATGTGTGCGTTCAACTCACATAGTTTAACCTTTCTTTTCATAGAGCAGTTTGGAAACACTCTGTTTGTAAAGTCTGCAAGTGGATATATGGACCGCATTGAGGCCTTCGTTGGAAACGGGATTTCTTCATTTCATGCTAGACAGAAGAATTCTCAGTAACTTCTTTGTGCTGTGTGTATTCAACTCACAGAGTGGAACGTCCCTTTGCACAGAGCAGATTTGAAACACTCTTTTTGTGGAGTTTGCAAGTGGAGATTTCAAGCGATTTGATGCCAACAGTAGAAAAGGAAATATCTTCAAATAAAAACTAGACAGAATCATTCTCAGAAACTACTTTGTGATGTGTGCCTTCAACTCACAGAGTTTAACCTTTCTTTTCTGAGAGCAGTTTAGAAACACTCTGCTTGTTATGTCTGCAAGTGGATATTTGGACCTCTTTGAGGCCTTCGTTGCAAACGGGGTTTCTTCCTTTCATGCTAGACTAAGAAGAGTTCTCAGTAACTTTTTTGTGTTGTGTGTATTCAACTCACAGAGTTGAACCTTGCTTTAGAGAGAGCAGATTTGAAACACTCTTGCTGTGGCATTTTCAGGTGGAGATTTCAAGCGATTTGAGGACAATTGCAGAAAAGGAAATATCTTCGTATAATAACCAGACAGAATCACTCTCAGAAAGTGCTTTGTGATGTGTGCGTTCAACTCACAGAGTTTAACCTTTCTTTCCATAGAGGAGTTTGGAAACACACTGTTTGTAAAGTCTGCAATTGGATATATGGACCTGTTTGAGGCCTTCGTTGGAAACGGGATTTCTTCATTGAATGCTAGACGGAAGAATTCTCAGTAAATTCTTTGTGTTGTGTGCATTCAACTCACAGAGTGGAACGTCCCTTTAGTCAGAGCAGATTTGAAACACTCTTTTTGCGGAATTTGCAAGTGGAGATTTCTAGCCATTTGATGCCAACAGTAGAAAGGGAAATATCTTCAAATAAAAACCAGACAGAATCATTCTCAGAAAATTCTTTGTGATGTGTGCGTTCAACTCACATAGTTTAACCTTTCTTTTCACAGAGCAGTTTGGAAACACTCTGTTTGTAAAGTCTGCAAGTGGATATATGGACCGCATTGAGGCCTTCGTTGGAAACGGGATTTCTTCATTTCATGCTAGACAGAAGAATTCTCAGTAACTTCTTTGTGCTGTGTGTATTCAACTCACAGAGTGGAACGTCCCTTTGCACAGAGCAGATTTGAAACACTCTTTTTGTGGAGTTTGCTAGTGGAGATTTCAAGCGATTTGATGCCAACAGTAGAAGAGGAAATATCTTCAAATAAAAACTAGACAGAATCATTCTCAGAAACTACTTTGTGATGTGTGCCTTTAACTCACAGAGTTTAACCTTTCTTTTCTTAGAGCAGTTTAGAAACACTCTGCTTGTTATGTCTGCAAGTGGATATTTGGACCTCTTTGAGGCCTTCGTTGCAAACGGGGTTTCTTCCTTTCATGCTAGACTAAGAAGAGTTCTCAGTAACTTTTTTGTGTTGTGTGTATTCAACTCACAGAGTTGAACCTTGCTTTAGAGAGAGCAGATTTGAAACACTCTTGCTGTGGCATTTTCAGGTGGAGATTTCAAGCGATTTGAGGACAATTGCAGAAAAGGAAATATCTTCGTATAATAACCAGACAGAATCATTCTCAGAAAGAGCTTTGTGATGTGTGCGTTCCACTCACAGAGTTTAACCTTTCTTTTCATAGAGGAGTTTGGAAACACACTGTTTGTAAAGTCTGCAAGTGGATATATGGACCTGTTTGAGGCCTTCGTTGGAAACGGGATTTCTTCATTGAATGCTAGACGGAAAGAATTCTCAGTAAATTCTTTGTGTTGTGTGCATTCAACTCACAGAGTGGAACGTCCCTTTAGACAGAGCAGATTTGAAACACTCTTTTTGCGGAATTTGCAAGTGGAGATTTCTAGCCATTTGATGCCAACAGTAGAAAGGGAAATATCTTCAAATAAAAACCAGACAGATCATTCTCAGAAAATTCTTTGTGATGTGTGCGTTCAGCTCACATAGTTTAACCTTTCTTTTCATAGAGCAGTTTGGAAACACTCTGTTTGTAAAGTCTGCAAGTGGATATATGGACCGCATTGAGGCCTTCGTTGGAAACGGGATTTCTTCATTTCATGCTAGACAGAAGAATTCTCAGTAACTTCCTTGTGCTGTGTGTATTCAACTCACAGAGTGGAACGTCCCTTTGCACAGAGCAGATTTGAAACACTCTTTTTGTGGAGTTTGCAAGTGGAGATTTCAAGCGATTTGATGCCAACAGTAGGAAAGGAAATATCCTCAAATAAAAACTAGACAGAATCATTCTCAGAAACTACTTTGTGATGTGTGCCTTTTACTCACAGAGTTTAACCTTTCTTTTCTTAGAGCAGTTTAGAAACACTCTGCTTGTTATGTCTGCAAGTGGATATTTGGACCTCTTTGAGGCCTTCGTTGCAAACGGGGTTTCTTCCTTTCATGCTAGACTAAGAAGAGTTCTCAGTAACTTTTTTGTGTTGTGTGTATTCAACTCACAGAGTTGAACCTTGCTTTAGAGAGAGCAGATTTGAAACACTCTTGCTGTGGCATTTTCAGGTGGAGATTTCAAGCGATTTGAGGACAATTGCAGAAAAGGAAATATCTTCGTATAATAACCAGACAGAATCATTCTCAGAAAGTGCTTTGTGATGTGTGCGTTCAACTCACAGAGTTTAACCTTTCTTTTCATAGAGGAGTTTGGAAACACACTGTTTGTAAAGTCTGCAATTGGATATATGGACCTGTTTGAGGCCTCCGTTGGAAACGGGATTTCTTCATTGAATGCTAGACGGAAGAATTCTCAGTAAATTCTTTGTGTTGTGTGCATTCAACTCACAGAGTGGAACGTCCCTTTAGACAGAGCAGATTTGAAACACTCTTTTTGCGGAATTTGCAAGTGGAGATTTCTAGCCATTTGATGCCAACAGTAGAAAGGGAAATATCTTCAAATAAAAACCAGACAGAATCATTCTCAGAAAATTCTTTGGGATGTGTGCGTTCAACTCACATAGTTTAACCTTTCTTTTCATAGAGCAGTTTGGGAACACTCTGTTGGTAATGTCTGCAAGTGGATAAATGGACCGCTTTGAGGCCTTCGTTGGAAACGGGATTTCTTCATTTCATGCTAGACAGAACAATTCTCAGTAACTTCTTTGTGCTGTGTGTATTCAACTCACAGAGTGGAACGTCCCTTTACACAGAGCAGATTTGAAACACTCTTTTTGTGGAGTTTGCAAGTGGAGATTTCAAGCGATTTGATGCCAACAGTAGAAAAGGAAATATCTGCAAACAAAAACTAGACAGAATCATTATCAGAAAGTGCTTTGTGATGTGTGCATTCAACTCACAGAGTTAACCTTTCTTTTCATAAAGGAGTTTGGAAACACACTGTTTGTAAAGTCTGCAATTGGATATATGGACCTGTTTGAGGCCTTCGTTGGAAACGGGATTTCTTCATTGAATGCTAGACGGAAGAATTCTCAGTAAATTCTTTGTGTTGTGTGCATTCAACTCACAGAGTGGAACGTCCCTTTAGACAGAGCAGATTTGAAACACTCTTTTTGCGGTATTTGCAAGTGGAGATTTCTAGCCATTTGATGCCAACAGTAGAAAGGGAAATATCTTCAAATAAAAACCAGACAGAAATCATTCTCAGAAAATTCTTTGTGATGTGTGCGTTCAACTCACATAGTATAGCCTTTCTTTTCATAGAGCAGTTTGGAAACACTCTGTTTGTAAAGTCTGCAAGTGGATATATGGACCGCATTGAGGCCTTCGTTGGAAACGGGATTTCTTCATTTCATGCTAGACAGAAGAATTCTCAGTAACTTCTTTGTGTTGTGTTTATTCAACTCACAGAGTGGAACGTCCCTTTAGACAGAGCAGATTTGAAACACTCTTTTTCTGGAATTTGCAAGTGGAGATTTCAAGCGATTTGATGCCAGCAGTAGAAAAGGAAATATCTGCAAATAAAAACGAGACAGAATCATTCTCAGAAAGTGCTTTGTGATGTGTGCGTTCAACTCACAGAGTTTAACCTTTCTTTTCTTAGAGCAGTTTAGAAACACTCTGCTTCTTATGTCTGCAAGTGGATATTTGGACCTCTTTGAGGCCTTCGTTGCAAACGGGATTTCTTCCTTTAATGCTAGACTAAGAAGAGTTCTCAGTAACTTTTTTGTGTTGTGTGTATTCAACTCACAGAGTTGAACCTTGCTTTAGAGAGAGCAGATTTGAAACACTCTTGCTGTGGCATTTTCAGGTGGAGATTTCAAGCGATTTGAGGACAATTGCAGAAAAGGAAATATCTTCGTTTAATAACCAGACAGAATCATTCTCAGAAAGTGCTCTGTGATGTGTGCGTTCAACTCACAGAGTTTAACCTTTCTTTTCATAGTGGAGTTTGGAACCACACTGTTTGTAAAGTCTGCAAGTGGATATATGGACCTGTTTGAGGCCTTCGTTGGAAACGGGAATTTATCATATAATGCTAGACGGAAGAATTCTCAGTAAATTCTTTGTGTGGTGTGCATTCAACTCACAGAGTGGAACGTCCCTTTAGACAGAGCAGATTTGAAACACTCTTTTTGCGGAATTTGCAAGTGGAGATTTACTAGCCATTTGATGCCAACAGTAGAAAGGGAAATATCTTCAAATAAAAACCAGACAGATAATCATTCTCAGTAAAATTCTTTGTGATGTGTGCGTTCAACTCACATAGTTTAACCTTTCTTTTCATAGAGCAGTTTGGAAACACTCTGTTTGTAAAGTCTGCAAGTGGATATATGGACCGCATTGAGGCCTTCGTTGGAAACGGGATTTCTTCATTTCATGCTAGACAGAAGAATTCTCAGTAACTTCTTTGTGCTGTGTGTATTCAACTCACAGAGTGGAACGTCCCTTTACATAGAGCAGATTTGAAACACTCTTTTTGTGGAGTTTGCAAGTGGAGATTTCAAGCGATTTGATGCCAACAGTAGAAAAGGAAATATCTTCAAATAAAAACTAGACAGAATCATTCTCAGAAACTACTTTGTGATGTGTGCCTTCAACTCACAGAGTTTAACCTTTCTTTTCTTAGAGCAGTTTAGAAACACTCTGCTTGTTATGTCTGCAAGTGGATATTTGGACCTCTTTGAGGCCTTCGTTGCAAACGGGGTTTCTTCCTTTCATGCTAGACTAAGAAGAGTTCTCAGTAACTTTTTTGTGTTGTGTGTATTCAACTCACAGAGTTGAACCTTGCTTTAGAGAGAGCAGATTTGAAACACTCTTGCTGTGGCATTTTCAGGTGGAGATTTCAAGCGATTTGAGGACAATTGCAGAAAAGGAAATATCTTCGTATAACAACCAGACAGAATCATTCTGAGAAAGTGCTTTGTGATGTGTGCGTTCAACTCACAGAGTTTAATCTTTCTTTTCATAGAGGAGTTTGGAAACACACTGTTTGTAACGTCTGCAATTGGATATATGGACCTGTTTGAGGCCTTCGTTGGAAACGGGATTTCTTCATTGAATGCTAGACGGAAGAATTCTCAGTAAATTCTTCGTGTTGTGTGCATTCAACTCACAGAGTGGAACGTCCCTTTAGACAGAGCAGATTTGAAACACTCTTTTTGCGGAATTTGCAAGTGGAGATTTCTAGCCATTTGATGCCAACAGTAGAAAGGGAAATATCTTCAAATAAAAACCAGACAGAATCATTCTCAGAAAATTCTTTGTGATGTGTGCGTTCAACTCACATAGTTTAACCTTTCTTTTCATAGAGTAGTTTGGAAACACTCTGTTTGTAAAGTCTGCAAGTGGATATATAGACCGCATTGAGGCCTTCGTTGGAAACGGGATTTCTTCATTTCATGCTAGACAGAAGAATTCTCAGTAACTTCTTTGTGCTGTGTGTATTCAACTCACAGAGTGGAACGTCCCTTTACACAGAGCAGATTTGAAACACTCTTTTTGTGGAATTTGCAAGTGGAGATTTCAAGCGATTTGATGCCAACAGTAGAAAAGGAAATATCTTCAAATAAAAACTAGACAGAATCATTCTCAGAAACTACTTTGTGATGTGTGCCTTCAACTCACAGAGTTTAACCTTTCTTTTCTTAGAGCAGTTTAGAAACACTCTGCTTGTTATGTCTGCAAGTGGATATTTGGACCTCTTTGAGGCCTTCGTTGCAAACGGGGTTTCTTCCTTTCATGCTAGACTAAGAAGAGTTCTCAGTAACTTTTTTGTGTTGTGTGTATTCAACTCACAGAGTTGAACCTTGCTTTAGAGAGAGCAGATTTGAAACACTCTTGCTGTGACATTTTCAGGTGGAGATTTCAAGCCATTTGAGGACAATTGCAGAAAAGGAAATATCTTCGTATAATAACCAGAAAGAATCATTCTCAGAAAGTGCTTTGTGATGTGTGCGTTCAACTCACAGAGTTTAACCTTTCTTTTCATAGAGGAGTTTGGAAACACACTGTTTGTAAAGTCTGCAAGTGGATATATGGACGTGTTTGAGGCCTTCGTTGGAAACGGGATTTCTTCATTGAATGCTAGACGGAAGAATTCTCAGTAAATTCTTTGTGTTGTGTGCATTCAACTCACAGAGTGGAACGTCCCTTTAGACAGAGCAGATTTGAAACACTCTTTTTGCGGAATTTGCAAGTGGAGATTTCTAGCCATTTGATGCCAACAGTAGAAAGGGAAATATCTTCAAATAAAAACCAGACAGAATCATTCTCAGAAAATTCTTTGTGATGTGTGCGTTCAACTCACATAGTTTAACCTTTCTTTTCATAGAGCAGTTTGGAAACACTCTGTTTGTAAAGTCTGCAAGTGGATATATGGACCGCATTGAGGCCTTCGTTGGAAACGGGATTTCTTCATTTCATGCTAGACAGAAGAATTCTCAGTAACTTCTTTGTGCTGTGTGTATTCAACTCACAGAGTGGAACGTCCCTTTGCACAGAGCAGATTTGAAACACTCTTTTTGTGGAGTTTGCAAGTGGAGATTTCAAGCGATTTGATGCCAACAGTAGAAAAGGAAATATCTTCAAATAAAAAATAGACAGAATCATTCTCAGAAACTACTTTGTGATGTGTGCCTTCAACTCACAGAGTTTAACCTTTCTTTTCTTAGAGCAGTTTAGAAACACTCTGCTTGTTATGTCTGCAAGTGGATATTTGGACCTCTTTGAGGCCTTCGTTGCAAACGGGGTTTCTTCCTTTCATGCTAGACTAAGAAGAGTTCTCAGTAACTTTTTTGTGTTGTGTGTATTCAACTCACAGAGTTGAACCTTGCTTTAGAGAGAGCAGATTTGAAACACTCTTGCTGTGGCATTTTCAGGTGGAGATTTCAAGCGATTTGAGGACAATTGCAGAAAAGGAAATATCTTCGTATAATAACCAGACAGAATCATTCTCAGAAAGTGCTTTGTGATGTGTGCGTTCAACTCACAGAGTTTAACCTTTCTTTTCATAGAGGAGTTTGGAAACACACTGTTTGTAAAGTCTGCAAGTGGATATATGGACGTGTTTGAGGCCTTCATTGGAAACGGGATTTCTTCATTGAATGCTAGACGGAAGAATTCTCAGTAAATTCTTTGTGTTGTGTGCATTCAACTCACAGAGTGGAACGTCCCTTTAGACAGAGCAGATTTGAAACACTCTTTTTGCGGAATTTGCAAGTGGAGATTTCTAGCCATTTGATGCCAACAGTAGAAAGGGAAATATCTTCAAATAAAAACCAGACAGAATCATTCTCAGAAAATTCTTTGTGATGTGTGCGTTCAACTCACATAGTTTAACCTTTCTTTTCATAGAGCAGTTTGGAAACACTCTGTTTGTAAAGTCTGCAAGTGGATCTATGGACCGCATTGAGGCCTTCGTTGGAAACGGGATTTCTTCATTTCATGCTAGACAGAAGAATTCTCAGTAACTTCTTTGTGCTGTGTGTATTCAACTCACAGAGTGGAACGTCCCTTTACACAGAGCAGATTTGAAACACTCTTTTTGTGGAGTTTGCAAGTGGAGATTTCAAGCGATTTGATGCCAACAGTAGAAAAGGAAATATCTTCAAATAAAAACTAGACAGAATCATTCTCAGAAACTACTTTGTGATGTGTGCCTTCAACTCACAGAGTTTAACCTTTCTTTTCTTAGAGCAGTTTAGAAACACTCTGCTTGTTATGTCTGCAAGTGGATATTTGGACCTACTTTGAGGCCTTCGTTGCAAACGGGGTTTCTTCCTTTCATGCTAGACTAAGAAGAGTTCTCAGTAACTTTTTTGTGTTGTGTGTATTCAACTCACAGAGTTGAACCTTGCTTTAGAGAGAGCAGATATGAAACACTCTTGCTGTGGCATTTTCACGTGGAGATTTCAAGCGATTTAAGGACAATTGCAGAAAAGGAAATATCTTCGTATAATAACCAGACAGAATCATTCTCAGAAAGTGCTTTGTGATGTGTGCGTTCAACTCACAGAGTTTAACCTTTCTTTTCATAGAGGAGTTTGGAAACACACTGTTTGTAAAGTCTGCAATTGGATATATGGACCTGTTTGAGGCCTTCGTTGGAAACGGGATTTCTTCATTGAATGCTAGACGGAAGAATTCTCAGTAAATTCTTTGTGTGGTGTGCATTCAACTCACAGAGTGGAACGTCCCTTTAGACAGAGCAGATTTGAAACACTCTTTTTGCGGAATTTGCAAGTGGAGATTTCTAGCCATTTGATGCCAACAGTAGAAAGGGAAATATCTTCAAATAAAAACCAGACAGAATCATTCTCAGAAAATTCTTTGTGATGTGTGCGTTCAACTCACATAGTTTAACCTTTCTTTTCATAGAGCAGTTTGGAAACACTCTGTTTGTAAAGTCTGCAAGTGGATATATGGACCGCATTGAGGCCTTCGTTGGAAACGGGATTTCTTCATTTCATGCTAGACAGAAGAATTCTCAGTAACTTCTTTGTGCTGTGTGTATTCAACTCACAGAGTGGAACGTCCCTTTACACAGAGCGGATTTGAAACACTCTATTTGTGGAATTTGCAAGTGGAGATTTCAAGCGATTTGATGCCAACAGAAGAAAAGGAAATATCTTCAAATAAAAACTAGACAGAATCATTCTCAGAAACTACTTTGTGATGTGTGCCTTAAACTCACAGAGTTTAACCTTTCTTTTCTTAGAGCAGTTTAGAAACACTCTGCTTGTTATGTCTGCAAGTGGATATTTGGACCTCTTTGAGGCCTTTGTTGCAAACGGGGTTTCTTCATTTAATGCTAGACTAAGAAGAGTTCTCAGTAACTTTTTTGTGTTGTGTGTATTCAACTCACAGAGTTGAACCTTGCTTTAGAGAGAGCAGATTTGAAACACTCTTGCTGTGGCATTTTCAGGTGGAGATTTCAAGCGATTTGAGGACAATTGCAGAAAAGGAAATATCTTCGTATAATAACCAGACAGAATCATTCTCAGAAAGTGCTTTGTGATGTGTGCGTTCAACTCACAGAGTTTAACCTTTCTTTTCATAGAGGAGTTTGGAAACACACTGTTTGTAAAGTCTGCAAGTGGATATATGGACCTGTTTGAGGCCTTCGTTGGAAACGGGATTTCTTCATTGAATGCTAGACGGAAGAATTCTCAGTAAATTCTTTGTGTTGTGTGCATTCAACTGACAGAGTGGAACGTCCCTTTAGACAGAGCAGATTTGAAACACTCTTTTTGCGGAATTTGCAAGTGGAGATTTCTAGCCATTTGATGCCAACAGTAGAAAGGGAAATATCTTCAAATAAAAACCAGACAGAATCATTCTCAGAAAATTCTTTGTGATGTGTGCGTTCAACTCACATAGTTTAACCTTTCTTTTCATAGAGCAGTTTGGAAACACTCTGTTTGTAAAGTCTGCAAGTGGATATATGGACCGCATTGAGGCCTTCGTTGGAAACGGGATTTCTTCATTTCATGCTAGACAGAAGAATTCTCAGTAACTTCTTTGTGCTGTGTGTATTCAACTCACAGAGTGGAACGTCCCTTTACACAGAGCAGATTTGAAACACTCTTTTTGTGGAGTTTGCAAGTGGAGATTTCAAGCGATTTGATGCCAACAGTAGAAAAGGAAATATCTTCAAATAAAAACTAGACAGAATCATTCTCAGAAACTACTTTGTGATGTGTGCCTTCAACTCACAGAGTTTAACCTTTCTTTTCATAGAGCAGTTTAGAAACACTCTGCTTGTTATGTCTGCAAGTGGATATTTGGACCTCTTTGAGGCCTTCGTTGCAAACGGGGTTTCTTCCTTTCATGCTAGACTAAGAAGAGTTCTCAGTAACTTTTTTGTGTTGTGTGTATTCAACTCACAGAGTTGAACCTTGCTTTAGAGAGAGCAGATTTGAAACACTCTTGCTGTGGCATTTTCAGGTGGAGATTTCAAGCGATTTGAGGACAATTGCAGAAAAGGAAATATCTTCGTATAACAACCAGACAGAATCATTCTCAGAAAGTGCTTTGTGATGTGTGCGTTCAACTCACAGAGTTTAACCTTTCTTTTCATTGAGGAGTTTGGAAACACACTGTTTGTAAAGTCTGCAATTGGATATATGGACCTGTTTGAGGCCTTCGTTGGAAACGGGATTTCTTCATTGAATGCTAGACGGAAGAATTCTCAGTAAATTCTTTGTGTTGTGTGCATTCAACTGACAGAGTGGAACGTCCCTTAAGACAGAGCAGATTTGAAACACTCTTTTTGCGGAATTTGCAAGTGGAGATTTCTAGCCATTTGATGCCAACAGTAGAAAGGGAAATATCTTCAAATAAAAACCAGACAGAATCATTCTCAGAAAATTCTTTGTGATGTGTGCGTTCAACTCACATAGTTTAACCTTTCTTTTCATAGAGCAGTTTGGAAACACTCTGTTTGTAAAGTCTGCAAGTGGATATATGGACCGCATTGAGGCCTTCGTTGGAAACGAGATTTCTTCATTTCATGCTAGACAGAAGAATTCTCAGTAACTTCTTTGTGCTGTGTGTATTCAACTCACAGAGTGGAACGTCCCTTTGCACAGAGCAGATTTGAAACACTCTTTTTGTGGAGTTTGCAAGTGGAGATTTCAAGCGATTTGATGCCAACAGTAGAAAAGGAAATATCTTCGTATAACAACCAGACAGAATCATTCTCAGAAAGTGCTTTGTGATGTGTGCCTTCAACTCACAGAGTTTAACCTTTCTTTTCTTAGAGCAGTTTAGAAACACTCTGCTTGTTATGTCTGCAAGTGGATATTTGGACCTCTTTGAGGCCTTCGTTGCAAACGGGGTTTCTTCCTTTCATGCTAGACTAAGAAGAGTTCTCAGTAACTTTTTTGTGTTGTGTGTATTCAACTCACAGAGTTGAACCTTGCTTTAGAGAGAGCAGATTTGAAACACTCTTGCTGTGGCATTTTCAGGTGGAGATTTCAAGCGATTTGAGGACAATTGCAGAAAAGGAAATATCTTCGTATAATAACCAGACAGAATCATTCTCAGAAAGTGCTTTGTGATGTGTGCGTTCCACTCACAGAGTTTAACCTTTCTTTTCATAGAGGAGTTTGGAAACACACTGTTTGTAAACTCTGCAAGTGGATATATGGACCTCTTTGAGGCCTTCGTTGGAAACGGGATTTCTTCATTGAATGCTAGACGGAAGAATTCTCAGTAAATTCTTTGTGTGGTGTGCATTCAACTCACAGAGTGGAACGTCCCTTTAGACAGAGCAGATTTGAAACACTCTTTTTGCGGAATTTGCAAGTGGAGATTTCTAGCCATTTGATGCCAACAGTAGAAAGGGAAATATCTTCAAATAAAAACCAGACAGAATCATTCTCAGAAAATTCTTTGTGATGTGTGCGTTCAACTCACATAGTTTAACCTTTCTTTTCATAGAGCAGTTTGGAAACACTCTGTTTGTAAAGTCTGCAAGTGGATCTATGGACCGCATTGAGGCCTTCGTTGGAAACGGGATTTCTTCATTTCATGCTAGACAGAAGAATTCTCAGTAACTTCTTTGTGCTGTGTGTATTCAACTCACAGAGTGGAACGTCCCTTTGCACAGAGCAGATTTGAAACACTCTTTTTGTGGAGTTTGCAAGTGGAGATTTCAAGCGATTTGATGCCAACAGTAGAAAAGGAAATATCTTCAAATAAAAACTAGACAGAATCATTCTCAGAAACTACTTTGTGATGTGTGCCTTCAACTCACAGAGTTTAACCTTTCTTTTCTTAGAGCAGTTTAGAAACACTCTGCTTGTTATGTCTGCAAGTGGATATTTGGACCTCTTTGAGGCCTTCGTTGCAAACGGGGTTTCTTCCTTTCATGCTAGACTAAGAAGAGTTCTCAGTAACTTTTTTGTGTTGTGTGTATTCAACTCACAGAGTTGAACCTTGCTTTAGAGAGAGCAGATTTGAAACACTCTTGCTGTGGCATTTTCAGGTGGAGATTTCAAGCGATTTGAGGACAATTGCAGAAAAGGAAATATCTTCGTATAATAACCAGAGAGAATCATTCTCAGAAAGTGCTTTGTGATGTGTGCGTTCAACTCACAGAGTTTAACCTTTCTTTTCATAGAGGAGTTTGGAAACACACTGTTTGTAAAGTCTGCAATTGGATATATGGACCTGTTTGAGGCCTTCGTTGGAAACGGGATTTCTTCATTGAATGCTAGACGGAAGAATTCTCAGTAAATTCTTTGTGTTGTGTGCATTCAACTCACAGAGTGGAACGTCCCTTTAGACAGAGCAGATTTGAAACACTCTTTTTGTGGAATTTGCAAGTGGAGATTTCTAGCCATTTGATGCCAACAGTAGAAAGGGAAATATCTTCAAATAAAAACCAGACAGAATCATTCTCAGAAAATTCTTTGTGATGTGTGCGTTCAACTCACATAGTTTAACCTTTCTTTTCATAGAGCAGTTTGGAAACACTCTGTTTGTAAAGTCTGCAAGTGGATATATGGACCGCATTGAGGCCTTCGTTGGAAACGGGATTTCTTCATTTCATGCTAGACAGAAGAATTCTCAGTAACTTCTTTGTGCTGTGTGTATTCAACTCACAGAGTGGAACGTTCCTTTACACAGAGCAGATTTGAAACACTCTTTTTGTGGAATTTGCAAGTGGAGATTTCAAGCGATTTGATGCCAACAGTAGAAAAGGAAATATCTTCAAATAAAAACTAGACAGAATCATTCTCAGAAACTACTTTGTGATGTGTGCCTTCACCTCACAGAGTTTAACCTTTCTTTTCTTAGAGCAGTTTAGAAACACTCTGCTTGTTATGTCTGCAAGTGGATATTTGGACCTCTTTGAGGCCTTCGTTGCAAACGGGGTTTCTTCCTTTCATGCTAGACTAAGAAGAGTTCTCAGTAACTTTTTTGTGTTGTGTGTATTCAACTCACAGAGTTGAACCTTGCTTTAGAGAGAGCAGATTTGAAACACTCTTGCTGTGGCATTTTCAGGTGGAGATTTCAAGCGATTTGAGGACAATTGCAGAAAAGGAAATATCTTCGTATAATAACCAGACAGAATCATTCTCAGAAAGTGCTTTGTGATGTGTGCGTTCCACTCACAGAGTTTAACCTTTCTTTTCATAGAGGAGTTTGGAAACACACTGTTTGTAAAGTCTGCAAGTGGATATATGGACCTCTTTGAGGCCTTCGTTGGAAACGGGATTTCTTCATTGAATGCTAGACGGAAGAATTCTCAGTAAATTCTTTGTGTTGTGTGCATTCAACTCACAGAGTGGAACGTCCCTTTAGACAGAGCAGATTTGAAACACTCTTTTTGCGGAATTTGCAAGTGGAGATTTCTAGCCATTTGATGCCAACAGTAGAAAGGGAAATATCTTCAAATAAAAACCAGACAGAATCATTCTCAGAAAATTCTTTGTGATGTGTGCGTTCAACTCACATAGTTTAACCTTTCTTTTCATAGAGCAGTTTGGAAACACTCTGTTTGTAAAGTCTGCAAGTGGATATATGGACCGCATTGAGGCCTTCGTTGGAAACGGGATTTCTTCATTTCATGCTAGACAGAAGAATTCTCAGTAACTTCTTTGTGCTGTGTGTATTCAACTCACAGAGTGGAACGTCCCTTTACACAGAGAAGATTTGAAACACTCTTTTTGTGGAGTTTGCAAGTGGAGATTTCAAGCGATTTGATGCCAACAGTAGAAAAGGAAATATCTTCAAATAAAAACTAGACAGAATCATTCTCAGAAACTACTTTGTGATGTGTGCCTTCAACTCACAGAGTTTAACCTTTCTTTTCTTAGAGCAGTTTAGAAACACTCTGCTTGTTATGTCTGCAAGTGGATATTTGGACCTCTTTGAGGCCTTCGTTGCAAACGGGGTTTCTTCCTTTAATGCTAGACTAAGAAGAGTTCTCAGTAACTTTTTTGTGTTGTGTGTATTCAACTCACAGAGTTGAACCTTGCTTGAGAGAGAGCAGATTTGAAACACTCTCGCTGTGGCATTTTCAGGTGGAGATTTCAAGCGATTTGAGGACAATTGCAGAAAAGGAAATATCTTCGTATAATAACCAGACAGAATCATTCTCAGAAAGTGCTTTGTGATGTGTGCGTTCAACTCACAGAGTTTAACCATTCTTTTCATAGAGGAGCTTGGAAACACACTGTTTGTAAAGTCTGCAATTGGATATATGGACCTGTTTGAGGCCTCCGTTGGAAACGGGATTTCTTCATTGAATGCTAGACGGAAGAATTCTCAGTAAATTCTTTGTGTGGTGTGCATTCAACTCACAGAGTGGAACGTCCCTTTAGACAGAGCAGATTTGAAACACTCTTTTTGCGGAATTTGCAAGTGGAGATTTCTAGCCATTTGATGCCAACAGTAGAAAGGGAAATATCTTCAAATAAAAACCAGACAGAATCATTCTCAGAAAATTCTTTGTGATGTGTGCGTTCAACTCACATAGTTTAACCTTTCTTTTCATAGAGCAGTTTGGAAACACTCTGTTTGTGATGTCTGCAAGTGGATATATAGACCGCATTGAGGCCTTCGTTGGAAACGGGATTTCTTCATTTCATGCTAGACAAGAATTCTCAGTAACTTCTTTGTGCTGTGTGTATTCAACTCACAGAGTGGAACGTCCCTTTGCACAGAGCAGATTTGAAACACTCTTTTTGTGGAGTTTGCAAGTGGATATTTCAAGCGATTTGATGCCAACAGTAGAAAAGGAAATATCTTCAAATAAAAACTAGACAGAATCATTTAGAAACTACTTTGTGATGTGTGCCTTCAACTCACAGAGTTTAACCTTTCTTTTCTTAGAGCAGTTTAGAAACACTCTGCTTGTTATGTCTGCAAGTGGATATTTGGACCTCTTTGAGGCCTTCGTTGCAAACGGGGTTTCTTCCTTTAATGCTAGACTAAGAAGAGTAATCAGTAACTTTTTTGTGTTGTGTGTATTCAACTCACAGAGTTGAACCTTGCTTTAGAGAGAGCAGATTTGAAACACTCTTGCTGTGGCATTTTCAGGTGGAGATTTCAAGCGATTTGAGGACAATTGCAGAAAAGGAAATATCTTCGTATAACAACCAGACAGAATCATTCTCAGAAAGTGCTTTGTGATGTGTGCGTTCAACTCACAGAGTTTAACCTTTCTTTTCATAGAGGAGTTTGGAAACACACTGTTTGTAAAGTCTGCAATTGGATATATGGACCTGTTTGAGGCCTTCGTTGGAAACGGGATTTCTTCATTGAATGCTAGACGGAAGAATTCTCAGTAAATTCTTTGTGTTGTGTGCATTCAACTCACAGAGTGGAACGTCCCTTTAGACAGAGCAGATTTGAAACACTCTTTTTGCGGAATTTGCAAGTGGAGATTTCTAGCCATTTGATGCCAACAGTAGAAAGGGAAATATCTTCAAATAAAAACCAGACAGAATCATTCTCAGAAAATTATTTGTGATGTGTGCGTTCAACTCACATAGTTTAACCTTTCTTTTCATAGAGCAGTTTGGAAACACTCTGTTTGTAAAGTCTGCAAGTGGATATATGGACCGCATTGAGGCCTTCGTTGGAAACGGGATTTCTTCATTTCATGCTAGACAGAAGAATTCTCAGTAACTTCTTTGTGCTGTGTGTATTCAACTCACAGAGTGGAACGTCCCTTTGCACAGAGCAGATTTGAAACACTCTTTTTGTGGAGTTTGCAAGTGGAGATTTCAAGCGATTTGATGCCAACAATAGAAAAGGAAATATCTTCAAATAAAAACTAGACAGAATCATTCTCAGGAACTACTTTGAGATGTGTGCCTTCAACTCACAGAGTTTAACCTTTCTTTTCTTAGAGCAGTTTAGAAACACTCTGCTTGTTATGTCTGCAAGTGGATATTTGGACCTCTTTGAGGCCTTCGTTGCAAACGGGGTTTCTTCCTTTAATGCTACACTAAGAAGAGTTCTCAGTAACTTTTTTGTGTTGTGTGTATTCAACTCACAGAGTTGAACCTTGCTTTAGAGAGAGCAGATTTGAAACACTCTCGCTGTGGAATTTTCAGGTGGAGATTTCAAGCGATTTGAGGACAATTGCAGAAAAGGAAATATCTTCGTATAATAACCAGACAGAATCATTCTCAGAAAGTGCTTTGTGATGTGTGCGTTCAACTCACAGAGTTTAACCTTTCTTTTCATAGAGGAGTTTGGAAACACACTGTTTGTAAAGTCTGCAATTGGATATATGGACCTGTTTGAGGCCTTCGTTGGAAACGGGATTTCTTCATTGAATGCTAGACGGAAGGATTCTCAGTAAATTCTTTGTGTTGTGTGCATTCAACTCACAGAGTGGAACGTCCCTTTAGACAGAGCAGATTTGAAACACTCTTTTTGCGGAATTTGCAAGTGGAGATTTCTAGCCATTTGATGCCAACAGTAGAAAGGGAAATATCTTCAAATAAAAACCAGACAGAATCATTCTCAGAAAATTCTTTGTGATGTGTGCGTTCAACTCACATAGTTTAACCTTTCTTTTCATAGAGCAGTTTGGAAACACTCTGTTTGTAAAGTCTGCAAGTGGATATATGGACCGCATTGAGGCCTTCGTTGGAAACGGGATTTCTTCATTTCATGCTAGACAGAAGAATTCTCAGTAACTTCTTTATGCTGTGTGTATTCAACTCACAGAGTGCAACGTCCCTTTACACAGAACAGATTTGAAACACTCTTTTTGTGGAATTTGCAAGTGGAGATTTCAAGCGATTTGATGCCAACAGTAGAAGAGGAAATATCTTCAAATAAAAACTAGACAGAATCATTCTCAGAAACTACTTTGTGATGTGTGCCTTCAACTCGCAGAGTTTAACCTTTCTTTTCTTAGAGCAGTTTAGAAACACTCTGCTTGTTATGTCTGCAAGTGGATATTTGGACCTCTTTGAGGCCTTCGTTGCAAACGGGATTTCTTCCTTTAATGCTAGACTAAGAAGAGTTCTCAGTAACTTTTTTATGTTGTGTGTATTCAACTCACAGAGTTGAACCTTGCTTTAGAGAGAGCAGATTTGAAACACTCTTGCTGTGACATTTTCAGGTGGAGATTTCAAGCGATTTGTGGACAATTGCAGAAAAAGAAATATCTTCGTATAATAACCAGACAGAATCATTCTCAGAAAGTGCTTTGTGATGTGTGCGTTCCACTCACAGAGTTTAACCTTTCTTTTCATAGAGGAGTTTGGAAACACACTGTTTGTAAAGTCTGTAAGTGGATATATGGACCTGTTTGAGGCCTTCGTTGGAAACGGGATTTCTTCATTGAATGCTAGACGGAAGAATTCTCAGTAAATTCTTTGTGTTGTGTGCATTCAACTCACAGAGTGGAACGTCCCTTTAGACAGAGCAGATTTGAAACACTCTTTTTGCGGAATTTGCAAGTGGAGATTTCTAGCCATTTGATGCCAACAGTAGAAAGGGAAATATCTTCAAATAAAAACCAGACAGAATCATTCTCAGAAAATTCTTTGTGATGTGTGCATTCAACTCACATAGTTTAACCTTTCTTTTCATAGAGCAGTTTGGAAACACTCTGTTTGTAAAGTCTGCAAGTGGATATATGGACCGCATTGAGGCCTTCGTTGGAAACGGGATTTCTTCATTTCATGCTAGACAGAAGAATTCTCAGTAACTTCTTTGTGCTGTGTGTATTCAACTCACAGAGTGGAACGTCCCTTTACACAGAGCAGATTTGAAACACTCTTTTTGTGGAGTTTGCAAGTGGAGATTTCAAGCGATTTGATGCCAACAGTAGAAAAGGAAATATCTTCAAATAAAAACTAGACAGAATCATTCTCAGAACCTACTTTGTGATGTGTGCCTTCAACTCACAGAGTTTAACCTTTCTTTTCTGAGAGCAGTTTAGAAACACTCTGCTTGTTATGTCTGCAAGTGGATATTTGGACCTCTTTGAGGCCTTCGTTGCAAACGGGGTTTCTTCCTTTCATGCTAGACTAAGAAGTGTTCTCAGTAACTTTTTTGTGTTGTGTGTATTCAACTCACAGAGTTGAACCTTGCTTTAGAGAGAGCAGATTTGAAACACTCTTGCTGTGGCATTTTCAGGTGGAGATTTCAAGCGATTTGAGGACAATTGCAGAAAAGGAAATATCTTCGTATAATAACCAGACAGAATCATTCTCAGAAAGTGCTTTGTGATGTGTGCGTTCAACTCACAGAGTTTAACCTTTCTTTTCATAGAGGAGTTTGGAAACACACTGTTAGTAAAGTCTGCAGGTGGATATATGGACCTGTTTGAGGCCTTCGTTGGAAACGGGATTTCTTCATTGAATGCTAGACGGAAGAATTCTCAGTAAATTCTTTGTGTTGTGTGCATTCAACTCACAGAGTGGAACGTCCCTTTAGACAGAGCAGATTTGAAACACTCTTTTTGCGGAATTTGCAAGTGGAGATTTCTAGCAATTTGATGCCAACAGTAGAAAGGGAAATATCTTCAAATAAAAACCAGACAGAATCATTCTCAGAAAATTCTTTGTGATGTGTGCGTTCAACTCACATAGTTTAACCTTTCTTTTCATAGAGCAGTTTGGAAACACTCTGTTTGTAAAGTCTGCAAGTGGATATATGGACCGCATTGAGGCCTTCGTTGGAAACGGGATTTCTTCATTTCATGCTAGACAGAAGAATTCTCAGTAACTTCTTTGTGCTGTGTGTATTCAACTCACAGAGTGGAACGTCCCTTTACACAGAGCAGATTTGAAACACTCTTTTTGTGGAATTTGCAAGTGGAGATTTCAAGCGATTTGATGCCAACAGTAGAAAAAGAAATATATTCAAATAAAAACTAGACAGAATCATTCTCAGAAACTACTTTGTGATGTGTGCCTTCAACTCACAGAGTTTAACCTTTCTTTTCTTAGAGCAGTTTAGAAACACTCTGCTTGTTATGTCTGCAAGTGGATATTTGGACCTCTTTGAGGCCTTCGTTGCAAACGGGGTTTCTTCCTTTCATGCTAGACTAAGAAGAGTTCTCAGTAACTTTTTTGTGTTGTGTGTATTCAACTCACAGAGTTGAACCTTGCTTTAGAGAGAGCAGATTTGAAACACTCTTGCTGTGGCATTTTCAGGTGGAGATTTCAAGCGATTTGAGGACAATTGCAGAAAAGGAAATATCTTCGTATAATAACCAGACAGAATCATTCTCAGAAAGTGCTTTGTGATGTGTGCGTTCCACTCACAGAGTTTAACCTTTCTTTTCATAGAGGAGTTTGGAAACACACTGTTTGTAAACTCTGCAAGTGGATATATGGACCTGTTTGAGGCCTTCGTTGGAAACGGGATTTCTTCATTGAATGCTAGACGGAAGAATTCTCAGTAAATTCTTTGTGTTGTGTGCATTCAACTGACAGAGTGGAACGTCCCTTTAGACAGAGCAGATTTGAAACACTCTTTTTGCGGAATTTGCAAGTGGAGATTTCTAGCCATTTGATGCCAACAGTAGAAAGGGAAATATCTTCAAATAAAAACCAGACAGAATCATTCTCAGAAAATTCTTTGTGATGTGTGCGTTCAACTCACATAGTTTAACCTTTCTTTTCATAGAGCAGTTTGGAAACACTCTGTTTGTAAAGTCTGCAAGTGGATATATGGACCGCATTGAGGCCTTCGTTTGAAACGGGATTTCTTCATTTCATGCTAGACAGAAGAATTCTCAGTAACTTTTTTGTGCTGTGTGTATTCAACTCACAGAGTGGAACGTCCCTTTGCACAGAGCAGATTTGAAACACTCTTTTTGTGGAATTTGCAAGTGGAGATTACAAGCGATTTGATGCCAACAGTAGAAAAGGAAATATCTTCAAATAAAAACTAGACAGAATCATTCTCAGAAACTACTTTGTGATGTGTGCCTTCAACTCACAGAGTTTAACCTTTCTTTTCTTAGAGCAGTTTAGAAACACTCTGCTTGTTATGTCTGCAAGTGGATATTTGGACCTCTTTGAGGCCTTCGTTGCAAACGGGGTTTCTTCCTTTCATGCTAGACTAAGAAGAGTTCTCAGTAACTTTTTTGTGTTGTGTGTATTCAACTCACAGAGTTGAACCTTGCTTTAGAGAGAGCAGATTTGAAACACTCTTGCTGTGGCATTTTCAGGTGGAGATTTCAAGCGATTTGAGGACAATTGCAGAAAAGGAAATATCTTCGTATAACAACCAGACAGAATCATTCTCAGAAAGTGCTTTGTGATGTGTGCGTTCCACTCACAGAGTTTAACCTTTCTTTTCATAGAGGAGTTTGGAAACACACTGTTTGTAAAGTCTGCAAGTGGATATATGGACCTGTTTGAGGCCTTCGTTGGAAACGGGATTTCTTCATTGAATGCTAGACGGAGAATTCTCAGTAAATTCTTTGTGTTGTGTGCATTCAACTCACAGAGTGGAACGTCCCTTTAGACAGAGCAGATTTGAAACACTCTTTTTGCGGAATTTGCAAGTGGAGATTTCTAGCCATTTGATGCCAACAGTAGAAAGGGAAATATCTTCAAATAAAAACCAGACAGAATCATTCTCAGAAAATTCTTTGTGATGTGTGCGTTCAACTCACATAATTTAACCTTTCTTTTCATAGAGCAGTTTGGAAACACTCTGTTTGTAAAGTCTGCAAGTGGATATATGGACCTCATTGAGGCCTTCGTTGGAAACGGGATTTCTTCATTTCATGCTAGCCAGAAGAATTCTCAGTAACTTCTTTGTGCTGTGTGTATTCAACTCACAGAGTGGAACGTCCCTTTACACAGAGCAGATTTGAAACACTCTTTTTGTGGAATTTGCAAGTGGAGATTTCAAGCGATTTGATGCCAACAGTAGAAAAGGAAATATCTTCAAATAAAAACTAGACAGAACCATTCTCAGAAACTACTTTGTGATGTGTGCCTTCAACTCACAGAGTTTAACCTTTCTTTTCTTAGAGCAGTTTAGAAACACTCTGCTTGTTATGTCTGCAAGTGGATATTTGGACCTCTTTGAGGCCTTCGTTGCAAACGGGGTTTCTTCCTTTCATGCTAGACTAAGAAGAGTTCTCAGTAACTTTTTTGTGTTGTGTGTATTCAACTCACAGAGTTGAACCTTGCTTTAGAGAGAGCAGATTTGAAACACTCTTGCTGTGGCATTTTCAGGTGGAGATTTCAAGCGATTTGAGGACAATTGCAGAAAAGGAAATATCTTCGTATAATAACCAGACAGAATCATTCTCAGAAAGTGCTTTGTGATGTGTGCGTTCAACTCACAGAGTTTAACCTTTCTTTTCATAGAGGAGTTGGAAACACACTGTTTGTAAAGTCTGCAAGTGGATATATGGACCTCTTTGAGGCCTTCGTTGGAAACGGGATTTCTTCATTGAATGCTAGACGGAAGAATTCTCAGTAAATTCTTTGTGTTGTGTGCATTCAACTGACAGAGTGGAACGTCCCTTTGGACAGAGCAGATTTGAAACACTCTTTTTGCGGAATTTGCAAGTGGAGATTTCTAGCCATTTGATGCCAACAGTAGAAAGGGAAACATCTTCAAATAAAAACCAGACAGAATCATTCTCAGAAAATTCTTTGTGATGTGTGCGTTCAACTCACATAGTTTAACCTTTCTTTTCATAGAGCAGTTTGGAAACACTCTGTTTGTAAAGTCTGCAAGTGGATATATGGACCGCATTGAGGCCTTCGTTGGAAACGGGATTTCTTCATTTCATGCTAGACAGAAGAATTCTCAGTAACTTCTTTGTGCTGTGTGTATTCAACTCACAGAGTGGAACGTTCCTTTACACAGAGCAGATTTGAAACACTCTTTTTGTGGAATTTGCAAGTGGAGATTTCAAGCGATTTGATGCCAACAGTAGAAAAGGAAATATCTTCAAATAAAAACTAGACAGAATCATTCTCAGAAACTACTTTGTGATGTGTGCCTTCAACTCACAGAGTTTAACCTTTCTTTTCTTAGAGCAGTTTAGAAACACTCTGCTTGTTATGTCTGCAAGTGGATATTTGGACCTCTTTGAGGCCTTCGTTGCAAACGGGGTTTCTTCCTTTCATGCTAGACTAAGAAGAGTTCTCAGTAACTTTTTTGTGTTGTGTGTATTCAACTCACAGAGTTGAACCTTGCTTTAGAGAGAGCAGATTTGAAACACTCTTGCTGTGGCATTTTCAGGTGGAGATTTCAAGCGATTTGAGTACAATTGCAGAAAAGGAAATATCTTCGTATAATAACCAGACAGAATCATTCTCAGAAAGTGCTTTGTGATGTGTGCGTTCAACTCACAGAGTTTAACCTTTCTTTTCATAGAGGAGTTTGGAAACACACTGTTTGTAAAGTCTGCAATTGGATATATGGACCTGTTTGAGGCCTTCGTTGGAAACGGGATTTCTTCATTGAATGCTAGACGGAAGAATTCTCAGTAAATTCTTTGTGTTGTGTGCATTCAACTCACAGAGTGGAACGTCCCTTTAGACAGAGCAGATTTGAAACACTCTTTTTGCGGAATTTGCAAGTGGAGATTTCGAGCCATTTGATGCCAACAGTAGAAAGGGAAATATCTTCAAATAAAAACCAGACAGAATCATTCTCAGAAAATTCTTTGTGATGTGTGCGTTCAACTCACATAGTTTAACCTTTCTTTTCATAGAGCAGTTTGGAAACACTCTGTTTGTAAAGTCTGCAAGTGGATATATGGACCGCATTGAGGCCTTCGTTGGAAACGGGATTTCTTCATTTCATGCTAGACAGAAGAATTCTCAGTAACTTCTTTGTGCTGTGTGTATTCAACTCACAGAGTGGAACGTCCCTTTACACAGAGCAGATTTGAAACACTCTTTTTGTGGAGTTTGCAAGTGGAGATTTCAAGCGATTTGATGCCAACAGTAGAAAAGGAAATATCTTCAAATAAAAACTAGACAGAATCATTCTCAGAAACTACTTTGTGATGTGTGCCTTCAACTCACAGAGTTTAACCTTTCTTTTCTTAGAGCAGTTTAGAAACACTCTGCTTGTTATGTCTGCAAGTGGATATTTGGACCTCTTTGAGGCCTTCGTTGCAAACGGGGTTTCTTCCTTTCATGCTAGACTAAGAAGAGTTCTCAGTAACTTTTCTGTGTTGTGTGTATTCAACTCACAGAGTTGAACCTTGCTTTAGAGAGAGCAGATTTGAAACACTCTTGCTGTGACATTTTCAGGTGGAGATTTCAAGCGATTTGAGGACAATTGCAGAAAAGGAAATATCTTCGTATAACAACCAGACAGAATCATTCTCAGAAAGTGCTTTGTGATGTGTGCGTTCCACTCACAGAGTTTAACCTTTCTTTTCATAGAGGAGTTTGGAAACACACTGTTTGTAAAGTCTGCAAGTGGATATATGGACCTGTTTGAGGCCTTCGTTGGAAACGGGATTTCTTCATTGAATGCTAGACGGAAGAATTCTCAGTAAATTCTTTGTGTTGTGTGCATTCAACTGACAGAGTGGAACGTCCCTTTAGACAGAGCAGATTTGAAACACTCTTTTTGCGGAATTTGCAAGTGGAGATTTCTAGCCATTTGATGCCAACAGTAGAAAGGGAAATATCTTCAAATAAAAACCAGACAGAATCATTCTCAGAAAATTCTTTGTGATGTGTGCGTTCAACTCACATAGTTTAACCTTTCTTTTCATAGAGCAGTTTGGAAACACTCTGTTTGTAAAGTCTGCAAGTGGATATATGGACCGCATTGAGGCCTTCGTTGGAAACGGGATTTCTTCATTTCATGTTAGACAGAAGAATTCTCAGTAACTTCTTTGTGCTGTGTGTATTCAACTCACAGAGTGGAACGTCCCTTTACACAGAGCAGATTTGAAACACTCTTTTTGTGGAGTTTGCAAGTGGAGATTTCAAGCGATTTGATGCCAACAGTAGAAAAGGAAATATCTTCAAATAAAAACTAGACAGAATCATTCTCAGAAACTACTTTGTGATGTGTGCCTTCAACTCACAGAGTTTAACCTTTCTTTTCTTAGAGCAGTTTAGAAACACTCTGCTTGTTATGTCTGCAAGTGGATATTTGGACCTCTTTGAGGCCTTCGTTGCAAACGGGGTTTCTTCCTTTCATGCTAGACTAAGAGAGTTCTCAGTAACTTTTTTGTGTTGTGTGTATTCAACTCACAGAGTTGAACCTTGCTTTAGAGAGAGCAGATTTGAAACACTCTTGCTGTGGCATTTTCAGGTGGAGATTTCAAGCGATTTGAGGACAATTGCAGAAAAGGAAATATCTTCGTATAATAACCAGACAGAATCATTCTCAGAAAGTGCTTTGTGATGTGTGCGTTCAACTCACAGAGTTTAACCTTTCTTTTCATAGAGGAGTTTGGAAACACACTGTTTGTAAAGTCTGCAATTGGATATATGGACCTGTTTGAGGCCTTCTTTGGAAACGGGATTTCTTCATTGAATGCTAGACGGAAGAATTCTCAGTAAATTCTTTGTGTTGTGTGCATTCAACTCACAGAGTGGAACGTCCCTTTAGACAGAGCAGATTTGAAACACTCTTTTTGCGGAATTTGCAAGTGGAGATTTCTAGCCATTTGATGCCAACAGTAGAAAGGGAAATATCTTCAAATAAAAACCAGACAGAATCATTCTCAGAAAATTCTTTGTGATGTGTGCGTTCAACTCACATAGTTTTACCTTTCTTTTCATAGAGCAGTTTGGAAACACTCTGTTTGTAAAGTCTGCAAGTGGATATATGGACCGCATTGAGGCCTTCGTTGGAAACGGGATTTCTTCATTTCATGCTAGACAGAAGAATTCTCAGTAACTTCTTTGTGCTGTGTGTATTCAACTCACAGAGTGGAACGTTCCTTTACACAGAGAAGATTTGAAACACTCTTTTTGTGGAGTTTGCAAGTGGAGATTTCAAGCGATTTGATGCCAACAGTAGAAAAGGAAATATCTTCAAATAAAAACTAGACAGAATCATTCTCAGAAACTACTTTGTGATGTCTGCCTTCAACTCACAGAGTTTAACCTTTCTTTTCTTAGAGCAGTTTAGAAACACTCTGCTTGTTATGTCTGCAAGTGGATATTTGGACCTCTTTGAGGCCTTCGTTGCAAACGGGGTTTCTTCCTTTCATGCTAGACTAAGAAGAGTTCTCAGTAACTTTTTTGTGTTGTGTGTATTCAACTCACAGAGTTGAACCTTGCTTTAGAGAGAGCAGATTTGAAACACTCTTGCTGTGGCATTTTCAGGTGGAGATTTCAAGCGATTTGAGGACAATTGCAGAAAAGGAAATATCTTCGTATAATAACCAGACAGAATCATTCTCAGAAAGTGCTTTGTGATGTGTGCGTTCAACTCACAGAGTTTAACCTTTCTTTTCATAGAGGAGTTTGGAAACACACTGTTTGTAAAGTCTGCAAGTGGATATATGGACCTCTTTGAGGCCTTCGTTGGAAACGGGATTTCTTCATTGAATGCTAGACCGAAGAATTCTCAGTAAATTCTTTGTGTTGTGTGCATTCAACTCACAG
The DNA here is from genome assembly GCF_000001405.40 of Homo sapiens. NCBI lineage: Eukaryota > Metazoa > Chordata > Mammalia > Primates > Hominidae > Homo > Homo sapiens. The sequence continues at coordinate 60,022,875 of NC_000007.14, forward strand.
AGTGGAACGTCCCTTTAGACAGAGCAGATTTGAAACACTCTTTTTGCGGAATTTGCAAGTGGAGATTTCTAGCCATTTGATGCCAACAGTAGAAAGGGAAATATCTTCAAATAAAAACCAGACAGAATCATTCTCAGAAAATTCTTTGTGATGTGTGCGTTCAACTCACATAGTTTAACCTTTCTTTTCATAGAGCAGTTTGGAAACACTCTGTTTGTAAAGTCTGCAAGTGGATATATGGACCGCATTGAGGCCTTCGTTGGAAACGGGATTTCTTCATTTCATGCTAGACAGAAGAATTCTCAGTAACTTCTTTGTGCTGTGTGTATTCAACTCACAGAGTGGAACGTCCCTTTACACAGAGCAGATTTGAAACACTCTTTTTGTGGAGTTTGCAAGTGGAGATTTCAAGCGATTTGATGCCAACAGTAGAAAAGGAAATATCTTCAAATAAAAACTAGACAGAATCATTCTCAGAAACTACTTTGTGATGTGTGCCTTCAACTCACAGAGTTTAACCTTTCTTTTCTTAGAGCAGTTTAGAAACACTCTGCTTGTTATGTCTGCAAGTGGATATTTGGACCTCTTTGAGGCCTTCGTTGCAAACGGGGTTTCTTCCTTTCATGCTAGACTAAGAAGAGTTCTCAGTAACTTTTCTGTGTTGTGTGTATTCAACTCACAGAGTTGAACCTTGCTTTAGAGAGAGCAGATTTGAAACACTCTTGCTGTGGCATTTTCAGGTGGAGATTTCAAGCGTTTTGAGGACAATTGCAGAAAAGGAAATATCTTCGTATAATAACCAGACAGAATCATTCTCAGAAAGTGCTTTGTGATGTGTGCGTTCCACTCACAGAGTTTAACCTTTCTTTTCATAGAGGAGTTTGGAAACACACTGTTTGTAAACTCTGCAAGTGGATATATGGACCTGTTTGAGGCCTTCGTTGGAAACGGGATTTCTTCATTGAATGCTAGACGGAAGAATTCTCAGTAAATTCTTTGTGTTGTGTGCATTCAACTCACAGAGTGGAACGTCCCTTTAGACAGAGCAGATTTGAAACACTCTTTTTGCGGAATTTGCAAGTGGAGATTTCTAGCCATTTGATGCCAACAGTAGAAAGGGAAATATCTTCAAATAAAAACCAGACAGAATCATTCTCAGAAAATTCTTTGTGATGTGTGCGTTCAACTCACATAGTATAGCCTTTCTTTTCATAGAGCAGTTTGGAAACACTCTGTTTGTAAAGTCTGCAAGTGGATATATGGACCGCATTGAGGCCTTCGTTGGAAACGGGATTTCTTCATTTCATGCTAGACAGAAGAATTCTCAGTAACTTCTTTGTGCTGTGTGTATTCAACTCACAGAGTGGAACGTCCCTTTGCACAGAGCAGATTTGAAACACTCTTTTTGTGGAGTTTGCAAGTGGAGATTTCAAGCGATTTGATGCCAACAGTAGAAAAGGAAATATCTTCAAATAAAAACTAGACAGAATCATTCTCAGAAACTACTTTGTGATGTGTGCCTTCAACTCACAGAGTTTAACCTTTCTTTTCTTAGAGCAGTTTAGAAACACTCTGCTTGTTATGTCTGCAAGTGGATATTTGGACCTCTTTGAGGCCTTCGTTGCAAACGGGGTTTCTTCCTTTCATGCTAGACTAAGAAGAGTTCTCAGTAACTTTTTTGTGTTGTGTGTATTCAACTCACAGAGTTGAACCTTGCTTTAGAGAGAGCAGATTTGAAACACTCTTGCTGTGGCATTTTCAGGTGGAGATTTCAAGCGATTTGAGGACAATTGCAGAAAAGGAAATATCTTCGTATAATAACCAGACAGAATCATTCTCAGAAAGTGCTTTGTGATGTGTGCGTTCAACTCACAGAGTTTAACCTTTCTTTTCATAGAGGAGTTTGGAAACACACTGTTTGTAAAGTCTGCAATTGGATATATGGACCTGTTTGAGGCCTTCGTTGGAAACGGGATTTCTTCATTGAATGCTAGACGGAAGAATTCTCAGTAAATTCTTTGTGTTGTGTGCATTCAACTCACAGAGTGGAACGTCCCTTTAGACAGAGCAGATTTGAAACACTCTTTTTGCGGAATTTGCAAGTGGAGATTTCTAGCCATTTGATGGCCAACAGTAGAAAGGGAAATATCTTCAAATAAAAACCAGACAGAATCATCCTCAGAAAATTCTTTGTGATGTGTGCGTTCAACTCACATAGTTTAACCTTTCTTTCATAGAGCAGTTTGGAGACACTCTGTTTCTAAAGTCTGCAAGTGGATTTATGGACCGCATTGAGGCCTTCATTGGAAACGGGATTTCTTCATTTCATGCTAGACAGAAGAATTCTCAGTAACTTCTTTGTGCTGTGTGTATTCAACTCACAGAGTGGAACGTCCCTTTGCACAGAGCAGATTTGAAACACTCTTTTTGTGGAATTTGCAAGTGGAGATTTCAAGCGATTTGTTGCCAACAGTAGAAAAGGAAATATCTTCAAATAAAAACTAGACAGAATCATTCTCAGAAACTACTTTGTGATGTGTGCCTTCAACTCACAGAGTTCAACCTTTCTTTTCTTAGAGCAGTTTAGAAACACTCTGCTTGTTATGTCTGCAAGTGGATATTTGGACCTCTTTGAGGCCTTCGTTGCAAACGGGGTTTCTTCCTTTCATGCTAGACTAAGAAGAGTTCTCAGTAACTTTTTTGTGTTGTGTGTATTCAACTCACAGAGTTGAACCTTGCTTTAGAGAGAGCAGATTTGAAACACTCTTGCTGTGGCATTTTCAGGTGGAGATTTCAAGCGATTTGAGGACAATTGCAGAAAAGGAAATATCTTCGTATAATAACCAGACAGAATCATTCTCAGAAAGTGCTTTGTGATGTGTGCGTTCCACTCACAGAGTTTAACCTTTCTTTTCATAGAGGAGTTTGGAAACACACTGTTTGTAAAGTCTGCAAGTGGATATATGGACCTGTTTGAGGCCTTCGTTGGAAACGGGATTTCTTCATTGAATGCTAGACGGAAGAATTCTCAGTAAATTCTTTGTGTTGTGTGCATTCAACTCACAGAGTGGAACGTCCCTTTAGACAGAGCAGATTTGAAACACTCTTTTTGCGGAATTTGCAAGTGGAGATTTCTAGCCATTTGATGCCAACAGTAGAAAGGGAAATATCTTCAAATAAAAACCAGACAGAATCATTCTCAGAAAATTCTTTGTGATGTGTGCGTTCAACTCACATAGTTTAACCTTTCTTTTCATAGAGCAGTTTGGAAACACTCTGTTTGTAAAGTCTGCAAGTGGATATATGGACCGCATTGAGGCCTTCGTTGGAAACGGGATTTCTTCATTTCATGCTAGACAGAAGAATTCTCAGTAACTTCTTTGTGCTGTGTGTATTCAACTCACAGAGTGGAACGTCCCTTTACACAGAGCAGATTTGAAACACTCTTTTTGTGGAGTTTGCAAGTGGAGATTTCAAGCGATTTGATGCCAACAGTAGAAAAGGAAATATCTTCAAATAAAAACTAGACAGAATCATTCTCAGAAACTACTTTGTGATGTGTGCCTTCAACTCACAGAGTTTAACCTTTCTTTTCTTAGAGCAGTTTAGAAACACTCTGCTTGTTATGTCTGCAAGTGGATATTTGGACCTCTTTGAGGCCTTCGTTGCAAACGGGGTTTCTTCCTTTAAAGCTAGACTAAGAAGAGTTCTCAGTAACATTTTTGTGTTGTGTGTATTCAACTCACAGAGTTGAACCTTGCTTTAGAGAGAGCAGATTTGAAACACTCTTGCTGTGGCATTTTCAGGTGGAGATTTCAAGCGATTTGAGGACAATTGCAGAAAAGGAAATATCTTCGTATAACAACCAGACAGAATCATTCTCAGAAAGTGCTTTGTGATGTGTGCGTTCAACTCACAGAGTTTAACCTTTCTTTTCATAGAGGAGTTTGGAAACACACTGTTTGTAAAGTCTGCAATTGGATATATGGACCTGTTTGAGGCCTTCGTTGGAAACGGGATTTCTTCATTGAATGCTAGACGGAAGAATTCTCAGTAAATTCTTTGTGTTGTGTGCATTCAACTCACAGAGTGGAACGTCCCTTTAGACAGAGCAGATTTGAAACACTCTTTTTGCGGAATTTGCAAGTGGAGATTTCTAGCCATTTGATGCCAACAGTAGAAAGGGAAATATCTTCAAATAAAAACCAGACAGAATCATTCTCAGAAAATTCTTTGTGATGTGTGCGTTCAACTCACATAGTTTAACCTTTCTTTTCATAGAGCAGTTTGGAAACACTCTGTTTGTAAAGTCTGCAAGTGGATATATGGACCGCATTGAGGCCTTCGTTGGAAACGGGATTTCTTCATTTCATGCTAGACAGAAGAATTCTCAGTAACTTCTTTGTGCTGTGTGTATTCAACTCACAGAGTGGAACGTCCCTTTGCACAGAGCAGATTTGAAACACTCTTTTTGTGGAGTTTGCAAGTGGAGATTTCAAGCGATTTGATGCCAACAGTAGAAAAGGAAATATCTTCAAATAAAAACTAGACAGAATCATTCTCAGAAACTACTTTGTGATGTGTGCCTTCAACTCACAGAGTTTAACCTTTCTTTTCTTAGAGCAGTTTAGAAACACTCTGCTTGTTATGTCTGCAAGTGGATATTTGGACCTCTTTGAGGCCTTCGTTGCAAACGGGGTTTCTTCCTTTCATGCTAGACTAAAGAGTTCTCAGTAACTTTTTTGTGTTGTGTGTATTCAACTCACAGAGTTGAACCTTGCTTTAGAGAGAGCAGATTTGAAACACTCTAGCTGTGGCATTTTCAGGTGGAGATTTCAAGCGATTTGAGGACAATTGCAGAAAAGGAAATATCTTCGTATAATAACCAGACAGAATCATTCTCAGAAAGTGCTTTGTGATGTGTGCGTTCAACTCACAGAGTTTAACTTTTCTTTCCATAGAGGAGTTTGGAAACACACTGTTTGTAAAGTCTGCAAGTGGATATATGGACCTGTTTGAGGCCTTCGTTGGAAACGGGATTTCTTCATTGAATGCTAGACGGAAGAATTCTCAGTAAATTCTTTGTGTTGTGTGCATTCAACTCACAGAGTGGAACGTCCCTTTAGACAGAGCAGATTTGAAACACTCTTTTTGCGGAATTTGCAAGTGGAGATTTCTAGCCATTTGATGCCAACAGTAGAAAGGGAAATATCTTCAAATAAAAACCAGACAGAATCATTCTCAGAAAATTCTTTGTGATGTGTGCGTTCAACTCACATAGTTTAACCTTTCTTTTCATAGAGCAGTTTGGAAACACTCTGTTTGTAAAGTCTGCAAGTGGATATATGGACCGCATTGAGGCCTTCGTTGGAAACAGGATTTCTTCATTTCATGCTAGACAGAAGAATTCTCAGTAACTTCTTTGTGCTGTGTGTATTCAACTCACAGAGTTGAACCTTGCTTTAGAGAGAGCAGATTTGAAACACTCTTGCTGTGGCATTTTCAGGTGGAGATTTCAAGCGATTTGAGGACAATTGCAGAAAAAGAAATATCTTCGTATAATAACCAGACAGAATCATTCTCAGAAAGTGCTTTGTGATGTGTGCGTTCCACTCACAGAGTTTAACCTTTCTTTTCATAGAGGAGTTTGGAAACACACTGTTTGTAAAGTCTGCAAGTGGATATATGGACCTGTTTGAGGCCTTCGTTGGAAACGGGATTTCTTCATTGAATGCTAGACGGAAGAATTCTCAGTAAATTCTTTGTGTTGTGTGCATTCAACTCACAGAGTGGAACGTCCCTTTAGACAGAGCAGATTTGAAACACTCTTTTTGCGGAATTTGCAAGTGGAGATTTCTAGCCATTTGATGCCAACAGTAGAAAGGGAAATATCTTCAAATAAAAACCAGGCAGAATCATTCTCAGAAAATTCTTTGTGATGTGTGCGTTCAACTCACATAGTTTAACCTTTCTTTTCATAGAGCAGTTTGGAAACACTCTGTTTGTAAAGTCTGCAAGTGGATCTATGGACCGCATTGAGGCCTTCGTTGGAAACGGGATTTCTTCATTTCATGCTAGACAGAAGAATTCTCAGTAACTTCTTTGTGCTGTGTGTATTCAACTCACAGAGTGGAACGTCCCTTTACACAGAGCAGATTTGAAACACTCTTTTTGTGGAGTTTGCAAGTGGAGATTTCAAGCGATTTTATGCCAACAGTAGAAAAGGAAATATCTTCAAATAAAAACTAGACAGAATCATCCTCAGAAACTACTTTGTGATGTGTGCCTTCAACTCACAGAGTTTAACCTTTCTTTTCTTAGAGCAGTTTAGAAACACTCTGCTTGTTATGTCTGCAAGTGGATATTTGGACCTCTTTGAGGCCTTCGTTGCAAACGGGGTTTCTTCCTTTCATGCTAGACTAAGAAGAGTTCTCAGTAACTTTTTTGTGTTGTGTGTATTCAACTCACAGAGTTGAACCTTGCTTTAGAGAGAGCAGATTTGAAACACTCTTGCTGTGGCATTTTCAGGTGGAGATTTCAAGCGATTTGAGGACAATTGCAGAAAAGGAAATATCTTCGTATAATAACCAGACAGAATCATTCTCAGAAAGTGCTTTGTGATGTGTGCGTTCAACTCACAGAGTTTAACCTTTCTTTTCATAGAGGAGTTTGGAAACACACTGTTTGTAAAGTCTGCAATTGGATATATGGACCTGTTTGAGGCCTTCTTTGGAAACGGGATTTCTTCATTGAATGCTAGACGGAAGAATTCTCAGTAAATTCTTTGTGTTGTGTGCATTCAACTGACAGAGTGGAACGTCCCTTTAGACAGAGCAGATTTGAAACACTCTTTTTGCGGAATTTGCAAGTGGAGATTTCTAGCCATTTGATGCCAACAGTAGAAAGGGAAATATCTTCAAATAAAAACCAGACAGAATCATTCTCAGAAAATTCTTTGTGATGTGTGCGTTCAACTCACATAGTTTAACCTTTCTTTTCATAGAGCAGTTTGGAAACACTCTGTTTGTAAAGTCTGCAAGTGGATATATGGACCGCATTGAGGCCTTCGTTGGAAACGGGATTTCTTCATTTCATGCTAGACAGAAGAATTCTCAGTAACTTCTTTGTGCTGTGTGTATTCAACTCACAGAGTGGAACGTCCCTTTACACAGAGCAGATTTGAAACACTCTTTTTGTGGAGTTTGCAAGTGGAGATTTCAAGCGATTTGATGCCAACAGTAGAAAAGGAAATATCTTCAAATAAAAACTAGACAGAATCATTCTCAGAAACTACTTTGTGATGTGTGCCTTCAACTCACAGAGTTTAACCTTTCTTTTCTTAGAGCAGTTTAGAAACACTCTGCTTGTTATGTCTGCAAGTGGATATTTGGACCTCTTTGAGGCCTTCGTTGCAAACGGGGTTTCTTCCTTTCATGCTAGACTAAGAAGAGTTCTCAGTAACTTTTTTGTGTTGTGTGTATTCAACTCACAGAGTTGAACCTTGCTTTAGAGAGAGCAGATTTGAAACACTCTTGCTGTGGCATTTTCAGGTGGAGATTTCAAGCGATTTGAGGACAATTGCAGAAAAGGAAATATCTTCGTATAATAACCAGACAGAATCATTCTCAGAAAGTGCTTTGTGATGTGTGCGTTCCACTCACAGAGTTTAACCTTTCTTTTCATAGAGGAGTTTGGAAACACACTGTTTGTAAACTCTGCAAGTGGATATATGGACCTGTTTGAGGCCTTCGTTGGAAACGGGATTTCTTCATTGAATGCTAGACGGAAGAATTCTCAGTAAATTCTTTGTGTTGTGTGCATTCAACTCACAGAGTGGAACGTCCCTTTAGACAGAGCAGATTTGAAACACTCTTTTTGCGGAATTTGCAAGTGGAGATTTCTAGCCATTTGATGCCAACAGTAGAAAGGGAAATATACTTCAAATAAAAACCAGGCAGAATCATTCTCAGAAAATTCTTTGTGATGTGTGCGTTCAACTCACATAGTTTAACCTTTCTTTTCATAGAGCAGTTTGGAAACACTCTGTTTGTAAAGTCTGCAAGTGGATATATGGACCGCATTGAGGCCTTCGTTGGAAACGGGATTTCTTCATTTCATGCTAGACAGAAGAATACTCAGTAACTTCTTTGTGCTGTGTGTATTCAACTCACAGAGTGGAACGTCCCTTTACACAGAGCAGATTTGAAACACTCTTTTTGTGGAGTTTGCAAGTGGAGATTTCAAGCGATTTGATGCCAACAGTAGAAAAGGAAATATCTTCAAATAAAAACTAGACAGAATCATTCTCAGAAAGTGCTTTGTGATGTGTGCATTCAACTCACAGAGTTTAACCTTTCTTTTCGTAGAGGAGTTTGGAAACACACTGTTTGTAATGTCTGCAATTGGATATATGGACCTGTTTGAGGCCTTCGTTGGAAACGGGATTTCTTCATTGAATGCTAGACGGAAGAATTCTCAGTAAATTCTTTGTGTTGTGTGCATTCAACTCACAGAGTGGAACGTCCCTTTAGACAGTGCAGATTTGAAACACTTTTTGGCGGAATTTGCAAGTGGAGATTTCTAGCCATTTGATGCCAACAGTAGAAAGGGAAATATCTTCAAATAAAAACCAGACAGAATCATTCTCAGAAAATTCTTTGTGATGTGTGCGTTCAACTCACATAGTTTAACCTTTCTTTTCATAGAGCAGTTTGGAAACACTCTGTTTGTAAAGTCTGCAAGTGTATATATGGACCGCATTGAGGCCTTCGTTGGAAACGGGATTTCTTCATTTCATGCTAGACAGAAGAATTCTCAGTAACTTCTTTGTGCTGTGTGTATTCAACTCACAGAGTGGAACGTCCCTTTACACAGAGCAGATTTGAAACACTCTTTTTGTGGAGTTTGCAAGTGGAGATTTCAAGCGATTTGATGCCAACAGTAGAAAAGGAAATATCTTCAAATAAAAACTAGACAGAATCATTCTCAGAAACTACTTTGTGATGTGTGCCTTCAACTCACAGAGTTTAACCTTTCTTTTCTTAGAGCAGCTTAGAAACACTCTGCTTGTTATGTCTGCAAGTGGATATTTGGACCTCTTTGAGGCCTTCGTTGCAAACGGGGTTTCTTCCTTTAATGCTAGACTAAGAAGAGTTCTCAGTAACTTTTTTGTGTTGTGTGTATTCAACTCACAGAGTTGAACCTTGCTTTAGAGAGAGCAGATTTGAAACACTCTTGCTGTGGCATTTTCAGGTGGAGATTTCAAGCGATTTGAGGACAATTGCAGAAAAGGAAATATCTTCGTATAATAACCAGACAGAATCATTCTCAGAAAGTGCTTTGTGATAGTGTGCGTTCAACTCACAGAGTTTAACCTTTCTTTTCATAGAGGAGTTTGGAAACACACTGTTTGTAAAGTCTGCAAGTGGATATATGGACCTGTTTGAGGCCTTCGTTGGAAACGGGATTTTGTCATATAATGCTAGACGGAAGAATTCTCAGTAAATTCTTTGTGTTGTGTGCATTCAACTCACAGAGTGGAACGTCCCTTTAGACAGAGCAGATTTGAAACACTCTTTTTGCGGAATTTGCAAGTGGAGATTTCTAGCCATTTGATGCCAACAGTAGAAAGGGAAATATCTTCAAATAAAAACTAGACAGAATCATCCTCAGAAAATTCTTTGTGATGTGTGCGTTCAACTCACATAGTTTAACCTTTCTTTCACAGAGCAGTTTGGAAACACTCTGTTTGTAAAGTCTGCATGTGGATATATGGACCGCATTGAGGCCTTCGTTGGAAACGGGATTTCTTCATTTCGTGCTAGACAGAAGAATTCTCAGTAACTTCTTTGTGCTGTGTGTATTCAACTCACAGAGTGGAACGTCCCTTTGCACAGAGCAGATTTGAAACACTCTTTTTGTGGAGTTTGCAAGTGGAGATTTCAAGCGATTTGATGCCAACAGTAGAAAAGGAAATATCTTCAAATAAAAACTAGACAGAATCATTCTCAGAAACTACTTTGTGATGTGTGCCTTCAACTCACAGAGTTTAACCTTTCTTTTCTTAGAGCAGTTTAGAAACACTCTGCTTGTTATGTCTGCAAGTGGATATTTGGACCTCTTTGAGGCCTTCGTTGCAAACGGGGTTTCTTCCTTTAATGCTAGACTAAGAAGAGTTCTCAGTAACTTTTTTGTGTTGTGTGTATTCAACTCACAGAGTTGAACCTTGCTTTAGAGAGAGCAGATTTGAAACACTCTCGCTGTGGCATTTTCAGGTGGAGATTTCAAACGATTTGAGGACAATTGCAGAAAAGGAAATATCTTCGTATAATAACCAGACAGAATCATTCTCAGAAAGTGCTTTGTGATGTGTGCGTTCAACTCACAGAGTTTAACCTTTCTTTTCATAGAGGAGTTTGGAAACACACTGTTTGTAAAGTCTGCAATTGGATATATGGACCTGTTTGAGGCCTTCGTTGGAAACGGGATTTCTTCATTGAATGCTAGACGGAAGAATTCTCAGTAAATTCTTTGTGTTGTGTGCATTCAACTCACAGAGTGGAACGTCCCTTAAGACAGAGCAGATTTGAAACACTCTTTTTGCGGAATTTGCAAGTGGAGATTTCTAGCCATTTGATGCCAACAGTAGAAAGGGAAATATCTTCAAATAAAAACCAGACAGAATCATTCTCAGAAAATTCTTTGTGATGTGTGCGTTCAACTCACATAGTTTAACCTTTCTTTTCATAGAGCAGTTTGGAAACACTCTGTTTGTAAAGTCTGCAAGTGGATATATGGACCGCATTGAGGCCTTCGTTGGAAACGGGATTTCTCCATTTCATGCTAGACAGAAGAATTCTCAGTAACTTCTTTGTGCTGTGTGTATTCAACTCACAGAGTGGAACGTCCCTTTGCACAGAGCAGATTTGAAACACTCTTTTTGTGGAATTTGCAAGTGGAGATTTCAAGCGATTTGTTGCCAACAGTAGAAAAGGAAATATCTTCAAATAAAAACTAGACAGAATCATTCTCAGAAACTACTTTGTGATGTGTGCCTTCAACTCACAGAGTTCAACCTTTCTTTTCTTAGAGCAGTTTAGAAACACTCTGCTTGTTATGTCTGCAAGTGGATATTTGGACCTCTTTGAGGCCTTCGTTGCAAACGGGGTTTCTTCCTTTCATGCTAGACTAAGAAGAGTTCTCAGTAACTTTTTTGTGTTGTGTGTATTCAACTCACAGAGTTGAACCTTGCTTTAGAGAGAGCAGATTTGAAACACTCTTGCTGTGGCATTTTCAGGTGGAGATTTCAAGCGTTTTGAGGACAATTGCAGAAAAGGAAATATCTTCGTATAATAACCAGACAGAATCATTCTCAGAAAGTGCTTTGTGATGTGTGCGTTCCACTCACAGAGTTTAACCTTTCTTTTCATAGAGGAGTTTGGAAACACACTGTTTGTAAACTCTGCAAGTGGATATATGGACCTGTTTGAGGCCTTCGTTGGAAACGGGTTTTCTTCATTGAATGCTAGACGGAAGAATTCTCAGTAAATTCTTTGTGTTGTGTGCATTCAACTCACAGAGTGGAACGTCCCTTTAGACAGAGCAGATTTGAAACACTCTTTTTGCGGAATTTGCAAGTGGAGATTTCTAGCCATTTGATGCCAACAGTAGAAAGGGAAATATCTTCAAATAAAAACCAGACAGAATCATTCTCAGAAAATTCTTTGTGATGTGTGCGTTCAACTCACATAGTTTAACCTTTCTTTTCATAGAGCAGTTTGGGAACACTCTGTTGGTAATGTTTGCAAGTGGATATATGGACCGCTTTGAGGCCTTCGTTGGAAACGGGATTTCTTCATTTCATGCTAGACAGAAGAATTCTCAGTAACTTCTTTGTGTTGTGTGTATTCAACTCACAGATTGGAACGTCCCTTTACACAGAGCAGATTTGAAACACTCTTTTTGTGGAATTTGCAAGTGGAGATTTCAAGCGATTTGATGCCAACAGTAGAAAAGGAAATATCTGCAAACAAAAACTAGACAGAATCATTATCAGAAAGTGCTTTGTGATGTGTGCATTCAACTCACAGAGTTAACCTTTCTTTTCATAAAGGAGTTTGGAAACACACTGTTTGTAAAGTCTGCAATTGGATATATGGACCTGTTTGAGGCCTTCGTTGGAAACGGGATTTCTTCATTGAATGCTAGACGGAAGAATTCTCAGTAAATTCTTTGTGTTGTGTGCATTCAACTCACAGAGTGGAACGTTCCTTTAGACAGAGCAGATTTGAAACACTCTTTTTGCGGAATTTGCAAGTGGAGATTTCTAGCCATTTGATGCCAACAGTAGAAAGGGAAATATCTTCAAATAAAAACCAGACAGAATCATTCTCAGAAAATTCTTTGTGATGTGTGCGTTCAACTCACATAGTTTAACCTTTCTTTTCATAGAGCAGTTTGGAAACACTCTGTTTGTAAAGTCTGCAAGTGGATATATGGACCGCATTGAGGCCTTCGTTGGAAACGGGATTTCTTCATTTCATGCTAGACAGAAGAATTCTCAGTAACTTCTTTGTGCTGTGTGTATTCAACTCACAGAGTGGAACGTCCCTTTGCACAGAGCAGATTTGAAACACTCTTTTTGTGGAATTTGCAAGTGGAGATTTTAAGCGATTTGATGCCAACAGTAGAAAAGGAAATATCTTCAAATAAAAACTAGACAGAATCATTCTCAGAAACTACTTTGTGATGTGTGCCTTCAACTCACAGAGTTCAACCTTTCTTTTCTTAGAGCAGTTTAGAAACACTCTGCTTGTTATGTCTGCAAGTGGATATTTGGACCTCTTTGAGGCCTTCGTTGCAAACGGGGTTTCTTCCTTTCATGCTAGACTAAGAAGAGTTCTCAGTAACTTTTTTGTGTTGTGTGTATTCAACTCACAGAGTTGAACCTTGCTTTAGAGAGAGCAGATTTGAAACACTCTTGCTGTGGAATTTTCAGGTGGAGATTTCAAGCGATTTGAGGACAATTGCAGAAAAGGAAATATCTTCGTATAATAACCAGACAGAATCATTCTCAGAAAGTGCTTTGTGATGTGTGCGTTCAACTCACAGAGTTTAACCTTTCTTTTCATAGAGGAGCTTGGAAACACACTGTTTGTAAAGTCTGCAATTGGATATATGGACCTGTTTGAGGCTTCCGTTGGAAACGGGATTTCTTCATTGAATGCTAGACGGAAGAAATCTCAGTAAATTCTTTGTGTTGTGTGCATTCAACTCACAGAGTGGAACGTCCCTTTAGACAGAGCAGATTTGAAACACTCTTTTTGCGGAATTTGCAAGTGGAGATTTCTAGCCATTTGATGCCAACAGTAGAAAGGGAAATATCTTCAAATAAAAACCAGACAGAATCATTCTCAGAAAATTCTTTGTGATGTGTGCGTTCAACTCACATAGTTTAACCTTTCTTTTCATAGAGCAGTTTGGAAACACTCTGTTTGTAAAGTCTGCAAGTGGATATATGGACCGCATTGAGGCCTTCGTTGGAAACGGGATTTCTTCATTTCATGCTAGACAGAAGAATTCTCAGTAACTTCTTTGTGCTGTGTGTATTCAACTCACAGAGTGGAACGTCCCTTTGCACAGAGCAGATTTGAAACACTCTTTTTGTGGAGTTTGCAAGTGGAGATTTCAAGCGATTTGATGCCAACAGTAGAAAAGGAAGTATGTTCAAATAAAAACTAGACAGAATCATTCTCAGAAACTACTTTGTGATGTGTGCCTTCAACTCACCGAGTTTAACCTTTCTTTTCTGAGAGCAGCTTAGAAACACTCTGCTTGTTATGTCTGCAAGTTGATATTTGGACCTCTTTGAGGCCTTCGTTGCAAACGGGGTTTCTTCCTTTAATGCTAGACTAAGAAGAGTTCTCAGTAACTTTTTTGTGTTGTGTGTATTCAACTCACAGAGTTGAACCTTGCTTTAGAGAGAGCAGATTTGAAACACTCTTGCTGTGGCATTTTCAGGTGGAGATTTCAAGCGATTTGAGGACAATTGCAGAAAAAGAAATATCTTCGTATAATAACCAGACAGAATCATTCTCAGAAAGTGCTTTGTGATGTGTGCGTTCAACTCACAGAGTTTAACCTTTCTTTTCGTAGAGGAGTTTGGAAACACACTGTTTGTAATGTCTGCAATTGGATATATTGACCTGTTTGAGGCCTTCGTTGGAAACGGGATTTCTTCATTGAATGCTAGACGGAAGAATTCTCAGTAAATTCTTTGTGTTGTGTGCATTCAACTCACAGAGTGGAACGTCCCTTTAGACAGTGCACATTTGAAACACTTTTTGGCGGAATTTGCAAGTGGAGATTTCTAGCCATTTGATGCCAACTGTAGAAAGGGAAATATCTTCAAATAAAAACCAGACAGAATCATTCTCAGAAAATTCTTTGTGATGTGTGCGTTCAACTCACATAGTTTAACCTTTCTTTTCATAGAGCAGTTTGGAAACACTCTGTTTGTAAAGTCTGCAAGTGTATATATGGACCGCATTGAGGCCTTCGTTGGAAACGGGATTTCTTCATTTCATGCTAGACAGAAGAATTCTCAGTAACTTCTTTGTGCTGTGTGTATTCAACTCACAGAGTGGAACGTCCCTTTACACAGAGCAGATTTGAAACACTCTTTTTGTGGAGTTTGCAAGTGGAGATTTCAAGCGATTTGATGCCAACAGTAGAAAAGGAAATATCTTCAAATAAAAACTAGACAGAATCATTCTCAGAAACTACTTTGTGATGTGTGCCTTCAACTCACAGAGTTTAACCTTTCTTTTCTTAGAGCAGTTTAGAAACACTCTGCTTGTTATGTCTGCAAGTGGATATTTGGACCTCTTTGAGGCCTTCGTTGCAAACGGGGTTTCTTCCTTTCATGCTAGACTAAGAAGAGTTCTCAGTAACTTTTTTGTGTTGTGTGTATTCAACTCACAGAGTTGAACCTTGCTTTAGAGAGAGCAGATTTGAAACACTCTTGCTGTGGCATTTTCAGGTGGAGATTTCAAGCGATTTGAGGACAATTGCAGAAAAGGAAATATCTTCGTATAATAACCAGACAGAATCATTCTCAGAAAGTGCTTTGTGATGTGTGCATTCAACTCACAGAGTTTAGACTTTCTTCTCATAGAGCAGTTTGGAATCACACTGTTTGTAAAGTCTGCAAGTGGATATTTGGACCTGTTTGAAGCCTTCGTTGGAAACGGGATTTTTTCATATAATGCTATACGGAAGAATTCTCCCCAAATTCTTTGTGTTGTGTGCATTGAACTCACAGAGTGCAACGTCCCTTTAGACAGAGCAGATTTGAAACACTCTTTTTGTGGAATTTGCAAGTGGAGATTTCAAGCGATTTGATGCCAACAGTAGAAAAGGAAATATCTTCAAATAAAAACTAGACAGAATCATTCTCAGAAAATTCTTTGTGATGTGTGTGTTCAACTCACATAGTTTAACCTTTCTTTTCATAGAGCAGTTTGGAGACTCTCCGTCTGTAAAGTCTGCAAGTGGATATATGGACCGCTTTGAGGCCTTCCTTGGAAACGGGATTTCTTCATTTCATGCTAGACAGAAAAATTCTCAGTAACTTCTTTGTGTGGTGTGTATTCAACTCACAGAGTGGAATGTCCCTTTAGACAGAGCAGATTTGAAACACACTTTTTGTGGAATTTGCATGTGGAGATTTCAAGCGATTTGATGCCGGCAGTAGAAAAGGAAACATCTTCAAATAAAAACTAGACAGAATCATTCTCAGAAATTACTTTGAGATGTGTGCCTTCAACTCACTGAGTTTAACCTTTCTTTTCTTAGAGCAGTTTAGAAACACTCTGCTTGTAATGTCTGCAAGTGGATATTAGGACGTCTTTGCGGCCTTCGTTGCAAACGGGATTTCTTCATTTAATGCTAGACTAAGAAGAGTTCTCAGTAACTTTTTTTTGTTGAGTGTATTCAACTCACAGTGTTGAACCTTGCTTTAGAGAGAGCAGACTTGAAACACTCTTGCTGTGGAATTTTCAGGTGGAGATTTCAAGCGATTTGGGGAAAATTGCAGAAAAGGAAATATCTTCTTATAAAAACCAAACAGAATCATTCTCAGAAAGTGCTTTGTGATGTGTGCGTTCAACTCACAGAGTTTAACCTTTCTTTTCATAGAGGAGTTTGGAAACACACTGTTTGTAAAGTCTGCAATTGGATATATGGACCTGTTTGAGGCCTTCGTTGGAAACGGGATTTCTTCATTGAATGCTAGGCGGAAGAATTCTCAGTAAATTCTTTGTGTTGTGTGCATTCAACTCACAGAGTGGAACGTCCCTTTAGACAGAGCAGATTTGAAACACTCTTTTTGCGGAAGTTGCAAGTGGAGATTTCTAGCCATTTGATGCCAACAGTAGAAAGGGAAATATCTTCAAATAAAAACTAGACAGAATCATTCTCAGAAAATTCTTTGTGATGTGTGCGTTCAACTCACATAGTTTAACCTTTCTTTTCATAGAGCAGTTTGGAAACACTCTGTTTGTAAAGTCTGCAAGTGGATATATGGACCGCATTGAGGCCTTCGTTGGAAACGGGATTTCTTCATTTCATGCTAGACAGAAGAATTCTCAGTAACTTCTTTGTGCTGTGTGTATTCAACTCACAGAGTGGAACGTCCCTTTGCACAGAGCAGATTTGAAACACTCTTTGTGGAATTTGCAAGTGGAGATTTCAAGCGATTTGATGCCAACAGTAGAAAAGGAAATATCTTCAAATAAAAACTAGACAGAATCATTTAGAAACTACTTTGTGATGTGTGCCTTCAACTCACAGAGTTTAACCTTTCTTTTCTTAGAGCAGTTTAGAAACACTCTGCTTGTTATGTCTGCAAGTGGATATTTGGACCTCTTTGAGGCCTTCGTTGGAAACGGGATTTCTTCATTGAATGCTAGACGGAAGAGTTCTCAGTAACTTTTTTGTGTTGTGTGTATTCAACTCACAGAGTTGAACCTTGCTTTAGAGAGAGCAGATTTGAAACACTCTTGCTGTGGCATTTTCAGGTGGAGATTTCAAGCGATTTGAGGACAATTGCAGAAAAGGAAATATCTTCGTATAATAACCAGACAGAATCATTCTCAGAAAGTGCTTTGTGATGTGTGCGTTCAACTCACAGAGTTTAACCTTTCTTTTCATAGAGGAGTTTGGAAACACACTGTTTGTAATGTCTGCAATTGGATATATGGACCTGTTTGAGGCCTTCGTTGGAAACGGGATTTCTTCATTGAATGCTAGACGGAAGAATTCTCAGTAAATTCTTTGTGTTGTGTGCATTCAACTCACAGAGTGGAACGTCCCTTTAGACAGAGCAGATTTGAAACACTCTTTTTGCGGAATTTGCAAGTGGAGATTTCTAGCCATTTGATGCCAACAGTAGAAAGGGAAATATCTTCAAATAAAAACCAGACAGAATCATTCTCAGAAAATTCTTTGTGATGTGTGCGTTCAACTCACATAGTTTAACCTTTCTTTTCATAGAGCAGTTTGGAAACACTCTGTTTGTAAAGTCTGCAAGTGGATATATGGACCGCATTGAGGCCTTCGTTGGAAACGGGATTTCTTCATTTCATGCTAGACAGAAGAATTCTCAGTAACTTCTTTGTGTTGTGTGTATTCAACTCACAGAGTGGAACGTCCCTTTGCACAGAGCAGATTTGAAACACTCTTTTTGTGGAGTTTGCAAGTGGAGATTTCAAGCGATTTGATGCCAACAGTAGAAAAGGAAATATCTTCAAATAAAAACTAGACAGAATCATTCTCAGAAACTACTTTGTGATGTGTGCCTTCAACTCACAGAGTTTAACCTTTCTTTTCTTAGAGCACTTTAGAAACACTCTGCTTGTTATGTCTGCAAGTGGATATTTGGACCTCTTTGAGGCCTTCGTTGCAAACGGGGTTTCTTCCTTTCATGCTAGACTAAGAAGAGTTCTCAGTAACTTTTTGTGTTGTGTGTATTCAACTCACAGAGTTGAACCTTGCTTTAGAGAGAGCAGATTTGAAACACTCTTGCTGTGGCATTTTCAGGTGGAGATTTCAAGCGATTTGAGGACAATTGCAGAAAAGGAAATATCTTCGTATAATAACCAGACAGAATCATTCTCAGAAAGTGCTTTGTGATGTGTGCGTTCAACTCACAGAGTTTAACCTTTCTTTTCATAGAGGAGTGTGGAAACACACTGTTTGTAAAGTCTGCAATTGGATATATGGACCTGTTTGAGGCCTTCGTTGGAAACGGGATTTCTTCATTGAATGCTAGACGGAAGAATTCTCAGTAAATTCTTTGTGTTGTGTGCATTCAACTGACAGAGTGGAACGTCCCTTTAGACAGAGCAGATTTGAAACACTCTTTTTGCGGAATTTGCAAGTGGAGATTTCTAGCCATTTGATGCCAACAGTAGAAAGGGAAATATCTTCAAATAAAAACCAGACAGAATCATTCTCAGAAAATTCTTTGTGATGTGTGCGTTCAACTCACATAGTTTAACCTTTCTTTTCATAGAGCAGTTTGGAAACACTCTGTTTGTAAAGTCTGCAAGTGGATATATGGACCGCATTGAGGCTTTCGTTGGAAACGGGATTTCTTCATTTCATGCTAGACAGAAGAATTCTCAGTAACTTCTTTGTGCTGTGTGTATTGAACTCACAGAGTGGAACGTCCCTTTGCACAGAGCAGATTTGAAACACTCTTTTTGTGGAATTTGCAAGTGGAGATTTCAAGCGATCTGATGCCAACAGTAGAAAAGGAAATATCTTCAAATAAAAACTAGACAGAATCATTCTCAGAAACTACTTTGTGATGTGTGCCTTCAACTCACAGAGTTTAACCTTTCTTTTCTTAG
The DNA here is from genome assembly GCF_000001405.40 of Homo sapiens. NCBI lineage: Eukaryota > Metazoa > Chordata > Mammalia > Primates > Hominidae > Homo > Homo sapiens. Next base: position 60,041,789 of record NC_000007.14, read on the forward strand.
AGCAGTTTAGAAACACTCTGCTTGTTATGTCTGCAAGTGGATATTTGGACCTCTTTGAGGCCTTCGTTGCAAACGGGGTTTCTTCCTTTCATGCTAGACTAAGAAGAGTTCTCAGTAACTTTTTTGTGTTGTGTGTATTCAACTCACAGAGTTGAACCTTGCTTTAGAGAGAGCAGATTTGAAACACTCTTGCTGTGGCATTTTCAGGTGGAGATTTCAAGCGATTTGAGGACAATTGCAGAAAAGGAAATATCTTCGTATAATAACCAGACAGAATCATTCTCAGAAAGTGCTTTGTGATGTGTGCGTTCCACTCACAGAGTTTAACCTTTCTTTTCATAGAGGAGTTTGGAAACACACTGTTTGTAAAGTCTGCAAGTGGATATATGGACCTGTTTGAGGCCTTCGTTGGAAACGGGATTTCTTCATTGAATGCTAGACGGAAGAATTCTCAGTAAATTCTTTGTGTTGTGTGCATTCAACTCACAGAGTGGAACGTCCCTTTAGACAGAGCAGATTTGAAACACTCTTTTTGCGGAATTTGCAAGTGGAGATTTCTAGCCATTTGATGCCAACAGTAGAAAGGGAAATATCTTCAAATAAAAACCAGACAGAATCATTCTCAGAAAATTCTTTGTGATGTGTGCGTTCAACTCACATAGTTTAACCTTTCTTTTCATAGAGCAGTTTGGAAACACTCTGTTTGTAAAGTCTGCAAGTGGATATATGGACCGCATTGAGGCCTTCGTTGGAAACGGGATTTCTTCATTTCATGCTAGACAGAAGAATTCTCAGTAACTTACTTGTGTTGTGTTTATTCAACTCACAGAGTGGAACGTCCCTTTACACAGAGCAGATATGAAACACTCTTTTTCTGGAATTTGCAAGTGGAGATTTCAAGCGATTTGATGCCAACAGTAGAAAAGGAAATATCTTCAAATAAAACCTAGACAGAATCATTCTCAGAAACTACTTCGTGATGTGTGCCTTCAACTCACAGTGTTTAACCCTTCTTTTCTTAGAGCAGTTTAGAAACACTCTGCTTGTAATGTCTGCAAGTGGATATTTGGACCTCTTTGAGGCCTTCGTTGCAAACGGGATTTCTTCATTTCATGCTAGACTAAGAAGAGTTCTCAGTAACTGTTTTGTGTTGTGTGTATTCAACTCACAGTGTTGAACCTTTCTATAGAGAGAGCAGATTTGAAACACTCTTGCTGTGCAATTTTCAGGTGGAGATTTCAAGCGATTTGAGGACAATTGCAGAAAAGGAAATATCTTCGTATAAAAACCAGAGAGAATCATTCTCAGCAAGTGCTTTCTTATGTGTGCGTTCAACTCACAGAGTTTAACCTTCCTTTTCATAGAGCAGTTTGGAAACACACTGTTTGTTATGTCTGTAAGTGGATATTTGGACCTGTTTGAGGCCTTCTTTGGAAACGGGATTTCTTCATTGAATGCTAGACAGAAGAATTCTCAGTAAATTCTTTGTGTTGTGTGCATTCAACTCACCGAGTGGAACGTCCCTTTAGACAGAGCAGATTTGAAACACTCTTTTTGCGAAATTTGGAAATGGAGATTTCAAGCCATTTGATGCCAACAATAGAAAGGGAAATATCTTCAAATAAAAACTAGACAGAATCATTCTCAGAAAATTCTTTGTGATGTGTGCGTTCAACTCACATAGTTTAACCTTTCTTTTCATAGAGCAGTTTGGAAACACTCTGCTTGTAAAGTCTGCAAGTAGATATATGGACCGCTTTGAGGCCTTCGTTGGAAACGGGATTTCTTCATTTCATGCTAGACAGAAGAATTCTCAGTAACTTCTTTGTGTTGTGTGTATTCAACTCACAGAGTGGAACGTCCCTTTAGACAGAGCAGATTTGAAACACTCTTTTTGTGGAATTTGCAAGTGGAGATTTCAAGCGATTTGATGCCAACAGTAGAAAAGGAAATATCTTCAAATAAAAACTAGACAGAATCATTCTCAGAAACTACTTTGTGATGTGTGCCTTCAACTCACAGAGTTTAACCTTTCTTTTCTTAGAGCAGTTTAGAAACACTCTGCTTGTTATGTCTGCAAGTGGATATTTGGACCTCTTTGAGGCCTTCGTTGCAAACGGGGTTTCTTCCTTTCATGCTAGACTAAGAAGAGTTCTCAGTAACTTTTTTGTGTTGTGTGTATTCAACTCACAGAGTTGAACCTTGCTTTAGAGAGAGCAGATTTGAAACACTCTTGCTGTGGCATTTGCAGGTGGAGATTTCAAGCGATTTGAGGACAATTGCAGAAAAGGAAATATCTTCGTATAACAACCAGACAGAATCATTCTCAGAAAGTGCTTTGTGATGTGTGCGTTCAACTCACAGAGTTTAACCTTTCTTTTCATAGAGGAGTTTGGAAACACACTGTTTGTAAAGTCTGCAATTGGATATATGGACCTGTTTGAGGCCTTCGTTGGAAACGGGATTTCTTCATTGAATGCTCGACGGAAGAATTCTCAGTAAATTCTTTGTGTTGTGTGCATTCAACTCACAGAGTGGAACGTCCCTTTAGACAGAGCAGATTTGAAACACTCTTTTTGCGGAATTTGCAAGTGGAGATTTCTAGCCATTTGATGCCAACAGTAGAAAGGGAAATATCTTCAAATAAAAACCAGACAGAATCATTCTCAGAAAATTCTTTGTGATGTGTGCGTTCAACTCATATAGTTTAACCTTTCTTTTCATAGAGCAGTTTGGAAACACTCTGTTTGTAAAGTCTTCAAGTGGATATATGGACCGCATTGAGGCCTTCGTTGGAAACGGGATTTCTTCATTTCATGCTAGACAGAAGAATTCTCAGTAACTTCTTTGTGCTGTGTGTATTCAACTCACAGAGTGGAACGTCCCTTTGCACAGAGCAGATTTGAAACACTCTTTTTGTGGAGTTTGCAAGTGGAGATTTCAAGCGATTTGATGCCAACAGTAGAAAAGGAAATATCTTCAAATAAAAACTAGACAGAATCATTCTCAGAAACTACTTTGTGATGTGTGCCTTCAACTCACAGAGTTTAACCTTTCTTTTCTTAGAGCAGTTTAGAAACACTCTGCTTGTTATGTCTGCAAGTGGATATTTGGACCTCTTTGAGGCCTTCGTTGCAAACGGGGTTTCTTCCTTTCATGCTAGACTAAGAAAGAGTTCTCAGTAACTTTTTTGTGTTGTGTGTATTCAACTCACAGAGTTGAACCTTGCTTTAGAGAGAGCAGATTTGAAACACTCTTGCTGTGGCATTTTCAGGTGGAGATTTCAAGCGATTTGAGGACAATTGCAGAAAAGGAAATATCTTCGTATAATAACCAGACAGAATCATTCTCAGAAAGTGCTTTGTGATGTGTGCGTTCAACTCACAGAGTTTAACCTTTCTTTTCATAGAGGAGTTTGGAAACACACTGTTTGTAAAGTCTGCATTTGGATATATGGACCTGTTTGAGGCCTTCGTTGGAAACGGGATTTCTTCATTGAATGCTAGACGGAAGAATTCTCAGTAAATTCTTTGTGTTGTGTGCATTCAACTCACAGAGTGGAACGTCCCTTTAGACAGAGCAGATTTGAAACACTCTTTTTGCGGAATTTGCAAGTGGAGATTTCTAGCCATTTGATGCCAACAGTAGAAAGGGAAATATCTTCAAATAAAAACCAGACAGAATCATTCTCAGAAAATTCTTTGTGATGTGTGCGTTCAACTCACATAGTTTAACCTTTCTTTTCATAGAGCAGTTTGGAAACACTCTGTTTGTAAAGTCTGCAAGTGGATCTATGGACCGCATTGAGGCCTTCGTTGGAAACGGGATTTCTTCATTTCATGCTAGACAGAAGAATTCTCAGTAACTTCTTTGTGCTGTGTGTATTCAACTCACAGAGTGGAACGTCCCTTTGCACATAGCAGATTTGAAACACTCTTTTTGTGGAGTTTGCAAGTGGAGATTTCAAGCGATTTGATGCCAACAGTAGAAAAGGAAATATCTTCAAATAAAAACTAGACAGAATCATTCTAAGAAACTACTTTGTGATGTGTGCCTTCAACTCACAGAGTTTAACCTTTCTTTTCTTAGAGCAGTTTAGAAACACTCTTTTTGTTATGTCTGCAAGTGGATATTTGGACCTCTTTGAGGCCTTCGTTGCAAACGGGGTTTCTTCCTTTCATGCTAGACTAAGAAGAGTTCTCAGTAACTTTTTTGTGTTGTGTGTATTCAACTCACAGAGTTGAACCTTGCTTTAGAGAGAGCAGATTTGAAACACTCTTGCTGTGGCATTTTCAGGTGGAGATTTCAAGCGATTTGAGGACAATTGCAGAAAAGGAAATATCTTCGTATAATAACCAGACAGAATCATTCTCAGAAAGTGCTTTGTGATGTGTGCGTTCAACTCACAGAGTTTAACCTTTCTTTTCATAGAGGAGTTTGGAAACACACTGTTTGTAAAGTCTGCAAGTGGATATATGGACCTGTTTGAGGCCTTCGTTGGAAACGGGATTTCTTCATTGAATGCTAGACGGAAGAATTCTCAGTAAATTCTTTGTGTTGTGTGCATTCAACTCACAGAGTGGAACGTCCCTTTAGACAGAGCAGATTTGAAACACTCTTTTTGCGGAATTTGCAAGTGGAGATTTCTAGCCATTTGATGCCAACAGTAGAAAGGGAAACATCTTCAAATAAAAACCAGACAGAATCATTCTCAGAAAATTCTTTGTGATGTGTGCGTTCAACTCACATAGTTTAACCTTTCTTTTCATAGAGCAGTTTGGAAACACTCTGTTTGTAAAGTCTGCAAGTGGATATATGGACCGCATTGAGGCCTTCGTTGGAAACGGGATTTCTTCATTTCATGCTAGACAGAAGAATTCTCAGTAACTTCTCTGTGCTGTGTGTATTCAACTCACATACTGGAACGTCCGTTTGCACAGAGCAGATTTGAAACACTCTTTTTGTGGAATTTGCAAGTGGAGATTTCAAGCGATTTGATGCCAACAGTAGAAAAGGAAATATCTTCAAATAAAAACTAGACAGAACCATTCTCAGAAACTACTTTGTGATGTGTGCCTTCAACTCACAGAGTTTAACCTTTCTTTTCTTAGAGCAGTTTAGAAACACTCTGCTTGTTATGTCTGCAAGTGGATATTTGGACCTCTTTGAGGCCTTCGTTGCAAACGGGGTTTCTTCCTTTCATGCTAGACTAAGAAGAGTTCTCAGTAACTTTTTTGTGTTGTGTGTATTCAACTCACAGAGTTGAACCTTGCTTTAGAGAGTGCAGATTTGAAACACTCTTGCTGTGGCATTTTCAGGTGGAGATTTCAAGCGATTTGAGGACAATTGCAGAAAAGGAAATATCTTCGTATAATAACCAGAGAGAATCATTCTCAGAAAGTGCTTTGTGATGTGTGCGTTCAACTCACAGAGTTCAACCTTTCTTTTCATAGAGGAGTTTCGAAACACACTGTTTGTAAAGTCTGCAAGTGGATATATGGACCTGTTTGATGCCTTCGTTGGAAACGGGATTTTATCATATAATGCTAGACGGAAGAATTCTCAGTAAATTCTTTGTGTTGTGTGCATTCAACTCACAGAGTGGAACGTCCCTTTAGACAGAGAAGATTTTAAACACTCTTTTTGCGGAATTTGCAAGTGGAGTTTTCTAGCCATTTGATGCCAACAGTAGAAAGGGAAATATCTTCAAATAAAAACCAGACAGAATCATTCTCAGAAAATTCTTTGTGATGTGTGCGTTCAACTCACATAGTTTAACCTTTCTTTTCATAGAGCCGTTTGGAAACACTCTGTTTGTAAAGTCTGCAAGTGGATATATGGACCGCATTGAGGCCTTCGTTGGAAACGGGATTTCTTCATTTCATGCTAGACAGAAGAATTCTCAGTAACTTCTTTGTGCTGTGTGTATTCAACTCACAGAGTGCAACGTCCCTTTACACAGAGCAGATTTGAAACACTCTTTTTGTGGAATTTGCAAGTGGAGATTTCAAGCGATTTGATGCCAACAGTAGAAAAGGAAATATCTTCAAATAAAAACTAGACAGAATCATTCTCAGAAACTACTTTGTGATGTGTGCCTTCAACTCACAGAGTTTAACCTTTCTTTTCTTAGAGCAGTTTAGAAACACTCTGCTTGTTATGTCTGCAAGTGGATATTTGGACCTCTTTGAGGCCTTCGTTGCAAACGGGGTTTCTTCCTTTCATGCTAGACTAAGAAGAGTTCTCAGTAACTTTTTTGTGTTGTGTGTATTCAACTCACAGAGCTGAACCTTGCTTTAGAGAGAGCAGATTTGAAACACTCTTGCTGTGGCATTTTCAGGTGGAGATTTCAAGCGATTTGAGGACAATTGCAGAAAAGGAAATATCTTCGTATAACAACCAGACAGAATCATTCTCAGAAAGTGCTTTGTGATGTGTGCGTTCAACTCACAGAGTTTAACCTTTCTTTTCATAGAGGAGTTTGGAAACACACTGTTTGTAAAGTCTGCAATTGGATATATGGACCTGTTTGAGGCCTTCGTTGGAAACGGGATTTCTTCATTGCATGCTAGACGGAAGAATTCTCAGTAAATTCTTTGTGTTGTGTGCATTCAACTCACAGAGTGGAACGTCCCTTTAGACAGAGCAGATTTGAAACACTCTTTTTGCGGAATTTGCAAGTGGAGATTTCTAGCCATTTGATGCCAACAGTAGAAAGGGAAATATCTTCAAATAAAAACCAGACAGAATCATTCTCAGAAAATTCTTTGTGATGTGTGCGTTCAACTCACATAGTTTAACCTTTCTTTTCATAGAGCAGTTTGGAAACACTCTGTTTGTAAAGTCTGCAAGTGGATATATGGACCGCATTGAGGCCTTCGTTGGAAACGGGATTTCTTCATTTCATGCTAGACAGAAGAATTCTCAGTAACTTCTTTGTGCTGTGTGTATTCAACTCACAGAGTGGAACGTCCCTTTACACAGAGCAGATTTGAAACACTCTTTTTGTGGAGTTTGCAAGTGGAGATTTCAAGCGATTTGATGCCAACAGTAGAAAAGGAAGTATCTTCAAATAAAAACTAGACAGAATCATTCTCAGAAACTACTTTGTGATGTGTGCCTTCAACTCACCGAGTTTAACCTTTCTTTTCTGAGAGCAGCTTAGAAACACTCTGCTTGTTATGTCTGCAAGTTGATATTTGGACCTCTTTGAGGCCTTCGTTGCAAACGGGGTTTCTTCCTTTAATGCTAGACTAAGAAGAGTTCTCAGTAACTTTTTTGTGTTGTGTGTATTCAACTCACAGAGTTGAACCTTGCTTTAGAGAGAGCAGATTTGAAACACTCTCGCTGTGGAATTTTCAGGTGGAGATTTCAAGCGATTTGAGGACAATTGCAGAAAAGGAAATATACTTCGTATAATAACCAGACAGAATCATTCTCAGAAAGTGCTTTGTGATGTGTGCGTTCAACTCACAGAGTTTAACCTTTCTTTTCATAGAGGAGCTTGGAAACACACTGTTTGTAAAGTCTGCAAGTGGATATATGGACCTGTTTGAGGCTTCCGTTGGAAACGGGATTTCTTCATTGAATGCTAGACGGAAGAATTCTCAGTAAATTCTTTGTGTTGTGTGCATTCAACTCACAGAGTGGAACGTCCCTTTAGACAGAGCAGATTTGAAACACTTTTTGGCGGAATTTGCAAGTGGAGATTTCTAGCCATTTGATGCCAACAGTAGAAAGGGAAATATCTTCAAATAAAAACCAGACAGAATCATTCTCAGAAAATTCTTTGTGATGTGTGCGTTCAACTCACATAGTTTAACCTTTCTTTTCATAGAGCAGTTTGGAAACACTCTGTTTGTAAAGTCTGCAAGTGGATATATGGACCGCATTGAGGCCTTCGTTGGAAACGGGATTTCTTCATTTCATGCTAGACAGAAGAATTCTCAGTAACTTCTTTGTGCTGTGTGTATTCAACTCACAGAGTGGAACGTCCCTTTGCACAGAGCAGATTTGAAATACTCTTTTTGTGGAATTTGCAAGTGGAGATTTCAAGCGATTTGATGCCAACAGTAGAAAAGGAAATATCTTCAAATAAAAACTAGACAGAATCATTCTCAGAAACTACTTTGTGATGTGTGCCTTCAACTCACAGAGTTTAACCTTTCTTTTCTTAGAGCAGTTTAGAAACACTCTGCTTGTTATGTCTGCAAGTGGATATTTGGACCTCTTTGAGGCCTTCGTTGCAAACGGGGTTTCTTCCTTTAATGCTAGACTAAGAAGAGTTCTCAGTAACTTTTTTGTGTTGTGTGTATTCAACTCACAGAGTTGAACCTTGCTTTAGAGAGAGCAGATTTGAAACACTCTTGCTGTGGCATTTTCAGGTGGAGATTTCAAGCGATTTGAGGACAATTGCAGAAAAGGAAATATCTTCGTATAATAACCAGACAGAATCATTCTCAGAAAGTGCTTTGTGTTGTGTGCGTTCAACTCACAGAGTTTAACCTTTCTTTTCATAGAGGAGTTTGGAAACACACTGTTTGTAAAGTCTGCAATTGGATATATGGACCTGTTTGAGGCCTTCGTTGGAAACGGGATTTCTTCATTGAATGCTAGACGGAAGAATTCTCAGTGAATACTTTGTGTTGTGTGGATTCAACTCACAGAGTGGAACGTCCCTTTAGACACAGGAGATTTGAAACACTGTTTTTGTGGAATTTGCAAGTGGAGATTTCAAGCAATTTGATGCCAACAGTAGAAAGGGAATTATCTTCAAATAAAAACTAGACAGAATCATTCTCAGAAAATTCTTTGTGATGTGTGCGTTCAACTCACATAGTTTAACCTTTCTTTTCATAGAGCAGTTTGGAAACACTCTGTTTGTAAAGTCTGCAAGTGGATATATGGACCGCATTGAGGCCCTTCGTTGGAAACGGGATTTCTTCATTTCATGCTAGACAGAAGAATTCTCAGTAACTTCTTTGTGCTGTGTGTATTCAACTCACAGAGTGGAACGTCCCTTTGCACAGAGCAGATTTGAAACACTCTTTTTGTGGAGTTTGCAAGTGGAGATTTCAAGCGATTTGATGCCAACAGTAGAAAAGGAAATATCTTCAAATAAAAACTAGACAGAATCATTCTCAGAAACTACTTTGTGATGTGTGCCTTCAACTCACAGAGTTTAACCTTTCTTTTCTTAGAGCAGTTTAGAAACACTCTGCTTGTTATGTCTGCAAGTGGATATTTGGACCTCTTTGAGGCCTTCGTTGCAAACGGGGTTTCTTCCTTTCATGCTAGACTAAGAAGAGTTCTCAGTAACTTTTCCGTGTTGTGTGTATTCAACTCACAGAGTTGAACCTTGCTTTAGAGAGAGCAGATTTGAAACACTCTTGCTGTGGCATTTTCAGGTGGAGATTTCAAGCGTTTTGAGGACAATTGCAGAAAAGGAAATATGCTTCGTATAATAACCAGACAGAATCATTCTCAGAAAGTGCTTTGTGATGTGTGCGTTCAACTCACAGAGTTTAACCTTTCTTTTCATAGAGGAGTTTGGAAACACACTGTTTGTAAAGTCTGCAATTGGATATATGGACCTGTTTGAGGCCTTCGTTGGAAACGGGATTTCTTCATTGAATGCTAGACGGAAGAATTCTCAGTAAATTCTTTGTGTGGTGTGCATTCAACTCACAGAGTGGAACGTCCCTTTAGACAGAGCAGATTTGAAACACTCTTTTTGCGGAATTTGCAAGTGGAGATTTCTAGCCATTTGATGCCAACAGTAGAAAGGGAAATATCTTCAAATAAAAACCAGACAGAATCATTCTCAGAAAATTCTTTGTGATGTGTGCGTTCAACTCACATAGTTTAACCTTTCTTTTCATAGAGCAGTTTGGAAACACTCTGTTTGTAAAGTCTGCAAGTGGATATATGGACCGCATTGAGGCCTTCGTTGGAAACGGGATTTCTTCATTTCATGCTAGACAGAAGAATTCTCAGTAACTTCTTTGTGCTGTGTGTATTCAACTCACAGAGGGGAACGTCCCTTTACACAGAGCAGATTTGAAACACTCTTTTTGTGGAGTTTGCAAGTGGAGATTTCAAGCTATTTGATGCCAACAGTAGAAAAGGAAATATCTTCAAATAAAAACTAGACAGAATCATTCTCAGAAACTACTTTGTGATGTGTGCCTTCAACTCACAGAGTTTAACCTTTCTTTTCTTAGAGCAGTTTAGAAACACTCTGCTTGTTATGTCTGCAAGTGGATATTTGGACCTCTTTGAGGCCTTCGTTGCAAACGGGGTTTCTTCCTTTCATGCTAGACTAAGAAGAGTTCTCAGTAACTTTTTTGTGTTGTGTGTATTCAACTCACAGAGTTGAACCTTGCTTTAGAGAGAGCAGATTTGAAACACTCTTGCTGTGGCATTTTCAGGTGGAGATTTCAAGCGATTTGAGGACAGTTGCAGAAAAGGAAATATCTTCGTATAATAACCAGACAGAATCATTCTCAGAAAGTGCTTTGTGATGTGTGCGTTCAACTCACAGAGTTTAACCGTTCTTTTCATAGAGGAGTGTGGAAACACACTGTTTGTAAAGTCTGCAAGTGGATATATGGACCTGTTTGAGGCCTTCGTTGGAAACGGGATTTTATCATATAATGCTAGACGGAAGAATTCTCAGTAAATTCTTTGTGTTGGGTGCATTCAACTCACAGAGTGGAACGTCCCTTTAGACAGAGCAGATTTGAAACACTCTTTTTGCGGAATTTGCAAGTGGAGATTTCTAGCCATTTGATGCCAACAGTAGAAAGGGAAATATCTTCAAATAAAAACCAGACAGAATCATTCTCAGAAAATTCTTTGTGATGTGTGCGTTCAACTCACATAGTTTAACCTTTCTTTTCATAGAGCAGTTTGGAAACACTCTGTTTGTAAAGTCTGCAAGTGGATATATGGACCGCATTGAGGCCTTCGTTGGAAACGGGATTTCTTCCTTTCATGCTAGACAGAAGAATTCTCAGTAACTTCTTTGTGCTGTGTGTATTCAACTCACAGAGTGGAACGTCCCTTTGCACAGAGCAGATTTGAAACACTCTTTTTGTGGAGTTTGCAAGTGGAGATTTCAAGCGATTTGATGCCAACAGTAGAAAAGGAAATATCTTCAAATAAAAACTAGACAGAATCATTCTCAGAAACTACTTTGTGATGTGTGCCTTCAACTCACAGAGTTTAACCTTTCTTTTCTTAGAGCAGTTTAGAAACACTCTGCTTGTTATGTCTGCAAGTGGATATTTGGACCTCTTTGAGGCCTTCGTTGCAAACGGGGTTTCTTCCTTTAATGCTAGACTAAGAAGAGTTCTCAGTAACTTTTTTGTGTTGTGTGTATTCAACTCACAGAGTTGAACCTTGCTTTAGAGAGAGCAGATTTGAAACACTCTTGCTGTGGCATTTTCAGGTGGAGATTTCAAGCGATTTGAGGACAATTGCAGAAAAGGAAATATCTTCGTATAATAACCAGACAGAATCATTCTCAGAAAGTGCTTTGTGATGTGTGCGTTCCACTCACAGAGTTTAACCTTTCTTTTCATAGAGGAGTTTGGAAACACACTGTTTGTAAAGTCTGCAAGTGGATATATGGACCTGTTTGAGGCCTTCGTTGGAAACGGGATTTCTTCATTGAATGCTAGACGGAAGAATTCTCAGTAAATTCTTTGTGTTGTGTGCATTCAACTCACAGAGTGGAACGTCCCTTTAGACAGAGCAGATTTGAAACACTCTTTTTGCGGAATTTGCAAGTGGAGATTTCTAGCCATTTGATGCCAACAGTAGAAAGGGAAATATCTTCAAATAAAAACCAGACAGAATCATTCTCAGAAAATTCTTTGTGATGTGTGCGTTCAACTCACATAGTTTAACCTTTCTTTTCATAGAGCAGTTTGGGAACACTCTGTTTGTAAAGTCTGCAAGTGGATATATGGACCGCTTTGAGGCCTTCGTTGGAAACGGGATTTCTTCATTTCATGCTAGACAGAAGAATTCTCAGTAACTTCTTTGTGCTGTGTGTATTCAACTCACAGAGTGGAACGTCCCTTTACACAGAGCAGATTTGAAACACTCTTTTTGTGGAGTTTGCAAGTGGAGATTTCAAGCGATTTGATGCCAACAGTAGAAAAGGAAATATCTTCAAATAAAAACTAGACAGAATCATTCTCAGAAACTACTTTGTGATGTGTGCCTTCAACTCACAGAGTTTAACCTTTCTTATCTTAGAGCAGTTTAGAAACACTCTGCTTGTTATGTCTGCAAGTGGATATTTGGACCTCTTTGAGGCCTTCGTTGCAAACGGGGTTTCTTCCTTTAATGCTAGAATAAGAAGAGTTCTCAGTAACTTTTTTGTGTTGTGTGTATTCAACTCACAGAGTTGAACCTTGCTTTAGAGAGAGCAGATTTGAAACACTCTTGCTGTGGCATTTTCAGGTGGAGATTTCAAGCGTTTTGAGGACAATTGCAGAAAAGGGAATATCTTCGTATAATAACCAGACAGAATCATTCTCAGAAAGTGCTTTGTGATGTGTGCGTTCAACTCACAGAGTTTAACCTTTCTTTTCATAGAGGAGTTTGGAAACACACTGTTTGTAAAGTCTGCAATTGGATATATGGACCTGTTTGAGGCCTTCGTTGGAAACGGGATTTCTTCATTGAATGCTAGACGGAAGAATTCTCAGTAAATACTTTGTGTTGTGTGCATTCAACTGACAGAGTGGAACGTCCCTTTAGACAGAGCAGATTTGAAACACTCTTTTTGCGGAATTTGCAAGTGGAGATTTCTAGCCATTTGATGCCAACAGTAGAAAGGGAAATATCTTCAAATAAAAACCAGACAGAATCATTCTCAGAAAATTCTTTGTGATGTGTGCGTTCAACTCACATAGTTTAACCTTTCTTTTCATAGAGCAGTTTGGAAACACTCTGTTTGTAAAGTCTGCAAGTGGATATATGGACCGCATTGAGGCCTTCGTTGGAAACGGGATTTCTTCATTTCATGCTAGACAGAAGAATTCTCAGTAACTTCTTTGTGCTGTGTGTATTCAACTCACAGAGTGGAACGTCCCTTTACACAGAGAAGATTTGAAACACTCTTTTTGTGGAGTTTGCAAGTGGAGATTTCAAGCGATTTGATGCCAACAGTAGAAAAGGAAATATCTTCAAATAAAAACTAGACAGAATCATTCTCAGAAACTACTTTGTGATGTGTGCCTTCAACTCACAGAGTTTAACCTTTCTTTTCTTAGAGCAGTTTAGAAACACTCTGCTTGTTATGTCTGCAAGTGGATATTTGGACCTCTTTGAGGCCTTCGTTGCAAACGGGGTTTCTTCCTTTAATGCTAGACTAAGAAGAGTTCTCAGTAACTTTTTTGTGTTGTGTGTATTCAACTCACAGAGTTGAACCTTGCTTTAGAGAGAGCAGATTTGAAACACTCTTGCTGTGGCATTTTCAGGTGGAGATTTCAAGCGTTTTGAGGACAATTGCAGAAAAGGAAATATCTTCGTATAATAACCAGACAGAATCATTCTCAGAAAGTGCTTTGTGATGTGTGCGTTCCACTCACAGAGTTTAACCTTTCTTTTCATAGAGGAGTTTGGAAACACACTGTTTGTAAACTCTGCAAGTGGATATATGGACCTGTTTGAGGCCTTCATTGGAAACGGGATTTCTTCATTGAATGCTAGACGGAAGAATTCTCAGTAAATTCTTTGTGTTGTGTGCATTCAACTCACAGAGTGGAACGTCCCTTTAGACAGAGCAGATTTGAAACACTCTTTTTGCGGAATTTGCAAGTGGAGATTTCTAGCCATTTGATGCCAACAGTAGAAAGGGAAATATCTTCAAATAAAAACCAGACAGAATCATTCTCAGAAAATTCTTTGTGATGTGTGCGTTCAACTCACATAGTTTAACCTTTCTTTTCATAGAGCAGTTTGGAAACACTCTGTTTGTAAAGTCTGCAAGTGGATATATGGACCGCATTGAGGCCTTCGTTGGAAACGGGATTTCTTCATTTCATGCTAGACAGAAGAATTCTCAGTAACTCCTTTGTGCTGTGTGTATTCCACTCACAGAGTGGAACGTCCCTTTGCACAGAGCAGATTTGAAACACTCTTTTTGTGGAATTTGCAAGTGGAGATTTCAAGCGATTTGATGCCAACAGTAGAAAAGGAAATATCTTCAAATAAAAACTAGACAGAATCATTCTCAGAAACTACTTTGTGATGTGTGCCTTCAACTCACAGAGTTTAACCTTTCTTTTCTTAGAGCAGTTTAGAAACACTCTGCTTGTTATGTCTGCAAGTGGATATTTGGACCTCTTTGAGGCCTTCGTTGCAAACGGGGTTTCTTCCTTTCATGCTAGACTAAGAAGAGTTCTCAGTAACTTTTTTGTGTTGTGTGTATTCAACTCACAGAGCTGAACCTTGCTTTAGAGAGAGCAGATTTGAAACACTCTTGCTGTGGCATTTTCAGGTGGAGATTTCAAGCGATTTGAGGACAATTGAAGAAAAGGAAATATCTTCGTATAACAACCAGACAGAATCATTCTCAGAAAGTGCTTTGTGATGTGTGCGTTCAACTCACAGAGTTTAACCTTTCTTTTCATAGAGGAGTTTGGAAACACACTGTTTGTAAAGTCTGCAATTGGATATATGGACCTGTTTGAGGCCTTCGTTGGAAACGGGATTTCTTCATTGCATGCTAGACGGAAGGATTCTCAGTAAATTCTTTGTGTTGTGTGCATTCAACTCACAGAGTGGAACGTCCCTTTAGACAGAGCAGATTTGAAACACTCTTTTTGCAGAATTTGCAAGTGGAGATTTCTAGCCATTTGATGCCAACAGTAGAAAGGGAAATATCTTCATATAAAAACCAGACAGAATCATTCTCAGAAAATTCTTTGTGATGTGTGCGTTCAACTCACATAGTTTAACCTTTCTTTTCATAGAGCAGTTTGGAAACACTCTGTTTGTAAAGTCTGCAAGTGGATATATGGACGGCATTGAGGCCTTCGTTGGAAACGGGATTTCTTCATTTCATGCTAGACAGAAGAATTCTCAGTAACTTCTTTGTGCTGTGTGTATTCAACTCACAGAGTGGAACGTTCCTTTACACAGAGCAGATTTGAAACACTCTTTTTGTGGAATTTGCAAGTGGAGATTTCAAGCGATTTGATGCCAACAGTAGAAAAGGAAATATCTTCAAATAAAAACTAGACAGAATCATTCTCAGAAACTACTTTGTGATGTGTGCCTTCAACTCAAAGAGTTTAACCTTTCTTTTCTTAGAGCAGTTTAGAAACACTCTGCTTGTTATGTATGCAAGTGGATATTTGGACCTCTTGAGGCCTTCGTTGCAAACGGGGTTTCTTCCTTTCATGCTAGACTAAGAAGAGTTCTCAGTAACTTTTTTGTGTTGTGTGTATTCAACTCACAGAGTTGAACCTTGCTTTAGAGAGAGCAGATTTGAAACACTCTTGCTGTGGCATTTTCAGGTGGAGATTTCAAGCGATTTGAGGACAATTGCAGAAAAGGAAATATCTTCGTATAATAACCAGACAGAATCATTCTCAGAAAGTGCTTTGTGATGTGTGCGTTCAACTCACAGAGTTTAACCTTTCTTTTCATAGAGGAGTTTGGAAACACACTGTTTGTAAAGTCTGCAATTGGATATATGGACCTGTTTGAGGCCTTCGTTGGAAACGGGATTTCTTCATTGAATGCTAGACGGAAGAATTCTCAGTAAATTCTTTGTGTTGTGTGCATTCAACTCACAGAGTGGAACGTCCCTTTAGACACAGCAGATTTGAAACACTCTTTTTGCGGAATTTGCAAGTGGAGATTTCTAGCCATTTGATGCCAACAGTAGAAAGGGAAATATCTTCAAATAAAAACCAGACAGAATCATTCTCAGAAAATTCTTTGTGATGTGTGCGTTCAACTCACATAGTTTAACCTTTCTTTTCATAGAGCAGTTTGGAAACACTCTGTTTGTAAAGTCTGCAAGTGGATATATGGACCGCATTGAGGCCTTCGTTGGAAACGGGATTTCTTCATTTCATGCTAGACAGAAGAATTCTCAGTAACTTCTTTGTGCTGTGTCTATTCAACTCACAGAGTGGAACGTCCCTTTACACAGAGCAGATTTGAAACACTCTTTTTGTGGAGTTTGCAAGTGGAGATTTCAAGCGATTTGATGCCAACAGTAGAAAAGGAAATATCTTCAAATAAAAACTAGACAGAATCATTCTCAGAAACTACTTTGTGATGTGTGCCTTCAACTCACAGAGTTTAACCTTTCTTTTCTTAGAGCAGTTTAGAAACACTCTGCTTGTTATGTCTGCAAGTGGATATTTGGACCTCTTTGAGGCCTTCGTTGCAAACGGGGTTTCTTCCTTTCATGCTAGACTAAGAAGAGTTCTCAGTAACTTTTTTGTGTTGTGTGTATTCAACTCACAGAGTTGAACCTTGCTTTAGAGAGAGCAGATTTGAAACACTCTTGATGTGGCATTTTCAGGTGGAGATTTCAAGCGATTTGAGGACAATTGCAGAAAAGGAAATATCTTCGTATAATAACCAGACAAAATCATTCTCAGAAAGTGCTTTGTGATGTGTGCGTTCAACTCACAGAGTTTAACCTTTCTTTTCATAGAGGAGTTTGGAAACACACTGTTTGTAAAGTCTGCAATTGGATATATGGACCTGTTTGAGGCCTTCGTTGGAAACGGGATTTCTTCATTGCATGCTAGACGGAAGAATTCTCAGTAAATTCTTTGTGTTGTGTGCATTCAACTCACAGAGTGGAACGTCCCTTTAGACAGAGCAGATTTGAAACACTCTTTTTGCGGAATTTGCAAGTGGAGATTTCTAGCCATTTGATGCCAACAGTAGAAAGGGAAATATCTTCAAATAAAAACCAGACAGAATCATTCTCAGAAAATTCTTTGTGATGTGTGCATTCAACTCACATAGTTTAACCTTTCTTTTCATAGAGCAGTTTGGAAACACTCTGTTTGTAAAGTCTGCAAGTGGATATATGGACCAGCATTGAGGCCTTCGTTGGAAACGGGATTTCTTCATTTCATGCTAGACAGAAGAATTCTCAGTAACTTCTTTGTGCTGTGTGTATTCAACTCACAGAGTGGAACGTCCCTTTGCACAGAGCAGATTTGAAACACTCTTTTTGTGGAATTTGCAAGTGGAGATTTCAAGCGATTTGATGCCAACAGTAGAAAAGGAAATATCTTCAAATAAAAACTAGACAGAATCATTCTCAGAAACTACTTTGAGATGTGTGCCTTCAACTCACAGAGTTTAACCTTTCTTTTCATAGAGGAGTTTGGAAACACACTGTTGGTAAAGTCTGCAATTGGATATATGGACCTGTTTGAGGCCTTCGTTGGAAACGGGATTTCTTCATTGAATGCTAGACGGAAGAATTCTCAGTAAATTCTTTGTGTTGTGTGCATTCAACTCACAGAATGGAACGTCCCTTTAGACAGAGCAGATTTGAAACACTCTTTTTGCGGAATTTGCAAGTGGAGATTTCTAGCCATTTGATGCCAACAGTAGAAAGGGAAATATCTTCAAATAAAAACCAGACAGAATCATTCTCAGAAAATTCTTTGTGATGTGTGCGTTCAACTCACATACTTTAACCTTTCTTTTCATAGAGCAGTTTGGAAACACTCTGTTTGTAAAGTCTGCAAGTAGATATATGGACCGCATTGAGGCCTTCGTTGGAAACGGGATTTCTTCATTTCATGCTAGACAGAAGAATTCTCAGTAACTTCTTTGTGCTGTGTGTATTCAACTCACAGAGTGGAACGTCCCTTTAGACAGAGCAGATTTGAAACACTCTTTTTGTGGAATTTGCAAGTGGAGATTTCAAGCGATTTGATGCCAGCAGTAGAAAAGGAAATATCTTCAAATAAAAACTAGACAGAATCATTCTCAGAAACTACTTTGTGATGTGTGCCTTCAACTCACAGAGTTTAACCTTTCTTTTCTTAGAGCAGTTTAGAAACACTCTGCTTCTTATGTCTGCAAGTGGATATTTGGACCTCTTTGAGGCCTTCGTTGCAAACGGGATTTCTTCCTTTAATGCTAGACTAAGAAGAGTTCTCAGTAACTTTTTTGTGTTGTGTGTATTCAACTCACAGAGGTGAACCTTGCTTTAGAGAGAGCAGATTTGAAACACTCTTGCTGTGGCATTTTCAGGTGGAGATTTCAAGCGATTTGAGGACAATTGCAGAAAAGGAAATATCTTCGTATAATAACCAGAGAGAATCATTCTCAGAAAGTGCTTTGTGATGTGTGCGTTCAACTCACAGAGTTTAACCTTTCTTTTCATAGAGGAGTTTGGAAACACACTGTTTGTAAAGTCTGCAAGTGGATATATGGACCTGTTTGAGGCCTTCGTTGGAAACGGGATTTCTTCATTGAATGCTAGACGGAAGAATTCTCAGTAAATTCTTTGTGTTGTGTGCATTCAACTGACAGAGTGGAACGTCCCTTTAGACAGAGCAGATTTGAAACACTCTTTTTACGGAATTTGCAAGTGGAGATTTCTAGCCATTTGATGCCAACAGTAGAAAGGGAAATATCTTCAAATAAAAACCAGACAGAATCATTCTCAGAAAATTCTTTGTGATGTGTGCGTTCAACTCACATAGTTTAACCTTTCTTTTCATAGAGCAGTTTGGAAACACTCTGTTTGTAAAGTCTGCAAGTGGATATATGGACCGCATTGAGGCCTTCGTTGGAAACGGGATTTCTTCATTTCTTGCTAGACAGAAGAATTCTCAGTAACTTCTTTGTGCTGTGTGTATTCAACTCACAGAGTGGAACGTCCCTTTGCACAGAGCAGATTTGAAACACTCTTTTTGTGGAGTTTGCAAGTGGAGATTTCAAGCGATTTGATGCCAACAGTAGAAAAGGAAATATCTTCAAATAAAAACTAGACAGAATCATTCTCAGAAACTACTTTGTGATGTGTGCCTTCAACTCACAGAGTTTAACCTTTCTTTTCTTAGAGCAGTTTAGAAACACTCTGCTTGTTATGTCTGCAAGTGGATATTTGGACCTCTTTGAGGCCTTCGTTGCAAACGGGGTTTCTTCCTTTCATGCTAGACTAAGAAGAGTTCTCAGTAACTTTTTTGTGTTGTGTGTATTCAACTCACAGAGTTGAACCTTGCTTTAGAGAGAGCAGATTTGAAACACTCTTGCTGTGGCATTTTCAGGTGGAGATTTCAAGCGATTTGAGGACAATTGCAGAAAAGGAAATATCTTCGTATAATAACCAGACAGAATCATTCTCAGAAAGTGCTTTGTGATGTGTGCGTTCAACTCACAGAGTTTAACCTTTCTTTTCATAGAGGAGTTTGGAAACACACTGTTTGTAAAGTCTGCAATTGGATATATGGACCTGTTTGAGGCCTTCGTTGGAAACGGGATTTCTTCATTGAATGCTAGACGGAAGAATTCTCAGTAAATTCTTTGTGTTGTGTGCATTCAACTCACAGAGTGGAACGTCCCTTTAGACAGAGCAGATTTGAAACACTCTTTTTGCGGAATTTGCAAGTGGAGATTTCTAGCCATTTGATGTCAACAGTAGAAAGGGAAATATCTTCAAATAAAAACCAGACAGAATCATTCTCAGAAAATTCTTTGTGATGTGTGCGTTTAACTCACATAGTTTAACCTTTCTTTTCATAGAGCAGTTTGGAAACACTCTGTTTGTAAAGTCTGCAAGTGGATATATGGACCGCATTGAGGCCTTCGTTGGAAACGGGATTTCTTCATTTCATGCTAGACAGAAGAATTCTCAGTAACTTCTTTGTGCTGTGTGTATTCAACTCACAGAGTGGAACGTCCCTTTGCACAGAGCAGATTTGAAACACTCTTTTTGTGGAGTTTGCAAGTGGAGATTTCAAGCGATTTGATGCCAACAGTAGAAAAGGAAGTATCTTCAAATAAAAACTAGACAGAATCATTCTCAGAAACTACTTTGTGATGTGTGCCTTCAACTCACCGAGTTTAACCTTTCTTTTCTGAGAGCAGCTTAGAAACACTCTGCTTGTTATGTCTGCAAGTTGATATTTGGACCTCTTTGAGGCCTTCGTTGCAAACGGGGTTTCTTCCTTTAATGCTAGACTAAGAAGAGTTCTCAGTAACTTTTTTGTGTTGTGTGTATTCAACTCACAGAGTTGAACCTTGCTTTAGAGAGAGCAGATTTGAAACACTCTTGCTGTGGCATTTTCAGGTGGAGATTTCAAGCGATTTGAGGACAATTGCAGAAAAGGAAATATCTTCGTATAATAACCAGACAGAATCATTCTCAGAAAGTGCTCTGTGATGTGTGCGTTCAACTCACAGAGTTTAACCTTTCTTTTCATAGAGGAGTTTGGAAACACACTGTTTGTAAAGTCTGCAAGTGGATATATGGACCTGTTTGAGGCCTTCGTTGGAAACGGGATTTTATCATATAATGCTAGACGGAGGAATTCTCAGTAAATTCTTTGTGTTGTGTGCATTCAACTCACAGAGTGGAACGTCCCTTTAGACAGAGCAGGTTTGAAACACTCTTTTTGCAGAATTTGCAAGTGGAGATTTCTAGCCATTTGATGCCAACGGTAGAAAGGGAAATATCTTCAAATAAAAACTAGACAGAATCATTCTCAGAAAATTCTTTGTGATGTGTGCGTTCAACTCACATAGTTTAACCTTTCTTTTCATAGAGCAGTTTGGAAACACTCTATTTGTAAAGTCTGCAAGTGGATATATGGACCGCATTGAGGCCTTCGTTGGAAACGGGATTTCTTCATTTCATGCTAGACAGAAGAATTCTCAGTAACTTCTTTGTGCTGTGTGTATTCAACTCACAGAGTGGAACGTCCCTTTGCACAGAGCAGATTTGAAACACTCTTTTTGTGGAGTTTGCAAGTGGAGATTTCAAGCGATTTGATGCCAACAGTAGAAAAGGAAATATCTTCAAATAAAAACTAGACAGAATCATTCTCAGAAACTACTTTGTGATGTGTGCCTTCAACTCACAGAGTTTAACCTTTCTTTTCTTAGAGCAGTTTAGAAACACTCTCCTTGTTATGTCTGCAAGTGGATATTTGGACCTCTTTGAGGCCTTCGTTGCAAACGGGGTTTCTTCCTTTCACGCTAGACTAAGAAGAGTTCTCAGTAACTTTTTTGTGTTGTGTGTATTCAACTCACAGAGTTGAACCTTGCTTTAGAGAGAGCAGATTTGAAACACTCTTGCTGTGGCATTTTCAGGTGGAGATTTCAAGCGATTTGAGGACAATTGCAGAAAAGGAAATATCTTCGTATAATAACCAGACAGAATCATTCTCAGAAAGTGCTTTGTGATGTGTGCGTTCAACTCACAGAGTTTAACCTTTCTTTTCATAGAGGAGTTTGGAAACACACTGTTTGTAATGTCTGCAAGTGGATATATGGACCTGTTTGAGGCCTTCGTTGGAAACGGGATTTCTTCATTGAATGCTAGGCGGAAGAATTCTCAGTAAATTCTTTGTGTTGTGTGCATTCAACTCACAGAGTGGAACGTCCCTTTAGACAGAGCAGATTTGAAACACTCTTTTTGCGGAATTTGCAAGTGGAGATTTCTAGCCATTTGATGCCAACAGTAGAAAGGGAAATATCTTCAAATAAAAACCAGACAGAATCATTCTCAGAAAATTCTTTGTGATGTGTGCGTTCAACTCACATAGTTTAACCTTTCTTTTCATAGAGCAGTTTGGAAACACTCTGTTTGTAAAGTCTGCAAGTGGATATATGGACCGCATTGAGGCCTTCGTTGGAAACGGGATTTCTTC
Organism: Homo sapiens; assembly: GCF_000001405.40. Classification (NCBI taxonomy): domain Eukaryota; kingdom Metazoa; phylum Chordata; class Mammalia; order Primates; family Hominidae; genus Homo; species Homo sapiens. The sequence goes on from NC_000007.14 coordinate 60,063,679, forward strand.
ATTTCATGCTAGACAGAAGAATTCTCAGTAACTTCTTTGTGCTGTGTGTATTCAACTCACAGAGTGGAACGTCCCTTTGCACAGAGCAGATTTGAAACACTCTTTTTGTGGAATTTGCAAGTGGAGATTTCAAGCGATTTGATGCCAACAGTAGAAAAGGAAATATCTTCAAATAAAAACTAGACAGAACCATTCTCAGAAACTACTTTGTGATGTGTGCCTTCAACTCACAGAGTTTAACCTTTCTTTTCTTAGAGCAGTTTAGAAACACTCTGCTTGTTATGTCTGCAACTGGATATTTGGACCTCTTTGAGGCCTTCGTTGCAAACGGGGTTTCTTCCTTTCATGCTAGACTAAGAAGAGTTCTCAGTAACTTTTTTGTGTTGTGTGTATTCAACTCACAGAGTTGAACCTTGCTTTAGAGAGAGCAGATTTGAAACACTCTTGCTGTGGCATTTTCAGGTGGAGATTTCAAGCGATTTGAGGACAATTGCAGAAAAGGAAATATCTTCGTATAATAACCAGACAGAATCATTCTCAGAAAGTGCTTTGTGATGTGTGCGTTCAACTCACAGAGTTTAACCTTTCTTTTCATAGAGGAGTTTGGAAACACACTGTTTGTAAAGTCTGCAATTGGATATATGGACCTGTTTGAGGCCTTCGTTGGAAACGGGATTTCTTCATTGCATGCTAGACGGAAGAATTCTCAGTAAATACTTTGTGTTGTGCGCATTCAACTGACAGAGTGGAACGTCCCTTTAGACAGAGCAGATTTGAAACACTCTTTTTGCGGAATTTGCAAGTGGAGATTTCTAGCCATTTGATGCCAACAGTAGAAAGGGAAATATCTTCAAATAAAAACCAGACAGAATCATTCTCAGAAAATTCTTTGTGATGTGTGCGTTCAACTCACATAGTTTAACCTTTCTTTTCATAGAGCAGTTTGGAAACACTCTTTTTGTAAAGTCTGCAAGTGGATATATGGACCTGTTTGAGGCCTTCGTTGGAAACGGGATTTCTTCATTGAATGCTAGAGGGAAGAATTCTCAGTAACTTCTTTGTGCTGTGTGTATTCAACTCACAGAGTGGAACGTCCCTTTACACAGAGCAGATTTGAAACACTCTTTTTGTGGAGTTTGCAAGTGGAGATTTCAAGCGATTTGATGCCAACAGTAGAAAAGGAAATATCTTCAAATAAAAACTAGACAGAATCATTCTCAGAAACTACTTTGTGATGTGTGCCTTCAACTAACAGAGTTTAACCTTTCTTTTCTTAGAGCAGTTTAGAAACACTCTGCTTGTTATGTCTGCAAGTGGATATTTGGACCTCTTTGAGGCCTTCGTTGCAAACGGGGTTTCTTCCTTTAATGCTAGACTAAGAAGAGTTCTCAGTAACTTTTTTGTGTTGTGTGCATTCAACTCACAGAGTGGAACGTCCCTTTAGACAGAGCAGATTTGAAACACTCTTTTTGCGGAAGTTGCAAGTGGAGATTTCTAGCCATTTGATGCCAACAGTACAAAGGGAAATATCTTCAAATAAAAACTAGACAGAATCATTCTCAGAAAATTCTTTGTGATGTGTGCGTTCAACTCACATAGTTTAACCTTTCTTTTCATAGAGCAGTTTGGAAACACTCTGTTTGTAAAGTCTGCAAGTGGATATATGGACCGCATTGAGGCCTTCGTTGGAAACGGGATTTCTTCATTTCATGCTAGACAGAAGAATTCTCAGTAACTTCTTTGTGCTGTGTGTATTCAACTCACAGAGTGGAACGTCCCTTTGCACAGAGCAGATTTGAAACACTCTTTTTGTGGAATTTGCAAGTGGAGATTTCAAGCGATTTGATGCCAACAGTAGAAAAGGAAATATCTTCAAATAAAACTAGACAGAATCATTCTCAGAAACTACTTTGTGATGTCTGCCTTCAACTCACAGAGTTTAACCTTTCTTTTCTTAGAGCAGTTTAGAAACACTCTGCTTGTTATGTCTGCAAGTGGATATTTGGACCTCTTTGAGGCCTTCGTTGCAAACGGGGTTTCTTCCTTTCATGCTAGACTAAGAAGAGTTCTCAGTAACTTTTTTGTGTTGTGTGTATTCAACTCACAGAGTTGAACCTTGCTTTAGAGAGAGCAGATTTGAAACACTCTTGCTGTGGCATTTTCAGGTGGAGATTTCAAGCGATTTGAGGACAATTGCAGAAAAGGAAATATCTTCGTATAATAACCAGACAGAATCATTCTCAGAAAGTGCTTTGTGATGTGTGCGTTCAACTCACAGAGTTTAACCTTTCTTTTCATAGAGGAGTTTGGAAACACACTGTTTGTAAAGTCTGCAAGTGGATATATGGACCTGTTTGAGGCCTTCGTTGGAAACGGGATTTCTTCATTGAATGCTAGACGGAAGAATTCTCAGTAAATTCTTTGTGTTGTGTGCATTCAACTCACAGAGTGGAACGTCCCTTTAGACAGAGCAGATTTGAAACACTCTTTTTGCGGAATTTGCAAGTGGAGATTTCTAGCCATTTGATGCCAACAGTAGAAAGGGAAATATCTTCAAATAAAAACCAGACAGAATCATTCTCAGAAAATTCTTTGTGATGTGTGCGTTCAACTCACATAGTTTAACCTTTCTTTTCATAGAGCAGTTTGGAAACACTCTGTTTGTAAAGTCTGCAAGTGGATATATGGACCGCATTGAGGCCTTCGTTGGAAACGGGATTTCTTCATTTCATGCTAGACAGAAGAATTCTCAGTAACTTCTTTGTGCTGTGTGTATTCAACTCACAGAGTGGAACGTCCCTTTACACAGAGCAGATTTGAAACACTCTTTTTGTGGAGTTTGCAAGTGGAGATTTCAAGCGATTTGATGCCAACAGTAGAAAAGGAAATATCTTCAAATAAAAACTAGACAGAATCATTCTCAGAAACTACTTTGTGATGTGTGCCTTCAACTCACAGAGTTTAACCTTTCTTTTCTTAGAGCAGTTTAGAAACACTCTGCTTGTGATGTCTGCAAGTGGAAATTTGGACCTCTTTGAGGCCTTCGTTGCAAACGGGGTTTCTTCCTTTCATGCTAGACTAAGAAGAGTTCTCAGTAACTTTTTGGGTTGTGTGTATTCAACTCACAGAGTTGAACCTTGCTTTAGAGAGAGCAGATTTGAAACACTCTTGCTGTGGCATTTTCAGGTGGAGATTTCAAGCGATTTGAGGACAATTGCAGAAAAGGAAATATCTTCGTATAATAACCAGACAGAATCATTCTCAGAAAGTGCTTTGTGATGTGTGCGTTCAACTCACAGAGTTTAACCTTTCTTTTCATAGAGGAGTTTGGAAACACACTGTTTGTAAAGTCTGCAAGTGGATATATGGACCTGTTTGAGGCCTTCGTTGGAAACGGGATTTCTTCATTGAATGCTAGACGGAAGAATTCTCAGTAAATTCTTTGTGTTGTGTGCATTCAACTCACAGAGTGGAACGTCCCTTTAGACAGAGGAGATTTGAAACACTCTTTTTGCGGAATTTGCAAGTGGAGATTTCTAGCCATTTGATGCCAACAGTAGAAAGGGAAATATCTTCAAATAAAAACCAGACAGAATCATTCTCAGAAAATTCTTTGTGATGTGTGCGTTCAACTCACATAGTTTAACCTTTCTTTTCATAGAGCAGTTTGGAAACACTCTGTTTGTAAAGTCTGCAAGTGGATATATGGACCGCATTGAGGCCTTCGTTGGAAACGGGATTTCTTCATTTCATGCTAGACAGAAGAATTCTCAGTAACTTCTTTGTGCTGTGTGTATTCAACTCACAGAGTGGAACGTTCCTTTACACAGAGCAGATTTGAAACACTCTTTTTGTGGAGTTTGCAAGTGGAGATTTCAAGCGATTTGATGCCAACAGTAGAAAAGGAAATATCTTCAAATAAAAACTAGACAGAATCATTCTCAGAAACTACTTTGTGATGTCTGCCTTCAACTCACAGAGTTTAACCTTTCTTTTCTTAGAGCAGTTTAGAAACACTCTGCTTGTTATGTCTGCAAGTGGATATTTGGACCTCTTTGAGGCCTTCGTTGCAAACGGGGTTTCTTCCTTTCATGCTAGACTAAGAAGAGTTCTCAGTAACTTTTTTGTGTTGTGTGTATTCAACTCACAGAGTTGAACCTTGCTTTAGAGAGAGCAGATTTGAAACACTCTTGCTGTGGCATTTTCAGGTGGAGATTTCAAGCGATTTGAGGACAATTGCAGAAAAGGAAATATCTTCGTATAATAACCAGACAGAATCATTCTCAGAAAGTGCTTTGTGATGTGTGCGTTCAACTCACAGAGTTTAACCTTTCTTTTCATAGAGGAGTTTGGAAACACACTGTTTGTAAAGTCTGCAATTGGATATATGGACCTGTTTGAGGCCTTCATTGGAAACGGGATTTCTTCATTGAATGCTAGACGGAAGAATTCTCAGTAAATTCTTTGTGTTGTGTGCATTCAACTCACAGAGTGGAACGTCCCTTTAGACAGAGCAGATTTGAAACACTCTTTTTGCGGAATTTGCAAGTGGAGATTTCTAGCCATTTGATGCCAACAGTAGAAAGGGAAATATCTTCAAATAAAAACCAGACAGAATCATTCTCAGAAAATTCTTTGTGATGTGTGCGTTCAACTCACATAGTTTAACCTTTCTTTTCATAGAGCAGTTTGGAAACACTCTGTTTGAAAAGTCTGCAAGTGGATATATGGACCGCATTGAGGCCTTCGTTGGAAACGGGATTTCTTCATTTCATGCTAGACAGAAGAATTCTCAGTAACTTCTTTGTGCTGTGTGTACTCAACTCACAGAGTGGAACGTCCCTTTGCACAGAGCAGATTTGAAACACTCTTTTTGTGGAGTTTGCAAGTGGAGATTTCAAGCGATTTGATGCCAACAGTAGAAAAGGAAATATCTTCAAATAAAAACTAGACAGAATCATTCTCAGAAACTACTTTGTGATGTCTGCCTTCAACTCACAGAGTTTAACCTTTCTTTTCTTAGAGCAGTTTAGAAACACTCTGCTTGTTATGTCTGCAAGTGGATATTTGGACCTCTTTGAGGCCTTCGTTGCAAACGGGGTTTCTTCCTTTCATGCTAGACTAAGAAGAGTTCTCAGTAACTTTTTTGTGTTGTGTGTATTCAACTCACAGAGTTGAACCTTGCTTTAGAGAGAGCAGATTTGAAACACTCTTGCTGTGGCATTTTCAGGTGGAGATTTCAAGCGATTTGAGGACAATTGCAGAAAAGGAAATATCTTCGTATAATAACCAGACAGAATCATTCTCAGAAAGTGCTTTGTGATGTGTGCGTTCCACTCACAGAGTTTAACCTTTCTTTTCATAGAGGAGTTTGGAAACAAACTGTTTGTAAACTCTGCAAGTGGATATATGGACCTGTTTGAGGCCTTCGTTGGAAACGGGATTTCTTCATTGAATGCTAGACGGAAGAATTCTCAGTAAATTCTTTGTGTTGTGTGCATTCAACTCACAGAGTGGAACGTCCCCTTAGGCAGAGCAGATTTGAAACACTCTTTTTGCGGAATTTGCAAGTGGAGATTTCTAGCCATTTGATGCCAACAGTAGAAAGGGAAATATCTTCAAATAAAAACCAGACAGAATCATTCTCAGAAAATTCTTTGTGATGTGTGCGTTCAACTCACATAGTTTAACCTTTCTTTTCATAGAGCAGTTTGGAAACACTCTGTTTGTAAAGTCTGCAAGTGGATATATGGACCGCATTGAGGCCTTCGTTGGAAACGGGATTTCTTCATTTCATGCTAGACAGAAGAATTCTCAGTAACTTCTTTGTGCTTTGTGTATTCAACTCACAGAGTGGAACGTCCCTTTACACAGAGCAGATTTGAAACACTCTTTTTGTGGAGTTTGCAAGTGGAGATTTCAAGCGATTTGATGCCAACAGTAGAAAAGGAAATATCTTCAAATAAAAACTAGACAGAATCATTCTCAGAAACTACTTTGTGATGTGTGCCTTCAACTCACAGAGTTTAACCTTTCTTTTCTTAGAGCAGTTTAGAAACACTCTGCTTGTTATGTCTGCAAGTGGATATTTGGACCTCTTTGAGGCCTTCGTTGCAAACGGGGTTTCTTCCTTTCATGCTAGACTAAGAAAGAGTTCTCAGTAACTTTTTTGTGTTGTGTGTATTCAACTCACAGAGTTGAACCTTGCTTTAGAGAGAGCAGATTTGAAACACTCTTGCTGTGGCATTTTCAGGTGGAGATTTCAAGCGATTTGAGGACAATTGCAGAAAAGGAAATATCTTCGTATAATAACCAGACAGAATCATTCTCAGAAAGTGCTTTGTGATGTGTGCGTTCAACTCACAGAGTTTAACCTTTCTTTCCATAGAGGAGTTTGGAAACACACTGTTTGTAAAGTCTGCAAGTGGATATATGGACCTGTTTGAGGCCTTCGTTGGAAACGGGATTTCTTCATTGAATGCTAGACGGAAGAATTCTCAGTAAATTCTTTGTGTTGTGTGCATTCAACTGACAGAGTGGAACGACCCTTTGGACAGAGCAGATTTGAAACATTCTTTTTGCGGAATTTGCAAGTGGAGATTTCTAGCCATTTGATGCCAACAGTAGAAAGGGAAACATCTTCAAATAAAAACCAGACAGAATCATTCTCAGAAAATTCTTTGTGATGTGTGCGTTCAACTCACATAGTTTAACCTTTCTTTTCATAGAGCAGTTTGGAAACACTCTGTTTGTAAAGTCTGCAAGTGGATATATGGACCGCATTGAGGCCTTCGTTGGAAACGGGATTTCTTCATTTCATGCTAGACAGAAGAATTCTCAGTAACTTCTTTGTGCTGTGTGTATTCAACTCACAGAGTGGAACGTCCCTTTACACAGAGCAGATTTGAAACACTCTTTTTGTGGAGTTTGCAAGTGGAGATTTCAAGCGATTTGATGCCAACAGTAGAAAAGGAAATATCTTCAAATAAAAACTAGACAGAATCATTCTCAGAAACTACTTTGTGATGTGTGCCTTCAACTCACAGAGTTTAACCTTTCTTTTCTTAGAGCAGTTTAGAAACACTCTGCTTGTTATGTCTGCAAGTGGATATTTGGACCTCTTTGAGGCCTTCGTTGCAAACGGGGTTTCTTCCTTTCATGCTAGACTAAGAAGAGTTCTCAGTAACTTTTTTGTGTTGTGTGTATTCAACTCACAGAGTTGAACCTCGCTTTAGAGAGAGCAGATTTGAAACACTCTTGCTGTGGCATTTTCAGGTGGAGATTTCAAGCGATTTGAGGACAATTGCAGAAAAGGAAATATCTTCGTATAATAACCAGACAGAATCATTCACAGAAAGTGCTTTGTGATGTGTGCGTTCAACCTCACAGACTTTAACCTTTCTTTTCATAGAGGAGTTTGGAAACACACTGTTTGTAACGTCTGCAAGTGGATATATGGACCTGTTTGAGGCCTTCGTTGGAAACGGGATTTCTTCATTGAATGCTAGACGGAAGAATTCTCAGTAAATTCTTTGTGTTGTGTGCATTCAACTGACAGAGTGGAACGTCCCTTTAGACAGAGCAGATTTGAAACACTCTTTTTGCGGAATTTGCAAGTGGAGATTTCTAGCCATTTGATGCCAACAGTAGAAAGGGAAATATCTTCAAATAAAAACCAGACAGAATCATTCTCAGAAAATTCTTTGTGATGTGTGCAGTTCAACTCACATAGTTTAACCTTTCTTTTCATAGAGCAGTTTGGAAACACTCTGTTTGTAAAGTCTGCAAGTGGATATATGGACCGCATTGAGGCCTTCGTTGGAAACGGGATTTCTTCATTTCATGCTAGACAGAAGAATTCTCAGTAACTTCTTTGTGCTGTGTGTATTCAACTCACAGAGTGGAACGTCCCTTTTCACAGAGCAGATTTGAAACACTCTTTTTGTGGAGTTTGCAAGTGGAGATTTCAAGCGATTTGATGCCAACAGTAGAAAAGGAAATATCTTCAAATAAAAACTAGACAGAATCATTCTCAGAAACTACTTTGTGATGTGTGCCTTCAACTCACAGAGTTTAACCTTTCTTTTCTTAGAGCAGTTTAGAAACACTCTGCTTGTTATGTCTGCAAGTGGATATTTGGACCTCTTTTAGGCCTTCGTTGCAAACGGGGTTTCTTCCTTTAATGCTAGACTAAGAACAGTTCTCAGTAACTTTTTTGTGTTGTGTGTTTTCAACTCACAGAGTTGAACCTTGCTTTAGAGAGAGCAGATTTGAAACACTCTCGCTGTGGAATTTTCAGGTGGAGATTTCAAGCGATTTGAGGACAATTGCCGAAAAGGAAATATCTTCGTATAATAACCAGACAGAATCATTCTCAGAAAGTGCTTTGTGATGTGTGCGTTCAACTCACAGAGTTTAACCTTTCTTTTCATAGAGGAGTTTGGAAACACACTGTTTGTAAAGTCTGCAATTGGATATATGGACCTGTTTGAGGCCTTCGTTGGAAACGGGATTTCTTCATTGAATGCTAGACGGAAGAATTCTCAGTAAATTCTTTGTGTTGTGTGCATTCAACTCACAGAGTGGAACGTCCCTTTAGACAGAGCAGATTTGAAACACTCTTTTTGCGGAATTTGCAAGTGGAGATTTCTAGCCATTTGATGCCAACAGTAGAAAGGGAAATATCTTCAAATAAAAACCAGACAGAATCATTCTCAGAAAATTCTTTGTGATGTGTGCGTTCAACTCACATAGTTTAACCTTTCTTTTCATAGAGCAGTTTGGAAACACTCTGTTTGTAAAGTCTGCAAGTGGATATATGGACCGCATTGAGGCCTTCGTTGGAAACGGGATTTCTTCATTTCATGCTAGACAGAAGAATTCTCAGTAACTTCTTTGTGCTGTGTGTATTCAACTCACAGAGTGGAACGTCCCTTTACACAGAGCAGATTTGAAACACTCTTTTTGTGGAGTTTGCAAGTGGAGATTTCAAGCGATTTGATGCCAACAGTAGAAAAGGAAATATCTTCAAATAAAAACTAGACAGAATCATTCTCAGAAACTACTTTGTGATGTGTGCCTTCAACTCACAGAGTTTAACCTTTCTTTTCTTAGAGCAGTTTAGAAACACTCTGCTTGTTATGTCTGCAAGTGGATATTTGGACCTCTTTGAGGCCTTCGTTGCAAATGGGGTTTCTTCCTTTCATGCTAGACTAAGAAGAGTTCTCAGTAACTTTTTTGTGTTGTGTGTATTCAACTCACAGAGTTGAACCTTGCTTTAGAGAGAGCAGATTTGAAACACTCTTGCTGTGGCATTTTCAGGTGGAGATTTCAAGCGATTTGAGGACAATTGCAGAAAAGGAAATATCTTCGTATAATAACCAGACAGAATCATTCTCAGAAAGTGCTTTGTGATGTGTGCGTTCCACTCACAGAGTTTAACCTTTCTTTTCATAGAGGAGTTTGGAAACACACTGTTTGTAAACTCTGCAAGTGGATATATGGACCTGTTTGAGGCGTTCGTTGGAAACGGGATTTCTTCATTGAATGCTAGACGGAAGAATTCTCAGTAAATTCTTTGTGTTGTGTGCATTCAACTCACAGAGTGGAACGTCCCTTTAGACAGAGCAGATTTGAAACACTCTTTTTGCGGAATTTGCAAGTGGAGATTTCTAGCCATTTGATGCCAACAGTAGAAAGGGAAATATCTTCAAATAAAAACCAGACAGAATCATTCTCAGAAAATTCTTTGTGATGTGTGCGTTCAACTCACATAGTTTAACCTTTCTTTTCATAGAGCAGTTTGGAAACACTCTGTTTGTAAAGTCTGCAAGTGGATATATGGACCGCATTGAGGCCTTCGTTGGAAACGGGATTTCTTCATTTCATGCTAGACAGAAGAATTCTCAGTAACTTCTTTGTGCTGTGTGTATTCAACTCACAGAGTGGAACGTCCCTTTGCACAGAGCAGATTTGAAACACTCTTTTTGTGGAGTTTGCAAGTGGAGATTTCAAGCGATTTGATGCCAACAGTAGAAAAGGAAATATCTTCAAATAAAAACTAGACAGAATCATTCTCAGAAACTACTTTGTGATGTGTGCCTTCAACTCACAGAGTTTAACCTTTCTTTTCTTAGAGCAGTTTAGAAACACTCTGCTTGTTATGTCTGCAAGTGGATATTTGGACCTCTTTGAGGCCTTCGTTGCAAACGGGGTTTCTTCCTTTAATGCTAGACTAAGAAGAGTTCTCAGTAACTTTTTTGTGTTGTGTGTATTCAACTCACAGAGTTGAACCTTGCTTTAGAGAGAGCAGATTTGAAACACTCTTGCTGTGGCATTTTCAGGTGGAGATTTCAAGCGATTTGAGGACAATTGCAGAAAAGGAAATATCTTCGTATAATAACCAGACAGAATCATTCTCAGAAAGTGCTTTGTGATGTGTGCGTTCAACTCACAGAGTTTAACCTTTCTTTTCATAGAGGAGTTTGGAAACACACTGTTTGTAAAGTCTGCAAGTGGATATATGGACCTCTTTGAGGCCTTCGTTGGAAACGGGATTTCTTCATTGAATGCTAGACGGAAGAATTCTCAGTAAATTCTTTGTGTTGTGTGCATTCAACTCACAGAGTGGAACGTCCCTTTAGACAGAGCAGATTTGAAACACTCTTTTTGCGGAATTTGCAAGTGGAGATTTCTAGCAATTTGATGCCAACAGTAGAAAGGGAAATATCTTCAAATAAAAACCAGACAGAATCATTCTCAGAAAATTCTTTGTGATGTGTGCGTTCAACTCACATAGTTTAACCTTTCTTTTCATAGAGCAGTTTGGAAACACTCTGTTTGTAAAGTCTGCAAGTGGATATATGGACCGCATTGAGGCCTTCGTTGGAAACGGGATTTCTTCATTTCATGCTAGACAGAAGAATTCTCAGTAACTTCTTTGTGCTGTGTGTATTCAACTCACAGAGTGGAACGTCCCATTGCACAGAGCAGATTTGAAACACTCTTTTTGTGGAGTTTGCAAGTGGAGATTTCAAGCGATTTGATGCCAACAGTAGAAAAGGAAATATCTTCAAATAAAAACTAGACAGAATCATTCTCAGAAACTACTTTGTGATGTGTGCCTTCAACTCACAGAGTTTAACCTTTCTTTTCTTAGAGCAGTTTAGAAACACTCTGCTTGTTATGTCTGCAAGTGGATATTTGGACCTCTTTGAGGCCTTCGTTGCAAACGGGGTTTCTTCCTTTCATGCTAGACTAAGAAGAGTTCTCAGTAACTTTTTTGTGTTGTGTGTATTCAACTCACAGAGTTGAACCTTGCTTTAGAGAGAGCAGATTTGAAACACTCTTGCTGTGGCATTTTCAGGTGGAGATTTCAAGCGATTTGAGGACAATTGCAGAAAAGGAAATATCTTCGTATAATAACCAGACAGAATCATTCTCAGAAAGTGCTTTGTGATGTGTGCGTTCAACTCACAGAGTTTAACCTTTCTTTTCATAGAGGAGTTTGGAAACACACTGTTTGTAAAGTCTGCAATTGGATATATGGACCTGTTTGAGGCCTTCGTTGGAAACGGGATTTCTTCATTGCATGCTAGACGGAAGAATTCTCAGTAAATTCTTTGTGTTGTGTGCATTCAACTGACAGAGTGGAACGTCCCTTAAGACAGAGCAGATTTGAAACACTCTTTTTGCGGAATTTGCAAGTGGAGATTTCTAGCCATTTGATGCCAACAGTAGAAAGGGAAATATCTTCAAATAAAAACCAGACAGAATCATTCTCAGAAAATTCTTTGTGATGTGTGCGTTCAACTCACATAGTTTAACCTTTCTTTTCATAGAGCAGTTTGGAAACACTCTGTTTGTAAAGTCTGCAAGTGGATATATGGACCGCATTGAGGCCTTCGTTGGAAACGAGATTTCTTCATTTCATGCTAGACAGAAGAATTCTCAGTAACTTCTTTGTGCTGTGTGTATTCAACTCACAGAGTGGAACGTCCCTTTGCACAGAGCAGATTTGAAACACTCTTTTTGTGGAATTTGCAAGTGGAGATTTCAAGCGATTTGATGCCAACAGTAGAAAAGGAAATATCTTCAAATAAAAACTAGACAGAATCATTCTCAGAAACTACTTTGTGATGTGTGCCTTCAACTCACAGAGTTTAACATTTCTTTTCTTAGAGCAGTTTAGAAACACTCTGCTTGTTATGTCTGCAAGTGGATATTTGGACCTCTTTGAGGCCTTCGTTGCAAACGGCGTTTCTTCCTTTAATGCTAGACTAAGAAGAGTTCTCAGTAACTTTTTTGTGTTGTGTGTATTCAACTCACAGAGTTGAACCTTGCTTTAGAGAGAGCAGATTTGAAACACTCTTGCTGTGGCATTTTCAGGTGGAGATTTCAAGCGATTTGAGGACAATTGCAGAAAAGGAAATATCTTCGTATAATAACCAGACAGAATCATTCTCAGAAAGTGCTTTGTGATGTGTGCGTTCCACTCACAGAGTTTAACCTTTCTTTCCATAGAGGAGTTTGGAAACACACTGTTTGTAAAGTCTGCAATTGGATATATGGACCTGTTTGAGGCCTTCGTTGGAAACGGGATTTCTTCATTGAATGCTAGACGGAAGAATTCTCAGTAAATACTTTGTGTTGTGCGCATTCAACTGACAGAGTGGAACGTCCCTTTAGACAGAGCAGATTTGAAACACTCTTTTTGCGGAATTTGCAAGTGGAGATTTCTAGCCATTTGATGCCAACAGTAGAAAGGGAAATATCTTCAAATAAAAACCAGACAGAATCATTCTCAGAAAATTCTTTGTGATGTGTGCGTTCAACTCACATAGTTTAACCTTTCTTTTCATAGAGCAGTTTGGAAACACTCTGTTTGTAAAGTCTGCAAGTGGATATATGGACCTCTTTGAGGCCTTCGTTGGAAACGGGATTTCTTCATTGAATGCTAGACGGAAGAATTCTCAGTAAATTCTTTGTGTTGTGTGCATTGAACTCACAGAGTGGAACGTCCCTTTAGACAGAGCAGATTTGAAACACTCTTTTTGCGGAATTTGCAAGTGGCGATTTCTAGCCATTTGATGCCAACAGTAGAAAGGGAAATATCTTCAAATAAAAACCAGACAGAATCATTCTCAGAAAATTCTTTGTGATGTGTGCGTTCAACTCACATAGTTTAACCTTTCTTTTCATAGAGCAGTTTGGAAACACTCTGTTTGTAAAGTCTGCAACTGGATATATGGACCGCATTGAGGCCTTCGTTGGAAACGGGATTTCTTCATTTCATGCTAGACAGAAGAATTCTCAGTAACTTCTTTGTGCTGTGTGTATTCAACTCACAGAGTGGAACGTCCCTTTACACAGAGCAGATTTGAAACACTCTTTTTGTGGAGTTTGCAAGTGGAGATTTCAAGCGATTTGATGCCAACAGTAGAAAAGGAAATATCTTCAAATAAAAACTAGACAGAATCATTCTCAGAAACTACTTTGTGATGTGTGCCTTCAACTCACAGAGTTTAACCTTTCTTTTCTTAGAGCAGTTTAGAAACACTCTGCTTGTTATGTCTGCAAGTGGATATTTGGACCTCTTTGAGGCCTTCGTTGCAAACGGGGTTTCTTCCTTTCATGCTAGACTAAGAAGAGTTCTCAGTAACTTTTTTGTGTTGTGTGTATTCAACTCACAGAGTTGAACCTTGCTTTAGAGAGAGCAGATTTGAAACACTCTTGCTGTGGCATTTTCAGGTGGAGATTTCAAGCGATTTGAGGACAATTGCAGAAAAGGAAATATCTTCGTATAACAACCAGACAGAATCATTCTCAGAAAGTGCTTTGTGATGTGTGCGTTCAACTCACAGAGTTTAACCTTTCTTTTCATAGAGGAGTTTGGAAACACACTGTTTGTAAAGTCTGCAATTGGATATATGGACCTGTTTGAGGCCTTCGTTGGAAACGGGATTTCTTCATTGCATGCTAGACGGAAGAATTCTCAGTAAATTCTTTGTGTTGTGTGCATTCAACTCACAGAGTGGAACGTCCCTTTAGACAGAGCAGATTTGAAACACTCTTTTTGCGGAATTTGCAAGTGGAGATTTCTAGCCATTTGATGCCAACAGTAGAAAAGGAAATATCTTCAAATAAAAACTAGACAGAATCATTCTCAGAAAATTCTTTGTGATGTGTGCGTTCAACTCACATAGTTTAACCTTTCTTTTCATAGAGCAGTTTGGAAACACTCTGTTTGTAAAGTCTGCAAGTGGATATATGGACCGCATTGAGGCCTTCGTTGGAAACGGGATTTCTTCATTTCATGCTAGACAGAAGAATTCTCAGTAACTTCTTTGTGCTGTGTGTATTCAACTCACAGAGTGGAGCGTCCCTTTACACAGAGCAGATTTGAAACACTCTTTTTGTGGAGTTTGCAAGTGGAGATTTCAAGCGATTTGATGCCAACAGTAGAAAAGGAAATATCTTCAAATAAAAACTAGACAGAATCATTCTCAGAAACTACTTTGTGATGTGTGCCTTCAACTCACAGAGTTTAACCTTTCTTTTCTTAGAGCAGTTTAGAAACACTCTGCTTGTTATGTCTGCAAGTGGATATTTGGACCTCTTTGAGGCCTTCGTTGCAAACGGGGTTTCTTCCTTTCATGCTAGACTAAGAAGAGTTCTCAGTAACTTTTTTGTGTTGTGTGTATTCAACTCACAGAGGTGAACCTTGCTTTAGAGAGAGCAGATTTGAAACACTCTTGCTGTGGCATTTTCAGGTGGAGATTTCAAGCGATTTGAGGACAATTGCAGAAAAGGAAATATCTTCGTATAATAACCAGACAGAATCATTCTCAGAAAGTGCTTTGTGATGTGTGCGTTCAACTCACAGAGTTTAACCTTTCTTTTCATAGAGGAGTTTGGAAACACACTGTTTGTAAAGTCTGCAAGTGGATATATGGACCTGTTTGAGGCCTTCGTTGGAAACGGGATTTTATCATATAATGCTAGACGGAAGAATTCTCAGTAAATTCTTTGTGTTGTGTGCATTCAACTCACAGAGTGGAACGTCCCTTTAGACAGAGCAGATTTGAAACACTCTTTTTGCGGAATTTGCAAGTGGAGATTTCTAGCCATTTGATGCCAACAGTAGAAAGGGAAATATCTTCAAATAAAAACCAGACAGAATCATTCTCAGAAAATTCTTTGTGATGTGTGCGTTCAACTCACATAGTTTAACCTTTCTTTTCATAGAGCAGTTTGGAAACACTCTGTTTGTGATGTCTGCAAGTGGATATATAGACCGCATTGAGGCCTTCGTTGGAAACGGGATTTCTTCATTTCATGCTAGACAAGAATTCTCAGTAACTTCTTTGTGCTGTGTGTATTCAACTCACAGAGTGGAACGTCCCTTTGCACAGAGCAGATTTGAAACACTCTTTTTGTGGAGTTTGCAAGTGGAGATTTCAAGCGATTTGATGCCAACAGTAGAAAAGGAAATATCTTCAAATAAAAACTAGACAGAATCATTCTCAGAAACTACTTTGTGATGTGTGCCTTCAACTCACAGAGTTTAACCTTTCTTTTCTTAGAGCAGCTTAGAAACACTCTGCTTGTTATGTCTGCAAGTTGATATTTGGACCTCTTTGAGGCCTTCATTGCAAACGGGGTTTCTTCCTTTAATGCTAGACTAAGAAGAGTTCTCAGTAACTTTTTTGTGTTGTGTGTATTCAACTCACAGAGTTGAACCTTGCTTTAGAGAGAGCAGATTTGAAACACTCTTGCTGTGGCATTTTCAGGTGGAGATTTCAAGCGATTTGAGGACAATTGCAGAAAAGGAAATATCTTCGTATAATAACCAGACAGAATCATTCTCAGAAAGTGCTTTGTGATGTGTGCGTTCAACTCACAGAGTTTAACCTGTCTTTTCATAGAGGAGTTTGGAAACACACTGTTTGTAAAGTCTGCAAGTGGATATATGGACCTGTTTGAGGCCTTCGTTGGAAACGGGATTTCTTCATTGAATGCTAGACGGAAGAATTCTCAGTAAATTCTTTGTGTTGTGTGCATTCAACTGACAGAGTGGAACGTCCCTTTAGACAGAGCAGATTTGAAACACTCTTTTTGCGGAATTTGCAAGTGGAGATTTCTAGCCATTTGATGCCAACAGTAGAAAGGGAAATATCTTCAAATAAAAACCAGACAGAATCATTCTCAGAAAATTCTTTGTGATGTGTGCGTTCAACTCACATAGTTTAACCTTTCTTTTCATAGAGCAGTTTGGAAACACTCTGTTTGTAAAGTCTGCAAGTGGATATATGGACCGCATTGAGGCCTTCGTTGGAAACGGGATTTCTTCATTTCATGCTAGACAGAAGAATTCTCAGTAACTTCTTTGTGCTGTGTGTATTCAACTCACAGAGTGGAACGTCCCTTTACACAGAGCAGATTTGAAACACTCTTTTTGTGGAGTTTGCAAGTGGAGATTTCAAGCGATTTGATGCCAACAGTAGAAAAGGAAATATCTTCAAATAAAAACTGGACAGAATCATTCTCAGAAACTACTTTGTGATGTGTGCCTTCAACTCACAGAGTTTAACCTTTCTTTTCTTAGAGCAGTTTAGAAACACTCTGCTTGTTATGTCTGCAAGTGGATATTTGGACCTCTTTGAGGCCTTCGTTGCAAACGGGGTTTCTTCCTTTCATGCTAGACTAAGAAGAGTTCTCAGTAACTTTTCTGTGTTGTGTGTATTCAACTCACAGAGTTGAACCTTGCTTTAGAGAGAGCAGATTTGAAACACTCTTGCTGTGACATTTTCAGGTGGAGATTTCAAGCGATTTGAGGACAATTGCAGAAAAGGAAATATCTTCGTATAACAACCAGACAGAATCATTCTCAGAAAGTGCTTTGTGATGTGTGCGTTCCACTCACAGAGTTTAACCTTTCTTTTCATAGAGGAGTTTGGAAACACACTGTTTGTAAAGTCTGCAATTGGATATATGGACCTGTTTGAGGCCTTCGTTGGAAACGGGATTTCTTCATTGAATGCTAGACGGAAGAATTCTCAGTAAATTCTTTGTGTTGTGTGCATTCAACTCACAGAGTGGAACGTCCCTTTAGACAGAGCAGATTTGAAACACTCTTTTTGCGGAATTTGCAAGTGGAGATTTCTAGCCATTTGATGCCAACAGTAGAAAGGGAAATATCTTCAAATAAAAACCAGACAGAATCATTCTCAGAAAATTCTTTGTGATGTGTGCGTTCAACTCACATAGTTTAACCTTTCTTTTCATAGAGCAGTTTGGAAACACTCTGTTTGTAAAGTCTGCAAGTGGATATATGGACCGCATTGAGGCCTTCGTTGGAAACGGGATTTCTTCATTTCATGCTAGACAGAAGAATTCTCAGTAACTTCTTTGTGCTGTGTGTATTCAACTCACAGAGTGGAACGTCCCTTTGCACAGAGCAGATTTGAAACACTCTTTTTGTGGAGTTTGCAAGTGGAGATTTCAAGCGATTTGATGCCAACAGTAGAAAAGGAAATATCTTCAAATAAAAACTAGACAGAATCATTCTCAGAAACTACTTTGTGATGTGTGCCTTCAACTCACAGAGTTTAACCTTTCTTTTCTTAGAGCAGTTTAGAAACACTCTGCTTGTTATGTCTGCAAGTGGATATTTGGACCTCTTTGAGGCCTTCGTTGCAAACGGGGTTTCTTCCTTTCATGCTAGACTAAGAAGAGTTCTCAGTAACTTTTTTGTGTTGTGTGTATTCAACTCACAGAGTTGAACCTTGCTTTAGAGAGAGCAGATTTGAAACACTCTTGCTGTGGCATTTTCAGGTGGAGATTTCAAGCGATTTGAGGACAATTGCAGAAAAGGAAATATCTTCGTATAATAACCAGACAGAATCATTCTCAGAAAGTGCTTTGTGATGTGTGCGTTCAACTCACAGAGTTTAACCTTTCTTTTCATAGAGGAGTTTGGAAACACACTGTTTGTAAAGTCTGCAAGTGGATATATGGACCTGTTTGAGGCCTTCGTTGGAAACGGGATTTCTTCATTGAATGCTAGACGGAAGAATTCTCAGTAAATTCTTTGTGTTGTGTGCATTCAACTCACAGAGTGGAACGTCCCTTTAGACAGAGCAGATTTGAAACACTCTTTTTGCGGAATTTGCAAGTGGAGATTTCTAGCCATTTGATGCCAACAGTAGAAAGGGAAATATCTTCAAATAAAAACCAGACAGAATCATTCTCAGAAAATTCTTTGTGATGTGTGCGTTCAACTCACATAGTTTAACCTTTCTTTTCATAGAGCAGTTTGGAAAAACTCTGTTTGTAAAGTCTGCAAGTGGATATATGGACCGCATTGAGGCCTTCGTTGGAAACGGGATTTCTTCATTTCATGCTAGACAGAAGAATTCTCAGTAACTTCTTTGTGCTGTGTGTATTCAACTCACAGAGTGGAACGTCCCTTTACACAGAGCAGATTTGAAACACTCTTTTTGTGGAGTTTGCAAGTGGAGATTTCAAGCGATTTGATGCCAACAGTAGAAAAGGAAATATGCTTCAAATAAAAACTAGACAGAATCATTCTCAGAAACTACTTTGTGATGTGTGCCTTCAACTCACAGAGTTTAACCTTTCTTTTCTTAGAGCAGTTTAGAAACACTCTGCTTGTTATGTCTGCAAGTGGATATTTGGACCTCTTTGAGGCCTTCGTTGCAAACGGGGTTTCTTCCGTTCATGCTAGACTAAGAAGAGTTCTCAGTAACTTTTTTGTGCTGTGTGTATTCAACTCACAGAGTTGAACCTTGCTTTAGAGAGAGCAGATTTGAAACACTCTTGCTGTGACATTTTCAGGTGGAGATTTCAAGCGATTTGAGGACAATTGCAGAAAAGGAAATATCTTCGTATAACAACCAGACAGAATCATTCTCAGAAAGTGCTTTGTGATGTGTGCGTTCCACTCACAGAGTTTAACCTTTCTTTTCATAGAGGAGTTTGGAAACACACTGTTTGTAAAGTCTGCAAGTGGATATATGGACCTGTTTGAGGCCTTCGTTGGAAACGGGATTTCTTCATTGAATGCTAGACGGAAGAATTCTCAGTAAATTCTTTGTGTTGTGTGCATTCAACTCACAGAGTGGAACGTCCCTTTAGACAGAGCAGATTTGAAACACTCTTTTTGCGGAATTTGCAAGTGGAGATTTCTAGCCATTTGATGCCAACAGTAGAAAGGGAAATATTTTCAAATAAAAACCAGACAGAATCATTCTCAGAAAATTCTTTGTGATGTGTGCGTTCAACTCACATAGTTTAACCTTTCTTTTCATAGAGCAGTTTGGAAACACTCTGTTTGTAAAGTCTGCAAGTGGATCTATGGACCGCATTGAGGCCTTCGTTGGAAACGGGATTTCTTCATTTCATGCTAGACAGAAGAATTCTCAGTAACTTCTTTGTGCTGTGTGTATTCAACTCACAGAGTGGAACGTCCCTTTACACAGAGCAGATTTGAAACACTCTTTTTGTGGAGTTTGCAAGTGGAGATTTCAAGCGATTTGATGCCAACAGTAGAAAAGGAAATATCTTCAAATAAAAACTGGACAGAATCATTCTCAGAAACTACTTTGTGATGTGTGCCTTCAACTCACAGAGTTTAACCTTTCTTTTCTTAGAGCAGTTTAGAAACACTCTGCTTGTTATGTCTGCAAGTGGATATTTGGACCTCTTTGAGGCCTTCGTTGCAAACGGGGTTTCTTCTTTCATGCTAGACTAAGAAGAGTTCTCAGTAACTTTTTTGTGTTGTGTGTATTCAACTCACAGAGTTGAACCTTGCTTTAGAGAGAGCAGATTTGAAACACTCTTGCTGTGACATTTTCAGGTGGAGATTTCAAGCGATTTGAGGACAATTGCAGAAAAGGAAATATCTTCGTATAATAACCAGAAAGAATCATTCTCAGAAAGTGCTTTGTGATGTGTGCGTTCAACTCACAGAGTTTAACCTTTCCTTTCATAGAGGAGTTTGGAAACACACTGTTTGTAAAGTCTGCAAGTGGATATATGGACCAGTTTGAGGCCTTCGTTGGAAACGGGATTTCTTCATTGAATGCTAGACGGAAGAATTCTCAGTAAATTCTTTGTGTTGTGTGCATTCAACTCACAGAGTGGAACGTCCCTTTAGACAGAGCAGATTTGAAACACTCTTTTTGCGGAATTTGCAAGTGGAGATTTCTAGCCATTTGATGCCAACAGTAGAAAGGGAAATATCTTCAAATAAAAACCAGACAGAATCATTCTCAGAAAATTCTTTGTGATGTGTGCGTTCAACTCACATAGTTTAACCTTTCTTTTCATAGAGCAGTTTGGGAACACTCTGTTGGTAATGTCTGCAAGTGGATATATGGACCGCTTTGAGGCCTTCGTTGGAAACGGGATTTCTTCATTTCATGCTAGACAGAAGAATTCTCAGTAACTTCTTTGTGCTGTGTGTATTCAACTCACAGAGTGGAACGTCCCTTTACACAGAGAAGATTTGAAACACTCTTTTTGTGGAGTTTGCAAGTGGAGATTTCAAGCGATTTGATGCCAACAGTAGAAAAGGAAATATCTTCAAATAAAAACTAGACAGAATCATTCTCAGAAACTACTTTGTGATGTGTGCCTTCAACTCACAGAGTTTAACCTTTCTTTTCTTAGAGCAGTTTAGAAACACTCTGCTTGTTATGTCTGCAAGTGGATATTTGGACCTCTTTGAGGCCTTCGTTGCAAACGGGGTTTCTTCCTTTCATGCTAGACTAAGAAGAGTTCTCAGTAACTTTTTTGTGTTGTGTGTATTCAACTCACAGAGTTGAACCTTGCTTTAGAGAGAGCAGATTTGAAACACTCTTGCTGTGGCATTTTCAGGTGGAGATTTCAAGCGATTTGAGGTCAATTGCAGAAAAGGAAATATCTTCGTATAATAACCAGACAGAATCATTCTCAGAAAGTGCTTTGTGATGTGTGCGTTCAACTCACAGAGTTTAACCTTTCTTTTCATAGAGGAGTTTGGAAACACACTGTTTGTAAAGTCTGCAAGTGGATATATGGACCTGTTTGAGGCTTCGTTGGAAACGGGATTTCTTCATTGAATGCTAGACGGAAGAATTCTCAGTAAATTCTTTGTGTTGTGTGCATTCAACTCACAGAGTGGAACGTCCCTTTAGACAGAGCAGATTTGAAACACTCTTTTTGCGGAATTTGCAAGTGGAGATTTCTAGCCATTTGATGCCAACAGTAGAAAGGGAAATATCTTCAAATAAAAACCAGACAGAATCATTCTCAGAAAATTCTTTGTGATGTGTGCGTTCAACTCACATAGTTTAACCTTTCTTTTCATAGAGCAGTTTGGAAACACTCTGTTTGTGATGTCTGCAAGTGGATATATAGACCGCATTGAGGCCTTCGTTGGAAACGGGATTTCTTCATTTCATGCTAGACAGAAGAATTCTCAGTAACTTCTTTGTGCTGTGTGTATTCAACTCACAGAGTGGAACGTCCCTTTGCACAGAGCAGATTTGAAACACTCTTTTTGTGGAGTTTGCAAGTGGATATTTCAAGCGATTTGATGCCAACAGTAGAAAAGGAAATATCTTCAAATAAAAACTAGACAGAATCATTCTCAGAAACTACTTTGTGATGTGTGCCTTCAACTCACAGAGTTTAACCTTTCTTTTCTTAGAGCAGTTTAGAAACACTCTGCTTGTTATGTCTGCAAGTGGATATTTGGACCTCTTTGAGGCCTTCGTTGCAAACGGGGTTTCTTCCCTTTAATGCTAGACTAAGAAGAGTTCTCAGTAACTTTTTTGTGTTGTGTGTATTCAACTCACAGAGTTGAACCTTGCTTTAGAGAGAGCAGATTTGAAACACTCTTGCTGTGGCATTTTCAGGTGGAGATTTCAAGCGTTTTGAGGACAATTGCAGAAAAGGAAATATCTTCGTATAATAACCAGACAGAATCATTCTCAGAAAGTGCTTTGTGATGTGTGCGTTCAACTCACAGAGTTTAACCTTTCTTTTCATAGAGGAGTTTGGAAACACACTGTTTGTAAAGTCTGCAAGTGGATATATGGACCTGTTTGAGGCCTTCGTTGGAAACGGGATTTCTTCATTGAATGCTAGACGGAAGAATTCTCAGTAAATTCTTTGTGTTGTGTGCATTCAACTCACAGAGTGGAACGTCCCTTTAGACAGAGCAGATTTGAAACACTCTTTTTGCGGAATTTACAAGTGGAGATTTCTAGCCATTTGATGCCAACAGTAGAAAGGGAAATATCTTCAAATAAAAACCAGACAGAATCATTCTCAGAAAATTCTTTGTGATGTGTGCGTTCAACTCACATAGTTTAACCTTTCTTTTCATAGAGCAGTTTGGAAACACTCTGTTTGTAAAGTCTGCAAGTGGATATATGGACCGCATTGAGGCCTTCGTTGGAAACGGGATTTCTTCATTTCATGCTAGACAGAAGAATTCTCAGTAACTTCTTTGTGCTGTGTGTATTCAACTCACAGAGTGGAACGTCCCTTTGCACAGAGCAGATTTGAAACACTCTTTTTGTGGAGTTTGCAAGTGGAGATTTCAAGCGATTTGATGCCAACAGTAGAAAAGGAAATATCTTCAAATAAAAACTAGACAGAATCATTCTCAGAAACTACTTTGTGATGTGTGCCTTCAACTCACAGAGTTTAACCTTTCTTTTCTTAGAGCAGTTTAGAAACACTCTGCTTGTTATGTCTGCAAGTGGATATTTGGACCTCTTTGAGGCCTTCGTTGCAAACGGGGTTTCTTCCTTTCATGCTAGACTAAGAAGAGTTCTCAGTAACTTTTTTGTGTTGTGTGTATTCAACTCACAGAGTTGAACCTTGCTTTAGAGAGAGCAGATTTGAAACACTCTTGCTGTGGCATTTTCAGGTGGAGATTTCAAGCGATTTGAGGACAATTGCAGAAAAGGAAATATCTTCGTATAACAACCAGACAGAATCATTCTCAGAAAGTGCTTTGTGATGTGTGCGTTCCACTCACAGAGTTTAACCTTTCTTTTCATAGAGGAGTTTGGAAACACACTGTTTGTAAAGTCTGCAATTGGATATATGGACCTGTTTGAGGCCTTCGTTGGAAACGGGATTTCTTTATTGAATGCTAGACCGAAAGAATTCTCAGTAAATTCTTTGTGTTGTGTGCATTCAACTCACAGAGTGGAACGTCCCTTTAGACAGAGCAGATTTGAAACACTCTTTTTGCGGAATTTGCAAGTGGAGATTTCTAGCCATTTGATGCCAACAGTAGAAAGGGAAATATCTTCAAATAAAAACCAGACAGAATCATCCTCAGAAAATTCTTTGTGATGTGTGCGTTCAACTCACATAGTTTAACCTTTCTTTTCATAGAGCAGTTTGGAAACACTCTGTTGGTAATGTCTGCAAGTGGATATATGGACCGCTTTGAGGCCTTCGTTGGAAACGGGATTTCTTCATTTCAGGCTAGACAGAAGAATTCTCAGTAACTTCTTTGTGTTGTGTGCATTCAACTCACAGAATGGAACGTCCCTTTACACAGAGCAGATTTGAAACACTCTTTTTGTGGAATTTGCAAGTGGAGATTTCAAGCGATTTGATGCCAACAGTAGAAAAGGAAATATCTGCAAATAAAAACTAGACAGAATCATTCTCAGAAACTACTTTGTGATGTGTGCCTTCAACTCACAGAGTTTAACCTTTCTTTTCTTAGAGCAGTTTAGAAACACTCTGCTTGTTATGTCTGCAAGTGGATATTTGGACCTCTTTGAGGCCTTCGTTGCAAACGGGGTTTCTTCCTTTAATGCTAGACTAAGAACAGTTCTCAGTAACTTTTTTGTGTTGTGTGTATTCAACTCACAGAGTTGAACCTTGCTTTAGAGAGAGCAGATTTGAAACACTCTCGCTGTGGAATTTTCAGGTGGAGATTTCAAGCGATTTGAGGACAATTGCAGAAAAGGAAATATCTTCGTATAATAACCAGACAGAATCATTCTCAGAAAGTGCTTTGTGATGTGTGCGTTCCACTCACAGAGTTTAACCTTTCTTTTCATAGAGGAGTTTGGAAACACACTGTTTGTAAACTCTGCAAGTGGATATATGGACCTGTTTGAGGCCTTCGTTGGAAACGGGATTTCTTCATTGAATGCTAGACGGAAGAATTCTCAGTAAATTCTTTGTGTTGTGTGCATTCAACTCACAGAGTGGAACGTCCCTTTAGACAGAGCAGATTTGAAACACTCTTTTTGCGGAATTTGCAAGTGGAGATTTCTAGCCATTTGATGCCAACAGTAGAAAGGGAAATATCTTCAAATAAAAACCAGACAGAATCATTCTCAGAAAATTCTTTGTGATGTGTGCGTTCAACTCACATAGTTTAACCTTTCTTTTCATGGAGCAGTTTGGAAACACTCTGTTTGTAAAGTCTGCAAGTGGATATATGGACCGCATTGAGGCCTTCGTTGGAAACGGGATTTCTTCATTTCATGCTAGACAAAAGAATTCTCAGTAACTTCTTTGTGCTGTGTGTACTCAACTCACAAAGTGGAACGTCCCTTTGCACAGAGCAGATTTGAAACACTCTTTTTGTGGAGTTTGCAAGTGGAGATTTCAAGCGATTTGATGCCAACAGTAGAAAAGGAAATATCTTCAAATAAAAACTAGACAGAATCATTCTCAGAAACTACTTTGTGATGTGTGCCTT
Source organism: Homo sapiens (assembly GCF_000001405.40). Classification (NCBI taxonomy): domain Eukaryota; kingdom Metazoa; phylum Chordata; class Mammalia; order Primates; family Hominidae; genus Homo; species Homo sapiens. The sequence goes on from NC_000007.14 coordinate 60,088,430, forward strand.
CAACTCACAGAGTTTAACCTTTCTTTTCTTAGAGCAGTTTAGAAACACTCTGCTTGTTATGTCTGCAAGTGGATATTTGGACCTCTTTGAGGCCTTCGTTGCAAACGGGGTTTCTTCCTTTCATGCTAGACTAAGAAGAGTTCTCAGTAACTTTTTTGTGTTGTGTGTATTCAACTCACAGAGTTGAACCTTGCTTTAGAGAGAGCAGATTTGAAACACTCTTGCTGTGGCATTTTCAGGTGGAGATTTCAAGCGATTTGAGGACAATTGCAGAAAAGGAAATATCTTCGTATAATAACCAGACAGAATCATTCTCAGAAAGTGCTTTGTGATGTGTGCGTTCAACTCACAGAGTTTAACCTTTCTTTTCATAGAGGAGTTTGGAAACACACTGTTTGTAAAGTCTGCAAGTGGATATATGGACCTGTTTGAGGCCTTCTTTGGAAACGGGATTTCTTCATTGAATGCTAGACGGAAGAATTCTCAGTAACTTCTTTGTGTTGTGTGTATTCAACTCACAGATTGGAACGTCCCTTTACACAGAGCAGATTTGAAACACTCTTTTTGTGGAATTTGCAAGTGGAGATTTCAAGCGATTTGATGCCAACAGTAGAAAAGGAAATATCTGCAAACAAAAACTAGACAGAATCATTATCAGAAAGTGCTTTGTGATGTGTGCATTCAACTCACAGAGTTAACCTTTCTTTTCATAAAGGAGTTTGGAAACACACTGTTTGTAAAGTCTGCAATTGGATATATGGACCTGTTTGAGGCCTTCGTTGGAAACGGGATTTCTTCATTGAATGCTAGACGGAAGAATTCTCAGTAAATTCTTTGTGTTGTGTGCATTCAACTCACAGAGTGGAACGTCCCTTTAGACAGAGCAGATTTGAAACACTCTTTTTGCGGAATTTGCAAGTGGAGATTTCTAGCCATTTGATGCCAACAGTAGAAAGGGAAATATCTTCAAATAAAAACCAGACAGAATCATTCTCATAAAATTCTTTGTGATGTGTGCGTTCAAATCACATAGTTTAACCTTTCTTTTCATAGAGCAGTTTGGAAACACTCTGTTTGCAAAGTCTGCAAGTGGATATATGGACCGCATTGAGGCCTTCGTTGGAAACGGGATTTCTTCATTTCATGCTAGACAGAAGAATTCTCAGTAACTTCTTTGTGCTGTGTGTATTCAACTCACAGAGTGGAACGTCCCTTTACACAGAGCAGATTTGAAACACTCTTTTTGTGGAATTTGCAAGTGGAGATTTCAAGCGATTTGATGCCAACAGTAGAAAAGGAAATATCTTCAAATAAAAACTAGACAGAATCATTCTCAGAAACTACTTTGTGATGTGTGCCTTCAACTCACAGAGTTTAACCTTTCTTTTCTTAGAGCAGTTTAGAAACACTCTGCTTGTTATGTCTGCAAGTGGATATTTGGACCTCTTTGAGGCCTTCGTTGCAAACGGGGTTTCTTCCTTTAATGCTAGACTAAGAAGAGTTCTCAGTAACTTTTTTGTGTTGTGTGTATTCAACCCACAGAGTTGAACCTTGCTTTAGAGAGAGCAGATTTGAAACACTCTTGCTGTGGCATTTTCAGGTGGAGATTTCAAGCGATTTGAGGACAATTGCAGAAAAGGAAATATCTTCGTATAATAACCAGACAGAATCATTCTCAGAAAGTGCTTTGTGATGTGTGCGTTCAACTCACAGAGTTTAACCTTTCTTTTCATAGAGGAGTTTGGAAACACACTGTTTGTAAAGTCTGCAATTGGATATATGGACCTGTTTGAGGCCTTCGTTGGAAACGGGATTTCTTCATTGAATGCTAGACGGAAGAATTCTCAGTAAATTCTTTGTGTGGTGTGCATTCAACTCACAGAGTGGAACGTCCCTTTAGACAGAGCAGATTTGAAACACTCTTTTTGCGGAATTTGCAAGTGGAGATTTCTAGCCATTTGATGCCAACAGTAGAAAGGGAAATATCTTCAAATAAAAACCAGACAGAATCATTCTCAGAAAATTCTTTGTGATGTGTGCGTTCAACTCACATAGTTTAACCTTTCTTTTCATAGAGCAGTTTGGAAACACTCTGTTTGTAAAGTCTGCAAGTGGATCTATGGACCGCATTGAGGCCTTCGTTGGAAACGGGATTTCTTCATTTCATGCTAGACAGAAGAATTCTCAGTAACTTCTTTGTGCTGTGTGTATTCAACTCACAGAGTGGAACGTTCCTTTACACAGAGCAGATTTGAAACACTCTTTTTGTGGAATTTGCAAGTGGAGATTTCAAGCGATTTGATGCCAACAGTAGAAAAGGAAATATCTTCAAATAAAAACTAGACAGAATCATTCTCAGAAACTACTTTGTGATGTGTGCCTTCAACTCACAGAGTTTAACCTTTTCTTTTCTTAGAGCAGTTTAGAAACACTCTGCTTGTTATGTCTGCAAGTGGATATTTGGACCTCTTTGAGGCCTTCGTTGCAAACGGGGTTTCTTCCTTTCATGCTAGACTAAGAAGAGTTCTCAGTAACTTTTTTGTGTTGTGTGTATTCAAATCACAGAGTTGAACCTTGCTTTAGAGAGAGCAGATTTGAAACACTCTTGCTGTGGCATTTTCAGGTGGAGATTTCAAGCGATTTGAGGACAATTGCAGAAAAGGAAATATCTTCGTATAATAACCAGACAGAATCATTCTCAGAAAGTGCTTTGTGATGTGTGCGTTCAACTCACAGAGTTTAACCTTTCTTTTCATAGAGGAGTTTGGAAACACACTGTTTGTAAAGTCTGCAATTGGATATATGGACCTGTTTGAGGCCTTCGTTGGAAACGGGATTTCTTCATTGAATGCTAGACGGAAGAATTCTCAGTAAATTCTTTGTGTTGTGTGCATTCAACTCACAGAGTGGAACGTCCCTTTAGACAGAGCAGATTTGAAACACTCTTTTTGCGGAATTTGCAAGTGGAGATTTCTAGCCATTTGATGCCAACAGTAGAAAGGGAAATATCTTCAAATAAAAACCAGACAGAATCATTCTCAGAAAATTCTTTGTGATGTGTGCGTTCAACTCACATAGTTTAACCTTTCTTTTCATAGAGCAGTTTGGAAACACTCTGTTTGTAAAGTCTGGCAAGTGGATATATGGACCGCATTGAGGCCTTCGTTGGAAACGGGATTTCTTCATTTCATGCTAGACAGAAGAATTCTCAGTAACTTCTTTGTGCTGTGTGTATTCAACTCACAGAGTGGAACGTCCCTTTGCACAGAGCAGATTTGGAACACTCTTTTTGTGGAGTTTGCTAGTGGAGATTTCAAGCGATTTGATGCCAACAGTAGAAAAGGAAATATCTTCAAATAAAAACTAGACAGAATCATTCTCAGAAACTACTTTGTGATGTGTGCCTTCAACTCACAGAGTTTAACCTTTCTTTTCTTAGAGCAGTTTAGAAACACTCTGCTTGTTATGTCTGCAAGTGGATATTTGGACCTCTTTGAGGCCTTCGTTGCAAACGGGGTTTCTTCCTTTAATGCTAGACTAAGAAGAGTTCTCAGTAACTTTTTTGTGTTGTGTGTATTCAACTCACAGAGTTGAACCTTGCTTTAGAGAGAGCAGATTTGAAACACTCTTGCTGTGGCATTTTCAGGTGGAGATTTCAAGCGATTTGAGGACAATTGCAGAAAAGGAAATATCTTCGTATAATAACCAGACAGAATAATTCTCAGAAAGTGCTTTGTGATGTGTGCGTTCCACTCACAGAGTTTAACCTTTCTTTTCATAGAGGAGTTTGGAAACACACTGTTTGTAAAGTCTGCAAGTGGATATATGGACCTCTTTGAGGCCTTCGTTGGAAACGGGATTTCTTCATTGAATGCTAGACGGAAGAATTCTCAGTAAATTCTTTGTGTTGTGTGCATTCAACTCACAGAGTGGAACGTCCCTTTAGACAGAGCAGATTTGAAACACTCTTTTTGCGGAATTTGCAAGTGGAGATTTCTAGCCATTGGATGCCAACAGTAGAAAGGGAAATATCTTCAAATAAAAACTAGACAGAATCATTCTCAGAAAATTCTTTGTGATGTGTGCGTTCAACTCACAATAGTATAACCTTTCTTTTCATAGAGCAGTTTGGAAACACTCTGTTTGTAAAGTCTGCAAGTGGATATATGGACCGCATTGAGGCCTTCGTTGGAAACGGGATTTCTTCATTTCATGCTAGACAGAAGAATTCTCAGTAACTTCTTTGTGCTGTGTGTATTCAACTCACAGAGTGGAACGTCCCTTTACACAGAGCAGATTTGAAACACTCTTTTTGTGGAGTTTGCAAGTGGAGATTTCAAGCGATTTGATGCCAACAGTAGAAAAGGAAATATCTTCAAATAAAAACTAGACAGAATCATTCTCAGAAACTACTTTGTGATGTGTGCCTTCAACTCACAGAGTTTAACCTTTCTTTTCTTAGAGCAGTTTAGAAACACTCTGCTTGTTATGTCTGCAAGTGGATATTTGGACCTCTTTGAGGCCTTCGTTGCAAACGGGGTTTCTTCCTTTCATGCTAGACTAAGAAGAGTTCTCAGTAACTTTTTTGTGTTGTGTGTATTCAACTCACAGAGTTGAACCTTGCTTTAGAGAGAGCAGATTTGAAACACTCTTGCTGTGGCATTTTCAGGTGGAGATTTCAAGCGATTTGAGGACAATTGCAGAAAAGGAAATATCTTCGTATAATAACCAGACAGAATCATTCTCAGAAAATTCTTTGTGATGTGTGCGTTCAACTCACATAGTTTAACCTTTCTTTTCATAGAGCAGTTTGGAAACACTCTGTTTGTAAAGTCTGCAAGTGGATATATGGACCTGTTTGAGGCCTTCGTTGGAAACGGGATTTCTTCATTGAATGCTAGACGGAAGAATTCTCAGTAACTTCTTTGTGCTGTGTGTATTCAACTCACAGAGTGGAACGTCCCTTTGCACAGAGCAGATTTGAAACACTCTTTTTGTGGAGTTTGCAAGTGGAGATTTCAAGCGATTTGATGCCAACAGTAGAAAAGGAAGTATCTTCAAATAAAAACTAGACAGAATCATTCTCAGAAACTACTTTGTGATGTGTGCCTTCAACTCACAGAGTTTAACCTTTCTTTTCTTAGAGCAGTTTAGAAACACTCTGCTTGTTATGTCTGCAAGTGGATATTTGGACCTCTTTGAGGCCTTCGTTACAAACGGGGTTTCTTCCTTTAATGTTAGACTAAGAAGAGTTCTCAGTAACTTTTTTGTGTTGTGTGTATTCAACTCACAGAGTTGAACCTTGCTTTAGAGAGAGCAGATTTGAAACACTCTCGCTGTGGAATTTTCAGGTGGAGATTTCAAGCGATTTGAGGACAATTGCAGAAAAGGAAATATCTTCGTATAATAACCAGACAGAATCATTCTCAGAAAGTGCTTTGTGATGTGTGCGTTCAACTCACAGAGTTTAACCTTTCTTTTCATAGAGGAGTTTGGAAACACACTGTTTGTAAAGTCTGCAAGTGGATATATGGACCTCTTTGAGGCCTTCGTTGGAAACGGGATTTCTTCATTGAATGCTAGACGGAAGAATTCTCAGTAAATTCTTTGTGTTGTGTGCATTCAACTCACAGAGTGGAACGTTCCTTTAGACAGAGCAGATTTGAAAAACTCTTTTTGCGGAATTTGCAAGTGGAGATTTCTAGCCATTTGATGCCAACAGTAGAAAGGGAAATATCTTCAAATAAAAACCAGACAGAATCATTCTCAGAAAATTCTTTGTGATGTGTGCGTTCAACTCACATAGTTTAACCTTTCTATTCATAGAGCAGTTTGGAAACACTGTTTGTAAAGTCTGCAAGTGGATATATGGACCGCATTGAGGCCTTCGTTGGAAACGGGATTTCTTCATTTCATGCTAGACAGAAGAATTCTCAGTAACTTCTTTGTGCTGTGTGTATTCAACTCACAGAGTGGAACGTCCCTTTGCACAGAGCAGATTTGAAACACTCTTTTTGTGGAGTGTGCAAGTGGAGATTTCAAGCGATTTGATGCCAACAGTAGAAAAGGAAATATCTTCAAATAAAAACTAGACAGAATCATTCTCAGAAACTACTTTGTGATGTGTGCCTTCAACTCACAGAGTTTAACCTTTCTTTTCTTAGAGCAGTTTAGAAACACTCTGCTTGTTATGTCTGCAAGTGGATATTTGGACCTCTTTGAGGCCTTCGTTGCAAACGGGGTTTCTTCCTTTCATGCTAGACTAAGAAGAGTTCTCAGTAACTTTTTTGTGTTGTGTGTATTCAACTCACAGAGTTGAACCTTGCTTTAGAGAGAGCAGATTTGAAACACTCTTGCTGTGGCATTTTCAGGTGGAGATTTCAAGCGATTTGAGGACAATTGCAGAAAAGGAAATATCTTCGTATAACAACCAGACAGAATCATTCTCAGAAAGTGCTTTGTGATGTGTGCGTTCAACTCACAGAGTTTAACCTTTCTTTTCATAGAGGAGTTTGGAAACACACTGTTTGTAAAGTCTGCAAGTGGATATATGGACCTGTTTGAGGCCTTCGTTGGAAACGGGATTTCTTCATTGAATGCTAGACGGAAGAATTCTCAGTAAATTCTTTGTGTTGTGTGCATTCAACTGACAGAGTGGAACGTCCCTTTAGACAGAGCAGATTTGAAACACTCTTTTTGCGGAATTTGCAAGTGGAGATTTCTAGCCATTTGATGCCAACAGTAGAAAGGGAAATATCTTCAAATAAAAACCAGACAGAATCATTCTCAGAAAATTCTTTGTGATGTGTGCGTTCAACTCACATAGTTTAACCTTTCTTTTCATAGAGCAGTTTGGAAACACTCTGTTTGTAAAGTCTGCAAGTGGATATATGGACCGCATTGAGGCCCTTCGTTGGAAACGGGATTTCTTCATTTCATGCTAGACAGAAGAATTCTCAGTAACTTCTTTGGGTTGTGTGTATTCAAGTCACAGAGTGGAACGTCCCTTTAGACAGAGTAGATTTGAAACACTCTTTTTGTGGATTTTGCAAGTGGAGATTTCAAGCGATTTGATCCCATCAGTAGAAAAGGAAATATCTTCAAATTAAAACTAGACAGAATCATTCTCAGAAACTACTTTGTGATGTGTGCCTTCAACTCACAGAGTTTAACCTTTCTTTTCTTAGAGCAGTTTAGAAACACTCTGCTTGTTATGTCTGCAAGTGGATATTTGGACCTCTTTGAGGCCTTCGTTGCAAACGGGGTTTCTTCCTTTCATGCTAGACTAAGAAGAGTTCTCAGTAACTTTTTTGTGTTGTGTGTATTCAACTCACAGAGTTGAACCTTGCTTTAGAGAGAGCAGATTTGAAACACTCTTGCTGTGGCATTTTCAGGTGGAGATTTCAAGCGATTTGAGGACAATTGCAGAAAAGGAAATATCTTCGTATAATAACCAGACAGAATCATTCTCAGAAAGTGCTTTGTGATGTGTGCGTTCAACTCACAGAGTTTAACCTTTCTTTTCATAGAGGAGTTTGGAAACACACTGTTTGTAAAGTCTGCAATTGGATATATGGACCTGTTTGAGGCCTTCGTTGGAAACGGGATTTCTTCATTGCATGCTAGACGGAAGAATTCTCAGTAAATTCTTTGTGTGGTGTGCATTCAACTCACAGAGTGGAACGTCCCTTTAGACAGAGCAGATTTGAAACACTCTTTTTGCGGAATTTGCAAGTGGAGATTTCTAGCCATTTGATGCCAACAGTAGAAAGGGAAATATCTTCAAATAAAAACCAGACAGAATCATTCTCAGAAAATTCTTTGTGATGTGTGCGTTCAACTCACATAGTTTAACCTTTCTTTTCATAGAGCAGTTTGGAAACACTCTGTTTGTAAAGTCTGCAAGTGGATATATGGACCGCATTGAGGCCTTCGTTGGAAACGGGATTTCTTCATTTCATGCTAGACAGAAGAATTCTCAGTAACTTCTTTGTGCTGTGTGTACTCAACTCACAGAGTGGAACGTCCCTTTGCACAGAGCAGATTTGAAACACTCTTTTTGTGGAGTTTGCAAGTGGAGATTTCAAGCGATTTGATGCCAACAGTAGAAAAGGAAATATCTTCAAATAAAAACTAGACAGAATCATTCTCAGAAACTACTTTGTGATGTCTGCCTTCAACTCACAGAGTTTAACCTTTCTTTTCTTAGAGCAGTTTAGAAACACTCTGCTTGTTATGTCTGCAAGTGGATATTTGGACCTCTTTGAGGCCTTCGTTGCAAACGGGGTTTCTTCCTTTCATGCTAGACTAAGAAGAGTTCTCAGTAACTTTTTTGTGTTGTGTGTATTCAACTCACAGAGTTGAACCTTGCTTTAGAGAGAGCAGATTTGAAACACTCTTGCTGTGGCATTTTCAGGTGGAGATTTCAAACGATTTGAGGACAATTGCAGAAAAGGAAATATCTTCGTATAATAACCAGACAGAATCATTCTCAGAAAGTGCTTTGTGATGTGTGCGTTCAACTCACAGAGTTTAACCTTTCTTTTCATAGAGGAGTTTGGAAACACACTGTTTGTAAAGTCTGCAATTGGATATATGGACCTGTTTGAGGCCTTCGTTGGAAACGGGATTTCTTCATTGAATGCTAGACGGAAGAATTCTCAGTAAATTCTTTGTGTTGTGTGCATTCAACTCACAGAGTGGAACGTCCCTTTAGACAGAGCAGATTTGAAACACTCTTTTTGCGGAATTTGCAAGTGGAGATTTCTAGCCATTTGATGCCAACAGTAGAAAGGGAAATATCTTCAAATAAAAACCAGACAGAATCATTCTCAGAAAATTCTTTGTGATGTGTGCGTTCAACTCACATAGTTTAACCTTTCTTTTCATAGAGCAGTTTGGAAACACTCTGTTTGTAAACTCTGCAAGTGGATATATGGACCGCATTGAGGCCTTCGTTGGAAACGGGATTTCTTCATTTCATGCTAGACAGAAGAATTCTCAGTAACTTCTTTGTGCTGTGTGTATTCAACTCACAGAGTGGAACGTCCCTTTACACAGAGCAGATTTGAAACACTCTTTTTGTGGAGTTTGCAAGTGGAGATTTCAAGCGATTTGATGCCAACAGTAGAAAAGGAAATATCTTCAAATAAAAACTAGACAGAATCATTCTCAGAAACTACTTTGTGATGTGTGCCTTCAACTCACAGAGTTTAACCTTTCTTTTCTTAGAGCAGTTTAGAAACACTCTGCTTGTTATGTCTGCAAGTGGATATTTGGACCTCTTTGAGGCCTTCGTTGCAAACGGGGTTTCTTCATTTCATGCTAGACTAAGAAGAGTTCTCAGTAACTTTTTTGTGTTGTGTGTATTCAACTCACAGAGTTGAACCTTGCTTTAGAGAGAGCAGATTTGAAACACTCTTGCTGTGGCATTTTCAGGTGGAGATTTCAAGCGATTTGAGGACAATTGCAGAAAAGGAAATATCTTCGTATAACAACCAGACAGAATCATTCTCAGAAAGTGCTTTGTGATGTGTGGGTTCAACTCACAGAGTTTAACCTTTCTTTTCATAGAGGAGTTTGGAAACACACTGTTTGTAAAGTCTGCAATTGGATATATGGACCTGTTTGAGGCCTTCGTTGGAAACGGGATTTCTTCATTGACTGCTAGACAGAAGAATTCTCAGTAAATTCTTTGTGTTGTGTGCATTCAACTCACAGAGTGGAACGTCCCTTTAGACAGAGCAGATTTGAAACACTCTTTTTGCGGAATTTGCAAGTGGAGATTTCTAGCCATTTGATGCCAACAGTAGAAAGGGAAATATCTTCAAATAAAAACCAGACAGAATCATTCTCAGAAAATTCTTTGTGATGTGTGCGTTCAACTCACATAGTTTAACCTTTCTTTTCATAGAGCAGTTTGGAAACACTCTGTTTGTAAAGTCTGCAAGTGGATATATGGACCGCATTGAGGCCTTCGTTGGAAATGGGATTTCTTCATTTCATGCTAGACAGAAGAATTCTCAGTAACTTCTTTGTGCTGTGTGTATTCAACTCACAGAGTGGAACGTCCCTTTGCACAGAGCAGATTTGAAACACTCTTTTTGTGGAGTTTGCAATTGGAGATTTCAAGCGATTTGATGCCAACAGTAGAAAAGGAAATATCTTCAAATAAAAACTAGACAGAATCATTCTCAGAAACTACTTTGTGATGTGTGCCTTCAACTCACAGAGTTTAACCTTTCTTTTCTTAGAGCAGTTTAGAAACACTCTGCTTGTTATGTCTGCAAGTGGATATTTGGACCTCTTTGAGGCCTTCGTTGCAAACGGGGTTTCTTCCTTTCATGCTAGACTAAGAAGAGTTCTCAGTAACTTTTTTGTGTTGTGTGTATTCAACTCACAGAGTTGAACCTTGCTTTAGAGAGAGCAGATTTGAAACACTCTTGCTGTGGCATTTTCAGGTGGAGATTTCAAGCGATTTGAGGACAATTGCAGAAAAGGAAATATCTTCGTATAACAACCAGACAGAATCATTCTCAGAAAGTGCTTTGTGATGTGTGCGTTCAACTCACAGAGTTTAACCTTTCTTTTCATAGAGGAGTTTGGAAACACACTGTTTGTAAAGTCTGCAATTGGATATATGGACCTGTTTGAGGCCTTCGTTGGAAACGGGATTTCTTCATTGAATGCTAGACGGAAGAATTCTCAGTAAATTCTTTGTGTGGTGTGCATTCAACTCACAGAGTGGAACGTCCCTTTAGACAGAGCAGATTTGAAACACTCTTTTTGCGGAATTTGCAAGTGGAGATTTCTAGCCATTTGATGCCAACAGTAGAAAGGGAAATATCTTCAAATAAAAACCAGACAGAATCATTCTCAGAAAATTCTTTGTGATGTGTGCGTTCAACTCACATAGTTTAACCTTTCTTTTCATAGAGCAGTTTGGAAACACTCTGTTTGTAAAGTCTGCAAGTGGATATATGGACCGCATTGAGGCCTTCGTTGGAAACGGGATTTCTTCATTTCATGCTAGACAGAAGAATTCTCAGTAACTTCTCTGTGCTGTGTGTATTCAACTCACAGAGTGGAACGTCCCTTTACACAGAGCAGATTTGAAACACTCTTTTTGTGGAGTTTGCAAGTGGAGATTTCAAGCGATTTGATGCCAACAGTAGAAAAGGAAATATCTTCAAATAAAAACTAGACAGAATCATTCTCAGAAACTACTTTGTGATGTGTGCCTTCAACTCACAGAGTTTAACCTTTCTTTTCTTAGAGCAGTTTAGAAACACTCTGCTTGTTATGTCTGCAAGTGGATATTTGGACCTCTTTGAGGCCTTCGTTGCAAACGGGGTTTCTTCCTTTAATGCTAGACTAAGAAGAGTTCTCAGTAACTTTTTTGTGTTGTGTGTATTCAACTCACAGAGTTGAACCTTGCTTTAGAGAGAGCAGATTTGAAACACTCTTGCTGTGGCATTTTCAGGTGGAGATTTCAAGCGATTTGAGGACAATTGCAGAAAAGGAAATATCTTCGTATAATAACCAGACAGAATCATTCTCAGAAAGTGCTTTGTGATGTGTGCGTTCAACTCACAGAGTTTAAGCTTTCTTTTCATAGAGGAGTTTGGAAACACACTGTTTGTAAAGTCTGCAAGTGGATATATGGACCTGTTTGAGGCCTTCGTTGGAAACGGGATTTCTTCATTGAATGCTAGACGGAAGAATTCTCAGTAAATTCTTTGTGTTGTGTGCATTCAACTGACAGAGTGGAACGTCCCTTTAGACAGAGCAGATTTGAAACACTCTTTTTGCGGAATTTGCAAGTGGAGATTTCTAGCCATTTGATGCCAACAGTAGAAAGGGAAATATCTTCAAATAAAAACCAGACAGAATCATTCTCAGAAAATTCTTTGTGATGTGTGCGTTCAACTCACATAGTTTAACCTTTCTTTTCATAGAGCAGTTTGTAAACACTCTGTTTGTAAAGTCTGCAAGTGGATATATGGACCGCATTGAGGCCTTCGTTGGAAACGGGATTTCTTCATTTCATGCTAGACAGAAGAATTCTCAGCAACTTCTTTGTGCTGTGTGTATTCAACTCACAGAGTGGAACGTCCCTTTACACAGAGCAGATTTGAAACACTCTTTTTGTGGAGTTTGCAAGTGAAGATTTCAAGCGATTTGATGCCAACAGTAGAAAAGGAAATATCTTCAAATAAAAACTAGACAGAATCATTCTCAGAAACTACTTTGTGATGTGTGCCTTCAACTCACAGAGTTTAACCTTTCTTTTCTTAGAGCAGTTTAGAAACACTCTGCTTGTTATGTCTGCAAGTGGATATTTGGACCTCTTTGAGGCCTTCGTTGCAAACGGGGTTTCTTCCTTTCATGCTAGACTAAGAAGAGTTCTCAGTAACTTTTTTGTGTTGTGTGTATTCAACTCACAGAGTTGAACCTTGCTTTAGAGAGAGCAGATTTGAAACACTCTTGCTGTGGCATTTTCAGGTGGAGATTTCAAGCGATTTGAGGACAATTGCAGAAAAGGAAATATCTTCGTATAATAACCAGACAGAATCATTCTCAGAAAGTGCTTTGTGATGTGTGCGTTCAACTCACAGAGTTTAACCTTTCTTTTCATAGAGGAGTTTGGAAACACACTGTTTGTAAAGTCTGCAAGTGGATATATGGACCTGTTTGAGGCCTTCGTTGGAAACGGGATTTCTTCATTGAATGCTAGACGGAAGAATTCTCAGTAAATTATTTGTGTTGTGTGCATTCAACTCACAGAGTGGAACGTCCCTTTAGACAGAGCAGATTTGAAACACTCTTTTTGCGGAATTTGCAAGTGGAGATTTCTAGCCATTTGATGCCAACAGTAGAAAGGGAAATATCTTCAAATAAAAACCAGACAGAATCATTCTCAGAAAATTCTTTGTGATGTGTGCGTTCAACTCACATAGTTTAACCTTTCTTTTCATAGAGCAGTTTGGAAACACTCTGTTTGTAAAGTCTGCAAGTGGATATATGGACCGCAATGAGGCCTTCGTTGGAAACGGGATTTCTTCATTTCATGCTAGACAGAAGAATTCTCAGTAACTTCTTTGTGCTGTGTGTATTCAACTCACAGAGTGGAACGTCCCTTTGCACAGAGCAGATTTGAAACACTCTTTTTGTGGAATTTGCAAGTGGAGATTTCAAACGATTTGATGCCAACAGTAGAAAAGGAAATATCTTCAAATAAAAACTAGACAGAATCATTCTCAGAAACTACTTTGTGATGTGTGCCTTCAACTCACAGAGTTTAACCTTTCTTTTCTTAGAGCAGTTTAGAAACACTCTGCTTGTTATGTCTGCAAGTGGATATTTGGACCTCTTTGAGGCCTTCGTTGCAAACGGGGTTTCTTCCTTTCATGCTAGACTAAGAAGAGTTCTCAGTAACTTTTTTGTGTTGTGTGTATTCAACTCACAGAGCTGAACCTTGCTTTAGAGAGAGCAGATTTGAAACACTCTTGCTGTGGCATTTTCAGGTGGAGATTTCAAGCGATTTGAGGACAATTGCAGAAAAGGAAATATCTTCGTATAACAACCAGACAGAATCATTCTCAGAAAGTGCTTTGTGATGTGTGCGTTCCACTCACAGAGTTTAACCTTTCTTTTCATAGAGGAGTTTGGAAACACACTGTTTGTAAACTCTGCAAGTGGATATATGGACCTGTTTGAGGCCTTCGTTGGAAACGGGATTTCTTCATTGAATGCTAGACGGATGAATTCTCAGTAAATTCTTTGTGTTGTGTGCATTCAACTCACAGAGTGGAACGTCCCTTTAGACAGAGCAGATTTGAAACACTCTTTTTGCGGAATTTGCAAGTGGAGATTTCTAGCCATTTGATGCCAACAGTAGAAAGGGAAATATCTTCAAATAAAAACCAGACAGAATCATTCTCAGAAAATTCTTTGTGATGTGTGCGTTCAACTCACATAGTTTAACCTTTCTTTTCATAGAGCAGTTTGGAAACACTCTGTTTGTAAAGTCTGCAAGTGGATATATGGACCGCATTGAGGCCTTCGTTGGAAACGGGATTTCTTCATTTCATGCTAGACAGAAGAATTCTCAGTAACTTCTTTGTGCTGTGTGTATTCAACTCACAGAGTGGAACGTCCCTTTGCACAGAGCAGATTTGAAACACTCTTTTTGTGGAATTTGCAATTGGAGATTTCAAGCGATTTGATGCCAACAGTAGAAAAGGAAATATCTTCAAATAAAAACTAGACAGAATCATTCTCAGAAACTACTTTGTGAAGTGTGCCTTCAACTCACAGAGTTTAACCTTTCTTTTCATAGAGGAGTTTGGAAACACACTGTTTGTAATGTCTGCATTTGGATATATGGACCTGTTTGAGGCCTTCGTTGGAAACGGGATTTCTTCATTGAATGCTAGACGGAAGAATTCTCAGTAAATTCTTTGTGTTGTGTGCATTCAACTCACAGAGTGGAACGTCCCTTTAGACAGAGCACATTTGAAACACTCTTTTGCGGAATTTGCAAGTGGAGATTTCTAGCCATTTGATGCCAACAGTAGAAAGGGAAATATCTTCAAATAAAAACCAGACAGAATCATTCTCAGAAAATTCTTTGTGATGTGTGCGTTCAACTCACATAGTTTAACCTTTCTTTTCATAGAGCAGTTTGGAAACACTCTGTTTGTAAAGTCTGCAAGTGGATATATGGACCGCATTGAGGCCTTCGTTGGAAACGGGATTTCTTCATTTCATGCTAGACAGAAGAATTCTCAGTAACTTCTTTGTGCTGTGTGCATTCAACTCACAGAGTGGAACGTCCCTTTTCACAGAGCAGATTTGAAACACTCTTTTTGTGGAATTTGCAAGTGGAGATTTCAAGCGATTTGATGCCAACAGTAGAAAAGGAAATATCTTCAAATAAAAACTAGACAGAATCATTCTCAGAAACTACTTTGTGATGTGTGCCTTCAACTCACAGAGTTTAACCTTTCTTTTCTTAGAGCAGTTTAGAAACACTCTGCTTGTTATGTCTGCAAGTGGATATTTGGACCTCTTTGAGGCCTTCGTTGCAAACGGGGTTTCTTCCTTTCATGCTAGACTAAGAAGAGTTCTCAGTAACTTTTTTGTGTTGTGTGTATTCAACTCACAGAGTTGAACCTTGCTTTAGAGAGAGCAGATTTGAAACACTCTTGCTGTGGCATTTTCAGGTGGAGATTTCAAGCGATTTGAGGACAATTGCAGAAAAGGAAATATCTTCGTATAACAACCAGACAGAATCATTCTCAGAAAGTGCTTTGTGATGTGTGCGTTCCACTCACAGAGTTTAACCTTTCTTTTCATAGAGGAGTTTGGAAACACACTGTTTGTAAAGTCTGCAAGTGGATATATGGACCTGTTTGAGGCCTTCGTTGGAAACGGGATTTCTTCATTGAATGCTAGACGGAAGAATTCTCAGTAAATTCTTTGTGTTGTGTGCATTCAACTCACAGAGTGGGACGTCCCTTTAGACAGAGCAGATTTGAAACACTCTTTTTGCGGAATTTGCAAGTGGAGATTTCTAGCCATTTGATGCCAACAGTAGAAAGGGAAATATCTTCAAATAAAAACCAGACAGAATCATTCTCAGAAAATTCTTTGTGATGTGTGCGTTCAACTCACATAGTTTAACCTTTCTTTTCATAGAGCAGTTTGGAAACACTCTGTTTGTAAAGTCTGCAAGTGGATATATGGACCGCATTGAGGCCTTCGTTGGAAACGGGATTTCTTCATTTCATGCTAGACAGAAGAATTCTCAGTAACTTCTTTGTGCTGTGTGTATTCAACTCACAGAGTGGAACATCCCTTTGCACAGAGCAGATTTGAAACACTCTTTTTGTGGAGTTTGCAAGTGGAGATTTCAAGCGATTAGATGCCAACAGTAGAAAAGGAAATATCTTCAAATAAAAACTAGACAGAATCATTCTCAGAAACTACTTTGTGATGTGTGCCTTCAACTCACAGAGTTTAACCTTTCTTTTCTTAGAGCAGTTTAGAAACACTCTGCTTGTTATGTCT
Source organism: Homo sapiens (assembly GCF_000001405.40). Lineage (NCBI taxonomy): Eukaryota > Metazoa > Chordata > Mammalia > Primates > Hominidae > Homo > Homo sapiens. The sequence goes on from NC_000007.14 coordinate 60,104,504, forward strand.
GCAAGTGGATATTTGGACCTCTTTGAGGCCTTCGTTGCAAACGGGGTTTCTTCCTTTCATGCTAGACTAAGAAGAGTTCTCAGTAACTTTTTTGTGTTGTGTGTATTCAACTCACAGAGGTGAACCTTGCTTTAGAGAGAGCAGATTTGAAACACTCTTGCTGTGGCATTTTCAGGTGGAGATTTCAAGCGATTTGAGGACAATTGCAGAAAAGGTAATATCTTCGTATAATAACCAGACAGAATCATTCTCAGAAAGTGCTTTGTGATGTGTGCGTTCAACTCACAGAGTTTAACCTTTCTTTTCATAGAGGAGTTTGGAAACACACTGTTTGTAAAGTCTGCAAGTGGATATATGGACCTGTTTGAGGCCTTCGTTGGAAACGGGATTTCTTCATTGAATGCTAGACGGAAGAATTCTCAGTAAATTCTTTGTGTTGTGTGCATTCAACTCACAGAGTGGAACGTCCCTTTAGACAGAGCAGATTTGAAACACTCTTTTTGTGGAATTTGCAAGTGGAGATTTCTAGCCATTTGATGCCAACAGTAGAAAGGGAAATATCTTCAAATAAAAACCAGACAGAATCATTCTCAGAAAATTCTTTGTGATGTGTGCGTTCAACTCACATAGTTTAACCTTTCTTTTCATAGAGCAGTTTGGAAACACTCTGTTTGTAAAGTCTGCAAGTGGATATATGGACCGCATTGAGGCCTTCGTTGGAAACGGGATTTCTTCATTTCATGCTAGACAGAAGAATTCTCAGCAACTTCTTTGTGCTGTGTGTATTCAACTCACAGAGTGGAACGTCCCTTTACACAGAGCAGATTTGAAACACTCTTTTTGTGGAGTTTGCAAGTGAAGATTTCAAACGATTTGATGTCAACAGTAGAAAAGGAAATATCTTCAAATAAAAACTAGACAGAATCATTCTCAGAAACTACTTTGTGATGTGTGCCTTCAACTCACAGAGTTTAACCTTTCTTTTCTTAGAGCAGTTTAGAAACACTCTGCTTGTTATGTCTGCAAGTGGATATTTGGACCTCTTTGAGGCCTTCGTTGCAAACGGGGTTTCTTCCTTTCATGCTAGACTAAGAAGAGTTCTCAGTAACTTTTTTGTGTTGTGTGTATTCAACTCACAGAGTTGAACCTTGCTTTAGAGAGAGCAGATTTGAAACACTCTTGCTGTGGCATTTTCAGGTGGAGATTTCAAGCGTTTTGAGGACAATTGCAGAAAAGGAAATATCTTCGTATAATAACCAGACAGAATCATTCTCAGAAAGTGCTTTGTGATGTGTGCGTTCAACTCACAGAGTTTAACCTTTCTTTTCATAGAGGAGTTTGGAAACACACTGTTTGTAAAGTCTGCAATTGGATATATGGACCTGTTTGAGGCCTTCGTTGGAAACGGGATTTCTTCATTGCATGCTAGACGGAAGAATTCTCAGTAAATTCTTTGTGTTGTGTGCATTCAACTGACAGAGTGGAACTGTCCCTTTAGACAGAGCAGATTTGAAACACTCTTTTTGCGGAATTTGCAAGTGGAGATTTCTAGCCATTTGATGCCAACAGTAGAAAGGGAAATATCTTCAAATAAAAACCAGACAGAATCATTCTCAGAAAATTCTTTGTGATGTGTGCGTTCAACTCACATAGTTTAACCTTTCTTTTCATAGAGCAGTTTGGAAACACTCTGTTTGTAAAGTCTGCAAGTGGATATATGGACCGCATTGAGGCCTTCGTTGGAAACGGGATTTCTTCATTTCATGCTAGACAGAAGAATTCTCAGTAACTTCTTTGTGCTGTGTGTATTCAACTCACAGAGTGGAACGTCCCATTGCACAGAGCAGATTTGAAACACTCTTTTTGTGGAGTTTGCAAGTGGAGATTTCAAGCGATTTGATGCCAACAGTAGAAAAGGAAATATCTTCAAATAAAAACTAGACAGAATCATTCTCAGAAACTACTTTGTGATGTGTGCCTTCAACTCACAGAGTTTAACCTTTCTTTTCTTAGAGCAGTTTAGAAACACTCTGCTTGTTATGTCTGCAAGTGGATATTTGGACCTCTTTGAGGCCTTCGTTGCAAACGGGGTTTCTTCCTTTCATGCTAGACTAAGAAGAGTTCTCAGTAACTTTTTTGTGTTGTGTGTATTCAACTCACAGAGTTGAACCTTGCTTTAGAGAGAGCAGATTTGAAACACTCTTGCTGTGGCATTTTCAGGTGGAGATTTCAAGCGATTTGAGGACAATTGCAGAAAAGGAAATATCTTCGTATAATAACCAGACAGAATCATTCTCAGAAAGTGCTTTGTGATGTGTGCGTTCAACTCACAGAGTTTAACCTTTCTTTTCATAGAGGAGTTTGGAAACACACTGTTTGTAAAGTCTGCAAGTGGATATATGGACCTGTTTGAGGCCTTCGTTGGAAACGGGATTTCTTCATTGAATGCTAGACGGAAGAATTCTCAGTAAATTCTTTGTGTTGTGTGCATTCAACTCACAGAGTGGAACGTCCCTTTAGACAGAGCAGATTTGAAACACTCTTTTTGTGGAGTTTGCAAGTGGAGATTTCAAGCGATTTGATGCCAACAGTAGAAAAGGAAATATCTTCAAATAAAAACTAGACAGAATCATTCTCAGAAACTACTTTGTGATGTGTGCCTTCAACTCACAGAGTTTAACCTTTCTTTTCTTAGAGCAGTGTAGAAACACTCTGCTTGTTATGTCTGCAAGTGGATATTTGGACCTCTTTGAGGCCTTCGTTGCAAACGGGGTTTCTTCCTTTCATGCTAGACTAAGAAGAGTTCTCAGTAACTTTTTTGTGTTGTGTGTATTCAACTCACAGAGTTGAACCTTGCTTTAGAGAGAGCAGATTTGAAACACTCTTGCTGTGGCATTTTCAGGTGGAGATTTCAAGCGATTTGAGGACAATTGCAGAAAAGGAAATATCTTCGTATAATAACCAGACAGAATCATTCTCAGAAAGTGCTTTGTGATGTGTGCGTTCGACTCACAGAGTTTATCCTTTCTTTTCATAGAGGAGTTTGGAAACACACTGTTTGTAAAGTCTGCAATTGGATATATGGACCTCTTTGAGGCCTCCGTTGGAAACGGGATTTCTTCATTGAATGCTAGACGGAAGAAATCTCAGTAAATTCTTTGTGTTGTGTGCATTCAACTCACAGAGTGGAACGTCCCTTTAGACAGAGCAGATTTGAAACACTCTTTTTGCGGAATTTGCAAGTGGAGATTTCTAGCCATTTGATGCCAACAGTAGAAAGGGAAATATCTTCAAATAAAAACCAGACAGAATCATTCTCAGAAAATTCTTTGTGATGTGTGCGTTCAACTCACATAGTTTAACCTTTCTTTTCATAGAGCAGTTTGGAAACACTCTGTTTGTAAAGTCTGCAAGTGGATATATGGACCGCATTGAGGCCTTCGTTGGAAACGGGATTTCTTCATTTCATGCTAGACAGAAGAATTCTCAGTAACTTCTTTGTGCTGTGTGTATTCAACTCACAGAGTGGAACGTCCCTTTGCACAGAGCAGATTTGAAACACTCTTTTTGTGGAGTTTGCAAGTGGAGATTTCAAGCGATTTGATGCCAACAGTAGAAAAGGAAATATCTTCAAATAAAAACTAGACAGAATCATTCTCAGAAACTACTTTGTGATGTGTGCCTTCAACTCACAGAGTTTAACCTTTCTTTTCTTAGAGCAGTTTAGAAACACTCTGCTTGTTATGTCTGCAAGTGGATATTTGGACCTCTTTGAGGCCTTCGTTGCAAACGGGGTTTCTTCCTTTCATGCTAGACTAAGAAGAGTTCTCAGTAACTTTTTTGTGTTGTGTGTATTCAACTCACAGAGTTGAACCTTGCTTTAGAGAGAGCAGATTTGAAACACTCTTGCTGTGGCATTTTCAGGTGGAGATTTCAAGCGTTTTGAGGACAATTGCAGAAAAGGAAATATCTTCGTATAATAACCAGACAGAATCATTCTCAGAAAGTGCTTTGTGATGTGTGCGTTCAACTCACAGAGTTTAACCTTTCTTTTCATAGAGGAGTTTGGAAACACACTGTTTGTAAAGTCTGCAAGTGGATATATGGACCTGTTTGAGGCCTTCGTTGGAAACGGGATTTCTTCATTGAATGCTAGACGGAAGAATTCTCAGTAAATTCTTTGTGTTGTGTGCATTCAACTCACAGAGTGGAACGTCCCTTTAGACAGAGCAGATTTGAAACACTCTTTTTGCGGAATTTGCAATTGGAGATTTCTAGCCATTTGATGCCAACGGTAGAAAGGGAAATATCTTCAAATAAAAACTAGACAGAATCATCCTCAGAAAATTCTTTGTGATGTGTACGTTCAACTCACATAGTTTAACCTTTCTTTTCATAGACAGTTTGGAAACACTCTGTTGGTAATGTCTGCAAGTGGATATATGGACCGCTTTGAGGACTTCGTTGGAAACGGAATTTCTTAATTTCATGCTAGACAGAAGAATTCTCAGTAACTTCTTTGTGTTGTGTGTATTCAACTGACAGATTGGAATGTCCCATTACACAGAGCAGTTTTGAAACACTCTTTTTGTGGAATTTAAAAGTGGAGAATTCAAGCGATTTGATGCCAAAAGTTGGAAAGGAAATATCTTCAAATAAAAACTAGACAGAATCATTCTCAGAAACTACTTTGTGATGTGTGCCTTCAACTCACAGAGTTTAACCTTTCTTTTCTTAGAGCAGTTTAGAAACACTCTGCTTGTTATGTCTGCAAGTGGATATTTGGACCTCTTTGAGGCCTTCGTTGCAAACGGGGTTTCTTCCTTTCATGCTAGACTAAGAAGAGTTCTCAGTAACTTTTCTGTGTTGTGTGTATTCAACTCACAGAGTTGAACCTTGCTTTAGAGAGAGCAGATTTGAAACACTCTCGCTGTGGAATTTTCAGGTGGAGATTTCAAGCGATTTGAGGACAATTGCAGAAAAGGAAATATCTTCGTATAATAACCAGACAGAATCATTCTCAGAAAGTGCTTTGTGAGGTGTGCGTTCAACTCACAGAGTTTAACCTTTCTTTTCATAGAGGAGTTTGGAAACACACTGTTTGTAAAGTCTGCAATTGGATATATGGACCTGTTTGAGGCCTTCGTTGGAAACGGGATTTCTTCATTGAATGCTAGACGGAAGGATTCTCAGTAAATTCTTTGTGTTGTGTGCATTCAACTCACAGAGTGGAACGTCCCTTTAGACAGAGCAGATTTGAAACACTCTTTTTGCGGAATTTGCAAGTGGAGATTTCTAGCCATTTGATGCCAACAGTAGAAAGGGAAATATCTTCAAATAAAAACCAGACAGAATCATTCTCAGAAAATTCTTTGTGATATGTGCGTTCAACTCACATAGTTTAACCTTTCTTTTCATAGAGCAGTTTGGAAACACTCTGTTTGTAAAGTCTGCAAGTGGATATATGGACCGCATTGAGGCCTTCGTTGGAAACGGGATTTCTTCATTTCATGCTAGACAGAAGAATTCTCAGTAACTTCTTTGTGCTGTGTGTATTCAACTCACAGAGTGGAACGTCCCTTTGCACAGAGCAGATTTGAAACACTCTTTTTGTGGAGTTTGCAAGTGGAGATTTCAAGCGATTTGATGCCAACAGTAGAAAAGGAAGTATCTTCAAATAAAAACTAGACAGAATCATTCTCAGAAACTACTTTGTGATGTGTTCCTTCAACTCACAGAGTTTAACCTTTCTTTTCTTAGAGCAGCTTAGAAACACTCTGCTTGTTATGTCTGCAAGTTGATATTTGGACCTCTTTGAGGCCTTCGTTGCAAACGGGGTTTCTTCCTTTAATGCTAGACTAAGAAGAGTTCTCAGTAACTTTTTTGTGTTGTGTGTATTCAACTCACAGAGTTGAACCTTGCTTTAGAGAGAGCAGATTTGAAACACTCTTGCTGTGGCATTTTCAGGTGGAGATTTCAAGCGATTTGAGGACAATTGCAGAAAAGGAAATATCTTCGTATAATAACCAGACAGAATCATTCTCAGAAAGTGCTTTGTGATGTGTGCGTTCAACTCACAGAGTTTAACCTTTCTTTCCATAGAGGAGTTTGGAAACACACTGTTTGTAAAGTCTGCAAGTGGATATATGGACCTGTTTGAGGCCTTCGTTGGAAACGGGATTTCTTCATTGAATGCTAGACGGAAGAATTCTCAGTAAATTCTTTGTGTTGTGTGCATTCAACTGACAGAGTGGAACGTCCCTTTAGACAGAGCAGATTTGAAACACTCTTTTTGCGGAATTTGCAAGTGGAGATTTCTAGCCATTTGATGCCAACAGTAGAAAGGGAAACATCTTCAAATAAAAACCAGACAGAATCATTCTCAGAAAATTCTTTGTGATGTGTGCGTTCAACTCACATAGTTTAACCTTTCTTTTCATAGAGCAGTTTGGAAACACTCTGTTTGTAAAGTCTGCAAGTGGATATATGGACCGCATTGAGGCCTTCGTTGGAAACGGGATTTCTTCATTTCATGCTAGACAGAAGAATACTCAGTAACTTCTTTGTGCTGTGTGTATTCAACTCACAGAGTGGAACGTCCCTTTACAGAGAGCAGATTTGAAACACTCTTTTTGTGGAGTTTGCAAGTGGAGATTTCAAGCGATTTGATGCCAACAGTAGAAAAGGAAATATCTTCAAATAAAAACTAGACAGAATCATTCTCAGAAACTACTTTGTGATGTGTGCCTTCAACTCACAGAGTTTAACCTTTCTTTTCTTAGAGCAGTTTAGAAACACTCTGCTTGTTATGTCTGCAAGTGGATATTTGGACCTCTTTGAGGCCTTCGTTGCAAACGGGGTTTCTTCCTTTCATGCTAGACTAAGAAGAGTTCTCAGTAACTTTTTTGTGTTGTGTGTATTCAACTCACAGAGTTGAACCTTGCTTTAGAGAGAGCAGATTTGAAACACTCTTGCTGTGGCATTTTCAGGTGGAGATTTCAAGCGATTTGAGGACAATTGCAGAAAAGGAAATATCTTCGTATAATAACCAGACAGAATCATTCTCAGAAAGTGCTTTGTGATGTGTGCGTTCAACTCACAGAGTTTAACCTTTCTTTTCATAGAGGAGTTTGGAAACACACTGTTTGTAAAGTCTGCAATTGGATATATGGACCTGTTTGAGGCCTTCGTTGGAAACGGGATTTCTTCATTGCATGCTAGACGGAAGAATTCTCAGTAAATTCTTTGTGTTGTGTGCATTCAACTCACAAAGTGGAACGTCCCTTTAGACAGAGCAGAATTGAAACACTCTTTTTGCGGAATTTGCAAGTGGAGATTTCTAGCCATTTGATGCCAACAGTAGAAAGGGAAATATCTTCAAATAAAAACCAGACAGAATCATTCTCAGAAAATTCTTTGTGATGTGTGCGTTCAACTCACATAGTTTAACCTTTCTTTTCATAGAGCAGTTTGGAAACACTCTGTTTGTAAAGTCTGCAAGTGGATATATGGACCGCATTGAGGCCTTCGTTGGAAACGGGATTTCTTCATTTCATGCTAGACAGAAGAATTCTCAGTAACTTCTTTGTGCTGTGTGTATTCAACTCACAGAGTGGAACGTTCCTTTACACAGAGCAGATTTGAAACACTCTTTTTGTGGAATTTGCAAGTGGAGATTTCAAGCGATTTGATGCCAACAGTAGAAAAGGAAATATCTTCAAATAAAAACTAGACAGAATCATTCTCAGAAACTACTTTGTGATGTGTGCCTTCAACTCACAGAGTTTAACCTTTTCTTTTCTTAGAGCAGTTTAGAAACACTCTGCTTGTTATGTCTGCAAGTGGATATTTGGACCTCTTTGAGGCCTTCGTTGCAAACGGGGTTTCTTCCTTTCATGCTAGACTAAGAAGAGTTCTCAGTAACTTTTTTGTGTTGTGTGTATTCAACTCACAGAGTTGAACCTTGCTTTAGAGAGAGCAGATTTGAAACACTCTTGCTGTGGCATTTTCAGGTGGAGATTTCAAGCGATTTGAGGACAATTGCAGAAAAGGAAATATCTTCGTATAATAACCAGACAGAATCATTCTCAGAAAGTGCTTTGTGATGTGTGCGTTCAACTCACAGAGTTTAACCTTTCTTTTCATAGAGGAGTTTGGAAACACACTGTTTGTAAAGTCTGCAATTGGATATATGGACCTGTTTGAGGCCTTCTTTGGAAACGGGATTTCTTCATTGAATGCTAGACGGAAGAATTCTCAGTAAATTCTTTGTGTTGTGTGCATTCAACTCACAGAGTGGAACGTCCCTTTAGACAGAGCAGATTTGAAACACTCTTTTTGCGGAATTTGCAAGTGGAGATTTCTAGCCATTTGATGCCAACAGTAGAAAGGGAAATATCTTCAAATAAAAACCAGACAGAATCATTCTCAGAAAATTCTTTGTGATGTGTGCGTTCAACTCACATAGTTTAACCTTTCTTTTCATAGAGCAGTTTGGAAACACTCTGTTTGTAAAGTCTGCAAGTGGATATATGGACCGCATTGAGGCCTTCGTTGGAAACGGGATTTCTTCATTTCATGCTAGACAGAAGAATTCTCAGTAACTTCTTTGTGCTGTGTGTATTCAACTCACAGAGTGGAACGTCCCTTTGCACAGAGCAGATTTGAAACACTCTTTGTGGAATTTGCAAGTGGAGATTTCAAGCGATTTGATGCCAACAGTAGAAAAGGAAATATCTTCAAATAAAAACTAGACAGAATCATTTAGAAACTACTTTGTGATGTGTGCCTTCAACTCACAGAGTTTAACCTTTCTTTTCTTAGAGCAGTTTAGAAACACTCTGCTTGTTATGTCTGCAAGTGGATATTTGGACCTCTTTGAGGCCTTCGTTGCAAACGGGGTTTCTTCCTTTAATGCTAGACTAAGAAGAGTTCTCAGTAACTTTTTTGTGTTGTGTGTATTCAACTCACAGAGTTGAACCTTGCTTTAGAGAGAGCAGATTTGAAACACTCTTGCTGTGGCATTTTCAGGTGGAGATTTCAAGCGATTTGAGGACAATTACAGAAAAGGAAATAGCTTCGTATAACAACCAGACAGAATCATTCTCAGAAAGTGCTTTGTGATGTGTGCGTTCAACTCACAGAGTTTAACCTTTCTTTTCATAGAGGAGTTTGGAAACACACTGTTTGTAAAGTCTGCAATTGGATATATGGACCTGTTTGAGGCCTTCTTTGGAAAAGGGATTTCTTCATTGAATGCTAGACGGAAGAATTCTCAGTAAATTCTTTGTGTGGTGTGCATTCAACTCACAGAGTGGAACGTCCCTTTAGACAGAGCAGATTTGAAACACTCTTTTTGCGGAATTTGCAAGTGGAGATTTCTAGCCATTTGATGCCAACAGTAGAAAGGGAAATATCTTCAAATAAAAACCAGACAGAATCATTCTCAGAAAATTCTTTGTGATGTGTGCGTTCAACTCACATAGTTTAACCTTTCTTTTCATAGAGCAGTTTGGAAACACTCTGTTTGTAAAGTCTGCAAGTGGATATATGGACCGCATTGAGGCCTTCGTTGGAAACGGGATTTCTTCATTTCATGCTAGACAGAAGAATTCTCAGTAACTTCTTTGTGCTGTGTGTATTCAACTCACAGAGTGGAACGTCCCTTTACACAGAGCAGATTTGAAACACTCTTTTTGTGGAGTTTGCAAGTGGAGATTTCAAGCGATTTGATGCCAACAGTAGAAAATGAAATATCTTCAAATAACAACTAGACAGAATCATTCTCAGAAACTACTTTGTGATGTGTGCCTTCAACTCACAGAGTTTAACCTTTCTTTTCTTAGAGCAGTTTAGAAACACTCTGCTTGTTATGTCTGCAAGTGGATATTTGGACCTCTTTGAGGCCTTCGTTGCAAACGGGGTTTCTTCCTTTAATGCTAGACTAAGAAGAGTTCTCAGTAACTTTTTTGTGTTGTGTGTATTCAACTCACAGAGTTGAACCTTGCTTTAGAGAGAGCAGATTTGAAACACTCTTGCTGTGGCATTTTCAGGTGGAGATTTCAAGCGATTTGAGGACAATTGCAGAAAAGGAAATATCTTCGTATAACAACCAGACAGAATCATTCTCAGAAAGTGCTTTGTGATGTGTGCGTTCAACTCACAGAGTTTAACCTTTCTTTTCATAGAGGAGTTTGGAAACACACTGTTTGTAAAGTCTGCAAGTGGATATATGGACCTGTTTGAGGCCTTCGTTGGAAACGGGATTTCTTCATTGACTGCTAGACGGAAGAATTCTCAGTAAATTCTTTGTGTTGTGTGCATTCAACTCACAGAGTGGAACCGTCCCTTTAGACAGAGCAGATTTGAAACACTCTTTTTGCGGAATTTGCAAGTGGAGATTTCTAGCCATTTGATGCCAACAGTTGAAAGGGAAATATCTTCAAATAAAAACCAGACAGAATCATTCTCAGAAAATTCTTTGTGATGTGTGCGTTCAACTCACATAGTTTAACCTTTCTTTTCATAGAGCAGTTTGGAAACACTCTGTTTGTAAAGTCTGCAAGTGGATATATGGACCGCATTGAGGCCTTCGTTGGAAACGGGATTTCTTCATTTCATGCTAGACAGAAGAATTCTCAGTAACTTCTTTGTGCTGTGTGTATTCAACTCACAGAGTGGGAACGTCCCTTTACACAGAGCAGATTTGAAACACTCTTTTTGTGGAATTTGCAAGTGGAGATTTCAAGCGATTTGATGCCAACAGTAGAAAAGGAGATATCTTCAAATAAAAACTAGACAGAATCATTCTCAGAAACTACTTTGTGATGTGTGCCTTCAACTCACAGAGTTTAACCTTTCTTTTCTTAGAGCAGTTTAGAAACACTCTGCTTGTTATGTCTGCAAGTGGATATTTGGACCTCTTTGAGGCCTTCGTTGCAAACGGGGTTTCTTCCTTTCATGCTAGACTAAGAAGAGTTCTCAGTAACTTTTTTGTGTTGTGTGTATTCAACTCACAGAGTTGAACCTTGCTTTAGAGAGAGCAGATTTGAAACACTCTTGCTGTGGCATTTTCAGGTGGAGATTTCAAGCGATTTGAGGACAATTACAGAAAAGGAAATATCTTCGTATAACAACCAGACAGAATCATTCTCAGAAAGTGCTTTGTGTTGTGTGCGTTCAACTCACAGAGTTTAACCTTTCTTTTCATAGAGGAGTTTGGAAACACACTGTTTGTAAAGTCTGCAATTGGATATATGGACCTGTTTGAGGCCTTCGTTGGAAACGGGATTTCTTCATTGAATGCTAGACGGAAGAATTCTCAGTAAATTCTTTGTGTTGTGTGCATTCAACTCACAGAGTGGAACGTCCCTTTAGACAGAGCAGATTTGAAACACTCTTTTTGCGGAATTTGCAAGTGGAGATTTCTAGCCATTTGATGCCAACAGTAGAAAGGGAAATATCTTCAAATAAAAACCAGACAGAATCATTCTCAGAAAATTCTTTGTGATGTGTGCGTTCAACTCACATAGTTTAACCTTTCTTTTCATAGAGCAGTTTGGAAACACTCTGTTTGTAAAGTCTGCAAGTGGATATATGGACCGCATTGAGGCCTTCGTTGGAAACGGGATTTCTTCATTTCATGCTAGACAGAAGAATTCTCAGTAACTTCTTTGTGCTGTGTGTATTCAACTCACAGAGTGGAACGTCCCTTTACACAGAGAAGATTTGAAACACTCTTTTTGTGGAGTTTGCAAGTGGAGATTTCAAGCGATTTGATGCCAACAGTAGAAAAGGAAATATCTTCAAATAAAAACTAGACAGAATCATTCTCAGAAACTACTTTGTGATGTGTGCCTTTAACTCACAGAGTTTAACCTTTCTTTTCTTAGAGCAGTTTAGAAACACTCTGCTTGTTATGTCTGCAAGTGGATATTTGGACCTCTTTGAGGCCTTCGTTGCAAACGGGGTTTCTTCCTTTAATGCTAGACTAAGAAGAGTTCTCAGTAACTTTTTTGTGTTGTGTGTATTCAACTCACAGAGTTGAACCTTGCTTTAGAGAGAGCAGATTTGAAACACTCTTGCTGTGGCATTTTCAGGTGGAGATTTCAAGCGATTTGAGGACAATTGCAGAAAAGGAAATATCTTCGTATAACAACCAGACAGAATCATTCTCAGAAAGTGCTTTGTGATGTGTGCGTTCAACTCACAGAGTTTAACCTTTCTTTTCATAGAGGAGTTTGGAAACACACTGTTTGTAAAGTCTGCAATTGGATATATGCACCTGTTTGAGGCCTTCGTTGGAAACGGGATTTCTTCATTGAATGCTAGACGGAAGAATTCTCAGTAAATTCTTTGTGTTGTGTGCATTCAACTCACAGAGTGGAACGTCCCTTTAGACAGAGCAGATTTGAAACACTCTTTTTGCGGAATTTGCAAGTGGAGATTTCTAGCCATTTGATGCCAACAGTAGAAAGGGAAATATCTTCAAATAAAAACCAGACAGAATCATTCTCAGAAAATTCTTTGTGATGTGTGCGTTCAAATCACATAGTTTAACCTTTCTTTTCATAGAGCAGTTTGGAAACACTCTGTTTATAAAGTCTGCAAGTGGATATATGGACCGCATTGAGGCCTTCGTTGGAAACGGGATTTCTTCATTTCATGCTAGACAGAAGAATTCTCAGTAACTTCTTTGTGCTGTGTGTATTCAGCTCACAGAGTGGAACGTCCCTTTCAACAGAGCATATTTGATACACTCTTTTTGTGGAATTTGCAAGTGGAGATTTCAAGCGATTTGATGCCAACAGTAGAAAAGGAAATATCTTCAAATAAAAACTAGACAGAATCATTCTCAGAAACTACTTTGTGATGTGTGCCTTCAACTCACAGAGTTTAACCTTTCTTTTCTTAGAGCAGTTTAGAAACACTCTGCTTGTTATGTCTGCAAGTGGATATTTGGACCTCTTTGAGGCCTTCGTTGCAAACGGGGTTTCTTCCTTTCATGCTAGACTAAGAAGAGTTCTCAGTAACTTTTTTGTGTTGTGTGCATTCAACTCACAGAGTGGAACGTCCCTTTAGACAGAGCAGATTTGAAACACTCTTTTTGCGGAAGTTGCAGGTGGAGATTTCTAGCCATTTGTTGCCAACAGTACAAAGGGAAATATCTTCAAATAAAAACTAGACAGAATCATTCTCAGAAAATTCTTTGTGATGTGTGCGTTCAACTCACATAGTTTAACCTTTCTTTTCATAGAGCAGTTTGGAAACACTCTGTTTGTAAAGTCTGCAAGTGGATATATGGACCGCATTGAGGCCTTCGTTGGAAACGGGATTTCTTCATTTCATGCTAGACAGAAGAATTCTCAGTAACTTCTTTGTGCTGTGTGTATTCAACTCACAGAGTCAACGTCCCTTTGCACAGAGCAGATTTGAAACACTCTTTTTGTGGAATTTGCAAGTGGAGATTTCAAGCGATTTGATGCCAACAGTAGAAAAGGAAATATCTTCAAATAAAAACTAGACAGAATCATTCTCAGAAACTACTTTGTGATGTGTGCCTTCAACTCACAGAGTTTAACCTTTCTTTTCTTAGAGCAGTTTAGAAACACTCTGCTTGTTATGTCTGCAAGTGGATATTTGGACCTCTTTGAGGCCTTCGTTGCAAACGGGGTTTCTTCCTTTCATGCTAGACTAAGAAGAGTTCTCAGTAACTTTTTTGTGTTGTGTGTATTCAACTCACAGAGTTGAACCTTGCTTTAGAGAGAGCAGATTTGAAACACTCTTGCTGTGGCATTTTCAGGTGGAGATTTCAAGCGATTTGAGGACAATTGCAGAAAAGGAACTACTTCGTATAATAACCAGACAGAATCATTCTCAGAAAGTGCTTTGTGATGTGTGCGTTCCACTCACAGAGTTTAACCTTTCTTTTCATAGAGGAGTTTGGAAACACACTGTTTGTAAAGTCTGCAAGTGGATATATGGACCTGTTTGAGGCCTTCGTTGGAAACGGGATTTCTTCATTGAATGCTAGACGGAAGAATTCTCAGTAAATTCTTTGTGTTGTGTGCATTCAACTGACAGAGTGGAACGTCCCTTTAGACAGAGCAGATTTGAAACACCCTTTTTGCGGAATTTGCAAGTGGAGATTTCTAGCCATTTGATGCCAACAGTAGAAAGGGAAATATCTTCAAATAAAAACCAGACAGAATCATTCTCAGAAAATTCTTTGTGATGTGTGCGTTCAACTCACATAGTTTAACCTTTCTTTTCATAGAGCAGTTTGGAAACACTCTGTTTGTAAAGTCTGCAAGTGGATATATGGACCGCATTGAGGCCTTCGTTGGAAACGGGATTTCTTCATTTCATGCTAGACAGAAGAATTCTCAGTAACTTCTTTGTGCTGTGTGTATTCAACTCACAAGAGTGGAACGTCCCTTTACACAGAGCAGATTTGAAACACTCTTTTTGTGGAGTTTGCAAGTGGAGATTTCAAGCGATTTGATGCCAACAGTAGAAAAGGAAATATCTTCAAATAAAAACTAGACAGAATCATTCTCAGAAACTACTTTGTGATGTGTGCCTTCAACTCACAGAGTTTAACCTTTCTTTTCTTAGAGCAGTTTAGAAACACTCTGCTTGTTATGTCTGCAAGTGGATATTTGGACCTCTTTGAGGCCTTCGTTGCAAACGGGATTTCTTCCTTTCATGCTAGACTAAGAAGAGTTCTCAGTAACTTTTTTGTGTTGTGTGTATTCAACTCACAGAGTTGAACCTTGCTTTAGAGAGAGCAGATTTGAAACACTCTTGCTGTGGCATTTTCAGGTGGAGATTTCAAGCGATTTGAGGACAATTGCAGAAAAGGAAATATCTTCGTATAATAACCAGACAGAATCATTCTCAGAAAGTGTTTTGTGATGTGTGCGTTCAACTCACAGAGTTTAACCTTTCTTTTCATAGAGGAGTTTGGAAACACACTGTTTGTAAAGTCTGCAATTGGATATATGGACCTGTTTGAGGCCTTCGTTGGAAACGGGATTTCTTCATTGAATGCTAGACGGAAGAATTCTCAGTAAATTCTTTGTGTTGTGTGCATTCAACTCACAGAGTGGAACGTCCCTTTAGACAGAGCAGATTTGAAACACTCTTTTTGCGGAATTTGCAAGTGGAGATTTCTAGCCGTTTGATGCCAACAGTAGAAAGGGAAATATCTTCAAATAAAAACCAGACAGAATCATTCTCAGAAAATTCTTTGTGATGTGTGCGTTCAACTCACATAGTTTAACCTTTCTTTTCATAGAGCAGTTTGGAAACACTCTGTTTGTAAAGTCTGCAAGTGGATATATGGACCGCATTGAGGCCTTCGTTGGAAACGGGATTTCTTCATTTCATGCTAGACAGAAGAATTCTCAGTAACTTCTTTGTGCTGTGTGTATTCAACTCACAGAGTGGAACGTCCCTTTACACAGAGCAGATTTGAAACACTCTTTTTGTGGAGTTTGCAAGTGGAGATTTCAAGAGATTTGATGCCAACAGTAGAAAAGGAAATATCTTCAAATAAAAACTAGACAGAATCATTCTCAGAAACTACTTTGTGATGTGTGCCTTCAACTCACAGAGTTTAACCTTTCTTTTCTTAGAGCAGTTTAGAAACACTCTGCTTGTTATGTCTGCAAGTGGATATTTGGACCTCTTTGAGGCCTTCGTTGCAAACGGGGTTTCTTCCTTTCATGCTAGACTAAGAAGAGTTCTCAGTAACTTTTTTGTGTTGTGTGTATTCAACTCACAGAGCTGAACCTTGCTTTAGAGAGAGCAGATTTGAAACACTCTTGCTGTGGCATTTTCAGGTGGAGATTTCAAGCGATTTGAGGACAATTGCAGAAAAGGAAATATCTTCGTATAACAACCAGACAGAATCATTCTCAGAAAGTGCTTTGTGATGTGTGCATTCCACTCACAGAGTTTAACCTTTCTTTTCATAGAGGAGTTTGGAAACACACTGTTTGTAAAGTCTGCAAGTGGATATATGGACCTCTTTGAGGCCCTTCGTTGGAAACGGGATTTCTTCATTGAATGCTAGACGGAAGAATTCTCAGTAAATTCTTTGTGTTGTGTGCATTCAACTCACAGAGTGGAACGTCCCTTTAGACAGAGCAGATTTGAAACACTCTTTTTGCGGAATTTGCAAGTGGAGATTTCTAGCCATTTGATGCCAACAGTAGAAAGGGAAATATCTTCAAATAAAAACCAGACAGAATCATTCTCAGAAAATTCTTTGTGATGTGTGCGTTCAACTCACATAGTTTAACCTTTCTTTTCATAGAGCAGTTTGGAAACACTCTGTTTGTAAAGTCTGCAAGTGGATATATGGACCGCATTGAGGCCTTCGTTGGAAACGGGATTTCTTCATTTCATGCTAGACAGAAGAATTCTCAGTAAATTCTTTGTGTTGTGTGCATTCAACTCACAGAGTGGAACGTCCCTTTAGACAGAGCAGATTTGAAACACTCTTTTTGTGGAATTTGCAAGTGGAGATTTCAAGCGATTTGATGCCAACAGTAGAAAAGGAAATATCTTCAAATAAAAACTAGACAGAATCATTCTCAGAAACTACTTTATGATGTGTGCCTTCAACTCACAGAGTTTAACCATTCTTTTCTTAGAGCAGTTTAGAAACACTCTGCTTGTAATGTCTGCAAGTGGATATTTGGACCTCTTTGAGGCCTTCATTGCAAACGGGATTTCTTCATTTAATGCTAGACTAAGGAGAGTTCTCAGTAACTTTTTTGTGTTGTGTGTATTCAACTCACAGTGTTGAACCTTGCTTTAGAGAGAGGAGATTTGAAACACTCTTGCTGTGGAATTTTCAGTTGGAGATTTCAAGCGATTTGAGGACAATTGCAGAAAAGGAAACATCTTCGTATAAAAACCAGACAGAATCATTCTCAGAAAGTGCTTTGTGATGTGTGCATTCAACTCACAGAGTTTAGCCTTTCTTCTCATAGAGCAGTTTGGAATCACACTGTTTGTAAAGTCTGCAAGTGGATATTTGGACCTGTTTGACGCCTTCGTTGGAAACGGGATTTTTTCATATAATGCTAGACGGAAGAATTCTCCCTAAATTCTTTGTGTTGTGTGCATTCAACTCACAGAGTGGAACCTCCCTTTAGACAGAGCAGATTTGAAACACTCTTTTTGTGGAATTTGCAAGTGGAGATTTCAAGCGATTTGATGCCAACAGTAGAAAAGGAAATATCTTCAAATAAAAACTAGACAGAATCATTCTCAGAAAATTCTTTGTGATGTGTGCGTTCAACTCACATAGTTTAACCTTTCTTTTCATAGAGCAATTTGGAGACACTCCGTTTGTAAAGTCTGCAAGTGGATATCGGGACAACTTTGAGGCCTTCGTTGGAAACGGGATTTCTTCATTTCATGCTAGACAGAAGAATTCTCAGTAACTTCTTTGTGTTGTGTGTATTCAACTCACAGAGTGGAAAGTCCCTTTAGACAGAGCAGATTTGAAACACTCTTTTTGTGGAATTTGCATGCGGAGATTTCAAGCGATTTGATGTCAGCAGTAGAAAAGGAAACATCTTCAAATAAAAACTAAACAGAATCATTCTCAGAAATTACTTTGAGATGTGTGCCTTCAACTCACAGAGTTTAACCTTTCTTTTCTTAGAGCAGTTTAGAAACACTCTGCTTGTAATGTCTGCAAGTGGATATTAGGACGTCTTTGAGGCCTTCGTTGCAAATGGGATTTCTTCATTTAATGCTAGACTAAGGAGAGTTCTCAGTAACTTTTTGTGTTGTGTGTATTCAACTCACAGTGTTGAACTTTGTTTAGAGAGAGGAGATTTGAAACACTCTTGCTGTGGAATTTTCAGTTGGAGAATTCAAGCGATTTGAGGACAATTGCAGAAAAGGAAATATCTTCGTATACAAACCAGACAGGATCATTCTCAGAAAGTGTTTGTGATGTGTGCGTTCAACTCACAGAGTATAGCATTTCTTCTCATAGAGCAGTTTGGAAACACACTGTTTGTAAAGTCTGCAAGTGGATATTTGGACCTGTTTGAGGCCTTCGTTGGAAACGTGATTTCTTCATTTCATGCTAGACAGAAGAATTCTCAGTAACTTCTTTGTGTTGTGTGCATTCAACTCACAGAGTGGAACCTCCCTTTAGACAGAGCAGATTTGAAACACTCTTTTTCTGGAAATTTGAAATGGAGATTTCAAGCCTTTTGATGCCAACAGTAGAAAGGGAAATATCTTCAAATAAAAACTAGACAGAATCATTCTCAGAAAATTCTTTGTGATGTGTGCGTTCAACTCACAGAATTTAGCCTTTCTTTTCATAGAGCAGTTTGGAAACACTCTGTTTGTAAAGTCTGCAAGTGGATATATGGACTGCTTTGAGGCCTTCATTGGAAACGGGATTTCTTCATTTCATGCTAGACAGAAGAATTCTCAGTAACTTCTTTGTGCTGTGTGTATTCAACTCACAGTGTGGAACGTCCCTTTACACAGAGCAGATTTGAAACACTCTTTTTGTGGAGTTTGCAAGTGGAGATTTCAAGCGATTTGATGCCAACAGTAGAAAAGGAAATATCTTCAAATAAAAACTAGACAGAATCATTCTCAGAAACTACTTTGTGATGTGTGCCTTCAACTCACAGAGTTTAACCTTTCTTTTCTTAGAGCAGTTTAGAAACACTCTGCTTGTTATGTCTGCAAGTGGATATTTGGACCTCTTTGAGGCCTTCGTTGCAAACGGGGTTTCTTCCTTTAATGCTAGACTAAGAAGAGTTCTCAGTAACTTTTTTGTGTTGTGTGTATTCAACTCACAGAGTTGAACCTTGCTTTAGAGAGAGCAGATTTGAAACACTCTTGCTGTGGCATTTTCAGGTGGAGATTTCAAGCGATTTGAGGACAATTGCAGAAAAGGAAATATCTTCGTATAATAACCAGACAGAATCATTCTCAGAAAGTGCTTTGTGATGTGTGCGTTCCACTCACAGAGTTTAACCTTTCTTTTCATAGAGGAGTTTGGAAACACACTGTTTGTAAAGTCTGCAAGTGGATATATGGACCTCTTTGAGGCCTTCGTTGGAAACGGGATTTCTTCATTGAATGCTAGACGGAAGAATTCTCAGTAAATTCTTTGTGTTGTGTGCATTCAACTCACAGAGTGGAACGTCCCTTTAGACAGAGCAGATTTGAAACACTCTTTTTGCGGAATTTGCAAGTGGAGATTTCTAGCAATTTGATGCCAACAGTAGAAAGGGAAATATCTTCAAATAAAAACCAGACAGAATCATTCTCAGAAAATTCTTTGTGATGTGTGCGTTCAACTCACATAATTTAACCTTTCTTTTCATAGAGCAGTTTGGAAACACTCTGTTTGTAAAGTCTGCAAGTGGATATATGGACCGCATTGAGGCCTTCGTTGGAAACGGGATTTCTTCATTTCATGCTAGACAGAAGAATTCTCAGTAACTTCTTTGTGCTGTGTGTATTCAACTCACAGAGTGGAACGTCCCTTTGCACAGAGCAGATTTGAAACACTCTTTTTGTGGAATTTGCAAGTGGAGATTTCAAGCGATTTGATGCCAACAGTAGAAAAGGAAATATCTTCAAATAAAAACTAGACAGAATCATTCTCAGAAACTACTTTGTGATGTGTGCCTTCAACTCACAGAGTTTAACCTTTCTTTTCTTAGAGCAGTTTAGAAACACTCTGCTTGTTATGTCTGCAAGTGGATATTTGGACCTCTTTGAGGCCTTCGTTGCAAACGGGGTTTCTTCCTTTCATGCTAGACTAAGAAGAGTTCTCAGTAACTTTTTTGTGTTGTGTGTATTCAACTCACAGAGTTGAACCTTGCTTTAGAGAGAACAGATTTGAAACACTCTTGCTGTGGCATTTTCAGGTGGAGATTTCAAGCGATTTGAGGACAATTGCAGAAAAGGAAATATCTTCGTATAATAACCAGACAGAATCATTCTCAGAAAGTGCTTTTTGATGTGTGCGTTCAACTCACAGAGTTTAACCTTTCTTTTCATAGAGGAGTTTGGAAACACACTGTTTGTAAAGTCTGCAATTGGATATATGGACCTGTTTGAGGCCTTCGTTGGAAACGGGATTTCTTCATTGAATGCTAGACGGAAGAATTCTCAGTAAATTCTTTGTGTTGTGTGCATTCAACTCACAGAGTGGAACGTCCCTTTAGACAGAGCAGATTTGAAACACTCTTTTTGCGGAATTGGCAAGTGGAGATTTCTAGCCATTTGATGCCAACAGTAGAAAGGGAAATATCTTCAAATAAAAACCAGACAGAATCATTCTCAGAAAATTCTTTGTGATGTGTGCGTTCAACTCACATAGTTTAACCTTTCTTTTCATAGAGCAGTTTGGAAACACTCTGTTTGTAAAGTCTGCAAGTGGATATATGGACCGCATTGAGGCCTTCGTTGGAAACGGGATTTCTTCATTTCATGCTAGACAGAAGAATTCTCAGTAACTTCTTTGTGCTGTGTGTATTCAACTCACAGAGTGGAACGTCCCTTTACACAGAGCAGATTTGAAACACTCTTTTTGTGGAGTTTGCAAGTGGAGATTTCAAGCGATTTGATGCCAACAGTAGAAAAGGAAATATCTTCAAATAAAAACTAGACAGAATCATTCTCAGAAACTACTTTGTGATGTGTGCCTTCAACTCACAGAGTTTAACCTTTCTTTTCTTAGAGCAGTTTAGAAACACTCTGCTTGTTATGTCTGCAAGTGGATATTTGGACCTCTTTGAGGCCTTCGTTGCAAACGGGGTTTCTTCCTTTCATGCTAGACTAAGAAGAGTTCTCAGTAACTTTTTTGTGTTGTGTGTATTCAAATCACAGAGTTGAACCTTGCTTTAGAGAGAGCAGATTTGAAACACTCTTGCTGTGGCATTTTCAGGTGGAGATTTCAAGCGATTTGAGGACAATTGCAGAAAAGGAAATATCTTCGTATAATAACCAGACAGAATCATTCTCAGAAAGTGCTTTGTGATGTGTGCGTTCAACTCACAGAGTTTAACCTTTCTTTTCATAGAGGAGTTTGGAAACACACTGTTTGTAAAGTCTGCAATTGGATATATGGACCTGTTTGAGGCCTTCGTTGGAAACGGGATTTCTTCATTGAATGCTAGACGGAAGAATTCTCAGTAAATTCTTTGTGTTGTGTGCATTCAACTCACAGAGTGGAACGTCCCTTTAGACAGAGCAGATTTGAAACACTCTTTTTGCGGAATTTGCAAGTGGAGATTTCTAGCCATTTGATGCCAACAGTAGAAAGGGAAATATCTTCAAATAAAAACCAGACAGAATCATTCTCAGAAAGTGCTTTGTGATGTGTGCGTTCAACTCACAGAGTTTAACCTTTCTTTTCATAGAGGAGTTTGGAAACACACTGTTTGTAAAGTCTGCAATTGGATATATGGACCTGTTTGAGGCCTTCGTTGGAAACGGGATTTCTTCATTGAATGCTAGACGGAAGAATTCTCAGTAAATTCTTTGTGTTGTGTGCATTCAACTGACAGAGTGGAACGTCCCTTTAGACAGAGCAGATTTGAAACACTCTTTTTGCGGAATTTGCAAGTGGAGATTTCTAGCCATTTGATGCCAACAGTAGAAAGGGAAACATCTTCAAATAAAAACCAGACAGAATCATTCTCAGAAAATTCTTTGTGATGTGTGCGTTCAACTCACATAGTTTAACCTTTCTTTTCATAGAGCAGTTTGGAAACACTCTGTTTGTAAAGTCTGCAAGTGGATATATGGACCGCATTGAGGCCTTCGTTGGAAACGGGATTTCTTCATTTCATGCTAGACAG
This sequence comes from Homo sapiens, assembly GCF_000001405.40. Taxonomy (NCBI): domain Eukaryota; kingdom Metazoa; phylum Chordata; class Mammalia; order Primates; family Hominidae; genus Homo; species Homo sapiens. The sequence continues at coordinate 60,126,373 of NC_000007.14, forward strand.
AAGAATTCTCAGTAACTTCTTTGTGCTGTGTGTATTCAACTCACAGAGTGGAACGTCCCTTTGCACAGAGCAGATTTGAAACACTCTTTTTGTGGAGTTTGCAAGTGGAGATTTCAAGCGATTTGATGCCAACAGTAGAAAAGGAAATATCTTCAAATAAAAACTAGACAGAATCATTCTCAGAAACTACTTTGTGATGTGTGCCTTCAACTCACAGAGTTTAACCTTTCTTTTCTTAGAGCAGTTTAGAAACACTCTGCTTGTTATGTCTGCAAGTGGATATTTGGACCTCTTTGAGGCCTTCGTTGCAAACGGGGTTTCTTCCTTTCATGCTAGACTAAGAAGAGTTCTCAGTAACTTTTTTGTGTTGTGTGTATTCAACTCACAGAGTTGAACCTTGCTTTAGAGAGAGCAGATTTGAAACACTCTTGCTGTGGCATTTTCAGGTGGAGATTTCAAGCGATTTGAGGACAATTGCAGAAAAGGAAATATCTTCGTATAATAACCAGACAGAATCATTCTCAGAAAGTGCTTTGTGATGTGTGCGTTCAACTCACAGAGTTTAACCTTTCTTTTCATAGAGGAGTTTGGAAACACACTGTTTGTAAAGTCTGCAATTGGATATATGGACCTGTTTGAGGCCTCCGTTGGAAACGGGATTTCTTCATTGAATGCTAGACGGAAGAATTCTCAGTAAATTCTTTGTGTTGTGTGCATTCAACTCACAGAGTGGAACGTCCCTTTAGACAGAGCAGATTTGAAACACTCTTTTTGCGGAATTTGCAAGTGGTGATTTCTAGCCATTTGATGCCAACAGTAGAAAGGGAAATATCTTCAAATAAAAACCAGACAGAATCATTCTCAGAAAATTCTTTGTGATGTGTGCGTTCAACTCACATAGTTTTACCTTTCTTTTCATAGAGCAGTTTGGAAACACTCTGTTTGTAAAGTCTGCAAGTGGATATATGGACCGCATTGAGGCCTTCGTTGGAAACGGGATTTCTTCATTTCATGCTAGACAGAAGAATTCTCAGTAACTTCTTTGTGCTGTGTGTATTCAACTCACAGAGTGGAACGTTCCTTTACACAGAGAAGATTTGAAACACTCTTTTTGTGGAATTTGCAAGTGGAGATTTCAAGCGATTTGATGCCAACAGTAGAAAAGGAAATATCTTCAAATAAAAACTAGACAGAATCATTCTCAGAAACTACTTTGTGATGTGTGCCTTCAACTCACAGAGTTTAACCTTTCTTTTCTTAGAGCAGTTTAGAAACACTCTGCTTGTTATGTCTGCAAGTGGATATTTGGACCTCTTTGAGGCCTTCGTTGCAAACAGGGGTTTCTTCCTTTAATGCTAGACTAAGAAGAGTTCTCAGTAACTTTTTTGTGTTGTGTGTATTCAACTCACAGAGTTGAACCTTGCTTTAGAGAGAGCAGATTTGAAACACTCTTGCTGTGGCATTTTCAGGTGGAGATTTAAAGCGATTTGAGGACAATTGCAGAAAAGGAAATATCTTCGTATAATAACCAGAAAGAATCATTCTCAGAAACTACTTTGTGATGTGTGCTTTCAACTCACAGAGTTTAACCTTTCTTTTCATAGAGGAGTTTGGAAACACACTGTTTGTAAAGTCTGCACTTCGATATATGGACCTGTTTGAGGCCATCGTTGGAAACGGGATTTCTTCATTGAATGCTAGACGGAAGAATTCTCAGTAAATTCTTTGTGTGGTGTGCATTCAACTCACAGAGTGGAACGTCCCTTTAGACAGAGCAGATTTGAAACACTCTTTTTGCGGAATTTGCAAGTGGAGATTTCTAGCCATTTGATGCCAACAGTAGAAAGGGAAATATCTTCAAATAAAAACCAGACAGAATCATTCTCAGAAAATTCTTTGTGATGTGTGCGTTCAACTCACATAGTTTAACCTTTCTTTTCATAGAGCAGTTTGGAAACACTCTGTTTGTAAAGTCTGCAAGTGGATATATGGACCGCATTGAGGCCTTCGTTGGAAACGGGATTTCTTCATTTCATGCTAGACAGAAGAATTCTCAGTAACTTCTTTGTGCTGTGTGTATTCAACTCACAGAGTGGAACGTCCCTTTACACAGAGCAGATTTGAAACACTCTTTTTGTGGAGTTTGCAAGTGGAGATTTCAAGCGATTTGATGCCAACAGTAGAAAAGGAAATATCTTCAAATAAAAACTAGACAGAAATCATTCTCAAAAACTACTTTGTGATGTGTGCCTTCAACTCACAGAGTTTAACCTTTCTTTTCTTAGAGCAGTTTAGAAACACTCTGCTTGTTATGTCTGCAAGTGGATATTTGGACCTCTTTGAGGCCTTCGTTGCAAACGGGGTTTCTTCCTTTCATGCTAGACTAAGAAGAGTTCTCAGTAACTTTTTTGTGTTGTGTGTATTCAACTCACAGAGTTGAACCTTGCTTTAGAGAGAGCAGATTTGAAACACTCTTGCTGTGGCATTTTCAGGTGGAGATTTCAAGCGATTTGAGGACAATTGCAGAAAAGGAAATATCTTCGTATAATAACCAGACAGAATCATTCTCAGAAAGTGCTTTGTGATGTGTGCGTTCAACTCACAGAGTTTAACCTTTCTTTTCATAGAGGAGTTTGGAAACACACTGTTTGTAATGTCTGCAAGTGGATATATGGACCTGTTTGAGGCCTTCTTTGGAAACGGGATTTCTTCATTGAATGCTAGACGGAAGAATTCTCAGTAAATTCTTTGTGTTTTGTGCATTCAACTCACAGAGTGGAACGTCCCTTTAGACAGAGCAGATTTGAAACACTCTTTTTGCGGAATTTGCAAGTGGAGATTTCTAGCCATTTGATGCCAACAGTAGAAAGGGAAATATCTTCAAATAAAAACCAGACAGAAATCATTCTCAGAAAATTCTTTGTGATGTGTGCGTTCAACTCACATAGTTTAACCTTTCTTTTCATAGAGCAGTTTGGAAACACTCTGTTTGTAAAGTCTGCAAGTGGATATATGGACCGCATTGAGGCCTTCGTTGGAAACGGGATTTCTTCATTTCATGCTAGACAGAAGAATTCTCAGTAACTTCTCTGTGCTGTGTGTATTCAACTCACAGACTGGAACGTCCGTTTGCACAGAGCAGATTTGAAACACTCTTTTTGTGGAATTTGCAAGTGGAGATTTCAAGCGATTTGATGCCAACAGTAGAAAAGGAAATATCTTCAAATAAAAACTAGACAGAACCATTCTCAGAAACTACTTTGTGATGTGTGCCTTCAACTCACAGAGTTTAACCTTTCTTTTCTTAGAGCAGTTTAGAAACACTCTGCTTGTTATGTCTGCAAGTGGATATTTGGACCTCTTTGAGGCCTTCGTTGCAAACGGGGTTTCTTCCTTTCATGCTAGACTAAGAAGAGTTCTCAGTAACTTTTTTGTGTTGTGTGTATTCAACTCACAGAGTTGAACCTTGCTTTAGAGAGAGCAGATTTGAAACACTCTTGCTGTGGCATTTTCAGGTGGAGATTTCAAGCGATTTGAGGACAATTGCAGAAAAGGAAATATCTTCCGTATAATAACCAGACAGAATCATTCTCAGAAAGTGCTTTGTGATGTGTGTGTTCAACTCACAGAGTTTAACCTTTCTTTTCATAGAGGAGTTTGGAAACACACTGTTTGTAAAGTCTGCAATTGGATATATGGACCTGTTTGAGGCCTTCGTTGGAAACGGGATTTCTTCATTGAATGCTAGACGGAAGAATTCTCAGTAAATTCTTTGTGTTGTGTGCATTCAACTCACAGAGTGGAACGTCCCTTTAGACAGAGCAGATTTGAAACACTCTTTTTGCGGAATTTGCAAGTGGAGATTTCTAGCCATTTGATGCCAACAGTAGAAAGGGAAATATCTTCAAATAAAAACCAGACAGAATCATTCTCAGAAAATTCTTTGTGATGTGTGCGTTCAACTCACATAGTTTAACCTTTCTTTTCTTAGAGCAGTTTAGAAACACTCTGCTTGTTATGTCTGCAAGTGGATATTTGGACCTCTTTGAGGCCTTCGTTGCAAACGGGGTTTCTTCCTTTCATGCTAGACTAAGAAGAGTTCTCAGTAACTTTTTTGTGTTGTGTGTATTCAACTCACAGAGTTGAACCTTGCTTTAGAGAGAGCAGATTTGAAACACTCTTGCTGTGGCATTTTCAGGTGGAGATTTCAAGCGTTTTGAGGACAATTGCAGAAAAGGAAATATCTTCGTATAATAACCAGACAGAATCATTCTCAGAAAGTGCTTTGTGATGTGTGCGTTCAACTCACAGAGTTTAACCTTTCTTTCCATAGAGGAGTTTGGAAACACACTGTTTGTAAAGTCTGCAAGTGGATATATGGACCTCTTTGAGGCCTTCGTTGGAAACGGGATTTCTTCATTGAATGCTAGACGGAAGAATTCTCAGTAAATTCTTTGTGTTGTGTGCATTCAACTGACAGAGTGGAACGTCCCTTTAGACAGAGCAGATTTGAAACACTCTTTTTGCGGAATTTGCAAGTGGAGATTTCTAGCCATTTGATGCCAACAGTAGAAAGGGAAATATCTTCAAATAAAAACCAGACAGAATCATTCTCAGAAAATTCTTTGTGATGTGTGCGTTCAACTCACATAGTTTAACCTTTCTTTTCATAGAGCAGTTTGGAAACACTCTGTTTGTAAAGTCTGCAAGTGGATATATGGATCGCATTGAGGCCTTCGTTGGAAACGGGATTTCTTCATTTCATGCTAGACAGAAGAATTCTCAGCAACTTCTTTGTGCTGTGTGTATTCAACTCACAGAGTGGAACGTCCCTTTACACAGAGCAGATTTGAAACACTCTTTTTGTGGAGTTTGCAAGTGAAGATTTCAAGCGATTTGATGCCAACAGTAGAAAAGGAAATATCTTCAAATAAAAACTAGACAGAATCATTCTCAGAAACTACTTTGTGATGTGTGCCTTCAACTCACAGAGTTTAACCTTTCTTTTCTTAGAGCAGTTTAGAAACACTCTGCTTGTTATGTCTGCAAGTGGATATTTGGACCTCTTTGAGGCCTTCGTTGCAAACGGGGTTTCTTCCTTTCATGCTAGACTAAGAAGAGTTCTCAGTAACTTTTTTGTGTTGTGTGTATTCAACTCACAGAGTTGAACCTTGCTTTAGAGAGAGCAGATTTGAAACACTCTTGCTGTGGCATTTTCAGGTGGAGATTTCAAGCGATTTGAGGACAATTGCAGAAAAGGAAATATCTTCGTATAATAACCAGACAGAATCATTCTCAGAAAGTGCTTTGTGATGTGTGCGTTCCACTCACAGAGTTTAACCTTTCTTTTCATAGAGGAGTTTGGAAACACACTGTTTGTAAAGTCTGCAAGTGGATATATGGACCTGTTTGAGGCCTTCGTTTGGAAACGGGATTTCTTCATTGAATGCTAGGCGGAAGAATTCTCAGTAAATTCTTTGTGTTGAGTGCATTCAACTCACAGTAGTGGAACGTCCCTTTAGACAGAGAAGATTTTAAACACTCTTTTTGCGGAATTTGCAAGTGGAGTTTTCTAGCCATTTGATGCCAACAGTAGAAAGGGAAATATCTTCAAATAAAAACCAGACAGAATCATTCTCAGAAAATTCTTTGTGATGTGTGCGTTCAACTCACATAGTTTTACCTTTCTTTTCATAGAGCAGTTTGGAAACACTCTGTTTGTAAAGTCTGCAAGTGGATATATGGACCGCATTGAGGCCTTCGTTGGAAACGGGATTTCTTCATTTCATGCTAGACAGAAGAATTCTCAGTAACTTCTTTGTGCTGTGTGTATTCAACTCACAGAGTGGAACGTCCCTTTACACAGAGCAGATTTGAAATACTCTTTTTGTGGAGTTTGCAAGTGGAGATTTCAAGCGATTTGATGCCAACAGTAGAAAAGGAAATATCTTCAAATAAAAACTAGACAGAATCATTCTCAGAAACTACTTTGTGATGTGTGCCTTCAACTCACAGAGTTTAACCTTTCTTTTCTTAGAGCAGTTTAGAAACACTCTGCTTGTTATGTCTGCAAGTGGATATTTGGACCTCTTTGAGGCCTTCGTTGCAAACGGGGTTTCTTCCTTTAATGCTAGACTAAGAAGAGTTCTCAGTAACTTTTTTGTGTTGTGTGTATTCAACTCACAGAGTTGAACCTTGCTTTAGAGAGAGCAGATTTGAAACACTCTTGCTGTGGCATTTTCAGGTGGAGATTTCAAGCGATTTGAGGACAATTGCAGAAAAGGAAATATCTTCGTATAATAACCAGACAGAATCATTCTCAGAAAGTGCTTTGTGATGTGTGCGTTCCACTCACAGAGTTTAACCTTTCTTTTCATAGAGGAGTTTGGAAACACACTGTTTGTAAACTCTGCAAGTGGATATATGGACCTGTTTGAGGCCTTCGTTGGAAACGGGATTTCTTCATTGAATGCTAGACGGAAGAATTCTCAGTAAATTCTTTGTGTTGTGTGCATTCAACTCACAGAGTGGAACGTCCCTTTAGACAGAGCAGATTTGAAACACTCTTTTTGCGGAATTTGCAAGTGGAGATTTCTAGCCATTTGATGCCAACAGTAGAAAGGGAAATATCTTCAAATAAAAACCAGACAGAATCATTCTCAGAAAATTCTTTGTGATGTGTGCGTTCAACTCACATAGTTTAACCTTTCTTTTCATAGAGCAGTTTGGAAACACTCTGTTTGTAAAGTCTGCAAGTGGATATATGGACCGCATTGAGGCCTTCGTTGGAAACGGGATTTCTTCATTTCATGCTAGACAGAAAGAATTCTCAGTAACTTCTTTGTGCTGTGTGTATTCAACTCACATAGTGGAACGTCCCTTTGCACAGAGCAGATTTGAAACACTCTTTTTGTGGAGTTTGCAAGTGGATATTTCAAGCGATTTGATGCCAACAGTAGAAAAGGAAATATCTTCAAATAAAAACTAGACAGAATCATTCTCAGAAACTACTTTGTGATGTGTGCCTTCAACTCACAGAGTTTAACCTTTCTTTTCTTAGAGCAGTTTAGAAACACTCTGCTTGTTATGTCTGCAAGTGGATATTTGGACCTCTTTGAGGCCTTCGTTGCAAACGGGGTTTCTTCCTTTCATGCTAGACTAAGAAGAGTTCTCAGTAACTTTTTTGTGTTGTGTGTATTCAACTCACAGAGTTGAACCTTGCTTTAGAGAGAGCAGATTTGAAACACTCTTGCTGTGGCATTTTCAGGTGGAGATTTCAAGCGATTTGAGGACAATTGCAGAAAAGGAAATATCTTCGTATAACCACCAGACAGAATCATTCTCAGAAAGTGCTTTGTGATGTGTGCGTTCCACTCACAGAGTTTAACCTTTCTTTTCATAGAGGAGTTTGGAAACACACTGTTTGTAAAGTCTGCAAGTGGATATATGGACCTGTTTGAGGCCTTCGTTGGAAACGGGATTTCTTCATTGAATGCTAGACGGAAGAATTCTCAGTAAATTCTTTGTGTTGTGTGCATTCAACTGACAGAGTGGAACGTCCCTTTAGACAGAGCAGATTTGAAACACTCTTTTTGCGGAATTTGCAAGTGGAGATTTCTAGCCATTTGATGCCAACAGTAGAAAGGGAAATATCTTCAAATAAAAACCAGACAGAATCATTCTCAGAAAATTCTTTGTGATGTGTGCGTTCAACTCACAATAGTATAACCTTTCTTTTCATAGAGCAGTTTGGAAACACTCTGTTTGTAAAGTCTGCAAGTGGATATATGGACCGCATTGAGGCCTTCGTTGGAAACGGGATTTCTTCATTTCATGCTAGACAGAAGAATTCTCAGTAACTTCTTTGTGCTGTGTGTATTCAACTCACAGAGTGGAACGTCCCTTTGCACAGAGCAGATTTGAAACACTCTTTTTGTGGAATTTGCAAGTGGAGATTTCAAGCGATTTGATGCCAACAGTAGAAAAGGAAATATCTTCAAATAAAAACTAGACAGAATCATTCTCAGAAACTACTTTGTGATGTGTGCCTTCAACTCACAGAGTTTAACCTTTCTTTTATTAGAGCAGTTTAGAAACACTCTGCTTGTTATGTCTGCAAGTGGATATTTGGACCTCTTTGAGGCCTTCGTTGCAAACGGGGTTTCTTCCTTTCATGCTAGACTAAGAAGAGTTCTCAGTAACTTTTTTGTGTTGTGTGTATTCAACTCACAGAGTTGAACCTTGCTTTAGAGAGAGCAGATTTGAAACACTCTTGCTGTGGCATTTTCAGGTGGAGATTTCAAGCGATTTGAGGACAATTGCAGAAAAGGAAATATCTTCGTATAATAACCAGACAGAATCATTCTCAGAAAGTGCTTTGTGATGTGTGCGTTCAACTCACAGAGTTTAACCTTTCTTTTCATAGAGGAGTTTGGAAACACACTGTTTGTAAAGTCTGCAAGTGGATATATGGACCTCTTTGAGGCCTTCGTTGGAAACGGGATTTCTTCATTGAATGCTAGACGGAAGAATTCTCAGTAAATTCTTTGTGTTGTGTGCATTCAACTCACAGAGTGGAACGTCCCTTTAGACAGAGCAGATTTGAAACACTCTTTTTGCGGAATTTGCAAGTGGAGATTTCTAGCCATTTGATGCCAACAGTAGAAAGGGAAATATCTTCAAATAAAAACCAGACAGAATCATTCTCAGAAAATTCTTTGTGATGTGTGCGTTCAACTCACATAGTTTAACCTTTCTTTTCATGGAGCAGTTTGGAAACACTCTGTTTGTAAAGTCTGCAAGTGGATATATGGACCGCATTGAGGCCTTCGTTGGAAACGGGATTTCTTCATTTCATGCTAGACAGAAGAATTCTCAGTAACTTCTTTGTGCTGTGTGTACTCAACTCACAAAGTGGAACGTCCCTTTGCACAGAGCAGATTTGAAACACTCTTTTTGTGGAGTTTGCAAGTGGAGATTTCAAGCGATTTGATGCCAACAGTAGAAAAGGAAATATCTTCAAATAAAAACTAGACAGAATCATTCTCAGAAACTACTTTGTGATGTGTGCCTTCAACTCACAGAGTTTAACCTTTCTTTTCTTAGAGCAGTTTAGAAACACTCTGCTTGTTATGTCTGCAAGTGGATATTTGGACCTCTTTGAGGCCTTCGTTGCAAACGGGGTTTCTTCCTTTCATGCTAGACTAAGAAGAGTTCTCAGTAACATTTTTGTGTTGTGTGTATTCAACTCACAGAGTTGAACCTTGCTTTAGAGAGAGCAGATTTGAAACACTCTTGCTGTGGCATTTTCAGGTGGAGATTTCAAGCGATTTGAGGACAATTGCAGAAAAGGAAATATCTTCGTATAATAACCAGACAGAATCATTCTCAGAAAGTGCTTTGTGATGTGTGCGTTCCACTCACAGAGTTTAACCTTTCTTTTCATAGAGGAGTTTGGAAACAAACTGTTTGTAAACTCTGCAAGTGGATATATGGACCTGTTTGAGGCCTTCGTTGGAAACGGGATTTCTTCATTGAATGCTAGACGGAAGAATTCTCAGTAAATTCTTTGTGTTGTGTGCATTCAACTCACAGAGTGGAACGTCCCTTTAGACAGAGCAGATTTGAAACACTCTTTTTGCGGAATTTGCAAGTGGAGATTTCTAGCCATTTGATGCCAACAGTAGAAAGGGAAATATCTTCAAATAAAAACCAGACAGAATCATTCTCAAAAAATTCTTTGTGATGTGTGCGTTCAACTCACATAGTTTAACCTTTCTTTTCATAGAGCAGTTTGGAAACACTCTGTTTGTAAAGTCTGCAAGTGGATATATGGACCGCATTGAGGCCTTCGTTGGAAACGGGATTTCTTCATTTCATGCTAGACAGAAGAATTCTCAGTAACTTCTTTGTGCTGTGTGTATTCAACTCACAGAGTGGAACGTCCCTTTGCACAGAGCAGATTTGAAACACTCTTTTTGTGGAATTTGCAAGTGGAGATTTCAAGCGATTTGATGCCAACAGTAGAAAAGGAAATATCTTCAAATAAAAACTAGACAGAATCATTCTCAGAAACTACTTTGTGATGTGTGCCTTCAACTCACAGAGTTTAACCTTTCTTTTCTTAGAGCAGTTTAGAAACACTCTGCTTGTTATGTCTGCAAGTGGATATTTGGACCTCTTTGAGGCCTTCGTTGCAAACGGGGTTTCTTCCTTTCATGCTAGACTCAGAAGAGTTCTCAGTAACTTTTTTGTGTTGTGTGTATTCAACTCACAGAGTTGAACCTTGCTTTAGAGAGAGCAGATTTGAAACACTCTTGCTGTGGCATTTTCAGGTGGAGATTTCAAGCGATTTGAGGACAATTGCAGAAAAGGAAATATCTTCGTATAACAACCAGACAGAATCATTCTCAGAAAGTGCTTTGTGATGTGTGCGTTCAACTCACAGAGTTTAACCTTTCTTTTCATAGAGGAGTTTGGAAACACACTGTTTGTAAAGTCTGCAATTGGATATATGGACCTGTTTGAGGCCTTCGTTGGAAACGGGATTTCTTCATTGAATGCTAGACGGAAGAATTCTCAGTAAATTCTTTGTGTTGTGTGCATTCAACTGACAGAGTGGAACGTCCCTTTAGACAGAGCAGATTTGAAACACTCTTTTTGCGGAATTTGCAAGTGGAGATTTCTAGCCATTTGATGTCAACAGTAGAAAGGGAAATATCTTCAAATAAAAACCAGACAGATAAATTCTCAGAAAATTCTTTGTGATGTGTGCGTTCAACTCGCATAGTTTAACCTTTCCTTTCATAGAGCAGTTTAGAAACACTCTGTTTGTAATGTCTGCAAGTGGATACATGGACCTCTTTGAGGACTTCGTTGGAAACGGGATTTCTTCATTTTATGCTAGACAGAAGAATTCTCAGTAACTTACTTGTGTTGTGTTTATTCAACTCACAGAGTGGAACGTCCCTTTACACAGAGCAGATATGAAACACTCTTTTTCTGGAATTTGCAAGTGGAGATTTCAAGCGATTTGATGCCAACAGTAGAAAAGGAAATATCTTCAAATAAAACCTAGACAGAATCATTCTCAGAAACTACTTTGTGATGTGTGCCTTCAACTCACAGTGTTTAACCCTTCTTTTCTTAGAGCAGTTTAGAAACACTCTGCTTGTAATGTCTGCAAGTGGATATTTGGACCTCTTTGAGGCCTTCGTTGCAAACGGGATTTCTTCATTTCATGCTAGACTAAGAAGAGTTCTCAGTAACTGTTTTGTGTTGTGTGTATTCAACTCACAGTGTTGAACCTTTCTATAGAGAGAGCAGATTTGAAACACTCTTGCTGTGCAATTTTCAGGTGGAGATTTCAAGCGATTTGAGGACAATTGCAGAAAAGGAAATATCTTCGTATAAAAACCAGAGAGAATCATTCTCAGCAAGTGCTTTCTTATGTGTGCGTTCAACTCACAGAGTTTAACCTTCCTTTTCATAGAGCAGTTTGGAAACACACTGTTTGTTATGTCTGTAAGTGGATATTTGGACCTGTTTGAGGCCTTCTTTGGAAACGGGCTTTTTTCATATAATGCTAGATGGAAGAATTCTCAGTAAATTCTTTGTGTTGTCTGCATTCAACTCACAGAGTGGAACGTCCTTTTAGACAGAGCAGATTTGAAACACTCTTTGTCTGGAATTTGCAAATGGAGATTTCAAGCGATTTGATGACAACAGTAGAAAAGGAAATATCTTCAAATAAAAACCAGACAGAATCATTCTCAGAAAGTGCTTTGTGATGTGTGCGTTCAACTCACAGAGTTTAACCTTTCTTTTCATAGAGGAGTTTGGAAACACACTGTTTGTAAAGTCTGCAAGTGGATATATGGACCTGTTTGAGGCCTCCGTTGGAAACGGGATTTCTTCATTGAATGCTAGACGGAAGAATTCTCAGTAAATTCTTTGTGTTGTGTGCATTCAACTCACAGAGTGGAACGTCCCTTTAGACAGAGCAGATTTGAAACACTCTTTTTGCGGAATTTGCAAGTGGAGATTTCTAGCCATTTGATGCCAACAGTAGAAAGGGAAATATCTTCAAATAAAAACCAGACAGAATCATTCTCAGAAAATTCTTTGTGATGTGTGCGTTCAACTCACATAGTTTAACCTTTCTTTTCATAGAGCAGTTTGGAAACACTCTGTTTGTAAAGTCTGCAAGTGGATATATGGACCGCATTGAGGCCTTCGTTGGAAACGGGATTTCTTCATTTCATGCTAGACAGAAGAATTCTCAGTAACTTCTTTGTGCTGTGTGTATTCAACTCACAGAGTGGAACGTCCCTTTGCACAGAGCAGATTTGAAACACTCTTTTTGTGGAATTTGCAAGTGGAGATTTCAAGCGATTTGATGCCAACAGTAGAAAAGGAAATATCTTCAAATAAAAACTAGACAGAATCATTCTCAGAAACTACTTTGTGATGTGTGCCTTCAACTCACAGAGTTTAACCTTTCTTTTCTTAGAGCAGTTTAGAAACACTCTGCTTGTTATGTCTGCAAGTGGATATTTGGACCTCTTTGAGGCCTTCGTTGCAAACGGGGTTTCTTCCTTTAATGCTAGACTAAGAAGAGTTCTCAGTAACTTTTTTGTGTTGTGTGTATTCAACTCACAGAGTTGAACCTTGCTTTAGAGAGAGCAGATTTGAAACACTCTTGCTGTGGCATTTTCAGGTGGAGATTTCAAACGATTTGAGGACAATTGCAGAAAAGGAAATATCTTCGTATAACAACCAGACAGAATCATTCTCAGCAAAGTGCTTTGTGATGTGTGCGTTCAACTCACAGAGTTTAACCTTTCTTTTCATAGAGGAGTTTGGAAACACACTGTTTGTAATGTCTGCAATTGGATATATGGACCTGTTTGAGGCCTTCGTTGGAAACGGGATTTCTTCATTGAATGCTAGACGGAAGAATTCTCAGTAAATTCTTTGTGTTGTGTGCATTCAACTCACAGAGTGGAACGTCCCTTTAGACAGAGCAGATTTGAAACACTCTTTTTGCGGAATTTGCAAGTGGAGATTTCTAGCCATTTGATGCCAACAGTAGAAAGGGAAATATCTTCAAATAAAAACCAGACAGAATCATTCTCAGAAAATTCTTTGTGATGTGTGCATTCAACTCACATAGTTTAACCTTTCTTTTCATAGAGCAGTTTGGAAACACTCTGTTTGTAAAGTCTGCAAGTGGATATATGGACCGCATTGAGGCCTTCGTTGGAAACGGGATTTCTTCATTTCATGCTAGACAGAAGAATTCTCAGTAACTTCTTTGTGCTGTGTGTATTCAACTCACAGAGTGGAACGTCCCTTTACACAGAGCAGATTTGAAACACTCTTTTTGTGGAGTTTGCAAGTGGAGATTTCAAGCGATTTGATGCCAACAGTAGAAAAGGAAATATCTTCAAATAAAAACTAGACAGAATCATTCTCAGAAACTACTTTGTGATGTGTGCCTTCAACTCACAGAGTTTAACCTTTCTTTTCTTAGAGCAGTTTAGAAACACTCTGCTTGTTATGTCTGCAAGTGGATATTTGGACCTCTTTGAGGCCTTCGTTGCAAACGGGGTTTCTTCCTTTCATGCTAGACTAAGAAGAGTTCTCAGTAACTTTTTTGTGTTGTGTGCATTCAACTCACAGAGTTGAACCTTGCTTTAGAGAGAGCAGATTTGAAACACTCTTGCTGTGGCATTTTCAGGTGGAGATTTCAAGCGATTTGAGGACAATTGCAGAAAAGGAAATATCTTCGTATAACAACCAGACAGAATCATTCTCAGAGAGTGCTTTGTGATGTGTGCGTTCCACTCACAGAGTTTAACCTTTCTTTTCATAGAGGAGTTTGGAAACACACTGTTTGTAAAGTCTGCAATTGGATATATGGACCTGTTTGAGGCCTTCGTTGGAAACGGGATTTCTTCATTGAATGCTAGACGGAAGAATTCTCAGTAAATTCTTTGTGTTGTGTGCATTCAACTCACAGAGTAGAACGTCCCTTTAGGCAGAGCAGATTTGAAACACTCTTTTTGCGGAATTTGCAAGTGGAGATTTCTAGCCATTTGATGCCAACAGTAGAAAGGGAAATATCTTCAAATAAAAACCAGACAGAATCATTCTCAGAAAATTCTTTGTGATGTGTGCGTTCAACTCACATAGTTTAACCTTTCTTTTCATAGAGCAGTTTGGAAACACTCTGTTTGTAAAGTCTGCAAGTGGATATATGGACCGCATTGAGGCCTTCGTTGGAAACGGGATTTCTTCATTTCATGCTAGACAGAAGAATTCTCAGTAACTTCTTTGTGCTGTGTGCATTCAACTCACAGAGTGGAACGTCCCTTTGCACAGAGCAGATTTGAAACACTCTTTTTGTGGAATTTGCAAGTGGAGATTTCAAGCGATTTGATGCCAACAGTAGAAAAGGAAATATCTTCAAATAAAAACTAGACAGAACCATTCTCAGAAAGTACTTTGTGATGTGTGCCTTCAACTCACAGAGTTTAACCTTTCTTTTCTTAGAGCAGTTTAGAAACACTCTGCTTGTTATGTCTGCAAGTGGATATTTGGACCTCTTTGAGGCCTTCGTTGCAAACGGGGTTTCTTCCTTTCATGCTAGACTAAGAAGAGTTCTCAGTAACTTTTTTGTGTTGTGTGTATTCAACTCACAGAGTTGAACCTTGCTTTAGAGAGAGCAGATTTGAAACACTCTTGCTGTGGCATTTTCAGGTGGAGATTTCAAGCGATTTGAGGACAATTGCAGAAAAGGAAATATCTTCGTATAATAACCAGACAGAATCATTCTCAGAAAGTGCTTTGTGATGTGTGCGTTCAACTCACAGAGTTTAACCTTTCTTTTCATAGAGGAGTTTGGAAACACACTGTTTGTAAACTCTGCAAGTGGATATATGGACCTGTTTGAGGCCTTCGTTGGAAACGGGATTTCTTCATTGAATGCTAGACGGAAGAATTCTCAGTAAATTCTTTGTGTTGTGTGCATTCAACTCACAGAGTGGAACCGTCCCTTTAGACAGAGCAGATTTGAAACACTCTTTTTGCGGAATTTGCAAGTGGAGATTTCTAGCCATTTGATGCCAACAGTTGAAAGGGAAATATCTTCAAATAAAAACCAGACAGAATCATTCTCAGAAAATTCTTTCTAATGTGTGCGTTCAACTCACATAGTTTAACCTTTCTTTTCATAGAGCAGTTTGGAAACACTCTGTTTGTAAAGTCTGCAAGTGGATATATGGACCGCATTGAGGCCTTCGTTGGAAACGGGATTTCTTCATTTCATGCTAGACAGAAGAATTCTCAGTAACTTCTTTGTGCTGTGTGTATTCAACTCACAGAGTGGAACGTCCCTTTGCACAGAGCAGATTTGAAACACTCTTTTTGTGGAGTTTGCAAGTGGAGATTTCAAGCGATTTGATGCCAACAGTAGAAAAGGAAATATCTTCAAATAAAAACTAGACAGAATCATTCTCAGAAACTACTTTGTGATGTGTGCCTTCAACTCACAGTGTTTAACCTTTCTTTTCTTAGAGCAGTTTAGAAACACTCTGCTTGTTATGTCTGCAAGTGGATATTTGGACCTCTTTGAGGCCTTCGTTGCAAACGGCGTTTCTTCCTTTAATGCTAGACTAAGGAGAGTTCTCAGTAACTTTTTTGTGTTGTGTGTATTCAACTCACAGAGTTGAACCTTGCTTTAGAGAGAGCAGATTTGAAACACTCTTGCTGTGGCATTTTCAGGTGGAGATTTCAAGCGATTTGAGGACAATTGCAGAAAAGGAAATATCTTCGTATAATAACCAGACAGAATCATTCTCAGAAAGTGCTTTGTGATGTGTGCGTTCAACTCACAGAGTTTAACCTTTCTTTTCATAGAGGAGTTTGGAAACACACTGTTTGTAAAGTCTGCAGGTGGATACATGGACCTGTTTGAGGCCTTCGTTGGAAACGGGATTTCTTCATTGAATGCTAGACGGAAGAATTCTCAGTAAATTCTTTGTGTTGTGTGCATTCAACTCACAGAGTGGAACGTCCCTTTAGACAGAGCAGATTTGAAACACTCTTTTTGCGGAATTTGCAAGTGGAGATTTCTAGCCATTTGATGCCAACAGTAGAAAGGGAAATATCTTCAAATAAAAACCAGACAGAATCATTCTCAGAAAATTCTTTGTGATGTGTGCGTTCAACTCACATAGTTTAACCTTTCTTTTCATAGAGCAGTTTGGAAACACTCTGTTTGTAAAGTCTGCAAGTGGATATATGGACCGCATTGAGGCCTTCGTTGGAAACGGGATTTCTTCATTTCATGCTAGACAGAAGAATTCTCAGTAACTTCTTTGTGCTGTGTGTATTCAACTCACAGAGTGGAACGTCCTTTTGCACAGAGCAGATTTGAAACACTCTTTTTGTGGAATTTGCAAGTGGAGATTTCAAGCGATTTGATGCCAACAGTAGAAAAGGAAATATCTTCAAATAAAAACTAGACAGAATCATTCTCAGAAACTACTTTGTGATGTGTGCCTTCAACTCACAGAGTTTAACCTTTCTTTTCTTAGAGCAGTTTAGAAACACTCTGCTTGTTATGTCTGCAAGTGGATATTTGGACCTCTTTGAGGCCTTCGTTGCAAACGGGGTTTCTTCCTTTAATGCTAGACTAAGAAGAGTTCTCAGTAACTTTTTTGTGTTGTGTGTATTCAACTCACAGAGTTGAACCTTGCTTTAGAGAGAGCAGATTTGAAACACTCTTGCTGTGGCATTTTCAGGTGGAGATTTCAAGCGATTTGAGGACAATTGCAGAAAAGGAAATATCTTCGTATAACAACCAGACAGAATCATTCTCAGAAAGTGCTTTGTGATGTGTGCGTTCAACTCACAGAGTTTAACCTTTCTTTTCATAGAGGAGCTTGGAAACACACTGTTTGTAAAGTCTGCAATTGGATATATAGACCTGTTTGAGGCCTCCGTTGGAAACGGAATTTCTTCATTGAATGCTAGACGGAAGAATTCTCAGTAAATTCTTTGTGTTGTGTGCATTCAACTCACAGAGTGGAACGTCCCTTTAGACACAGCAGATTTGAAACACTCTTTTTGCGGAATTTGCAAGTGGAGATTTCTAGCCATTTGATGCCAACAGTAGAAAGGGAAATATCTTCAAATAAAAACCAGACAGAATCATTCTCAGAAAATTCTTTGTGATGTGTGCGTTCAACTCACATAGTTTAACCTTTCTTTTCATAGAGCAGTTTGGAAACACTCTGTTTGTAAAGTCTGCAAGTGGATATATGGACCGCATTGAGGCCTTCGTTGGAAACGGGATTTCTTCATTTCATGCTAGACAGAAGAATTCTCAGTAACTTCTTTGTGCTGTGTGTATTCAACTCACATAGTGGAACGTCCCTTTGCACAGAGCAGATTTGAAACACTCTTTTTGTGGAGTTTGCAAGTGGAGATTTCAAGCGATTTGATGCCAACAGTAGAAAAGGAAATATCTTCAAATAAAAACTAGACAGAATCATTCTCAGAAACTACTTTGTGATGTGTGCCTTCAACTCACAGAGTTTAACCTTTCTTTTCTTAGAGCAGTTTAGAAACACTCTGCTTGTTATGTCTGCAAGTGGATATTTGGACCTCTTTGAGGCCTTCGTTGCAAACGGGGTTTCTTCCTTTCATGCTAGACTAAGAAGAGTTCTCAGTAACTTTTTTGTGTTGTGTGTATTCAACTCACAGAGTTGAACCTTGCTTTAGAGAGAGCAGATTTGAAACACTCTTGCTGTGGCATTTTCAGGTGGAGATTTCAAGCGATTTGAGGACAATTGCAGAAAAGGAAATATCTTCGTATAATAACCAGACAGAATCATTCTCAGAAAGTGCTTTGTGATGTGTGCGTTCCACTCACAGAGTTTAACCTTTCTTTTCATAGAGGAGTTTGGAAACACACTGTTTGTAAAGTCTGCAAGTGGATATATGGACCTCTTTGAGGCCTTCGTTGGAAACGGGATTTCTTCATTGAATGCTAGACGGAAGAATTCTCAGTAAATTCTTTGTGTTGTGTGCATTCAACTCACAGAGTGGAACGTCCCTTTAGACAGAGCAGATTTGAAACACTCTTTTTGCGGAATTTGCAAGTGGAGATTTCTAGCCATTTGATGCCAACAGTAGAAAGGGAAATATCTTCAAATAAAAACCAGACAGAATCATTCTCAGAAAATTCTTTGTGATGTGTGCGTTCAACTCACATAGTTTAACCTTTCTTTTCATAGAGCAGTTGGGAAACACTCTGTTTGTAGAGTCTGCAAGTGGATATATGGACCGCATTGAGGCCTTCGTTGGAAACGGGATTTCTTCATTTCATGCTAGACAGAAGAATTCTCAGTAACTTCTTTGTGCTGTGTGTATTCAACTCACAGAGTGGAACGTCCCTTTGCACAGAGCAGATTTGAAACACTCTTTTTGTGGAATTTGCAAGTGGAGATTTCAAGCGATTTGATGCCAACAGTAGAAAAGGAAATATCTTCAAATAAAAACTAGACAGAATCATTCTCAGAAACTACTTTGTGATGTGTGCCTTCAACTCACAGAGTTTAACCTTTCTTTTCTTAGAGCAGTTTAGAAACACTCTGCTTGTTATGTCTGCAAGTGGATATTTGGACCTCTTTGAGGCCTTCGTTGCAAACGGGGTTTCTTCCTTTAATGCTAGACTAAGAAGAGTTCTCAGTAACTTTTTTGTGTTGTGTGTATTCAACTCACAGAGTTGAACCTTGCTTTAGAGAGAGCAGATTTGAAACACTCTTGCTGTGGCATTTTCAGGTGGAGATTTCAAGCGATTTGAGGACAATTGCAGAAAAGGAAATATCTTCGTATAACAACCAGACAGAATCATTCTCAGAAAGTGCTTTGTGATGTGTGCGTTCAACTCACAGAGTTTAACCTTTCTTTTCATAGAGGAGTTTGGAAACACACTGTTTGTAAAGTCTGCAATTGGATATATGGACCTGTTTGAGGCCTTCGTTGGAAACGGGATTTCTTCATTGAATGGTAGACGGAAGAATTCTCAGTAAATTCTTTGTGTTGTGTGCATTCAACTCACAGAGTGGAACGTCCCTTTAGACAGAGCAGATTTGAAACACTCTTTTTGCGGAATTTGCAAGTGGAGATTTCTAGCCATTTGATGCCAACAGTAGAAAGGGAAATATCTTCAAATAAAAACCAGACAGAATCATTCTCAGAAAATTCTTTGTGATGTGTGCGTTCAACTCACATAGTTTTACCTTTCTTTTCATAGAGCAGTTTGGAAACACTCTGTTTGTAAAGTCTGCAAGTGGATATATGGACCGCATTGAGGCCTTCGTTGGAAACGGGATTTCTTCATTTCATGCGAGACAGAAGAATTCTCAGTAACTTCTTTGTGCTGTGTGTATTCAACTCACAGAGTGGAACGTCCCTTTACACAGAGCAGATTTGAAACACTCTTTTTGTGGAGTTTGCAAGTGGAGATTTCAAGCGATTTGATGCCAGCAGTAGAAAAGGAAATATCTTCAAATAAAAACTAGACAGAATCATTCTCAGAAACTACTTTGTGATGTGTGCCTTCAACTCACAGAGTTTAACCTTTCTTTTCTTAGAGCAGTTTAGAAACACTCTGCTTGTTATGTCTGCAAGTGGATATTTGGACCTCTTTGAGGCCTTCGTTGCAAACGGGGTTTCTTCCTTTCATGCTAGACTAAGAAGAGTTCTCAGTAACTTTTTTGTGTTGTGTGTATTCAACTCACAGAGTTGAACCTTGCTTTAGAGAGAGCAGATTTGAAACACTCTTGCTGTGGCATTTTCAGGTGGAGATTTCAAGCGATTTGAGGACAATTGCAGAAAAGGAAATATCTTCGTATAATAACCAGACAGAATCATTCTCAGAAAGTGCTTTGTGATGTGTGCATTCCACTCACAGAGTTTAACCTTTCTTTTCATAGAGGAGTTTGGAA
The DNA here is from genome assembly GCF_000001405.40 of Homo sapiens. Classification (NCBI taxonomy): domain Eukaryota; kingdom Metazoa; phylum Chordata; class Mammalia; order Primates; family Hominidae; genus Homo; species Homo sapiens. The sequence continues at coordinate 60,146,394 of NC_000007.14, forward strand.
ACACACTGTTTGTAAAGTCTGCAAGTGGATATATGGACCTCTTTGAGGCCCTTCGTTGGAAACGGGATTTCTTCATTGAATGCTAGACGGAAGAATTCTCAGTAAATTCTTTGTGTTGTGTGCATTCAACTCACAGAGTGGAACGTCCCTTTAGACAGAGCAGATTTGAAACACTCTTTTTGCGGAATTTGCAAGTGGAGATTTCTAGCCATTTGATGCCAACAGTAGAAAGGGAAATATCTTCAAATAAAAACCAGACAGAATCATTCTCAGAAAATTCTTTGTGATGTGTGCGTTCAACTCACATAGTTTAACCTTTCTTTTCATAGAGCAGTTTGGAAACACTCTGTTTGTAAAGTCTGCAAGTGGATATATGGACCGCATTGAGACCTTCGTTGGAAACGGGATTTCTTCATTTCATGCTAGACAGAAGAATTCTCAGTAACTTCTTTGTGCTGTGTGTATTCAACTCACAGAGTGGAACGTCCCTTTGCACAGAGCAGATTTGAAACACTCTTTTTGTGGAGTTTGCAAGTGGAGATTTCAAGCGATTTGATGCCAACAGTAGAAAAGGAAATATCTTCAAATAAAAACTAGACAGAATCATTCTCAGAAAATTCTTTGTGATGTGTGCCTTCAACTCACAGAGTTTAACCTTTCTTTTCTTAGAGCAGTTTAGAAACACTCTGCTTGTTATGTCTGCAAGTGGATATTTGGACCTCTTTGAGGCCTTCGTTGCAAACGGGGTTTCTTCCTTTCATGCTAGACTAAGAAGAGTTCTCAGTAACTTTTTTGTGTTGTGTGTATTCAACTCACAGAGCTGAACCTTGCTTTAGAGAGAGCAGATTTGAAACACTCTTGCTGTGGCATTTTCAGGTGGAGATTTCAAGCGATTTGAGGACAATTGCAGAAAAGGAAATATCTTCGTATAACAACCAGACAGAATCATTCTCAGAAAGTGCTTTGTGATGTGTGCGTTCCACTCACAGAGTTTAACCTTTCTTTTCATAGAGGAGTTTGGAAACACACTGTTTGTAAACTCTGCAAGTGGATATATGGACCTGTTTGAGGCCTTCGTTGGAAACGGGATTTCTTCATTGAATGCTAGACGGAAGAATTCTCAGTAAATTCTTTGTGTTGTGTGCATTCAACTCACAGAGTGGAACGTCCCTTTAGACAGAGCAGATTTGAAACACTCTTTTTGCGGAATTTGCAAGTGGAGATTTCTAGCCATTTGATGCCAACAGTAGAAAGGGAAATATCTTCAAATAAAAACCAGACAGAATCATTCTCAGAAAATTCTTTGTGATGTGTGCGTTCAACTCACATAGTTTAACCTTTCTTTTCATAGAGCAGTTTGGAAACACTCTGTTTGTAAAGTCTGCAAGTGGATATATGGACCGCATTGAGGCCTTCGTTGGAAACGGGATTTCTTCATTTCATGCTAGACAGAAGAATTCTCAGTAACTTCTTTGTGCTGTGTGTATTCAACTCACAGAGTGGAACGTCTCTTTACACAGAGCAGATTTGAAACACTCTTTTTGTGGAGTTTGCAAGTGGAGATTTCAAGCGATTTGATGCCAACAGTAGAAAAGGAAATATCTTCAAATAAAAACTAGACAGAATCATTCTCAGAAACTACTTTGTGATGTGTGCCTTCAACTCACAGAGTTTAACCTTTCTTTTCTTAGAGCAGTTTAGAAACACTCTGCTTGTTATGCCTGCAAGTGGATATTTGGACCTCTTTGAGGCCTTCGTTGCAAACGGGGTTTCTTCCTTTCATGCTAGACTAAGAAGAGTTCTCAGTAACTTTTTTGTGTTGTGTGTATTCAACTCACAGAGTTGAACCTTGCTTTAGAGAGAGCAGATTTGAAACACTCTTGCTGTGGCATTTTCAGGTGGAGATTTCAAGCGATTTGAGGACAATTGCAGAAAAGGAAATATCTTCGTATAATAACCAGACAGATTCATTCTCAGAAAGTGCTTTGTGATGTGTGCGTTCAACTCACAGAGTTTAACCTTTCTTTCCATAGAGGAGTTTGGAAACACAGTGTTTGTAAAGTCTGCAATTGGATATATGGACCTGTTTGAGGCCTTCGTTGGAAACGGGATTTCTTCATTGAATGCTAGACCGAAGAATTCTCAGTAAATTCTTTGTGTTGTGTGCATTCAACTGACAGAGTGGAACGTCCCTTTGGACATAGCAGATTTGAAACACTCTTTTTGCGGAATTTGCAAGTGGAGATTTCTAGCCATTTGATGCCAACAGTAGAAAGGGAAACATCTTCAAATAAAAACCAGACAGAATCATTCTCAGAAAATTCTTTGTGATGTGTGCGTTCAACTCACATAGTTTAACCTTTCTTTTCATAGAGCAGTTTGGAAACACTCTGTTTGTAAAGTCTGCAAGTGGATATATGGACCGCATTGAGGCCTTCGTTGGAAACGGGATTTCTTCATTTCATGCTAGACAGAAGAATTCTCAGTAACTTCTTTGTGCTGTGTGTATTCAACTCACAGAGTGGAACGTCCCTTTGCACAGAGCAGATTTGAAACACTCTTTTTGTGGAGTTTGCAAGTGGAGATTTCAAGCGATTTGATGCCAACAGTAGAAAAGGAAATATCTTCAAATAAAAAGTAGACAGAATCATTCTCAGAAACTACTTTGTGATGTGTGCCTTCAACTCACAGAGTTTAACCTTTCTTTTCTTAGAGCAGTTTAGAAACACTCTGCTTGTTATGTCTGCAAGTGGATATTTGGACCTCTTTGAGGCCTTCGTTGCAAACGGGGTTTCTTCCTTTCATGCTAGACTAAGAAGAGTTCTCAGTAACTTTTTTGTGTTGTGTGTATTCAACTCACAGAGTTGAACCTTGCTTTAGAGAGAGCAGATTTGAAACACTCTTGCTGTGGCATTTTCAGGTGGAGATTTCAAGCGATTTGAGGACAATTGCAGAAAAGGAAATATCTTCGTATAATAACAAGACAGAATCATTCTCAGAAAGTGCTTTGTGATGTGTGCGTTCCACTCACAGAGTTTAACCTTTCTTTTCATAGAGGAGTTTGGAAACACACTGTTTGTAAAGTCTGCAAGTGGATATATGGACCTGTTTGAGGCCTTCGTTGGAAACGGGATTTCTTCATTGAATGCTAGACGGAAGAATTCTCAGTAAATTCTTTGTGTTGTGTGCATTCAACTCACAGAGTGGAACGTCCCTTTAGACAGAGCAGATTTGAAACACTCTTTTTGCGGAATTTGCAAGTGGAGATTTCTAGCCATTTGATGCCAACAGTAGAAAGGGAAATATCTTCAAATAAAAACCAGACAGAATCATTCTCAGAAAATTCTTTGTGATGTGTGCGTTCAACTCACATAGTTTAACCTTTCTTTTCATAGAGCAGTTTGGAAACACTCTGTTTGTAAAGTCTGCAAGTGGATATATGGACCGCATTGAGGCCTTCGTTGGAAACGGGATTTCTTCATTTCATGCTAGACAGAAGAATTCTCAGTAACTTCTTTGTGCTGTGTGTATTCAACTCACAGAGTGGAACGTCCCTTTGCACAGAGCAGATTTGAAACACTCTTTTTGTGGAGTTTGCAAGTGGAGATTTCAAGCGATTTGATGCCAACAGTAGAAAAGGAAATATCTTCAAATAAAAACTAGACAGAATCATTCTCAGAAACTACTTTGTGATGTGTGCCTTCAACTCACAGAGTTTAACCTTTCTTTTCTTAGAGCAGTTTAGAAACACTCTGCTTGTTATGTCTGCAAGTGGATATTTGGACCTCTTTGAGGCCTTCGTTGCAAACGGGGTTTCTTCCTTTAATGCTAGACTAAGAAGAGTTCTCAGTAACTTTTTTGTGTTGTGTGTATTCAACTCACAGAGTTGAACCTTGCTTTAGAGAGAGCAGATTTGAAACACTCTTGCTGTGGCATTTTCAGGTGGAGATTTCAAGCGATTTGAGGACAATTGCAGAAAAGGAAATATCTTCCGTATAATAACCAGACAGAATCATTCTCAGAAAGTGCTTTGTGATGTGTTCGGTTCAACTCACAGAGTTGAACCTTTCTTTTCATAGAGGAGTTTGGAAACACACTGTTTGTAAAGTCTGCAAGTGGATATATGGACCTGTTTGAGGCCTTCGTTGGAAACGGCATTTCTTCATTGAATGCTAGACGGAAGAATTCTCAGTAAATTCTTTGTGTTGTGTGCATTGAACTCACAGAGTGGAACGTCCCTTTAGACAGAGCAGATTTGAAACACTCTTTTTGCGGAATTTGCAAGTGGAGATTTCTAGCCATTTGATGTCAACAGTAGAAAGGGAAATATCTTCAAATAAAAACCAGACAGAATCATTCTCAGAAAATTCTTTGTGATGTGTGCGTTCAACTCACATAGTTTAACCTTTCTTTTCATAGAGCAGTTTGGAAACACTCTGTTTGTAAAGTCTGCAAGTGGATATATGGACCGCATTGAGGCCTTCGTTGGAAACGGGATTTCTTCATTTCATGCTAGACAGAAGAATTCTCAGTAACTTCTTTGTGCTGTGTGTATTCAACTCACAGAGTGGAACGTCCCTTTGCACAGAGCAGATTTGAAACACTCTTTTTGTGGAATTTGCAAGTGGAGATTTTAAGCGATTTGATGCCAACAGTAGAAAAGGAAATATCTTCAAATAAAAACTAGACAGAATCATTCTCAGAAACTACTTTGTGATGTGTGCCTTCAACTCACAGAGTTTAACCTTTCTTTTCTTAGAGCAGTTTAGAAACACTCTGTTTGTTATGTCTGCAAGTGGATATTTGGACCTCTTTGAGGCCTTCGTTGCAAACGGGGTTTCTTCCTTTCATGCTAGACTAAGAAGAGTTCTCAGTAACTTTTTTGTGTTGTGTGTATTCAACTCACAGAGTTGAACCTTGCTTTAGAGAGAGCAGATTTGAAACACTCTTGCGGTGGCATTTTCAGGTGGAGATTTCAAGCGTTTTGAGGACAATTGCAGAAAAGGAAATATCTTCGTATAATAACCAGACAGAATCATTCTCAGCAAAGTGCTTTGTGATGTGTGCGTTCCACTCACAGAGTTTGACCTTTCTTTTCATAGAGGAGTTTGGAAACAAACTGTTTGTAAACTCTGCAAGTGGATATATGGACCTGTTTGAGGCCTTCGTTGGAAACGGGATTTCTTCATTGAATGCTAGACGGAAGAATTCTCAGTAAATTCTTTGTGTTGTGTGCATTCAACTCACAGAGTGGAACGTCCCTTTAGACAGAGCAGATTTGAAACACTCTTTTTGCGGAATTTGCAAGTGGAGATTTCTAGCCATTTGATGCCAACAGTAGAAAGGGAAATATCTTCAAATAAAAACCAGACAGAATCATTCTCAGAAAATTCTTTGTGATGTGTGCGTTCAACTCACATAGTTTAACCTTTCTTTTCATAGAGCAGTTTGGAAACACTCTGTTTGTAAAGTCTGCAAGTGGATATATGGACCGCATTGAGGCCTTCGTTGGAAACGGGATTTCTTCATTTCATGCTAGACAGAAGAATTCTCAGTAACTTCTTTGTGCTGTGTGTATTCAACTCACAGAGTGGAACGTCCCTTTGCACAGAGCAGATTTGAAACACTCTTTGTGGAATTTGCAAGTGGAGATTTCAAGCGATTTGATGCCAACAGTAGAAAAGGAAATATCTTCAAATAAAAACTAGACAGAATCATTTAGAAACTACTTTGTGATGTGTGCCTTCAACTCACAGAGTTTAACCTTTCTTTTCTTAGAGCAGTTTAGAAACACTCTGCTTGTTATGTCTGCAAGTGGATATTTGGACCTCTTTGAGGCCTTCTTTGGAAACGGGATTTCTTCATTGAATGCTAGACGGAAGAGTTCTCAGTAACTTTTTTGTGTTGTGTGTATTCAACTCACAGAGTTGAACCTTGCTTTAGAGAGAGCAGATTTGAAACACTCTTGCTGTGGCATTTTCAGGTGGAGATTTCAAGCGATTTGAGGACAATTACAGAAAAGGAAATATCTTCGTATAACAACCAGACAGAATCATTCTCAGAAAGTGCTTTGTGATGTGTGCGTTCAACTCACAGAGTTTAACCTTTCTTTTCATAGAGGAGTTTGGAAACACACTGTTTGTAAAGTCTGCAATTGGATATATGGACCTGTTTGAGGCCTTCGTTGGAAACGGGATTTCTTCATTGCATGCTAGACGGAAGAATTCTCAGTAAATTCTTTGTGTTGTGTGCATTCAACTCACAGAGTGGAACGTCCCTTTAGACAGAGCAGATTTGAAACACTCTTTTTGCGGAATTTGCAAGTGGAGATTTCTAGCCATTTGATGCCAACAGTAGAAAGGGAAATATCTTCAAATAAAAACCAGACAGAATCATTCTCAGAAAATTCTTTGTGATGTGTGCGTTCAACTCACATAGTTTAACCTTTCTTTTCATAGAGCAGTTTGGAAACACTCTGTTTGTAAAGTCTGCAAGTGGATATATGGACCGCATTGAGGCCTTCGTTGGAAACGGGATTTCTTCATTTCATGCTAGACAGAAGAATTCTCAGTAACTTCTTTGTGCTGTGTGTATTCAACTCACAGAGTGGAACGTCCCTTTGCACAGAGCAGATTTGAAACACTCTTTTTGTGGAATTTGCAAGTGGAAATTTCAAGCGATTTGATGCCAACAGTAGAAAAGGAAATATCTTCAAATAAAAACTAGACAGAATCATTCTCAGAAACTACTTTGTGATGTGTGCCTTCAACTCACAGAGTTTAACCTTTCTTTTCTTAGAGCAGTTTAGAAACACTCTGCTTGTTATGTCTGCAAGTGGATATTTGGACCTCTTTGAGGCCTTCGTTGCAAACGGGGTTTCTTCCTTTCATGCTAGACTAAGAAGAGTTCTCAGTAACTTTTTTGTGTTGTGTGTATTCAACTCACAGAGTTGAACCTTGCTTTAGAGAGAGCAGATTTGAAACACTCTTGCTGTGGCATTTTCAGGTGGAGATTTCAAGCGAATTGAGGACAATTGCAGAAAAGGAAATATCTTCGTATAATAACCAGACAGAATCATTCTCAGAAAGTGCTTTGTGATGTGTGCGTTCAACTCACAGAGTTTAACCTTTCTTTTCATAGAGGAGTTTGGAAACACACTGTTTGTAAAGTCTGCAATTGGATATATGGACCTGTTTGAGGCCTTCGTTGGAAACGGGATTTCTTCATTGAATGCTAGACGGAAGAATTCTCAGTAAATTCTTTGTGTTGTGTGCATTCAACTCACAGTGTGGAACGTCCCTTTAGACAGAGCAGATTTGAAACACTCTTTTTGCGGAATTTGCAAGTGGAGATTTCTAGCCATTTGATGCCAACAGTAGAAAGGGAAATATCTTCAAATAAAAACCAGACAGAATCATTCTCAGAAAATTCTTTGTGATGTGTGCGTTCAACTCACATAGTTTAACCTTTCTTTTCATAGAGCAGTTTGGAAACACTCTGTTTGTAAAGTCTGCAAGTGGATATATGGACCGCATTGAGGCCTTCGTTGGAAACGGGATTTCTTCATTTCATGCTAGACAGAAGAATTCTCAGTAACTTCTTTGTGCTGTGTGTATTCAACTCACAGAGTGGAACGTCCCTTTACACAGAGCAGATTTGAAACACTCTTTTTGTGGAGTTTGCAAGTGGAGATTTCAAGCGATTTGATGCCAACAGTAGAAAAGGAAATATCTTCAAATAAAAACTAGACAGAATCATTCTCAGAAACTACTTTGTGATGTGTGCCTTCAACTCACAGAGTTCAACCTTTCTTTTCTTAGAGCAGTTTAGAAACACTCTGCTTCTTATGTCTGCAAGTGGATATTTGGACCTCTTTGAGGCCTTCGTTGCAAACGGGGTTTCTTCCTTTAATGCTAGACTAAGAAGAGTTCTCAGTAACTTTTTTGTGTTGTGTGTATTCAACTCACAGAGTTGAACCTTGCTTTAGAGAGAGCAGATTTGAAACACTCTCGCTGTGGAATTTTCAGGTGGAGATTTCAAGCGATTTGAGGACAATTGCAGAAAAGGAAATATCTTCGTATAATTACCAGACAGAATCATTCTCAGAAAGTGCTTTGGGTTGTGTGCGTTCAACTCACAGAGTTTAACCTTTCTTTTCATAGAGGAGTTTGGAAACACACTGTTTGTAAAGTCTGCAATTGGATATATGGACCTGTTTGAGGCCTCCGTTGGAAACGGGATTTCTTCATTGAATGCTAGACGGAAGAATTCTCAGTAAATTCTTTGTGTTGTGTGCATTCAACTCACAGAGTGGAACGTCCCTTTAGACAGAGCAGATTTGAAACACTCTTTTTGCGGAATTTGCAAGTGGAGATTTCTAGCCATTTGATGCCAACAGTAGAAAGGGAAATATCTTCAAATAAAAACCAGACAGAATCATTCTCAGAAAATTCTTTGTGATGTGTGCGTTCAACTCACATAGTTTAACCTTTCTTTTCATAGAGCAGTTTGGAAACACTCTGTTTGTAAAGTCTGCAAGTGGATATATGGACCGCATTGAGGCCTTCGTTGGAAACGGGATTTCTTCATTTCATGCTAGACAGAGGAATTCTCAGTAACTTCTTTGTGCTGTGTGTATTCAACTCACAGAGTGGAACGTCCCTTTACACAGAGCAGATTTGAAACACTCTTTTTGTGGAGTTTGCAAGTGGAGATTTCAAGCGATTTGATGCCAACAGTAGAAAAGGAAATATCTTCAAATAAAAACTAGACAGAATCATTCTCAGAAACTACTTTGTGATGTGTGCCTTCAACTCACAGAGTTTAACCTTTCTTTTCTTAGAGCAGTTTAGAAACACTCTGCTTGTTATGTCTGCAAGTGGATATTTGGACCTCTTTGAGGCCTTCGTTGCAAACGGGGTTTCTTCCTTTCATGCTAGACTAAGAAGAGTTCTCAGTAACATTTTTGTGTTGTGTGTATTCAACTCACAGAGTTGAACCCTGCTTTAGAGAGAGCAGATTTGAAACACTCTTGCTGTGGCATTTTCAGGTGGAGATTTCAAGCGATTTGAGGACAATTGCAGAAAAGGAAATATCTTCGTATAACAACCAGACAGAATCATTCTCAGAAAGTGCTTTGTGATGTGTGCGTTCAACTCACAGAGTTTAACCTTTCTTTTCATAGAGGAGTTTGGAAACACACTGTTTGTAAAGTCTGCAATTGGATATATGGACCTGTTTGAGGCCTTCGTTGGAAACGGGATTTCTTCATTGCATGCTAGACGGAAGAATTCTCAGTAAATTCTTTGTGTTGTGTGCATTCAACTGACAGAGTGGAACGTCCCTTTAGACAGAGCAGATTTGAAACACTCTTTTTGCGGAATTTGCAAGTGGAGATTTCTAGCCATTGATGCCAACAGTAGAAAGGGAAATATCTTCAAATAAAAACCAGACAGAATCATTCTCAGAAAATTCTTTGTGATGTGTGCGTTCAACTCACATAGTTTAACCTTTCTTTTCATAGAGCAGTTTGGAAACACTCTGTTTGTAAAGTCTGCAAGTGGATATATGGACCGCATTGAGGCCTTCGTTGGAAACGGGATTTCTTCATTTCATGCTAGACAGAAGAATTCTCAGTAACTTCTTTGTGCTGTGTGTATTCAACTCACAGAGTGGAACGTCCCTTTACACAGAGCAGATTTGAAACACTCTTTTTGTGGAGTTTGCAAGTGGAGATTTCAAGCGATTTGATGCCAACAGTAGAAAAGGAAATATCTTCAAATAAAAACTAGACAGAATCATTCTCAGAAACTACTTTGTGATGTGTGCCTTGAACTCACAGAGTTTAACCTTTCTTTTCTTAGAGCAGTTTAGAAACACTCTGCTTGTTATGTCTGCAAGTGGATATTTGGACCTCTTTGAGGCCTTCGTTGCAAACGGGGTTTCTTCCTTTAATGCTAGACTAAGAAGAGTTCTCAGTAACTTTTTTGTGTTGTGTGGATTCAACTCACAGAGTTGAACCTTGCTTTAGAGAGAGCAGATTTGAAACACTCTTGCTGTGGCATTTTCAGGTGGAGATTTCAAGCGATTTGAGGACAATTGCAGAAAAGGAAATATCTTCGTATAATAACCAGACAGAATCATTCTCAGAAAGTGCTTTGTGATGTGTGCGTTCAACTCACAGAGTTTAACCTTTCTTTTCATAGAGGAGTTTGGAAACACACTGTTTGTAAAGTCTGCAAGTGGATATATTGACCTGTTTGAGACCTTCGTTGGAAACGGGATTTCTTCATTGAATGCTAGACGGAAGAATTCTCAGTAAATTCTTTGTGTTGTGTGCATTCATCTCACCGAGAGGAACGTCCTTGTAGACAGAGCAGATTTGAAACACTCTTTTTGCGAAATTTGGAAGTGGAGATTTCAAGCCATTTGATGCCAACAGTAGAAAGGGAAATATCTTCAAATAAAAACCAGACAGAATCATTCTCAGAAAATTCTTTGTGATGTGTGCGTTCAACTCACATAGTTTAACCTTTCTTTTCATAGAGCAGTTTGGAAACACTCTGTTTGTAAAGTCTGCAAGTGGATATATGGACCGCATTGAGGCCTTCGTTGGAAACGGGATTTCTTCATTTCATGCTAGACAGAAGAATTCTCAGTAACTTCTTTGTGCTGTGTGTATTCAACTCACAGAGTGGAACGTCCCTTTGCACAGAGCAGATTAGAAACACTCTTTTTGTGGAATTTGCAAGTGGAGATTTCAAGCGATTTGATGCCAACAGTAGAAAAGGAAATATCTTCAAATAAAAACTAGACAGAATCATTCTCAGAAACTACTTTGTGATGTGTGCCTTCAACTCACAGAGTTTAACCTTTCTTTTCTTAGAGCAGTTTAGAAACACTCTGCTTGTTATGTCTGCAAGTGGATATTTGGACCTCTTTGAGGCCTTCGTTGCAAACGGGGTTTCTTCCTTTAATGCTAGACTAAGAAGAGTTCTCAGTAACTTTTTTGTGTTGTGTGTATTCAACTCACAGAGTTGAACCTTGCTTTAGAGAGAGCAGATTTGAAACACTCTCGCTGTGGCATTTTCAGGTGGAGATTTCAAGCGATTTGAGGACAATTGCAGAAAAGGAAATATCTTCGTATAATAACCAGACAGAATCATTCTCAGAAAGTGCTTTGTGATGTGTGCGTTCAACTCACAGAGTTTAACCTTTCTTTTCATAGAGGAGTTTGGAAACACACTGTTTGTAAAGTCTGCAATTGGATATATGGACCTGTTTGAGGCCTTCGTTGGAAACGGGATTTCTTCATTGAATGCTAGACGGAAGAATTCTCAGTAAATTCTTTGTGTTGTGTGCATTCAACTCACAGAGTGGAACGTCCCTTTAGACAGAGCAGATTTGAAACACTCTTTTTGCGGAATTTGCAAGTGGAGATTTCTAGCCATTTGATGCCAACAGTAGAAAGGGAAATATCTTCAAATAAAAACCAGACAGAATCATTCTCAGAAAATTCTTTGTGATGTGTGCGTTTAACTCACATAGTTTAACCTTTCTTTTCATAGAGCAGTTTGGAAACACTCTGTTTGTAAAGTCTGCAAGTGGATATATGGACCGCATTGAGGCCTTCGTTGGAAACGGGATTTCTTCATTTCATGCTAGACAGAAGAATTCTCAGTAACTTCTCTGTGCTGTGTGTATTCAACTCACATACTGGAACGTCCGTTTGCACAGAGCAGATTTGAAACACTCTTTTTGTGGAATTTGCAAGTGGAGATTTCAAGCGATTTGATGCCAACAGTAGAAAAGGAAATATCTTCAAATAAAAACTAGACAGAATCATTCTCAGAAACTACTTTGTGATGTGTGCCTTCAACTCACAGAGTTTAACCTTTCTTTTCTTAGAGCAGTTTAGAAACACTCTGCTTGTTATGTCTGCAAGTGGATATTTGGACCTCTTTGAGGCCTTCGTTGCAAACGGGGTTTCTTCCTTTCATGCTAGACTAAGAAGAGTTCTCAGTAACTTTTCTGTGTTGTGTATATTCAACTCACAGAGTTGAACCTTGCTTTAGAGAGAGCAGATTTGAAACACTCTTGCTGTGGCATTTTCAGGTGGAGATTTCAAGCGTTTTGAGGACAATTGCAGAAAAGGAAATATCTTCGTATAATAACCAGACAGAATCATTCTCAGAAAGTGCTTTGTGATGTGTGCGTTCCACTCACAGAGTTTAACCTTTCTTTTCATAGAGGAGTTTGGAAACACACTGTTTGTAAACTCTGCAAGTGGATATATGGACCTGTTTGAGGCCTTCGTTGGAAACGGGATTTCTTCATTGAATGCTAGACGGAAGAATTCTCAGTAAATTCTTTGTGTTGTGTGCATTCAACTCACAGAGTGGAACGTCCCTTTAGACAGAGCAGATTTGAAACACTCTTTTTGCGGAATTTGCAAGTGGAGATTTCTAGCCATTTGATGCCAACAGTAGAAAGGGAAATATCTTCAAATAAAAACCAGACAGAATCATTCTCAGAAAATTCTTTGTGATGTGTGCGTTCAACTCACATAGTTTAACCTTTCTTTTCATAGAGCAGTTTGGAAACACTCTGTTTGTAAAGTCTGCAAGTGGATATATGGACCGCATTGAGGCCTTCGTTGGAAACGGGATTTCTTCATTTCATGCTAGACAGAAGAATTCTCAGTAACTTCTTTGTGCTGTGTGTATTCAACTCACAGAGTGGAACGTCCCTTTGCACAGAGCAGATTTGAAACACTCTTTTTGTGGAGTTTGCAAGTGGAGATTTCAAGCGATTTGATGCCAACAGTAGAAAAGGAAATATCTTCAAATAAAAACTAGACAGAATCATTCTCAGAAACTACTTTGTGATGTGTGCCTTCAACTCACAGAGTTTAACCTTTCTTTTCTTAGAGCAGTTTAGAAACACTCTGCTTGTTATGTCTGCAAGTGGATATTTGGACCTCTTTGAGGCCTTCGTTGCAAACGGGGTTTCTTCCTTTCATGCTAGACTAAGAAGAGTTCTCAGTAACTTTTTTGTGTTGTGTGTATTCAACTCACAGAGTTGAACCTTGCTTTAGAGAGAGCAGATTTGAAACACTCTTGCTGTGGCATTTTCAGGTGGAGATTTCAAGCGATTTGAGGACAATTGCAGAAAAGGAAATATCTTCGTATAATAACCAGACAGAATCACTCTCAGAAAGTGCTTTGTGATGTGTGCGTTCAACTCACAGAGTTTAACCTTTCTTTCCATAGAGGAGTTTGGAAACACACTGTTTGTAAAGTCTGCAATTGGATATATGGACCTGTTTGAGGCCTTCGTTGGAAACGGGATTTCTTCATTGAATGCTAGACGGAAGAATTCTCAGTAAATTCTTTGTGTGGTGTGCATTCAACTCACAGAGTGGAACGTCCCTTTAGACAGAGCAGATTTGAAACACTCTTTTTGCGGAATTTGCAAGTGGAGATTTCTAGCCATTTGATGCCAACAGTAGAAAGGGAAATATCTTCAAATAAAAACCAGACAGAATCATTCTCAGAAAATTCTTTGTGATGTGTGCGTTCAACTCACATAGTTTAACCTTTCTTTTCATAGAGCAGTTTGGAAACACTCTGTTTGTAAAGTCTGCAAGTGGATATATGGACCGCATTGAGGCCTTCGTTGGAAACGGGATTTCTTCATTTCATGCTAGACAGAAGAATTCTCAGTAACTTCTTTGTGCTGTGTGTATTCAACTTACAGAGTGGAACGTCCCTTTACACAGAGCAGATTTGAAACACTCTTTTTGTGGAGTTTGCAAGTGGAGATTTCAAGCGATTTGATGCCAACAGTAGAAAAGGAAATATCTTCAAATAAAAACTAGACAGAATCATTCTCAGAAACTACTTTGTGATGTGTGCCTTCAACTCACAGAGTTTAACCTTTCTTTTCTTAGAGCAGTTTAGAAACACTCTGCTTGTTATGTCTGCAAGTGGATATTTGGACCTCTTTGAGGCCTTCGTTGCAAACGGGGTTTCTTCCTTTCATGCTAGACTAAGAAGAGTTCTCAGTAACTTTTTTGTGTTGTGTGTATTCAACTCACAGAGTTGAACCTTGCTTTAGAGAGAGCAGATTTGAAACACTCTTGCTGTGGCATTTTCAGGTGGAGATTTCAAGCGATTTTAGGACAATTGCAGAAAAGGAAATATCTTCGTATAATAACCAGACAGAATCATTCTCAGAAAGTGCTTTGTGATGTGTGCGTTCCACTCACAGAGTTTAACCTTTCTTTTCATAGAGGAGTTTGGAAACACACTGTTTGTAAAGTCTGCAAGTGGATATATGGACCTGTTTGAGGCCTTCGTTGGAAACGGGATTTCTTCATTGAATGCTAGACGGAAGAATTCTCAGTAAATTCTTTGTGTTGTGTGCATTCAACTCACAGAGTGGAACGTCCCTTTAGACAGAGCAGATTTGAAACACTCTTTTTGCGGAATTTGCAAGTGGAGATTTCTAGCCATTTGATGCCAACAGTAGAAAGGGAAACATCTTCAAATAAAAACCAGACAGAATCATTCTCAGAAAATTCTTTGTGATGTGTGCGTTCAACTCACATAGTTTAACCTTTCTTTTCATAGAGCAGTTTGGAAACACTCTGTTTGTAAAGTCTGCAAGTGGATATATGGACCGCATTGAGGCCTTCGTTGGAAACGGGATTTCTTCATTTCATGCTAGACAGAAGAATTCTCAGCAACTTCTTTGTGCTGTGTGTATTCAACTCACAGAGTGGAACGTCCCTTTGCACAGAGCAGATTTGAAACACTCTTTTTGTGGAATTTGCAAGTGGAGATTTCAAGCGATTTGATGCCAACAGTAGAAAAGGAAATATCTTCAAATAAAAACTAGACAGAATCATTCTCAGAAACTACTTTGTGATGTGTGCCTTCAACTCACAGAGTTTAACCTTTCCTTTCTTAGAGCAGTTCAGAAACACTCTGCTTGTTATGTCTGCAAGTGGATATTTGGACCTCTTTGAGGCCTTCGTTGCAAACGGGGTTTCTTCCGTTCATGCTAGAGTAAGAAGAGTTCTCAGTAACTTTTTTGTGTTGTGTGTATTCAACTCACAGAGTTGAACCTTGCTTTAGAGAGAGCAGATTTGAAACACTCTTGCTGTGGCATTTTCAGGTGGAGATTTCAAGCGATTTGAGGACAATTGCAGAAAAAGAAATATCTTCGTATAACAACCAGACAGAATCATTCTCAGAAAGTGCTTTGTGATGTGTGCGTTCCACTCACAGAGTTTAACCTTTCTTTTCATAGAGGAGTTTGGAAACACACTGTTTGTAAAGTCTGCAAGTGGATATATGGACCTGTTTGAGGCCTTCGTTGGAAACGGGATTTCTTCATTGAATGCTAGACGGAAGAATTCTCAGTAAATTCTTTGTGTTGTGTGCATTCAACTCACAGAGTGGAACGTCCCTTTAGACAGAGCAGATTCGAAACACTCTTTTTGCGGAATTTGCAAGTGGAGATTTCTAGCCATTTGATGCCAACAGTAGAAAGGGAAATATCTTCAAATAAAAACCAGACAGAATCATTCTCAGAAAATTCTTTGTGATGTGTGCGTTCAACTCACATAGTTTAACCTTTCTTTTCATAGAGCAGTTTGGAAACACTCTGTTTGTAAAGTCTGCAAGTGGATATATGGACCGCATTGAGGCCTTCGTTGGAAACGGGATTTCTTCATTTCATGCTAGACAGAAGAATTCTCAGTAACTTCTTTGTGCTGTGTGTATTCAACTCACAGAGTGGAACGTCCCTTTGCACAGAGCAGATTTGAAACACTCTTTTTGTGGAATTTGCAAGTGGAGATTTCAAGCGATTTGATGCCAACAGTAGAAAAGGAAATATCTTCAAATAAAAACTAGACAGAATCATTCTCAGAAACTACTTTGTGATGTGTGCCTTCAACTCACAGAGTTTAACCTTTCTTTTCTTAGAGCAGTTTAGAAACACTCTGCTTGTTATGTCTGCAAGTGGATATTTGGACCTCTTTGAGGCCTTCGTTGCAAACGGGGTTTCTTCCTTTCATGCTAGACTAAGAAGAGTTCTCAGTAACTTTTCTGTGTTGTGTATATTCAACTCACAGAGTTGAACCTTGCTTTAGAGAGAGCAGATTTGAAACACTCTTGCTGTGGCATTTTCAGGTGGAGATTTCAAGCGTTTTGAGGACAATTGCAGAAAAGGAAATATCTTCGTATAATAACCAGACAGAATCATTCTCAGAAAGTGCTTTGTGTTGTGTGCGTTCAACTCACAGAGTTTAACCTTTCTTTTCATAGAGGAGTTTGGAAACACACTGTTTGTAAAGTCTGCAATTGGATATATGGACCTGTTTGAGGCCTTCGTTGGAAACGGGATTTCTTCATTGAATGCTAGACGGAAGAATTCTCAGTAAATTCTTTGTGTTGTGTGCATTCAACTGACAGAGTGGAACGTCCCTTTAGACAGAGCAGATTTGAAACACTCTTTTTGCGGAATTTGCAAGTGGAGATTTCTAGCCATTAGATGCCAACAGTAGAAAGGGAAATATCTTCAAATAAAAACCAGACAGAATCATTCTCAGAAAATTCTTTGTGATGTGTGCGTTCAACTCACATAGTTTAACTTTTCTTTTCATACAGCAGTTTGGAAACACTCTGTTTGTAAAGTCTGCAAGTGGATATATGGACCGCATTGAGGCCTTCGTTGGAAACGGGATTTCTTCATTTCATGCTAGACAGAAGAATTCTCAGTAACTTCTTTGTGCTGTGTGTATTCAACTCACAGAGTGGAACGTCCCTTTACACAGAGCAGATTTGAAACACTCTTTTTGTGGAATTTGCAAGTGGAGATTTCAAGCAATTTGATGCCAACAGTAGAAAAGGAAATATCTTCAAATAAAAACTAGACAGAATCATTCTCAGAAACTACTTTGTGATGTGTGCCTTCAACTCACAGAGTTTAACCTTTCTTTTCTTAGAGCAGTTTAGAAACACTCTGCTTGTTATGTCTGCAAGTGGATATTTGGACCTCTTTGAGGCCTTTGTTGCAAACGGGGTTTCTTCCTTTAATGCTAGACTAAGAAGAGTTCTCAATAACTTTTTTGTGTTGTATGTATTCAACTCACAGAGTTGAACCTTGCTTTAGAGAGAGCAGATTTGAAACACTCTTGCTGTGGCATTTTCAGGTGTAGATTTCAAGCGATTTGAGGACAATTGCAGAAAAGGAAATATCTTCGTATAATAACCAGACAGAATCATTCTCAGAAAGTGCTTTGTGATGTGTGCGTGCAACTCACAGAGTTTAACCTTTCTTTTCATAGAGGAGTTTGGAAACACACTGTTTGTAAAGTCTGCAAGTGGATATACGGACCTGTTTGAGGCCTTCATTGGAAACGGGATTTTATCATATAATGCTAGACGGAAGAATTCTCAGTAAATTCTTTGTGTTGTGTGCATTCAACTCACAGAGTGGAACGTCCCTTTAGACAGAGCAGATTTGAAACACTCTTTTTGCGGAATTTGCAAGTGGAGATTTCTAGCCATTTGATGCCAACAGTAGAAAGGGAAATATCTTCAAATAAAAACCAGACAGAATCATTCTCAGAAAATTCTTTGTGATGTGTGCGTTCAACTCACATAGTTTAACCTTTCTTTTCATAGAGCAGTTTGGAAACACTCTGTTTGTAAAGTCTGCAAGTGGATATATGGACCGCATTGAGGCTTCGTTGGAAACGGGATTTCTTCATTTCATGCTAGACAGAAGAATTCTCAGTAACTTCTTTGTGCTGTGTGTATTCAACTCACAGAGTGGAACGTCCCTTTGCACAGAGCAGATTTGAAACACTCTTTTTGTGGAATTTGCAAGTGGAGATTTCAAGCGATTTGATGCCAACAGTAGAAAAGGAAATATCTTCAAATAAAAACTAGACAGAATCATTCTCAGAAACTACTTTGTGATGTGTGCCTTCAACTCACAGAGTTAACCTTTCTTTTCTTAGAGCAGTTTAGAAACACTCTGCTTGTTATGTCTGCAAGTGGATATTTGGACCTCTTTGAGGCCTTCGTTGCAAACGGGGTTTCTTCCTTTAATGCTAGACTAAGAAGAGTTCTCAGTAACTTTTTTGTGTTGTGTGTATTCAACTCACAGAGTTGAACCTTGCTTTAGAGAGAGCAGATTTGAAACACTCTTGCTGTGGCATTTTCAGGTGGAGATTTCAAGCGATTTGAGGACAATTACAGAAAAGGAAATATCTTCGTATAACAACCAGACAGAATCATTCTCAGAAAGTGCTTTGTGATGTGTGCTGTTCAACTCACAGAGTTTAACCTTTCTTTTCATAGAGGAGTTTGGAAACACACTGTTTGTAAAGTCTGCAATTGGATATATGGACCTGTTTGAGGCCTTCGTTGGAAACGGGATTTCTTCATTGCATGCTAGACGGAAGAATTCTCAGTAAATACTTTGTGTTGTGCGCATTCAACTGACAGAGTGGAACGTCCCTTTAGACAGAGCAGATTTGAAACACTCTTTTTGCGGAATTTGCAAGTGGAGATTTCTAGCCATTTGATGCCAACAGTAGAAAGGGAAATATCTTCAAATAAAAACCAGACAGAATCATTCTCAGAAAATTCTTTGTGATGTGTGCGTTCAACTCACATAGTTTAACCTTTCTTTTCATAGAGCAGTTTGGAAACACTCTGTTTGTAAAGTCTGCAAGTGGATATATGGACCGCATTGAGGCCTTCGTTGGAAACGGGATTTCTTCATTTCATGCTAGACAGAAGAATTCTCAGTAACTTCTTTTGTGCTGTGTGTATTCAACTCACAGAGTGGAACGTCCCTTTGCACAGAGCAGATTTGAAACACTCTTTTTGTGGAATTTGCAAGTGGAGATTTCAAGCGATTTGATGCCAACAGTAGAAAAGGAAATATCTTCAAATAAAAACTAGACAGAATCATTTAGAAACTACTTTGTGATGTGTGCCTTCAACTCACAGAGTTTAACCTTTCTTTTCTTAGAGCAGTTTAGAAACACTCTGCTTGTTATGTCTGCAAGTGGATATTTGGACCTCTTTGAGGCCTTCGTTGCAAATGGGGTTTCTTCCTTTAATGCTAGACTAAGAAGAGTTCTCAGTAACTTTTTTGTGTTGTGTGTATTCAACTCACAGAGTTGAACCTTGCTTTAGAGAGAGCAGATTTGAAACACTCTTGCTGTGGCATTTTCAGGTGGAGATTTCAAGCGATTTGAGGACAATTGCAGAAAAGGAAATATCTTCGTATAATAACCAGACAGAATCATTCTCAGAAAGTGCTTTGTGATGTGTGCGTTCAACTCACAGAGTTCAACCTTTCTTTCCATAGAGGAGTTTGGAAACACACTGTTTGTAAAGTCTGCAATTGGATATATGGACCTGTTTGAGGCCTTCGTTGGAAACGGGATTTCTTCATTGAATGCTAGACGGAAGAATTCTCAGTAAATTCTTTGTGTTGTGTGCATTCAACTCACAGAGTGGAACGTCCCTTTAGACAGAGCAGATTTGAAACACTCTTTTTGCGGAATTTGCAAGTGGAGATTTCTAGCCATTTGATGCCAACAGTAGAAAGGGAAATATCTTCAAATAAAAACCAGACAGAATCATTCTCAGAAAATTCTTTGTGATGTGTGCGTTCAACTCACATAGTTTTACCTTTCCTTTCATAGAGCAGTTTGGAAACACTCTGTTTGAAATGTCTGCAAGTGGATATATGGATCGCTTTGAGGCCTTCTTTGGAAACGGGATTTCTTCATTTCATGCTAGACAGAAGAATTCTCAGTAACTTCTTTGTGTTGTGTGTATTCAACTCACAGAGTGGAACATCCCTTTACACAGAGCATATGGAAAAAGTCTTTTTGTGGAATTTGCAAGTGGAGATTTCAAGCGATTTGATGCCAACAGTAGAAAAGGTAATATCGTCAAATAAAAACTACACAGAATCATTCTCAGAAACTACTTTGTGATGTGTGCCTTCAACTCACAGAGTTTAACCTTTCTTTTCTTAGAGCAGTTTAGAAACACTCTGCTTGTTATGTCTGCAAGTGGATATTTGGACCTCTTTGAGGCCTTCGTTGCAAACGGGGTTTCTTCCTTTCATGCTAGACTAAGAAGAGTTCTCAGTAACTTTTTTGTGTTGTGTGTATTCAACTCACAGAGTTGAACCTTGCTTTAGAGAGAGCAGATTTGAAACACTCTTGCTGTGGCATTTTCAGGTGGAGATTTCAAGCGATTTGAGGACAATTGCAGAAAAGGAAATATCTTCGTATAATAACCAGACAGAATCATTCTCAGAAAGTGCTTTGTGATGTGTGCGTTCCACTCACAGAGTTTAACCTTTCTTTTCATAGAGGAGTTTGGAAACACACTGTTTGTAAAGTCTGCAATTGGATATATGGACCTGTTTGAGGCCTTCGTTGGAAACGGGATTTCTTCATTGAATGCTAGACGGAAGAATTCTCAGTAAATTCTTTGTGTTGTGTGCATTCAACTCACAGAGTGGAACGTCCCTTTAGACAGAGCAGATTTGAAACACTCTTTTTGCGGAATTTGCAAGTGGAGATTTCTAGCCATTTGATGCCAACAGTAGAAAGGGAAATATCTTCAAATAAAAACCAGACAGAATCATTCTCAGAAAATTCTTTGTGATGTGTGCGTTCAACTCACATAGTTTAACCTTTCTTTTCATAGAGCAGTTTGGAAACACTCTGTTTGTAAAGTCTGCAAGTGGATATATAGACCGCATTGAGGCCTTCGTTGGAAACGGGATTTCTTCATTTCGTGCTAGACAGAAGAATTCTCAGTAACTTCTTTGTGCTGTGTGTATTCAACTCACAGAGTGGAACGTCCCTTTACACAGAGCAGATTTGAAACACTCTTTTTGTGGAGTTTGCAAGTGGAGATTTCAAGCGATTTGATGCCAACAGTAGAAAAGGAAATATCTTCAAATAAAAACTAGACAGAATCATTCTCAGAAACTACTTTGTGATGTGTGCCTTCAACTCAGAGTTTAACCTTTCTTTTCTTAGAGCAGTTTAGAAACACTCTGCTTGTTATGTCTGCAAGTGGATATTTGGACCTCTTTGAGGCCTTCGTTGCAAACGGGGTTTCTTCCTTTCATGCTAGACTAAGAAGAGTTCTCAGTAACTTTTTTGTGTTGTGTGTATTCAACTCACAGAGTTGAACCTTGCTTTAGAGAGAGCAGATTTGAAACACTCTTGCTGTGGCATTTTCAGGTGGAGATTTCAAGCGATTTGAGGACAATTGCAGAAAAGGAAATATCTTCGTATAATAACCAGACAGAATCATTCTCAGAAAGTGCTTTGTGATGTGTGCGTTCCACTCACAGAGTTTAACCTTTCTTTTCATAGAGGAGTTTGGAAACACACTGTTTGTAAAGTCTGCAAGTGGATATATGGACCTGTTTGAGGCCTTCGTTGGAAACGGGATTTCTTCATTGAATGCTAGGCGGAAGAATTCTCAGTAAATTCTTTGTGTTGTGTGCATTCAACTCACAGAGTGGAACGTCCCTTTAGACAGAGCAGATTTGAAACACTCTTTTTGCGGAATTTGCAAGTGGAGATTTCTAGCCATTTGATGCCAACAGTAGAAAGGGAAATATCTTCAAATAAAAACCAGACAGAATCATTCTCAGAAAATTCTTTGTGATGTGTGCGTTCAACTCACATAGTTTAACCTTTCTTTTCATAGAGCAGTTTGGAAACACTCTGTTTGTGATGTCTGCAAGTGGATATATAGACCGCATTGAGGCCTTCGTTGGAAACGGGATTTCTTCATTTCATGCTAGACAGAAGAATTCTCAGTAACTTCTTTGTGCTGTGTGTATTCAACTCACAGAGTGGAACGTCCCTTTGCACAGAGCAGATTTGAAACACTCTTTTTGTGGAGTTTGCAAGTGGAGATTTCAAGCGATTTGATGCCAACAGTAGAAAAGGAAATATCTTCAAATAAAAACTAGACAGAATCATTCTCAGAAACTACTTTGTGATGTGTGCCTTCAACTCACAGAGTTTAACCTTTCTTTTCTTAGAGCAGTTTAGAAACACTCTGCTTGTTATGTCTGCAAGTGGATATTTGGACCTCTTTGAGGCCTTCGTTGCAAACGGGGTTTCTTCCTTTCATGCTAGACTAAGAAGAGTTCTCAGTAACTTTTTTGTGTTGTGTG
The DNA here is from genome assembly GCF_000001405.40 of Homo sapiens. Classification (NCBI taxonomy): domain Eukaryota; kingdom Metazoa; phylum Chordata; class Mammalia; order Primates; family Hominidae; genus Homo; species Homo sapiens. The sequence continues at coordinate 60,168,651 of NC_000007.14, forward strand.
TATTCAACTCACAGAGTTGAACCTTGCTTTAGAGAGAGCAGATTTGAAACACTCTTGCTGTGGCATTTTCAGGTGGAGATTTCAAGCGATTTGAGGACAATTGCAGAAAAGGAAATATCTTCGTATAATAACCAGACAGAATCATTCTCAGAAAGTGCTTTGTGATGTGTGCGTTCAACTCACAGAGTTTAACCTTTCTTTTCATAGAGGAGTTTGGAAACACACTGTTTCTAAAGTCTGCAATTGGATATATGGACCTGTTTGAATCCTTCGTTGGAAACGGGATTTCTTCATTGAATGCTAGACGGAAGAATTCTCAGTAAATTCTTTGTGTTGTGTGCATTCAACTGACGGAGTGGAACGTCCCTTTAGACAGAGCAGATTTGAAACACTCTTTTTGCGGAATTTGCAAGTGGAGATTTCTAGCCATTTGATGCCAACAGTAGAAAGGGAAATATCTTCAAATAAAAACCAGACAGAATCATTCTCAGAAAATTCTTTGTGATGTGTGCGTTCAACTCACATAGTTTAACCTTTCTTTTCATAGAGCAGTTTGGAAACACTCTGTTTGTAAAGTCTGCAAGTGGATATATGGACCGCATTGAGGCCTTCGTTGGAAACGGGATTTCTTCATTTCATGCTAGACAGAAGAATTCTCAGTAACTTCTTTGTGCTGTGTGTATTCAACTCACAGAGTGGAACGTCCCTTTACACAGAGCAGATTTGAAACACTCTTTTTGTGGAGTTTGCAAGTGGAGATTTCAAGCGATTTGATGCCAACAGTAGAAAAGGAAATATCTTCAAATAAAAACTAGACAGAATCATTCTCAGAAACTACTTTGTGATGTGTGCCTTCAACTCACAGAGTTTAACCTTTCTTTTCTTAGAGCAGTTTAGAAACACTCTGCTTGTTATGTCTGCAAGTGGATATTTGGACCTCTTTGAGGCCTTCGTTGCAAACGGGGTTTCTTCCTTTCATGCTAGACTAAGAAGAGTTCTCAGTAACTTTTTTGTGTTGTGTGTATTCAACTCACAGAGTTGAACCTTGCTTTACAGAGAGCAGATTTGAAACACTCTTGCTGTGGCATTTTCAGGTGGAGATTTCAAGCGATTTGAGGACAATTGCAGAAAAGGAAATATCTTCGTATAATAACCAGACAGAATCATTATCAGAAAGTGCTTTGTGATGTGTGCATTCAACTCACAGAGTTAACCTTTCTTTTCATAAAGGAGTTTGGAAACACACTGTTTGTAAAGTCTGCAATTGGATATATGGACCTGTTTGAGGCCTTCGTTGGAAACGGGATTTCTTCATTGAATGCTAGACGGAAGAATTCTCAGTAAATTCTTTGTGTTGTGTGCATTCAACTCACAGAGTGGAACGTCCCTTTAGACAGAGCAGATTTGAAACACTCTTTTTGCGGAATTTGCAAGTGGAGATTTCTAGCCATTTGATGCCAACAGTAGAAAGGGAAATATCTTCAAATAAAAACCAGACAGAATCATTCTCAGAAAATTCTTTGTGATGTGTGCGTTCAACTCACATAGTTTAACCTTTCTTTTCATAGAGCAGTTTGGAAACACTCTGTTTGTAAAGTCTGCAAGTGGATATATGGACCGCATTGAGGCCCTTCGTTGGAAACGGGATTTCTTCATTTCATGCTAGACAGAAGAATTCTCAGTAACTTCTTTGTGCTGTGTGTATTCAACTCACAGAGTGGAACGTCCCTTTACACAGAGCAGATTTGAAACACTCTTTTTGTGGAGTTTGCAAGTGGAGATTTCAAGCGATTTTATGCCAACAGTAGAAAAGGAAATATCTTCAAATAAAAACTAGACAGAATCATTCTCAGAAACTACTTTGTGATGTGTGCCTTTAACTCACAGAGTTTAACCTTTCTTTTCTTAGAGCAGTTTAGAAACACTCTGCTTGTTATGTCTGCAAGTGGATATTTGGACCTCTTTGAGGCCTTCGTTGCAAACGGGGTTTCTTCCTTTCATGCTAGACTAAGAAGTGTTCTCAGTAACTTTTTTGTGTTGTGTGTATTCAACTCACAGAGTTGAACCTTGCTTTAGAGAGAGCAGATTTGAAACACTCTTGCTGTGGCATTTTCAGGTGGAGATTTCAAGCGATTTGAGGACAATTGCAGAAAAGGAAATATCTTCGTATAATAACCAGACAGAATCATTCTCAGAAAGTGCTTTGTGATGTGTGCGTTCAACTCACAGAGTTTAACCTTTCTTTTCATAGAGGAGTTTGGAAACACACTGTTTGTAAAGTCTGCAATTGGATATATGGACCTGTTTGAGGCCTTCGTTGGAAACGGGATTTCTTCATTGCATGCTAGACGGAAGAATTCTCAGTAAATTCTTTGTGTTGTGTGCATTCAACTCACAGAGTGGAACGTCCCTTTAGACAGAGCAGATTTGAAACACTCTTTTTGCGGAATTTGCAAGTGGAGATTTCTAGCCATTTGATGCCAACAGTAGAAAGGGAAATATCTTCAAATAAAAACCAGACAGAATCATTCTCAGAAAATTCTTTGTGATGTGTGCGTTCAACTCACATAGTTTAACCTTTCTTTTCATAGAGCAGTTTGGAAACACTCTGTTTGTAAAGTCTGCAAGTGGATATATGGACCGCATTGAGGCCTTCGTTGGAAACGGGATTTCTTCATTTCATGCTAGACAGAAGAATACTCAGTAACTTCTTTGTGCTGTGTGTATTCAACTCACAGAGTGGAACGTCCCTTTACACAGAGCAGATTTGAAACACTCTTTTTGTGGAGTTTGCAAGTGGAGATTTCAAGCGATTTGATGCCAACAGTAGAAAAGGAAATATCTTCAAATAAAAACTAGACAGAATCATTCTCAGAAACTACTTTGTGATGTCTGCCTTCAACTCACAGAGTTTAACCTTTCTTTTCTTAGAGCAGTTTAGAAACACTCTGCTTGTTATGTCTGCAAGTGGATATTTGGACCTCTTTGAGGCCTTCGTTGCAAACGGGGTTTCTTCCTTTCATGCTAGACTAAGAAGAGTTCTCAGTAACTTTTTTGTGTTGTGTGTATTCAACTCACAGAGTTGAACCTTGCTTTAGAGAGAGCAGATTTGAAACACTCTTGCTGTGGCATTTTCAGGTGGAGATTTCAAGCGATTTGAGGACAATTGCAGAAAAGGAAATATCTTCGTATAATAACCAGACAGAATCATTCTCAGAAAGTGCTTTGTGATGTGTGCGTTCCACTCACAGAGTTTAACCTTTCTTTTCATAGAGGAGTTTGGAAACACACTGTTTGTAAAGTCTGCAATTGGATATATGGACCTCTTTGAGGCCTTCGTTGGAAACGGGATTTCTTCATTGACTGCTAGACGGAAGAATTCTCAGTAAATTCTTTGTGTTGTGTGCATTCAACTCACAGAGTGGAACGTCCCTTTAGACAGAGCAGATTTGAAACACTCTTTTTGCGGAATTTGCAAGTGGAGATTTCTAGCCATTTGATGCCAACAGTAGAAAGGGAAATATCTTCAAATAAAAACCAGACAGAATCGTTCTCAGAAAATTCTTTGTGATGTGTGCGTTCAACTCACATAGTTTAACCTTTCTTTTCATAGAGCAGTTTGGAAACACTCTGTTTGTAAAGTCTGCAAGTGGATATATGGACCGCATTGAGGCCTTCGTTGGAAACGGGATTTCTTCATTTCATGCTAGACAGAAGAATTCTCAGTAACTTCTTTGTGCTGTGTGTATTCAACTCACAGAGTGGAACGTCCCTTTGCACAGAGCAGATTTGAAACACTCTTTTTGTGGAGTTTGCAAGTGGAGATTTCAAGCGATTTGATGCCAACAGTAGAAAAGGAAATATCTTCAAATAAAAACTAGACAGAATCATTCTCAGAAACTACTTTGTGATGTGTGCCTTCAACTCACAGAGTTTAACCTTTCTTTTCTTAGAGCAGTTTAGAAACACTCTGCTTGTTATGTCTGCAAGTGGATATTTGGACCTCTTTGAGGCCTTCGTTGCAAACGGGGTTTCTTCCTTTCATGCTAGACTAAGAAGAGTTCTCAGTAACTTTTCTGTGTTGTGTGTATTCAACTCACAGAGTTGAACCTTGCTTTAGAGAGAGCAGATTTGAAACACTCTTGCTGTGACATTTTCAGGTGGAGATTTCAAGCGATTTGAGGACAATTGCAGAAAAGGAAATATCTTCGTATAACAACCAGACAGAATCATTCTCAGAAAGTGCTTTGTGATGTGTGCGTTCAACTCACAGAGTTTAACCTTTCTTTTCATAGAGGAGTTTGGAAACACACTGTTTGTAAAGTCTGCAATTGGATATATGGACCTGTTTGAGGCCTTCGTTGGAAACGGGATTTCTTCATTGCATGCTAGACGGAAGAATTCTCAGTAAATTCTTTGTGTTGTGTGCATTCAACTCACAGAGTGGAACGTCCCTTTAGACAGAGCAGATTTGAAACACTCTTTTTGCGGAATTTGCAAGTGGAGATTTCTAGCCATTTGATGGCCAACAGTAGAAAGGGAAATATCTTCAAATAAAAACCAGACAGAATCATTCTCAGAAAATTCTTTGTGATGTGTGCGTTCAACTCACATAGTTTAACCTTTCTTTTCATAGAGCAGTTTGGAAACACTCTGTTTGTAAAGTCTGCAAGTGGATATATGGACCGCATTGAGGCCTTCGTTGGAAACGGGATTTCTTCATTTCATGCTAGACAGAAGAATTCTCAGTAACTTCTTTGTGCTGTGTGTATTCAACTCACAGAGTGGAACGTCCCTTTGCACAGAGCAGATTTGAAACACTCTTTTTGTGGAATTTGCAAGTGGAGATTTCAAACGATTTGATGCCAACAGTAGAAAAGGAAATATCTTCAAATAAAAACTAGACAGAATCATTCTCAGAAACTACTTTGTGATGTGTGCCTTCAACTCACAGAGTTTAACCTTTCTTTTCTTAGAGCAGTTTAGAAACACTCTGCTTGTTATGTCTGCAAGTGGATATTTGGACCTCTTTGAGGCCTTCGTTGCAAACGGGGTTTCTTCCTTTCATGCTAGACTAAGAAGAGTTCTCAGTAACTTTTTTGTGTTGTGTGTATTCAACTCACAGAGTTCAACCTTGCTTTAGAGAGAGCAGATTTGAAACACTCTCGCTGTGGAATTTTCAGGTGGAGATTTCAAGCGATTTGAGGACAATTGCAGAAAAGGAAATATCTTCGTATAATAACCAGACAGAATCATTCTCAGAAAGTACTTTGTGATGTGTGCGTTCAACTCACAGAGTTTAACCTTTCTTTTCATAGAGGAGTTTGGAAACACACTGTTTGTAAAGTCTGCAATTGGATATATGGACCTGTTTGAGGCCTTCGTTGGAAACGGGATTTCTTCATTGAATGCTAGACGGAAGAATTCTCAGTAAATTCTTTGTGTTGTGTGCATTCAACTCACAGAGTGGAACGTCCCTTCAGACAGAGCAGATTTGAAACACTCTTTTTGCGGAATTTGCAAGTGGAGATTTCTAGCCATTTGATGCCAACAGTAGAAAGGGAAATATCTTCAAATAAAAACCAGGCAGAATCATTCTCAGAAAATTCTTTGTGATGTGTGCGTTCAACTCACATAGTTTAACCTTTCTTTTCATAGAGCAGTTTGGAAACACTCTGTTTGTAAAGTCTGCAAGTGGATATATGGACCGCATTGAGGCCTTCGTTGGAAACGGGATTTCTTCATTTCATGCTAGACAGAAGAATTCTCAGTAACTTCTTTGTGCTGTGTGTATTCAACTCACAGAGTGGAACGTCCCTTTGCACAGAGCAGATTTGAAACACTCTTTTTGTGGAGTTTGCAAGTGGAGATTTCAAGCGATTTGATGCCAACAGTAGAAAAGGTAATATCTTCAAATAAAAACTAGACAGAATCATTCTCAGAAACTACTTTGTGATGTGTGCCTTCAACTCACAGAGTTTAACCTTTCTTTTCTTAGAGCAGTTTAGAAACACTCTGCTTGTTATGTCTGCAAGTGGATATTTGGACCTCTTTGAGGCCTTCGTTGCAAACGGGGTTTCTTCCTTTCATGCTAGACTAAGAAGAGTTCTCAGTAACTTTTTTGTGTTGTGTGTATTCAACTCACAGAGTTGAACCTTGCTTTAGAGAGAGCAGATTTGAAACACTCTTGCTGTGGCATTTTCAGGTGGAGATTTCAAGCGATTTGAGGACAATTTCAGAAAAGGAAATATCTTCGTATAATAACCAGACAGAATCATTCTCAGAAAGTGCTTTGTGATGTGTGCGTTCAACTCACAGAGTTTAACCTTTCTTTTCATAGAGGAGTTTGGAAACACACTGTTTGTAAAGTCTGCAAGTGGATATATGGACCTGTTTGAGTTCTTCGTTGGAAACGAGATTTCTTCATTGAATGCTAGACGGAAGAATTCTCAGTAAATTCTTTGTGTTGTGTGCATTCAACTCACACAGTGGAACGTCCCTTTAGACAGAGCAGATTTGAAACACTCTTTTTGCGGAAGTTGCAAGTGGAGATTTCTAGCCATTTGATGCCAACAGTAGAAAGGGAAATATCTTCAAATAAAAACTAGACAGAATCATTCTCAGAAAATTCTTTGTGATGTGTGCGTTCAACTCACATAGTTTAACCTTTCTTTTCATAGAGCAGTTTGGAAACACTCTGTTTGTAAAGTCTGCAAGTGGATATATGGACCGCATTGAGGCCTTCGTTGGAAACGGGATTTCTTCATTTCATGCTAGACAGAAGAATTCTCAGTAACTTCTTTGTGCTGTGTGTATTCAACTCACAGAGTGGAACGTCCCTTTGCACAGAGCAGATTTGAAACACTCTTTTTGTGGAGTTTGCAAGTGGAGATTTCAAGCGATTTGATGCCAACAGTAGAAAAGGAAATATCTTCAAATAAAAACTAGACAGAATCATTCTCAGAAACTACTTTGTGATGTGTGCCTTCAACTCACAGAGTTTAACCTTTCTTTTCTTAGAGCAGTTTAGAAACACTCTGCTTGTTATGTCTGCAAGTGGATATTTGGACCTCTTTGAGGCCTTCGTTGCAAACGGGGTTTCTTCCTTTCATGCTAGACTAAGAAGAGTTCTCAGTAACTTTTTTGTGTTGTGTGTATTCAACTCACAGAGTTGAACCTTGCTTTAGAGAGAGCAGATTTGAAACACTCTTGCTGTGGCATTTTCAGGTGGAGATTTCAAGCGATTTGAGGACAATTGCAGAAAAGGAAATATCTTCGTATAATAACCAGACAGAATCATTCTCAGAAAGTGCTTTGTGATGTGTGCGTTCAACTCACAGAGTTTAACCTTTCTTTTCATAGAGGAGTTTGGAAACACACTGTTTGTAAAGTCTGCAATTGGATATATGGACCTGTTTGAGGCCTTCGTTGGAAACGGGATTTCTTCATTGAATGCTAGACGGAAGAATTCTCAGTAAATTCTTTGTGTTGTGTGCATTCAACTCACAGAGTGGAACGTCCCTTTAGACAGAGCAGATTTGAAACACTCTTTTTGCGGAATTTGCAAGTGGAGATTTCTAGCCATTTGATGCCAACAGTAGAAAGGGAAATATCTTCAAATAAAAACCAGACAGAATCATTCTCAGAAAATTCTTTGTGATGTGTGCGTTCAAATCACATAGTTTAACCTTTCTTTTCATAGAGCAGTTTGGAAACACTCTGTTTGTAAAGTCTGCAAGTGGATATATGGACCGCATTGAGGCCTTCGTTGGAAACGGGATTTCTCCATTTCATGCTAGACAGAAGAATTCTCAGTAACTTCTTTGTGCTGTGTGTATTCAACTCACAGAGTGGAACGTCCCTTTGCGCAGAGCAGATTTGAAACACTCTTTTTGTGGAATTTGCAAGTGGAGATTTCAAGCGATTTGATGCCAACAGTAGAAAAGGAAATATCTTCAAATAAAAACTAGACAGAATCATTCTCAGGAACTACTTTGTGATGTGTGCCTTCAACTCACAGAGTTTAACCTTTCTTTTCTTAGAGCAGTTTAGAAACACTCTGCTTGTTATGTCTGCAAGTGGATATTTGGACCTCTTTGAGGCCTTCGTTGCAAACGGGGTTTCTTCCTTTAATGCTACACTAAGAAGAGTTCTCAGTAACTTTTTTGTGTTGTGTGTATTCAACTCACAGAGTTGAACCTTGCTTTAGAGAGAGCAGATTTGAAACACTCTTGCTGTGGCATTTTCAGGTGGAGATTTCAAGCGATTTGAGGACAATTGCAGAAAAGGAAATATCTTCGTATAACAACCAGACAGAATCATTCTCAGAAAGTGCTTTGTGATGTGTGCGTTCAACTCACAGAGTTTAACCTTTCTTTTCATAGAGGAGTTTGGAAACACACTGTTTGTAAAGTCTGCAATTGGATATATGGACCTGTTTGAGGCCTTCGTTGGAAACGGGATTTCTTCATTGAATGCTAGACGGAAGAATTCTCAGTAAATTCTTTGTGTGGTGTGCATTCAACTCACAGAGTGGAACGTCCCTTTAGACAGAGCAGATTTGAAACACTCTTTTTGCGGAATTTGCAAGTGGAGATTTCTAGCCATTTGATGCCAACAGTAGAAAGGGAAATATCTTCAAATAAAAACCAGACAGAATCATTCTCAGAAAATTCTTTGTGATGTGTGCGTTCAACTCACATAGTTTAACCTTTCTTTTCATAGAGCAGTTTGGAAACACTCTGTTTGTAAAGTCTGCAAGTGGATCTATGGACCGCATTGAGGCCTTCGTTGGAAACGGGATTTCTTCATTTCATGCTAGACAGAAGAATTCTCAGTAACTTCTTTGTGCTGTGTGTATTGAACTCACAGAGTGGAACGTCCCTTTACACAGAGCAGATTTGAAACACTCTTTTTGTGGAGTTTGCAAGTGGAGATTTCAAGCGATTTGATGCCAACAGTAGAAAATGAAATATCTTCAAATAAAAACTAGACAGAATCATTCTCAGAAACTACTTTGTGATGTGTGCCTTCAACTCACAGAGTTTAACCTTTCTTTTCTTAGAGCAGTTTAGAAACACTCTGCTTGTTATGTCTGCAAGTGGATATTTGGACCTCTTTGAGGCCTTCGTTGCAAAAGGGGTTTCTTCCTTTAATGCTAGACTAAGAAGAGTTCTCAGTAACTTTTTTGTGTTGTGTGTATTCAACTCACAGAGCTGAACCTTGCTTTAGAGAGAGCAGATTTGAAACACTCTTGCTGTGGCATTTTCAGGTGGAGATTTCAAGCGATTTGAGGACAATTGCAGAAAAGGAAATATCTTCGTATAACAACCAGACAGAATCATTCTCAGAAAGTGCTTTGTGATGTGTGCGTTCAACTCACAGAGTTTAACCTTTCTTTTCATAGAGGAGTTTGGAAACACACTGTTTGTAAAGTCTGCAATTGGATATATGGACCTGTTTGAGGCCTTCGTTGGAAACGGGATTTCTTCATTGAATGCTAGACGGAAGAATTCTCAGTAAATACTTTGTGTTGTGTGCATTCAACTGACAGAGTGGAACGTCCCTTTAGACAGAGCAGATTTGAAACACTCTTTTTGCGGAATTTGCAAGTGGAGATTTCTAGCCATTTGATGCCAACAGTAGAAAGGGAAATATCTTCAAATAAAAACCAGACAGAATCATTCTCAGAAAATTCTTTGTGATGTGTGCGTTCAACTCACATAGTTTAACCTTTCTTTTCATAGAGCAGTTTGGAAACACTCTGTTTGTAAAGTCTGCAAGTGGATCTATGGACCGCATTGAGGCCTTCGTTGGAAACGGGATTTCTTCATTTCATGCTAGACAGAAGAATTCTCAGTAACTTCTCTGTGCTGTGTGTATTCAACTCACAGACTGGAACGTCCGTTTGCACAGAGCAGATTTGAAACACTCTTTTTGTGGAATTTGCAAGTGGAGATTTCAAGCGATTTGATGCCAACAGTAGAAAAGGAAATATCTTCAAATAAAAACTAGACAGAACCATTCTCAGAAACTACTTTGTGATGTGTGCCTTCAACTCACAGAGTTTAACCTTTCTTTTCTTAGAGCAGTTTAGAAACACTCTGCTTGTTATGTCTGCAAGTGGATATTTGGACCTCTTTGAGGCCTTCGTTGCAAACGGGGTTTCTTCCTTTCATGCTAGACTAAGAAGAGTTCTCAGTAACTTTTTTGTGCTGTGTGTATTCAACTCACAGAGTTGAACCTTGCTTTAGAGAGAGCAGATTTGAAACACTCTTGCTGTGGCATTTTCAGGTGGAGATTTCAAGCGATTTGAGGACAATTGCAGAAAAGGAAATATCTTCGTATAACAACCAGACAGAATCATTCTCAGAAAGTGCTTTATGATGTGTGCGTTCAACTCACAGAGTTTAACCTTTCTTTTCATAGAGGAGTTTGGAAACACACTGTTTGTAAAGTCTGCAATTGGATATATGGACCTGTTTGAGGCCTTCGTTGGAAACGGGATTTCTTCATTGAATGCTAGACGGAAGAATTCTCAGTAAATTCTTTGTGTTGTGTGCATTCAACTCACAGAGTGGAACGTCCCTTTAGACAGAGCAGATTTGAAACACTCTTTTTGCGGAATTTGCAAGTGGAGATTTCTAGCCATTTGATGCCAACAGTAGAAAGGGAAATATCTTCAAATAAAAACCAGACAGAATCATTCTCAGAAAATTCTTTGTGATGTGTGCGTTCAACTCACATAGTTTAACCTTTCTTTTCATAGAGCAGTTTGGAAACACTCTGTTTGTAAAGTCTGCAAGTGGATATATGGACCGCATTGAGGCCTTCGTTGGAAACGGGATTTCTTCATTTCATGCTAGACAGAAGAATTCTCAGTAGCTTCTTTGTGCTGTGTGTACTCAACTCACAGAGTGGAACGTCCCTTTGCACAGAGCAGATTTGAAACACTCTTTTTGTGGAGTTTGAAAGTGGAGATTTCAAGCGATTTGATGCCAACAGTAGAAAAGGAAATATCTTCAAATAAAAACTAGACAGAATCATTCTCAGAAACTACTTTGTGATGTGTGCCTTCAACTCACAGAGTTTAACCTTTCTTTTCTTAAAGCAGTTTAGAAACACTCTGCTTGTTATGTCTGCAAGTGGATATTTGGACCTCTTTGAGGCCTTCGTTGCAAACGGGGTTTCTTCCTTTAATGCTAGACTAAGAAGAGTTCTCAGCAACTTTTTTGTGTTGTGTGTATTCAACTCACAGAGTTGAACCTTGCTTTAGAGAGAGCAGATTTGAAACACTCTTGCTGTGGAATTTTCAGGTGGAGATTTCAAGCGATTTGAGGACAATTGCAGAAAAGGAAATATACTTCGTATAATAACCAGACAGAATCATTCTCAGAAAGTGCTTTGTGATGTGTGCGTTCAACTCACAGAGTTTAACCATTCTTTTCATAGAGGAGCTTGGAAACACACTGTTTGTAAAGTCTGCAATTGGATATATGGACCTGTTTGAGGCCTCCGTTGGAAACGGGATTTCTTCATTGAATGCTAGACGGAAGAATTCTCAGTAAATTCTTTGTGTTGTGTGCATTGAACTCACAGAGTGGAACGTCCCTTTAGACAGAGCAGATTTGAAACACTCTTTTTGCGGAATTTCCAAGTGGAGATTTCTAGCCATTTGATGTCAACAGTAGAAAGGGAAATATCTTCAAATAAAAACCAGACAGAATCATTCTCAGAAAATTCTTTGTGATGTGTGCGTTCAACTCACATAGTTTAACCTTTCTTTTCATAGAGCAGTTTGGAAACACTCTGTTTGTAAAGTCTGCAAGTGGATATATGGACCGCATTGAGGCCTTCGTTGGAAACGGGATTTCTTCATTTCATGCTAGACAGAAGAATTCTCAGTAACTTCTTTGTGCTGGGTGTATTCAACTCACAGAGTGGAACGTCCCTTTACACAGAGCAGATTTGAAACACTCTTTTTGTGGAGTTTGCAAGTGGAGATTTCAAGCGATTTGATGCCAACAGTAGAAAAGGAAATATCTTCAAATAAAAACTAGACAGAATCATTCTCAGAAACTACTTTGTGATGTGTGCCTTCAACTCACAGAGTTTAACCTTTCTTTTCTTAGAGCAGTTTAGAAACACTCTGCTTGTTATGTCTGCAAGTGGATATTTGGACCTCTTTGAGGCCTTCGTTGCAAACGGGGTTTCTTCCTTTCATGCTAGACTAAGAAGAGTTCTCAGTAACTTTTTTGTGTTGTGTGTATTCAACTCACAGAGTTGAACCTTGCTTTAGAGAGAGCAGATTTGAAACACTCTTGCTGTGGCATTTTCAGGTGGAGATTTCAAGCGATTTGAGGACAATTGCAGAAAAGGAAATATCTTCGTATAATAACCAGACAGAATCATTCTCAGAAAGTGCTTTGTGATGTGTGCGTTCAACTCACAGAGTTCAACCTTTCTTTCCATAGAGGAGTTTGGAAACACACTGTTTGTAAAGTCTGCAATTGGATATATGGACCTGTTTGAGGCCTTCGTTGGAAACGGGATTTCTTCATTGAATGCTAGACGGAAGAATTCTCAGTAAATTCTTTGTGTTGTGTGCATTGAACTCACAGAGTGGAACGTCCCTTTACACAGAGCAGATTTGAAACACTCTTTTTGCGGAATTTGCAAGTGGAGATTTCTAGCCATTTGATGCCAACAGTAGAAAGGGAAATATCTTCAAATAAAAACCAGACAGAATCATTCTCAGAAAATTCTTTGTGATGTGTGCCTTCAACTCACAGAGTTTAACCTTTCTTTTCTTAGAGCAGTTTAGAAACACTCTGCTTGTTATGTCTGCAAGTGGATATTTGGACCTCTTTGAGGCCTTCGTTGCAAACGGGGTTTTTTCCTTTAATGCTAGACTAAGAAGAGTTCTCAGTAACTTTTTTGTGTTGTGTGTATTCAACTCACAGAGTTGAACCTTGCTTTAGAGAGAGCAGATTTGAAACACTCTTGCTGTGGCATTTTCAGGTGGAGATTTCAAGCGATTTGAGGACAATTGCAGAAAAGGAAATATCTTCGTATAATAACCAGACAGAATCATTCTCAGAAAGTGCTTTGTGATGCGTGCGTTCAACTCACAGAGCTTAACCTTTCTTTTCATAGGGGAGTTTGGAAACACACTATTTGCAAAGTCTGCAAGTGGATATATGGACCTGTTTGAGGCCTTCGTTGGAAACGGGATTTTATCATATAATGCTAGACGGAAGAATTCTCAGTAAATTCTTTGTGTTGTGTGCATTCAACTCACAGAGTGGAACGTCCCTTTAGACAGAGCAGATTTGAAACACTCTTTTTGCGGAATTTGCAAGTGGAGATTTCTAGCCATTTGATGCCAACAGTAGAAAGGGAAATATCTTCAAATAAAAACCAGACAGAATCATTCTCAGAAAATTCTTTGTGATGTGTGCGTTCAACTCACATAGTTTAACCTTTCTTTTCATAGAGCAGTTTGGAAACACTCTGTTTGTAAAGTCTGCAAGTGGATATATGGACCGCATTGAGGCCTTCGTTGGAAACGGGATTTCTTCATTTCATGCTAGACAGAAGAATTCTCAGTAACTTCTTTGTGCTGTGTGTATTCAACTCACAGAGTGGAACGTCCCTTTGCACAGAGCAGATTTGAAACACTCTTTTTGTGGAGTTTGCAAGTGGAGATTTCAAGCGATTTGATGCCAACAGTAGAAAAGGAAATATCTTCAAATAAAAACTAGACAGAATCATTCTCAGAAACTACTTTGTGATGTGTGCCTTCAACTCACAGAGTTTAACCTTTCTTTTCTTAGAGCAGTTTAGAAACACTCTGCTTGTTATGTCTGCAAGTGGATATTTGGACCTCTTTGAGGCCTTCGTTGCAAACGGGGTTTCTTCCTTTCATGCTAGACTAAGAAGAGTTCTCAGTAACTTTTTTGTGTTGTGTGTATTCAACTCACAGAGTTGAACCTTGCTTTAGAGAGAGCAGATTTGAAACACTCTTGCTGTGGCATTTTCAGGTGGAGATTTCAAGCGATTTGAGGACAATTGCAGAAAAGGAAATATCTTCGTATAATAACAAGACAGAATCATTCTCAGAAAGTGCTTTGTGATGTGTGCGTTCCACTCACAGAGTTTAACCTTTCTTTTCATAGAGGAGTTTGGAAACACACTGTTTGTAAACTCTGCAAGTGGATATATGGACCTGTTTGAGGCCTTCGTTGGAAACGGGATTTCTTCATTGAATGCTAGACGGAAGAATTCTCAGTAAATTCTTTGTGTTGTGTGCATTCAACTCACAGAGTGGAACGTCCCTTTAGACAGAGCAGATTTGAAACACTCTTTTTGCGGAATTTGCAAGTGGAGATTTCTAGCCATTTGATGCCAACAGTAGAAAGGGAAACATCTTCAAATAAAAACCAGACAGAATCATTCTCAGAAAATTCTTTGTGATGTGTGCGTTCAACTCACATAGTTTAACCTTTCTTTTCATAGAGCAGTTTGGAAACACTCTGTTTGTAAAGTCTGCAAGTGGATATATGGACCGCATTGAGGCCTTCGTTGGAAACGGGATTTCTTCATTTCATGCTAGACAGAAGAATTCTCAGTAACTTCTCTGTGCTGTGTGTATTCAACTCACAGACTGGAACGTCCGTTTGCACAGAGCAGATTTGAAACACTCTTTTTGTGGAATTTGCAAGTGGAGATTTCAAGCGATTTGATGCCAACAGTAGAAAAGGAAATATCTTCAAATAAAAACTAGACAGAACCATTCTCAGAAACTACTTTGTGATGTGTGCCTTCAACTCACAGAGTTTAACCTTTCTTTTCTTAGAGCAGTTTAGAAACACTCTGCTTGTTATGTCTGCAACTGGATATTTGGACCTCTTTGAGGCCTTCGTTGCAAACGGGGTTTCTTCCTTTCATGCTAGACTAAGAAGAGTTCTCAGTAACTTTTTTGTGTTGTGTGTATTCAACTCACAGAGTTGAACCTTGCTTTAGAGAGAGCAGATTTGAAACACTCTTGCTGTGGCATTTTCAGGTGGAGATTTCAAGCGATTTGAGGACAATTGCAGAAAAGGAAATATCTTCGTATAACAACCAGACAGAATCATTCTCAGAAAGTGCTTTGTGATGTGTGCGTTCCACTCACAGAGTTTAACCTTTCTTTTCATAGAGGAGTTTGGAAACACACTGTTTGTAAACTCTGCAAGTGGATATATGGACCTGTTTGAGGCCTTCGTTGGAAACGGGATTTCTTCATTGAATGCTAGACGGAAGAATTCTCAGTAAATTCTTTGTGTTGTGTGCATTCAACTCACAGAGTGGAACGTCCCTTTAGACAGAGCAGATTTGAAACACTCTTTTTGCGGAATTTGCAAGTGGAGATTTCTAGCCATTTGATGCCAACAGTAGAAAGGGAAATATCTTCAAATAAAAACCAGACAGAATCATTCTCAGAAAATTCTTTGTGATGTGTGCGTTCAACTCACATAGTTTAACCTTTCTTTTCATAGAGCAGTTTGGAAACACTCTGTTTGTAAAGTCTGCAAGTGGATATATGGACCGCATTGAGGCCTTCGTTGGAAACGGGATTTCTTCATTTCACGCTAGACAGAAGAATTCTCAGTAACTTCTTTGTGCTGTGTGTATTCAACTCACAGAGTGGAACGTCCCGTTGCACAGAGCAGATTTGAAACACTCTTTTTGTGGAATTTGCAAGTGGAGATTTCAAGCGATTTGATGCCAACAGTAGAAAAGGAAATATCTTCAAATAAAAACTAGACAGAATCATTCTCAGAAACTACTTTGTGATGTGTGCCTTCAACTCACAGAGTTTAACCTTTCTTTTCTTAGAGCAGTTTAGAAACACTCTGCTTGTTATGTCTGCAAGTGGATATTTGGACCTCTTTGAGGCCTTCGTTGCAAACGGGGTTTCTTCCTTTCATGCTAGACTAAGAAGAGTTCTCAGTAACTTTTTTGTGTTGTGTGTATTCAACTCACAGAGTTGAACCATGCTTTAGAGAGAGCAGATTTGAAACACTCTTGCTGTGGCATTTTCAGTTGGAGATTTCAAGCGATTTGAGGACAATTGCAGAAAAGGAAATATCTTCGTATAACAACCAGACAGAATCATTCTCAGAAAGTGCTTTGTGATGTGTGCGTTCAACTCACAGAGTTTAACCTTTCTTTTCATAGAGGAGTTTGGAAACACACTGTTTGTAAAGTCTGCAATTGGATATATGGACCTGTTTGAGGCCTTCGTTGGAAACGGGATTTCTTCATTGAATGCTAGGCGGAAGAATTCTCAGTAAATTCTTTGTGGTGTGTGCATTCAACTCACAGAGTGGAACGTCCCTTTAGACAGAGCAGATTTGAAACACTCTTTTTGCGGAATTTGCAAGTGGAGATTTCTAGCCATTTGATGCCAACAGTAGAAAGGGAAATATCTTCAAATAAAAACCAGACAGAATCATTCTCAGAAAATTCTTTGTGATGTGTGCGTTCAACTCACATAGTTTAACCTTTCTTTTCATAGAGCAGTTTGGAAACACTCTGTTTGTAAAGTCTGCAAGTGGATATATGGACCGCATTGAGGCCTTCGTTGGAAACGGGATTTCTTCATTTCATGCTAGACAGAAGAATTCTCAGTAACTTCTTTGTGCTGTGTGTATTCAACTCACAGAGTGGAACGTCCCTTTACACAGAGCAGATTTGAAACACTCTTTTTGTGGAGTTTGCAAGTGGAGATTTCAAGCGATTTGATGCCAACAGTAGAAAAAGGAAATATCTTCAAATAAAAACTAGACAGAATCATTCTCAGAAACTACTTTGTGATGTGGGCCTTCAACTCACAGAGTTTAACCTTTCTTTTCTTAGAGCAGTTTAGAAACACTCTGCTTGTTATGTCTGCAAGTGGATATTTGGACCTCTTTGAGGCCTTCGTTGCAAACGGGGTTTCTTCCTTTAATGCTAGACTAAGAAGAGTTCTCAGTAACTTTTTTGTGTTGTGTGTATTCAACTCACAGAGTTGAACCTTGCTTTAGAGGGAGCAGATTTGAAACACTCTTGCTGTGGCATTTTCAGGTGGAGATTTCAAGCGATTTGAGGACAATTGCAGAAAAGGAAATATCTTCGTATAATAACCAGACAGAATCATTCTCAGAAAGTGCTTTGTGATGTGTGCGTTCCACTCACAGAGTTTAACCTTTCTTTTCATAGAGGAGTTTGGAAACACACTGTTTGTAAAGTCTGCAAGTGGATATATGGACCTCTTTGAGGCCTTCGTTGGAAACGGGATTTCTTCATTGAATGCTAGACGGAAGAATTCTCAGTAAATTCTTTGTGTTGTGTGCATTCAACTGACAGAGTGGAACGTCCCTTTAGACAGAGCAGATTTGAAACACTCTTTTTGCGGAATTTGCAAGTGGAGATTTCTAGCCATTTGATGCCAACAGTAGAAAGGGAAATATTTTCAAATAAAAACCAGACAGAATCATTCTCAGAAAATTCTTTGTGATGTGTGCGTTCAACTCACATAGTTTAACCTTTCTTTTCATAGAGCAGTTTGGAAACACTGTGTTTGTAAAGTCTGCAAGTGGATATATGGACCGCATTGAGGCCTTCGTTGGAAACGGGATTTCTTCATTTCATGCTAGACAGAAGAATTCTCAGTAACTTCTTTGTGCTGTGTGTATTCAACTCACAGAGTGGAACGTCCCTTTGCACAGAGCAGATTTGAAACACTCTTTTTGTGGAGTTTGCAAGTGGAGATTTCAAGCGATTTGATGCCAACAGTAGAAAAGGAAATATCTTCAAATAAAAACTAGACAGAATCATTCTCAGAAACTACTTTGTGATGTGTGCCTTCAACTCACAGAGTTTAACCTTTCTTTTCTTAGAGCAGTTTAGAAACACTCTGCTTGTTATGTCTGCAAGTGGATATTTGGACCTCTTTGAGGCCTTCGTTGCAAACGGGGTTTCTTCCTTTCATGCTAGACTAAAGAGTTCTCAGTAACTTTTTTGTGTTGTGTGTATTCAACTCACAGAGTTGAACCTTGCTTTAGAGAGAGCAGATTTGAAACACTCTTGCTGTGGCATTTTCAGGTGGAGATTTCAAGCGATTTGAGGACAATTGCAGAAAAGGAAATATCTTCGTATAATAACCAGACAGAATCATTCTCAGAAAGTGCTTTGTGATGTGTGCGTTCCACTCACAGAGTTTAACCTTTCTTTTCATAGAGGAGTTTGGAAACAAACTGTTTGTAAACTCTGCAAGTGGATATATGGACCTGTTTGAGGCCTTCGTTGGAAACGGGATTTCTTCATTGAATGCTAGACGGAAGAATTCTCAGTAAATTCTTTGTGTTGTGTGCATTCAACTCACAGAGTGGAACGTCCCTTTAGACAGAGCAGATTTGAAACACTCTTTTTGCGGAATTTGCAAGTGGAGATTTCTAGCCATTTGATGCCAACAGTAGAAAGGGAAATATCTTCAAATAAAAACCAGACAGAATCATTCTCAGAAAATTCTTTGTGATGTGTGCGTTCAACTCACATAGTTTAACCTTTCTTTTCATAGAGCAGTTTGGAAACACTGTGTTTGTAAAGTCTGCAAGTGGATATATGGACCGCATTGAGGCCTTCGTTGGAAACGGGATTTCTTCATTTCATGCTAGACAGAAGAATTCTCAGCAACTTCTTTGTGCTGTGTGTATTCAACTCACAGAGTGGAACGTCCCTTTACACAGAGCAGATTTGAAACACTCTTTTTGTGGAGTTTGCAAGTGGAGATTTCAAGCGATTTGATGCCAACAGTAGAAAAGGAAATATCTTCAAATAAAAACTAGACAGAATCATTCTCAGAAACTACTTTGTGATGTGTGCCTTCAACTCACAGAGTTTAACCTTTCTTTTCTTAGAGCAGTTTAGAAACACTCTGCTTGTTATGTCTGCAAGTGGATATTTGGACCTCTTTGAGGCCTTCGTTGCAAACGGGGTTTCTTCCTTTCATGCTAGACTAAGAAGAGTTCTCAGTAACTTTTTTGTGTTGTGTGTATTCAACTCACAGAGTTGAACGTTGCTTTAGAGAGAGCAGATTTGAAACACTCTTGCTGTGGCATTTTCAGGTGGAGATTTCAAGCGATTTGAGGACAATTGCAGAAAAGGAAATATCTTCGTATAACAACCAGACAGAATCATTCTCAGAAAGTGCTTTGTGATGTGTGCGTTCAACTCACAGAGTTTAACCTTTCTTTTCATAGAGGAGTTTGGAAACACACTGTTTGTAAAGTCTGCAAGTGGATATATGGACCTGTTTGAGGCCTTCGTTGGAAACGGGATTTCTTCATTGAATGCTAGACGGAAGAATTCTCAGTAAATT
The DNA here is from genome assembly GCF_000001405.40 of Homo sapiens. Lineage (NCBI taxonomy): Eukaryota > Metazoa > Chordata > Mammalia > Primates > Hominidae > Homo > Homo sapiens. Next base: position 60,188,056 of record NC_000007.14, read on the forward strand.
CTTTGTGTTGTGTGCATTCAACTGACAGAGTGGAACGTCCCTTTAGACAGAGCAGATTTGAAACACTCTTTTTGCGGAATTTGCAAGTGGAGATTTCTAGCCATTTGATGCCAACAGTAGAAAGGGAAATATCTTCAAATAAAAACCAGACAGAATCATTCTCAGAAAATTCTTTGTGATGTGTGCGTTCAACTCACATAGTTTAACCTTTCTTTTCATAGAGCAGTTTGGAAACACTCTGTTTGTAAAGTCTGCAAGTGGATATATGGACCGCATTGAGGCCTTCGTTGGAAACGGGATTTCTTCATTTCATGCTAGACAGAAGAATTCTCAGTAACTTCTTTGTGCTGTGTGTATTCAACTCACAGAGTGGAACGTCCCTTTACACAGAGCAGATTTGAAACACTCTTTTTGTGGAGTTTGCAAGTGGAGATTTCAAGCGATTTGATGCCAACAGTAGAAAAGGAAATATCTTCAAATAAAAACTAAAAACTAGACAGAATCATTCTCAGAAACTACTTTGTGATGTGTGCCTTCAACTCACAGAGTTTAACCTTTCTTTTCTTAGAGCAGTTTAGAAACACTCTGCTTGTTATGTCTGCAAGTGGATATTTGGACCTCTTTGAGGCCTTCGTTGCAAACGGGGTTTCTTCCTTTCATGCTAGACTAAGAAGAGTTCTCAGTAACTTTTTTGTGTTGTGTGTATTCAACTCACAGAGTTGAACCTTGCTTTAGAGAGAGCAGATTTGAAACACTCTTGCTGTGGCATTTTCAGGTGGAGATTTCAAGCGATTTGAGGACAATTGCAGAAAAAGAAATATCTTCGTATAATAACCAGACAGAATCATTCTCAGAAAGTGCTTTGTGATGTGTGCGTTCAACTCACAGAGTTTAACCTTTCTTTTCATAGAGGAGTTTGGAAACACACTGTTTGTAAAGTCTGCAAGTGGATATATGGACCTGTTTGAGGCCTTCGTTGGAAACGGGATTTCTTCATTGAATGCTAGACGGAAGAATTCTCAGTAAATTCTTTGTGTTGTGTGCATTCAACTGACAGAGTGGAACGTCCCTTTAGACAGAGCAGATTTGAAACACTCTTTTTGCGGAATTTGCAAGTGGAGATTTCTAGCCATTTGATGCCAACAGTAGAAAGGGAAATATCTTCAAATAACCAGACAGAATCATTCTCAGAAAATTCTTTGTGATGTGTGCGTTCAACTCACATAGTTTAACCTTTCTTTTCATAGAGCAGTTTGGAAACACTCTGTTTGTAAAGTCTGCAAGTGGATATATGGACCGCATTGAGGCCTTCGTTGGAAACGGGATTTCTTCATTTCATGCTAGACAGAAGAATTCTCAGTAACTTCTTTGTGCTGTGTGTATTCAACTCACAGAGTGGAACGTCCCTTTGCACAGAGCAGATTTGAAACACTCTTTTTGTGGAATTTGCAAGTGGAGATTTCAAGCGATTTGATGCCAACAGTAGAAAAGGAAATATCTTCAAATAAAAACTAGACAGAATCATTCTCAGAAACTACTTTGTGATGTGTGCCTTCAACTCACAGAGTTTAACCTTTCTTTTCTTAGAGCAGTTTAGAAACACTCTGCTTGTTATGTCTGCAAGTGGATATTTGGACCTCTTTGAGGCCTTCGTTGCAAACGGGGTTTCTTCCTTTCATGCTAGACTAAGAAGAGTTCTCAGTAACTTTTTTGTGTTGTGTGTATTCAACTCACAGAGTTGAACCTTGCTTTAGAGAGAGCAGATTTGAAACACTCTTGCTGTGGCATTTTCAGGTGGAGATTTCAAGCGATTTGAGGACAATTACAGAAAAGGAAATATCTTCGTATAACAACCAGACAGAATCATTCTCAGAAAGTGCTTTGTGATGTGTGCGTTCAACTCACAGAGTTTAACCTTTCTTTTCATAGAGGAGTTTGGAAACACACTGTTTGTAAAGTCTGCAATTGGATATATGGACCTGTTTGAGGCCTTCGTTGGAAACGGGATTTCTTCATTGCATGCTAGACGGAAGAATTCTCAGTAAATACTTTGTGTTGTGCGCATTCAACTGACAGAGTGGAACGTCCCTTTAGACAGAGCAGATTTGAAACACTCTTTTTGCGGAATTTGCAAGTGGAGATTTCTAGCCATTTGATGCCAACAGTAGAAAGGGAAATATCTTCAAATAAAAACCAGACAGAATCATTCTCATAAAATTCTTTGTGATGTGTGCATTCAAACTCACATAGTTTAACCTTTCTTTTCATAGAGCAGTTTGGAAACACTCTGTTTGCAAAGTCTGCAAGTGGATATATGGACCGCATTGAGGCCTTCGTTGGAAACGGGATTTCTTCATTTCATGCTAGACAGAAGAATTCTCAGTAACTTCTTTGTGCTGTGTGTATTCAACTCACAGAGTGGAACGTCCCTTTACACAGAGCAGATTTGAAACACTCTTTTTGTGGAGTTTGCAAGTGGAGATTTCAAGCGATTTGATGCCAACAGTAGAAAAGGAAATATCTTCAAATAAAAACTAGACAGAATCATTCTCAGAAACTACTTTGTGATGTGTGCCTTCAACTCACAGAGTTTAACCTTTCTTTTCTTAGAGCAGTTTAGAAACACTCTGCTTGTTATGTCTGCAAGTGGATATTTGGACCTCTTTGAGGCCTTCGTTGCAAACGGGGTTTCTTCCTTTAATGCTAGACTAAGAAGAGTTCTCAGTAACTTTTTTGTGTTGTGTGTATTCAACTCACAGAGTTGAACCTTGCTTTAGAGAGAGCAGATTTGAAACACTCTTGCTGTGGCATTTTCAGGTGGAGATTTCAAGCGATTTGAGGACAATTGCAGAAAAGGAAATATCTTCGTATAATAACCAGACAGAATCATTCTCAGAAAGTGCTTTGTGATGTGTGCGTTCAACTCACAGAGTTTAACTTTTCTTTCCATAGAGGAGTTTGGAAACACACTGTTTGTAAAGTCTGCAAGTGGATATATGGACCTGTTTGAGGCCTTCGTTGGAAACGGGATTTCTTCATTGAATGCTAGACGGAAGAATTCTCAGTAAATTCTTTGTGTTGTGTGCATTCAACTCACAGAGTGGAACGTCCCTTTAGACAGAGCAGATTTGAAACACTCTTTTTGCGGAATTTGCAAGTGGAGATTTCTAGCCATTTGATGCCAACAGTAGAAAGGGAAATATCTTCAAATAAAAACCAGACAGAATCATTCTCAGAAAATTCTTAGTGATGTGTGCGTTCAACTCACATAGTTTAACCTTTCTTTTCATAGAGCAGTTTGGAAACACTCTGTTTGTAAAGTCTGCAAGTGGATATATAGACCGCATTGAGGCCTTCGTTGGAAACGGGATTTCTTCATTTCGTGCTAGACAGAAGAATTCTCAGAAACTTCTTTGTGCTGTGTGTATTCAACTCACAGAGTGGAACGTCCCTTTACACAGAGCAGATTTGAAACACTCTTTTTGTGGAGTTTGCAAGTGGAGATTTCAAGCGATTTGATGCCAGCAGTAGAAAAGGAAATATCTTCAAATAAAAACTAGACAGAAATCATTCTCAGAAACTACTTTGTGATGTGTGCCTTCAACTCACAGAGTTTAACCTTTCTTTTCTTAGAGCAGTTTAGAAACACTCTGCTTGTTATGTCTGCAAGTGGATATTTGGACCTCTTTGAGGCCTTCGTTGCAAACGGGGTTTCTTCGTTTAATGCTAGACTAAGAAGAGTTCTCAGTAACTTTTTTGTGTTGTGTGTATTCAACTCACAGAGTTGAACCTTGCTTTAGAGAGAGCAGATTTGAAACACTCTTGCTGTGGCATTTTCAGGTGGAGATTTCAAGCGATTTGAGGACAATTGCAGAAAAGGAAATATCTTCCGTATAATAACCAGACAGAATCATTCTCAGAAAGTGCTTTGTGATGTGTGTGTTCAACTCACAGAGTTTAACCTTTCTTTTCATAGAGGAGTTTGGAAACACACTGTTTGTAAAGTCTGCAATTGGATATATGGACCTGTTTGAGGCCTTCGTTGGAAACGGGATTTCTTCATTGAATGCTAGACGGAAGAATTCTCAGTAAATTCTTTGTGTTGTGTGCATTCAACTGACAGAGTGGAACGTCCCTTTAGACAGAGCAGATTTGAAACACTCTTTTTGCGGAATTTGCAAGTGGAGATTTCTAGCCATTTGATGCCAACAGTAGAAAGGGAAATATCTTCAAATAAAAACCAGACAGAATCATTCTCAGAAAATTCTTTGTGATGTGTGCGTTCAACTCACATAGTTTAACCTTTCTTTTCATAGAGCAGTTTGGAAACACTCTGTTTGTAAAGTCTGCAAGTGGATATATGGACCGCATTGAGGCCTTCGTTGGAAACGGGATTTCTTCATTTCATGCTAGACAGAAGAATTCTCAGTAACTTCTTTGTGCTGTGTGTATTCAACTCACAGAGTGGAACGTCCCTTTACACAGAGCAGATTTGAAACACTCTTTTTGTGGAGTTTCCAAGTGGAGATTTCAAGCGATTTGATGCCAACAGTAGAACAGGAAATATCTTCAAATAAAAACTAGACAGAATCATTCTCAGAAACTACTTTGTGATGTGTGCCTTCAACTCACAGAGTTTAACCTTTCTTTTCTTAGAGCAGTTTAGAAACACTCTGCTTGTTATGTCTGCAAGTGGATATTTGGACCTCTTTGAGGCCTTCGTTGCAAACGGGGTTTCTTCCTTTCATGCTAGACTAAGAAGAGTTCTCAGTAACTTTTTTATGTTGTGTGTATTCAACTCACAGAGTTGAACCTTGCTTTAGAGAGAGCAGATTTGAAACACTCTTGCTGTGACATTTTCAGGTGGAGATTTCAAGCGATTTGTGGACAATTGCAGAAAAAGAAATATCTTCGTATAATAACCAGACAGAATCATTCTCAGAAAGTGCTTTGTGTTGTGTGCGTTCAACTCACAGAGTTTAACCTTTCTTTTCATAGAGGAGTTTGGAAACACACTGTTTGTAAAGTCTGCAATTGGATATATGGACCTGTTTGAGGCCTTCGTTGGAAACGGGATTTCTTCATTGAATGCTAGACGGAAGGATTCTCAGTAAATTCTTTGTGTTGTGTGCATTCAACTCACAGAGTGGAACGTCCCTTTAGACAGAGCAGATTTGAAACACTCTTTTTGCGGAATTTGCAAGTGGAGATTTCTAGCCATTTGATGCCAACAGTAGACAGGGAAACATCTTCAAATAAAAACCAGACAGAATCATTCTCAGAAAATTCTTTGTGATGTGTGCGTTCAACTCACATAGTTTAACCTTTCTTTTCATAGAGCAGTTTGGAAACACTCTGTTTGTAAAGTCTGCAAGTGGATATATGGACCGCATTGAGGCCTTCGTTGGAAACGGGATTTCTTCATTTCATGCTAGACAGAAGAATTCTCAGTAACTTCTTTGTGCTATGTGTATTCAACTCACAGAGTGGAACGTCCCTTTGCACAGAGCAGATTTGAAACACTCTTTTTGTGGAGTTTGCAAGTGGAGATTTCAAGCGATTTGATGCCAACAGTAGAAAAGGAAATATCTTCAAATAAAAACTAGACAGAATCATTCTCAGAAACTACTTTGTGATGTGTGCCTTCAACTCACAGAGTTTAACCTTTCTTTTCTTAGAGCAGTTTAGAAACACTCTGCTTGTTATGTCTGCAAGTGGATATTTGGACCTCTTTGAGGCCTTCGTTGCAAACGGGGTTTCTTCCTTTCATGCTAGACTAAGAAGAGTTCTCAGTAACTTTTTTGTGTTGTGTGTATTCAACTCACAGAGTTGAACCTTGCTTTAGAGAGAGCAGATTTGAAACACTCTTGCTGTGGCATTTTCAGGTGGAGATTTCAAGCGATTTGAGGACAATTGCAGAAAAGGAAATATCTTCGTATAATAACCAGACAGAATCATTCTCAGAAAGTGCTTTGTGATGTGTGCGTTCAACTCACAGAGTTTAACCTTTCTTTTCATAGAGGAGTTTGGAAACACACTGTTTGTAAAGTCTGCAATTGGATATATGGACCTGTTTGAGGCCTTCGTTGGAAACGGGATTTCTTCATTGCATGCTAGACGGAAGAATTCTCAGTAAATTCTTTGTGTTGTGTGCATTCAACTCACAGAGTGGAACGTCCCTTTAGACAGAGCAGATTTGAAACACTCTTTTTGCGGAATTTGCAAGTGGAGATTTCTAGCCATTTGATGCCAACAGTAGAAAGGGAAATATCTTCAAATAAAAACCAGACAGAATCATTCTCAGAAAATTCTTTGTGATGTGTGCGTTCAACTCACATAGTTTAACCTTTCTTTTCATAGAGCAGTTTGGAAACACTCTGTTTGTAAAGTCTGCAAGTGGATATATGGACCTCTTTGAGGCCTTCGTTGGAAACGGGATTTCTTCATTGAATGCTAGACGGAAGAATTCTCAGTAACTTCTTTGTGCTGTGTGTATTCAACTCACAGAGTGGAACGTCCCTTTACACAGAGCAGATTTGAAACACTCTATTTGTGGAGTTTGCAAGTGGAGATTTCAAGCGATTTGATGCCAACAGTAGAAAAGGAAATATCTTCAAATAAAAACTAGACAGATAATCATTCTCAGAAACTACTTTGTGATGTGTGCCTTCAACTCACAGAGTTTAACCTTTCTTTTCTTAGAGCAGTTTAGAAACACTCTGCTTGTTATGTCTGCAAGTGGATATTTGGACCTCTTTGAGGCCTTCGTTGCAAACGGGGTTTCTTCCGTTCATGCTAGACTAAGAAGAGTTCTCAGTAACTTTTTTGTGTTGTGTGTATTCAACTCACAGAGTTGAACCTTGCTTTAGAGAGAGCAGATTTGAAACACTCTTGCTGTGGCATTTTCAGGTGGAGATTTCAAGCGATTTGAGGACAATTGCAGAAAAGGAAATATCTTCGTATAATAACCAGACAGAATCATTCACAGAAAGTGCTTTGTGATGTGTGCGTTCAACTCACAGAGTTTAACCTTTCTTTTCATAGAGGAGTTTGGAAACACACTGTTTGTAACGTCTGCAAGTGGATATATGGACCTGTTTGAGGCCTTCGTTGGAAACGGGATTTCTTCATTGAATGCTAGACGGAAGAATTCTCAGTAAATTCTTTGTGTTGTGTGCATTCAACTCACACAGTGGAACGTCCCTTTAGACAGAGCAGATTTGAAACACTCTTTTTGCGGAAGTTGCAAGTGGAGATTTCTAGCCATTTGATGCCAACAGTGGAAAGGGAAATATCTTCAAATAAAAACTAGACAGAATCATTCTCAGAAAATTCTTTGTGATGTGTGCGTTCAACTCACATAGTTTAACCTTTCTTTTCATAGAGCAGTTTGGAAACACTCTGTTTGTAAAGTCTGCAAGTGGATCTATGGACCGCATTGAGGCCTTCGTTGGAAACGGGATTTCTTCATTTCATGCTAGACAGAAGAATTCTCAGTAACTTCTTTGTGCTGTGTGTATTCAACTCACAGAGTGGAACGTCCCTTTACACAGAGCAGATTTGAAACACTCTTTTTGTGGAGTTTGCAAGTGGAGATTTCAAGCGATTTGATGCCAACAGTAGAAAAGGAAATATCTTCAAATAAAAACTAGACAGAATCATTCTCAGAAACTACTTTGTGATGTGTGCCTTCAACTCACAGAGTTTAACCTTTCTTTTCTTAGAGCAGTTTAGAAACACTCTGCTTGTTATGTCTGCAAGTGGATATTTGGACCTCTTTGAGGCCTTCGTTGCAAACGGGGTTTCTTCCTTTCATGCTAGACTAAGAAGAGTTCTCAGTAACTTTTTTGTGTTGTGTGTATTCAACTCACAGAGTTGAACCTTGCTTTAGAGAGAGCAGATTTGAAACACTCTTGCTGTGGCATTTTCAGGTGGAGATTTCAAGCGATTTGAGGACAATTGCAGAAAAGGAAATATCTTCGTATAATAACCAGACAGAATCATTCTCAGAAAGTGCTTTGTGATGTGTGCGTTCCACTCACAGAGTTTAACCTTTCTTTTCATAGAGGAGTTTGGAAACACACTGTTTGTAAAGTCTGCAAGTGGATATATGGACCTGTTTGAGGCCTTCGTTGGAAACGGGATTTCTTCATTGAATGCTAGACGGAAGAATTCTCAGTAAATTCTTTGTGTTGTGTGCATTCAACTCACAGAGTGGAACGTCCCTTTAGACAGAGCAGATTTGAAACACTCTTTTTGCGGAATTTGCAAGTGGAGATTTCTAGCCATTTGATGCCAACAGTAGAAAGGGAAATATTTTCAAATAAAAACCAGACAGAATCATTCTCAGAAAATTCTTTGTGATGTGTGCATTCAACTCACATAGTTTAACCTTTCTTTTCATAGAGCAGTTTGGAAACACTCTGTTTGTAAAGTCTGCAAGTGGATATATGGACCGCATTGAGGCCTTCGTTGGAAACGGGATTTCTTCATTTCATGCTAGACAGAAGAATTCTCAGTAACTTCTTTGTGCTGTGTGTATTCAACTCACAGAGTGGAACGTCCCTTTGCACAGAGCAGATTTGAAACACTCTTTTTGTGGAATTTGCAAGTGGAGATTTCAAGCGATTTGATGCCAACAGTAGAAAAGGAAATATCTTCAAATAAAAACTAGACAGAATCATTCTCAGAAACTACTTTGTGATGTGTGCCTTCAACTCACAGAGTTTAACCTTTCTTTTCTTAGAGCAGTTTAGAAACACTCTGCTTGTTATGTCTGCAAGTGGATATTTGGACCTCTTTGAGGCCTTCGTTGCAAACGGGGTTTCTTCCTTTCATGCTAGACTAAGAAGAGTTCTCAGTAACTTTTTTGTGTTGTGTGTATTCAACTCACAGAGTTGAACCTTGCTTTAGAGAGAGCAGATTTGAAACACTCTTGCTGTGGCATTTTCAGGTGGAGATTTCAAGCGATTTGAGGACAATTGCAGAAAAGGAAATATCTTCGTATAATAACCAGACAGAATCATTCTCAGAAAGTGCTTTGTGATGTGTGCGTTCAACTCACAGAGTTTAACCTTTCTTTTCATAGAGGAGTTTGGAAACACACTGTTTGTGAAGTCTGCAATTGGATATATGGACCTGTTTGAGGCCTTCGTTGGAAACGGGATTTCTTCATTGAATGCTAGACGGAAGAATTCTCAGTAAATTCTTTGTGTTGTGTGCATTCAACTGACAGAGTGGAACGTCCCTTTAGACAGAGCAGATTTGAAACACTCTTTTTGCGGAATTTGCAAGTGGAGATTTCTAGCCATTTGATGCCAACAGTAGAAAGGGAAATATCTTCAAATAAAAACCAGACAGAATCATTCTCAGAAAATTCTTTGTGATGTGTGCGTTCAACTCACATAGTTTAACCTTTCTTTTCATAGAGCAGTTTGGAAACACTCTGTTTGTAAAGTCTGCAAGTGGATATATGGACCGCATTGAGGCCTTCGTTGGAAACGGGATTTCTTCATTTCATGCTAGACAGAAGAATTCTCAGTAACTTCTTTGTGCTGTGTGTATTCAACTCACAGAGTGGAACGTCCCTTTGCACAGAGCAGATTTGAAACACTCTTTTTGTGGAATTTGCAAGTGGAGATTTCAAGCGATTTGATGCCAACAGTAGAAAAGGAAATATTTTCAAATAAAAACTAGACAGAATCATTCTCAGAAACTACTTTGTGATGTGTGCCTTCAACTCACAGAGTTTAACCTTTCTTTTCTTAGAGCAGTTTAGAAACACTCTGCTTGTTATGTCTGCAAGTGGATATTTGGACCTCTTTGAGGCCTTCGTTGCAAACGGGGTTTCTTCCTTTCATGCTAGACTAAGAAGAGTTCTCAGTAACTTTTTTGTGTTGTGTGTATTCAACTCACAGAGTTGAACCTTGCTTTAGAGAGAGCAGATTTGAAACACTCTTGCTGTGGCATTTTCAGGTGGAGATTTCAAGCGATTTGAGGACAATTGCAGAAAAGGAAATATCTTCGTATAATAACCAGACAGAATCATTCTCAGAAAGTGCTTTGTGATGTGTGCGTTCAACTCACAGAGTTTAACCTTTCTTTTCATAGAGGAGTTTGGAAACACACTGTTTGTAAAGTCTGCAATTGGATATATGGACCTGTTTGAGGCCTTCGTTGGAAACGGGATTTCTTCATTGAATGCTAGACGGAAGAATTCTCAGTAAATTCTTTGTGTTGTGTGCATTCAACTCACAGAGTGGAACGTCCCTTTAGACAGAGCAGATTTGAAACACTCTTTTTGCGGAATTTGCAAGTGGAGATTTCTAGCCATTTGATGCCAACAGTAGAAAGGGAAATATCTTCAAATAAAAACCAGACAGAATCATTCTCAGAAAATTCTTTTTGATGTGTGCGTTCAACTCACATAGTTTAACCTTTCTTTTCATAGAGCAGTTTGGAAACACTCTGTTTGTAAAGTCTGCAAGTGGATATATGGACCGCATTGAGGCCTTCGTTGGAAACGGGATTTCTTCATTTCATGCTAGACAGAAGAATTCTCAGTAACTTCTTTGTGCTGTGTGTATTCAACTCACAGAGTGGAACGTCCCTTTGCACAGAGCAGATTTGAAACACTCTTTTTGTGGAGTTTGCAAGTGGAGATTTCAAGCGATTTGATGCCAACAGTAGAAAAGGAAATATCTTCAAATAAAAACTAGACAGAATCATTCTCAGAAACTACTTTGTGATGTGTGCCTTCAACTCACAGAGTTTAACCTTTCTTTTCTTAGAGCAGTTTAGAAACACTCTGCTTGTTATGTCTGCAAGTGGATATTTGGACCTCTTTGAGGCCTTCGTTGCAAACGGGGTTTCTTCCTTTCATGCTAGACTAAGAAGAGTTCTCAGTAACTTTTTTGTGTTGTGTGTATTCAACTCACAGAGTTGAACCTTGCTTTAGAGAGAGCAGATTTGAAACACTCTTGCTGTGGCATTTTCAGGTGGAGATTTCAAGCGATTTGAGGACAATTGCAGAAAAGGAAATATCTTCGTATAATAACCAGACAGAATCATTCTCAGAAAGTGCTTTGTGATGTGTGCGTTCCACTCACAGAGTTTAACCTTTCTTTTCATAGAGGAGTTTGGAAACACACTGTTTGTAAAGTCTGCAAGTGGATATATGGACCTGTTTGAGGCCTTCGTTGGAAACGGGATTTCTTCATTGAATGCTAGACGGAAGAATTCTCAGTAAATTCTTTGTGTTGTGTGCATTCAACTCACAGAGTGGAACGTCCCTTTAGACAGAGCAGATTTGAAACACTCTTTTTGCGGAATTTGCAAGTGGAGATTTCTAGCCATTTGATGCCAACAGTAGAAAGGGAAATATCTTCAAATAAAAACCAGGCAGAATCATTCTCAGAAAATTCTTTGTGATGTGTGCGTTCAACTCACATAGTTTAACCTTTCTTTTCATAGAGCAGTTTGGAAACACTCTGTTTGTAAAGTCTGCAAGTGGATATATGGACCGCATTGAGGCTTTCGTTGGAAACGGGATTTCTTCATTTCATGCTAGACAGAAGAATTCTCAGTAACTTCTCTGTGCTGTGTGTATTCAACTCACAGACTGGAACGTCCGTTTGCACAGAGCAGATTTGAAACACTCTTTTTGTGGAATTTGCAAGTGGAGATTTCAAGCGATTTGATGCCAACAGTAGAAAAGGAAATATCTTCAAATAAAAACTAGACAGAATCATTCTCAGAAACTACTTTGTGATGTGTGCCTTCAACTCACAGAGTTTAACCTTTCTTTTCTTAGAGCAGTTTAGAAACACTCTGCTTGTTATGTCTGCAAGTGGATATTTGGACCTCTTTGAGGCCTTCGTTGCAAACGGGGTTTCTTCCTTTAATGCTAGACTAAGAAGAGTTCTCAGTAACTTTTTTGTGTTGTGTGTATTCAACTCACAGAGTTGAACCTTGCTTTAGAGAGAGCAGATTTGAAACACTCTTGCTGTGGCATTTTCAGGTGGAGATTTCAAGCGATTTGAGGACAATTGCAGAAAAGGAAATATCTTCGTATAATAACCAGACAGAATCATACTCAGAAAGTGCTTTGTGATGTGTGTGTTCAACTCACGGAGTTTAACCTTTCTTTTTATAGAGCAGTTTGGAAATACTCTGTTTGTAAAGTCTGCAAGTGGATACTTGGACCTTTTTGAGGCCTTCGTTGGAAACGGGATTTTGTCATATAATGCTAGACGGAAGAATTCTCAGTAAATTCTTTGTGTTGTGTGCATTCAACTCACAGAGTGGAACGTCCCTTTAGACAGAGCAGATTTGAAACACTCTTTTTGCGGAATTTGCAAGTGGAGATTTCTAACCATTTGATGCCAACAGTAGAAAGGGAAATATCTTCAAATAAAAACCAGACAGAATCATTCTCAGAAAATTCTTTGTGATGTGTGCGTTCAACTCACATAGTTTAACCTTTCTTTTCATAGAGCAGTTTGGAAACACTCTGTTTGTAAAGTCTGCAAGTGGATATATGGACCGCATTGAGGCCTTCGTTGGAAACGGGATTTCTTCATTTCATGCTAGACAGAAGAATTCTCAGTAACTTCTTTGTGCTGTGTGTATTCAACTCACAGAGTGGAACGTCCCTTTACACAGAGAAGATTTGAAACACTCTTTTTGTTGAATTTGCAAGTGGAGATTTCAAGCGATTTGATGCCAACAGTAGAAAAGGAAATATCTTCAAATAAAAACTAGACAGAATCATTCTCAGAAACTACTTTGTGATGTGTGCCTTCAACTCACAGAGTTTAACCTTTCTTTTCTTAGAGCAGTTTAGAAACACTCTGCTTGTTATGTCTGCAAGTGGATATTTGGACCTCTTTGAGGCCTTCGTTGCAAACGGGGTTTCTTCCTTTCATGCTAGACTAAGAAGAGTTCTCAGTAACTTTTTTGTGTTGTGTGTATTCAAATCACAGAGTTGAACCTTGCTTTAGAGAGAGCAGATTTGAAACCCTCTTGCTGTGGCATTTTCAGGTGGAGATTTCAAGCGATTTGAGGACAATTGCAGAAAAGGAAATATCTTCGTATAATAACCAGACAGAATCATTCTCAGAAAGTGCTTTGTGATGTGTGCGTTCAACTCACAGAGTTTAACCTTTCTTTTCATAGAGGAGTTTGGAAACACACTGTTTGTAAAGTCTGCATTTGGATATATGGACCTGTTTGAGGCCTTCGTTGGAAACGGGATTTCTTCATTGAATGCTAGACGGAAGAATTCTCAGTAAATTCTTTGTGTTGTGTGCATTCAACTCACAGAGTGGAACGTCCCTTTAGACAGAGCAGATTTGAAACACTCTTTTTGCGGAATTTGCAAGTGGAGATTTCTAGCCATTTGATGCCAACAGTAGAAAGGGAAATATCTTCAAATAAAAACCAGACAGAATCATTCTCAGAAAATTCTTTGTGATGTGTGCGTTGAACTCACATAGTTTAACCTTTCTTTTCATAGAGCAGTTTGGAAACACTCTGTTTGTAAAGTCTGCAAGTGGATATATGGACCGCATTGAGGCCTTCGTTGGAAACGGGATTTCTTCATTTCATGCTAGACAGAAGAATTCTGAGTAACTTCTTTGTGCTGTGTGTATTCAACTCACAGAGTGGAACGTCCCTTTGCACAGAGCAGATTTGAAACACACTTTTTGTGGAATTTGCAAGTGGAGATTTCAAGCGATTTGATGCCAACAGTAGAAAAGGAAATATCTTCAAATAAAAACTAGACAGAATCATTCTCAGAAACTACTTTGTGATGTGTGCCTTCAACTCACAGAGTTTAACCTTTCTTTTCTTAGAGCAGTTTAGAAACACTCTGCTTGTTATGTCTGCAAGTGGATATTTGGACCTCTTTGAGGCGTCGTTGCAAACGGGGTTTCTTCCTTTCATGCTAGACTAAGAAGAGTTCTCAGTAACTTTTTTGTGTTGTGTGTATTCAACTCACAGAGTTGAACCTTGCTTTAGAGAGAGCAGATTTGAAACACTCTTGCTGTGGCATTTTCAGGTGGAGATTTCAAGCGATTTGAGGACAATTGCAGAAAAGGAAATATCTTCGTATAACAACCAGACAGAATCATTCTCAGAAAGTGCTTTGTGATGTGTGCGTTCAACTCACAGAGTTTAACCTTTCTTTTCATAGAGGAGTTTGGAAACACACTGTTTGTAAAGTCTGCAATTGGATATATGGACCTGTTTGAGGCCTTCATTGGAAACGGGATTTCTTCATTGAATGCTAGACGGAAGAATTCTCAGTAAATTCTTTGTGTTGTGTGCATTCAACTCACAGAGTGGAACGTCCCTTTAGACAGAGCAGATTTGAAACACTCTTTTTGCGGAATTTGCAAGTGGAGATTTCTAGCCATTTGATGCCAACAGTAGAAAGGGAAATATCTTCAAATAAAAACCAGACAGAATCATTCTCAGAAAATTGTTTGTGATGTGTGCGTTCAACTCACATAGTTTAACCTTTCTTTTCATAGAGCAGTTTGGAAACACTCTGTTTGTAAAGTCTGCAAGTGGATATATGGACCGCATTGAGGCCTTCGTTGGAAACGGGATTTCTTCATTTCATGCTAGACAGAAGAATTCTCAGTAACTTCTTTGTGCTGTGTGTATTCAACTCACAGAGTGGAACGTCCCTTTGCACAGAGCAGATTTGAAACACTCTTTTTGTGGAGTTTGCAAGTGGAGATTTCAAGCGATTTGATGCCAACAGTAGAAAAGGAAGTATCTTCAAATAAAAACTAGACAGAATCATTCTCAGAAACTACTTTGTGATGTGTGCCTTCAACTCACAGAGTTTAACCTTTCTTTTCTTAGAGCAGTTTAGAAACACTCTGCTTGTTATGTCTGCAAGTGGATATTTGGACCTCTTTGAGGCCTTCGTTGCAAACGGGGTTTCTTCCTTTCATGCTAGAATAAGAAGAGTTCTCAGTAACTTTTTTGTGTTGTGTGTATTCAACTCACAGAGTTGAACCTTGCTTTAGAGAGAGCAGATTTGAAACACTCTTGCTGTGGCATTTTCAGGTGGAGATTTCAAGCGATTTGAGGACAATTGCAGAAAAGGAAATATCTTCGTATAATAACCAGACAGAATCATTCTCAGAAAGTGCTTTGTGATGTGTGCGTTCAACTCACAGAGTTTAACCTTTCTTTTCATAGAGGAGTTTGGAAACACACTGTTTGTAAAGTCTGCAATTGGATATATGGACCTGTTTGAGGCCTTCGTTGGAAACGGGATTTCTTTCATTGAATGCTAGACGGAAGAATTCTCAGTAAATTCTTTGTGTTGTGTGCATTCAACTCACAGAGTGGAACGTCCCTTTAGACAGAGCAGATTTGAAACACTCTTTTTGCGGAATTTGCAAGTGGAGATTTCTAGCCATTTGATGCCAACAGTAGAAAGGGAAATATCTTCAAATAAAAACCAGACAGAATCATTCTCAGAAAATTCTTTGTGATGTGTGCGTTCAACTCACATAGTTTAACCTTTCTTTTCATAGAGCAGTTTGGAAACACTCTGTTTGTAAAGTCTGCAAGTGGATATATGGACCGCATTGAGGCCTTCGTTGGAAACGGGATTTCTTCATTTCATGCTAGACAGAAGAATTCTCAGTAACTTCTTTGTGCTGTGTGTATTCAACTCACAGAGTGGAACGTCCCTTTGCACAGAGCAGATTTGAAACACTCTTTTTGTGGAATTTGCAAGTGGAGATTTCAAGCGATTTGATGCCAACAGTAGAAAAGGAAATATCTTCAAATAAAAACTAGACAGAGTCATTCTCAGAAACTACTTTGTGATGTGTGCCTTCAACTCACAGAGTTTAACCTTTCTTTTCTTAGAGCAGTTTAGAAACACTCTGCTTGTTATGTCTGCAAGTGGATATTTGGACCTTCTTTGAGGCCTTCGTTGCAAACGGGGTTTCTTCCTTTCATGCTAGACTAAGAAGAGTTCTCAGTAACTTTTTTGTGTTGTGTGTATTCAACTCACAGAGTTGAACCTTGCTTTAGAGAGAGCAGATTTGAAACACTCTTGCTGTGGCATTTTCAGGTGGAGATTTCAAGCGTTTTGAGGACAATTGCAGAAAAGGAAATATCTTCGTATAATAACCAGACAGAATCATTCTCAGAAAGTGCTTTGTGATGTGTGCGTTCAACTCACAGAGTTTAACTTTTCTTTCCATAGAGGAGTTTGGAAACACACTGTTTGTAAAGTCTGCAAGTGGATATATGGACCTGTTTGAGGCCTTCGTTGGAAACGGGATTTCTTCATTGAATGCTAGACGGAAGAATTCTCAGTAAATTCTTTGTGTTGTGTGCATTCAACTCACAGAGTGGAACGTCCCTTTAGACAGAGCAGATTTGAAACACTCTTTTTGCGGAATTTGCAAGTGGAGATTTCTAGCCATTTGATGCCAACAGTAGAAAGGGAAATATCTTCAAATAAAAACCAGACAGAATCATTCTCAGAAAATTCTTTGTGATGTGTGCGTTCAACTCACATAGTTTAACCTTTCTTTTCATAGAGCAGTTTGGAAACACTCTGTTTGTAAAGTCTGCAAGTGGATATATGGACCGCATTGAGGCCTTCGTTGGAAACGGGATTTCTTCATTTCATGCTAGACAGAAGAATTCTCAGTAACTTCTTTGTGCTGTGTGTATTCAACTCACAGAGTGGAACGTCCCTTTACACAGAGCAGATTTGAAACACTCTTTTTGTGGAGTTTGCAAGTGGAGATTTCAAGCGATTTGATGCCAACAGTAGAAAAGGAAATATCTTCAAATAAAAACTAGACAGAATCATTCTCAGAAACTACTTTGTGATGTGTGCCTTCAACTCACAGAGTTTAACCTTTCTTTTCTTAGAGCAGTTTAGAAACACTCTGCTTGTTATGTCTGCAAGTGGATATTTGGACCTCTTTGAGGCCTTCGTTGCAAACGGGGTTTCTTCCTTTCATGCTAGACTAAGAAGAGTTCTCAGTAACTTTTTTGTGTTGTGTGTATTCAACTCACAGAGTTGAACCTTGCTTTAGAGAGAGCAGATTTGAAACACTCTTGCTGTGGCATTTTCAGGTGGAGATTTCAAGCGATTTGAGGACAATTGCAGAAAAGGAAATATCTTCGTATAATAACCAGACAGAATCATTCTCAGAAAGTGCTTTGTGATGTGTGCGTTCAACTCACAGAGTTTAACCTTTCCTTTCATAGAGGAGTTTGGAAACACACTGTTTGTAAAGTCTGCAAGTGGATATATGGACCAGTTTGAGGCCTTCGTTGGAAACGGGATTTCTTCATTGAATGCTAGACGGAAGAATTCTCAGTAAATTCTTTGTGTTGTGTGCATTCAACTCACAGAGTGGAACGTCCCTTTAGACAGAGCAGATTTGAAACACTCTTTTTGCGGAATTTGCAAGTGGAGATTTCTAGCCATTTGATGCCAACAGTAGAAAGGGAAATATCTTCAAATAAAAACCAGACAGAATCATTCTCAGAAAATACTTTGTGATGTGTGCGTTCAACTCACATAGTTTAACCTTTCTTTTCATAGAGCAGTTTGGAAACACTCTGTTTGTAAAGTCTGCAAGTGGATATATGGACCGCATTGAGGCCTTCGTTGGAAACGGGATTTCTTCATTTCATGCTAGACAGGAGAACTCTCAGCAACTTCTTTGTGCTGTGTGTATTCAACTCACAGAGTGGAACGTCCCTTTACACAGAGCAGATTTGAAACACTCTTTTTGTGGAGTTTGCAAGTGAAGATTTCAAGCGATTTGATGCCAACAGTAGAAAAGGAAATATCTTCAAATAAAAACTAGACAGAATCATTCTCAGAAACTACTTTGTGATGTGTGCCTTCAACTCACAGAGTTTAACCTTTCTTTTCTTAGAGCAGTTTAGAAACACTCTGCTTGTTATGTCTGCAAGTGGATATTTGGACCTCTTTGAGGCCTTCGTTGCAAACGGGGTTTCTTCCTTTCATGCTAGACTAAGAAGAGTTCTCAGTAACTTTTTTGTGTTGTGTGTATTCAACTCACAGAGTTGAACCTTGCTTTAGAGAGAGCAGATTTGAAACCCTCTTGCTGTGGCATTTTCAGGTGGAGATTTCAAGCGATTTGAGGACAATTGCAGAAAAGGAAATATCTTCGTATAATAACCAGACAGAATCATTCTCAGAAAGTGCTTTGTGATGTGTGCGTTCAACTCACAGAGTTTAACCTTTCTTTTCATAGAGGAGTTTGGAAACACACTGTTTGTAAAGTCTGCAATTGGATATATGGACCTGTTTGAGGCCTTCTTTGGAAACGGGATTTCTTCATTGAATGCTAGACGGAAGAATTCTCAGTAAATTCTTTGTGTTGTGTGCATTCAACTGACAGAGTGGAACGTCCCTTTAGACAGAGCAGATTTGAAACACTCTTTTTGCGGAATTTGCAAGTGGAGATTTCTAGCCATTTGATTCCAACAGTAGAAAGGGAAATATCTTCAAATAAAAACCAGACAGAATCATTCTCAGAAAATTCTTTGTGATGTGTGCGTTCAACTCACATAGTTTTACCTTTCTTTTCATAGAGCAGTTTGGAAACACTCTGTTTGTAAAGTCTGCAAGTGGATATATGGACCGCATTGAGGCCTTCGTTGGAAACGGGATTTCTTCATTTCATGCTAGACAGAAGAATTCTCAGTAACTTCTTTGTGCTGTGTGTATTCAACTCACAGAGTGGAACGTCCCTTTACACAGAGAAGATTTGAAACACTCTTTTTGTGGAGTTTGCAAGTGGAGATTTCAAGCGATTTGATGCCAACAGTAGAAAAGGAAATATCTTCAAATAAAAACTAGACAGAATCATTCTCAGAAACTACTTTGTGATGTGTGCCTTCAACTCACAGAGTTTAACCTTTCTTTTCTTAGAGCAGTTTAGAAACACTCTGCTTGTTATGTCTGCAAGTGGATATTTGGACCTCTTTGAGGCCTTCGTTGCAAACGGGGTTTCTTCCTTTCATGCTAGACTAAGAAGAGTTCTCAGTAACTTTTTTGTGTTGTGTGTATTCAACTCACAGAGTTGAACCTTGCTTTAGAGAGAGCAGATTTGAAACACTCTTGCTGTGGCATTTTCAGGTGGAGATTTCAAGCGATTTGAGGACAATTGCAGAAAAGGAAATATCTTCGTATAATAACCAGACAGAATCATTCTCAGAAAGTGCTTTGTGATGTGTGCGTTCAACTCACAGAGTTTAACCTTTCTTTTCATAGAGGAGTGTGGAAACACACTGTTTGTAAAGTCTGCAATTGGATATATGGACCTGTTTGAGGCCTTCGTTGGAAACGGGATTTCTTCATTGAATGCTAGACGGAAGAATTCTCAGTAAATTCTTTGTGTTGTGTGCATTCAACTCACAGAGTGGAACGTCCCTTTAGACAGAGCAGATTTGAAACACTCTTTTTGCGGAATTTGCAAGTGGAGATTTCTAGCCATTTGATGCCAACAGTAGAAAGGGAAATATCTTCAAATAAAAACCAGACAGAATCATTCTCAGAAAATTCTTTGTGATGTGTGCGTTCAACTCACATAGTTTAACCTTTCTTTTCATAGAGCAGTTTGGAAACACTCTGTTTGTAAAGTCTGCAAGTGGATATATGGACCGCATTGAGGCCTTCGTTGGAAACGGGATTTCTTTCATTTCATGCTAGACAGAAGAATTCTCAGTAACTTCTTTGTGCTGTGTGTATTCAACTCACAGAGTGGAACGTCCCTTTACACAGAGCAGATTTGAAACACTCTTTTTGTGGAGTTTGCAAGTGGAGATTTCAAGCGATTTGATGCCAACAGTAGAAAAGGAAATATCTTCAAATAAAAACTAGACAGAATCATTCTCAGAAACTACCTTGTGATGTGTGCCTTCAACTCACAGAGTTTAACCTTTCTTTTCTTAGAGCAGTTTAGAAACACTCTGCTTGTTATGTCTGCAAGTGGATATTTGGACCTCTTTGAGGCCTTCGTTGCAAACGGGGTTTCTTCCTTTCATGCTAGACTAAGAAGAGTTCTCAGTAACTTTTTTGTGTTGTGTGTATTCAACTCACAGAGTTGAACCTTGCTTTAGAGAGAGCAGATTTGAAACACTCTTGCTGTGGCATTTTCAGGTGGAGATTTCAAGCGATTTGAGGACAATTGCAGAAAAGGAAATATCTTCGTATAACAACCAGACAGAATCATTCTCAGAAAGTGCTTTGTGATGTGTGCCGTTCAACTCACAGAGTTTAACCTTTCTTTTCATAGAGGAGTTTGGAAACACACTGTTTCTAAAGTCTGCAATTGGATATATGGACCTGTTTGAGGCCTTCGTTGGAAACGGGATTTCTTCATTGAATGCTAGACGGAAGAATTCTCAGTAAATTCTTTGTGTTGTGTGCATTTAACTCACAGAGTGGAACGTCCCTTCAGACAGAGCAGATTTGAAACACTCTTTTTGCGGAATTTGCAAGTGGAGATTTCTAGCCATTTGATGCCAACAGTAGAAAGGGAAATATCTTCAAATAAAAACCAGACAGAATCATTCTCAGAAAATTCTTTGTGATGTGTGCGTTCAACTCACATAGTTTAACCTTTCTTTTCATAGAGCAGTTTGGAAACACTCTGTTTGTAAAGTCTGCAAGTGGATATATGGACCGCATTGAGGCCTTCGTTGGAAACGGGATTTCTTCATTTCATGCTAGACAGAGTAATTCTCAGTAACTTCTTTGTGCTGTGTGTATTCAACTCACAGAGTGGAACGTCCCTTTGCACAGAGCAGATTTGAAACACTCTTTTTGTGGAATTTGCAAGTGGAGATTTCAAGTGATTTGATGCCAACAGTAGAAAAGGAAATATCTTCAAATAAAAACTAGACAGAATCATTCTCAGAAACTACTTTGTGATGTGTGCCTTCAACTCACAGAGTTTAACCTTTCTTTTCTTAGAGCAGTTTAGAAACACTCTGCTTGTTATGTCTGCAAGTGGATATTTGGACCTCTTTGAGGCCTTCGTTGCAAACGGGGTTTCTTCCTTTCATGCTAGACTAAGAAGAGTTCTCAGTAACTTTTTTGTGTTGTGTGTATTCAACTCACAGAGTTGAACCTTGCTTTAGAGAGAGCAGATTTGAAACACTCTTGCTGTGGCATTTTCAGGTGGAGATTTCAAGCGATTTGAGGACAATTGCAGAAAAGGAAATATCTTCGTATAATAACCAGACAGAATCATTCTCAGAAAGTGCTTTGTGATGTGTGCGTTCAACTCACAGAGTTTAACCTTTCTTTTCATAGAGGAGTTTGGAAACACACTGTTTGTAAAGTCTGCAATTGGATATATGGACCTGTTTGAGGCCTTCGTTGGAAACGGGATTTCTTCATTGAATGCTAGACGGAAGAATTCTCAGTAAATTCTTTGTGTTGTGTGCATTCAACTCACAGAGTGGAACGTCCCTTTAGACAGAGCAGATTTGAAACACTCTTTTTGCGGAATTTGCAAGTGGAGATTTCTAGCCATTTGATGCCAACAGTAGAAAGGGAAATATCTTCAAATAAAAACCAGACAGAATCATTCTCAGAAAGTGCTTTGTGATGTGTGCGTTCAACTCACAGAGTTTAACCTTTCTTTTCATAGAGGAGTTTGGAAACACACTGTTTGTAAAGTCTGCAATTGGATATATGGACCTGTTTGAGGCCTTCGTTGGAAACGGGATTTCTTCATTGAATGCTAGACGGAAGAATTCTCAGTAAATTCTTTGTGTTGTGTGCATTCAACTCACAGAGTGGAACGTCCCTTTAGACAGAGCAGATTTGAAACACTCTTTTTGCGGAATTTGCAAGTGGAGATTTCTAGCCATTTGATGCCAACAGTAGAAAGGGAAATATCTTCAAATAAAAACCAGACAGAATCATTCTCAGAAAATTCTTTGTGATGTGTGCGTTCAACTCACATAGTTTAACCTTTCTTTTCATAGAGAAGTTTGGAAACACTCTGTTTGTAAAGTCTGCAAGTGGATATATGGACCGCATTGAGGCCTTCGTTGGAAACGGGATTTCTTCATTTCATGCTAGACAGAAGAATTCTCAGTAACTTCTTTGTGCTGTGTGTATTCAACTCACAGAGTGGAACGTCCCTTTACACAGAGCAGATTTGAAACACTCTTTTTGTGGAGTTTGCAAGTGGAGATTTCAAGCGATTTGATGCCAACAGTAGAAAAGGAAATATCTTCAAATAAAAACTAGACAGAATAATTCTCAGAAACTACTTTGTGATGTGTGCCTTCAACTCACAGAGTTTAACCTTTCTTTTCTTAGAGCAGTTTAGAAACACTCTGTTTGTTATGTCTGCAAGTGGATATTTGGACCTCTTTGAGGCCTTCGTTGCAAACGGGGTTTCTTCCTTTAATGCTAGACTAAGAAGAGTTCTCAGTAACTTTCTTGTGTTGTGTGTATTCAACTCACAGCGTTGAACCTTGCTTTAGAGAGAGCAGATTTGAAACACTCTTGCTGTGGCATTTTCAGGTGGAGATTTCAAGCGATTTGAGGACAATTGCAGAAAAGGAAATATCTTCGTATAATAACCAGACAGAATCATTCTCAGAAAGTGCTTTGTGATGTGTGCGTTCAACTCACAGAGTTTAACATTTCTTTTCATAGAGGAGTTTGGAAACACACTGTTTGTAAAGTCTGCAATTGGATATATGGACCTGTTTGAGGCCTTCGTTGGAAACGGGATTTCTTCATTGAATGCTAGACGGAAGAATTCTCAGTAAATTCTTTGTGTTGTGTGCATTCAACTCACAGAGTGGAACGTCCCTTTAGACAGAGCAGATTTGAAACACTCTTTTTGCGGAATTTGCAAGTGGAGATTTCTAGCCATTTGATGCCAACAGTAGAAAGGGAAATATCTTCAAATAAAAACCAGACAGAATCATTCTCAGAAAATTCTTTGTGATGTGTGCGTTCAACTCACATAGTTTAACCTTTCTTTTCATAGAGCAGTTTGGGAACACTCTGTTGGTAATGTCTGCAAGTGGATATATGGACCGCTTTGAGGCCTTCGTTGGAAACGGGATTTCTTCATTTCATGCTAGACAGAAGAATTCTCAGTAACTTCTTTGTGCTGTGTGTATTCAACTCACAGAGTGGAACGTCCCTTTACACAGAGCAGATTTGAAACACTCTTTTTGTGGAGTTTGCAAGTGGAGAATTCAAGCGATTTGATGCCAACAGTAGAAAAGGAAATATCTTCAAATAAAAACTAGACAGAATCATTCTCAGAAACTACTTTGTGATGTGTGCCTTCAACTCACAGAGTTTAACCTTTCTTTTCTTAGAGCAGTTTAGAAACACTCTGCTTGTTATGTCTGCAAGTGGATATTTGGACCTCTTTGAGGCCTTCGTTGCAAACGGGGTTTCTTCCTTTCATGCTAGACTAAGAAGAGTTCTCAGTAACTTTTTTGTGTTGTGTGTATTCAACTCACAGAGTTGAACCTTGCTTTAGAGAGAGAAGATTTGAGACACTCTTGCTGTGGCATTTTCAGGTTGAGATTTCAAGCGATTTGAGGACAATTGCAGAAAAGGAAATATCTTCGTATAATAACCAGACAGAATCATTCTCAGAAACTGCTTTGTGATGTGTGCGTTCAACTCACAGAGTTTAACCTTTCTTTTCATAGAGGAGTTTGGAAACACACTGTTTGTAAAGTCTGCAAGTGGATATATGGACCTGTTTGAGGCCTTCGTTGGAAACGGGATTTTATCATATAATGCTAGACGGAAGAATTCTCAGTAAATTCTTTGTGTTGTGTGCATTCAACTCACAGAGTGGAACGTCCCTTTAGACAGAGCAGATTTGAAACACTCTTTTTGCGGAATTTGCAAGTGGAGATTTCTAGCCATTTGATGGCCAACAGTAGAAAGGGAAATATCTTCAAATAAAAACCAGACAGAATCATTCTCAGCAAAATTCTTTGTGATGTGTGCGTTCAACTCACATAGTTTAACCTTTCTTTTCATAGAGCAGTTTGGGAACACTCTGTTGGTAATGTCTGCAAGTGGATATATGGACCGCTTTGAGGCCTTCGTTGGAAACGGGATTTCTTCATTTCATGCTAGACAGAAGAATTCTCAGTAACTTCTTTGTGCTGTGTGTATTCAACTCACAGAGTGGAACGTCCCTTTGCACAGAGCAGATTTGAAACACTCTTTTTGTGGAGTTTGCAAGTGGAGATTTCAAGCGATTTGATGCCAACAGTAGAAAAGGAAATATCTTCAAATAAAAACTAGACAGAATCATTCTCAGAAACTACTTTGTGATGTGTGCCTTCAACTCACAGAGTTTAACCTTTCTTTTCCTAGAGCAGTTTAGAAACACTCTGCTTGTTATGTCTGCAAGTGGATATTTGGACCTCTTTGAGGCCTTCGTTGCAAACGGGGTTTCTTCCTTTAATGCTAGACTAAGAAGAGTTCTCAGCAACTTTTTTGTGTTGTGTGTATTCAACTCAAAGAGTTGAACCTTGCTTTAGAGAGAGCAGATTTGAAACACTCTTGCTGTGGAATTTTCAGGTGGAGATTTCAAGCGATTTGAGGACAATTGCAGAAAAAGAAATATCTTCGTATAATAACCAGACAGACAATCATTCTCAGAAAGTGCTTTGTGATGTGTGCGTTCAACTCACAGAGTTTAACCTTTCTTTTCATAGAGGAGTTTGGAAACACACTGTTTGTAAAGTCTGCAATTGGATATATGGACCTGTTTGAGGCCTTCGTTGGAAACGGGATTTCTTCATTGAATGCTAGACGGAAGAATTCTCAGTAAATTCTTTGTATTGTGTGCATTCAACTGACAGAGTGGAACGTCCCTTTAGACAGAGCAGATTTGAAACACTCTTTTTGCGGAATTTGCAAGTGGAGATTTCTAGCCATTTGATGCCAACAGTAGAAAGGGAAATATCTTCAAATAAAAACCAGACAGAATCATTCTCAGAAAATTCTTTGTGATGTGTGCGTTCAACTCACATAGTTTAACCTTTCTTTTCATAGAGCAGTTTGGAAACACTCTGTTTGTAAAGTCTGCAAGTGGATATATGGACCGCATTGAGGCCTTCGTTGGAAACGGGATTTCTTCATTTCATGCTAGACAGAAGAATTCTCAGTAACTTCTTTGTGCTGTGTGTATTCAACTCACAGAGTGGAACGTCCCTTTACACAGAGCAGATTTGAAACACTCTTTTTGTGGAGTTTGCAAGTGGAGATTTCAAGCGATTTGATGCCAACAGTAGAAAAGGAAATATCTTCAAATAAAAACTAGACAGAATCATTCTCAGAAACTACTTTGTGATGTGTGCCTTCAACTCACAGAGTTTAACCTTTCTTTTCTTAGAGCAGTTTAGAAACACTCTGCTTGTTATGTCTGCAAGTGGATATTTGGACCTCTTTGAGGCCTTCGTTGCAAACGGGGTTTCTTCCTTTCATGCTAGACTAAGAAGAGTTCTCAGTAACTTTTTTGTGTTGTGTGTATTCAACTCACAGAGTTGAACCTTGCTTTAGAGAGAGCAGATTTGAAACACTCTTGCTGTGGCATTTTCAGGTGGAGATTTCAAGCGATTTGAGGACAATTGCAGAAAAGGAAATATCTTCGTATAATAACCAGACAGAATCATTCTCAGAAAGTGCTTTGTGATGTGTGCGTTCCACTCACAGAGTTTAACCTTTCTTTTCATAGAGGAGTTTGGAAACACACTGTTTGTAAAGTCTGCAAGTGGATATATGGACCTGTTTGAGGCCTTCGTTGGAAACGGGATTTCTTCATTGAATGCTAGACGGAAGAATTCTCAGTAAATTCTTTGTGTTGTGTACATTCAACTCACAGAGTGGAACCTCCCTTTAGACAGAGCAGATTTGAAACACTCTTTTTGCGGAATTTGCAAGTGGAGATTTCTAGCCATTTGATGCCAACAGTAGAAAGGGAAATATCTTCAAATAAAAACCAGACAGAATCATTCTCAGAAAATTCTTTGTGATGTGTGCGTTCAACTCACATAGTTTAACCTTTCTTTTCATAGAGCAGTTTGGAAACACTCTGTTTGTAAAGTCTGCAAGTGGATATATGGACCGCATTGAGGCCTTCGTTGGAAACGGGATTTCTTCATTTCATGCTAGACAGAAGAATTCTCAGTAACTTCTTTGTGCTGTGTGTATTGAACTCACAGAGTGGAACGTCCCTTTGCACAGAGCAGATTTGAAACACTCTTTTTGTGGAATTTGCAAGTGGAGATTTCAAGCGATCTGATGCCAACAGTAGAAAAGGAAATATCTTCAAATAAAAACTAGACAGAATCATTCTCAGAAACTACTTTGTGATGTGTGCCTTCAACTCACAGAGTTTAACCTTTCTTTTCTTAGAGCAGTTTAGAAACACTCTGCTTGTTATGTCTGCAAGTGGATATTTGGACCTCTTTGAGGCCTTCGTTGCAAACGGGGTTTCTTCCTTTCATGCTAGACTAAGAAGAGTTCTCAGTAACTTTTTTGTGTTGTGTGTATTCAACTCACAGAGTTGAACCTTGCTTTAGAGAGAGCAGATTTGAAACACTCTTGCTGTGGCATTTTCAGGTGGAGATTTCAAGCGATTTGAAGACAATTACAGAAAAGGAAATATCTTCGTATAATAACCAGACAGAATCATTCTCAGAAAGTGCTTTGTGATGTGTGCGTTCCACTCACAGAGTATAACCTTTCTTTTCATAGAGGAGTTTGGAAACACACTGTTTGTAAAGTCTGCAAGTGGATATATGGACCTCTTTGAGGCCTTCGTTGGAAACGGGATTTCTTCATTGAATGCTAGACGGAAGAATTCTCAGTAAATTCTTTGTGTTGTGTGCATTCAACTCACAGAGTGGAACGTCCCTTTAGACAGAGCAGATTTGAAACACTCTTTTTACGGAATTTGCAAGTGGAGATTTCTAGCAATTTGATGCCAACAGTAGAAAGGGAAATATCTTCAAATAAAAACCAGACAGAATCATTCTCAGAAAATTCTTTGTGATGTGTGCGTTCAACTCACATAATTTAACCTTTCTTTTCATAGAGCAGTTTGGAAACACTCTGTTTGTAAAGTCTGCAAGTGGATATATGGACCGCATTGAGGCCTTCGTTGGAAACGGGATTTCTTCATTTCATGCTAGACAGAAGAATTCTCAGTAACTTCTTTGTGCTGTGTGTATTCAACTCACAGAGTGGAACGTCCCTCTACACAGAGCAGATTTGAAACACTCTTTTTGTGGAGTTTGCAAGTGGAGATTTCAAGCGATTTGATGCCAACAGTAGAAAAGGAAATATCTTCAAATAAAAACTAGACAGAATCATTCTCAGAAACTACTTTGTGATGTGTGCCTTCAACTCACAGAGTTTAACCTTTCTTTTCATAGAGCAGTTTAGAAACACTCTGCTTGTTATGTCTGCAAGTGGATATTTGGACCTCTTTGAGGCCTTCGTTGCAAACGGGGTTTCTTCCTTTCATGCTAGACTAAGAAGAGTTCTCAGTAACTTTTTTGTGTTGTGTGTATTCAACTCACAGAGTTGAACCTTGCTTTAGAGAGAGCAGATTTGAAACACTCTTGCTGTGGCATTTTCAGGTGGAGATTTCAAGCGATTTGAGGACAATTGCAGAAAAGGAAATATCTTCGTATAACAACCAGACAGAATCATTCTCAGAAAGTGCTTTGTGATGTGTGCGTTCAACTCACAGAGTTTAACCTTTCTTTTCATAGAGGAGTTTGGAAACACACTGTTTGTAAAGTCTGCAATTGGATATATGGACCTGTTTGAGGCCTTCGTTGGAAACGGGATTTCTTCATTGAATGCTAGACGGAAGAATTCTCAGTAAATTCTTTGTGTTGTGTGCATTCAACTCACAGAGTGGAACGTCCCTTTAGACAGAGCAGATTTGAAACACTCTTTTTGCGGAATTTGCAAGTGGAGATTTCTAGCCATTTGATGCCAACAGTAGAAAGGGAAATATCTTCAAATAAAAACCAGACAGAATCATTCTCAGAAAATTCTTTGTGATGTGTGCGTTCAACTCACATAGTTTAACCTTTCTTTTCATAGAGCAGTTTGGAAACACTCTGTTTGTAAAGTCTGCAAGTGGATATATGGACCGCATTGAGGCCTTCGTTGGAAACGGGATTTCTTCATTTCATGCTAGACAGAAGAATTCTCAGTAACTTCTTTGTGCTGTGTGTATTCAACTCACAGAGTGGAACGTCCCTTTGCACAGAGCAGATTTGAAACACTCTTTTTGTGGAATTTGCAAGTGGAGATTTCAAGCGATTTGTTGCCAACAGTAGAAAAGGAAATATCTTCAAATAAAAACTAGACAGAATCATTCTCAGAAACTACTTTGTGATGTGTGCCTTCAACTCACAGAGTTCAACCTTTCTTTTCTTAGAGCAGTTTAGAAACACTCTGCTTGTTATGTCTGCAAGTGGATATTTGGACCTCTTTGAGGCCTTCGTTGCAAACGGGGTTTCTTCCTTTCATGCTAGACTAAGAAGAGTTCTCAGTAACTTTTTTGTGTTGTGTTTATTCAACTCACAGAGTTGAACCTTGCTTTAGAGAGAGCAGATTTGAAACACTCTTGCTGTGGCATTTTCAGGTGGAGATTTCAAGCGATTTGAGGACAATTGCAGAAAAGGAAATATCTTCGTATAATAACCAGACAGAATCATTCTCAGAAAGTGCTTTGTGATGTGTGCGTTCAACTCACACAGTTTAACCTTTCTTTCCATAGAGGAGTTTGGAAACACACTGTTTGTAAAGTCTGCAATTGGATATATGGACCTGTTTGAGGCCTTCGTTGGAAACGGGATTTCTTCATTGAATGCTAGACGGAAGAATTCTCAGTAAATTCTTTGTGTTGTGTGCATTCAACTCACAGAGTGGAACGTCCCTTTAGACAGAGCAGATTTGAAACACTCTTTTTGCGGAATTTGCAAGTGGAGATTTCTAGCCATTTGATGCCAACAGTAGAAAGGGAAATATCTTCAAATAAAAACCAGACAGAATCATTCTCAGAAAATTCTTTGTGATGTGTGCGTTCAACTCACATAGTTTAACCTTTCTTTTCATAGAGCAGTTTGGAAACACTCTGTTTGTAAAGTCTGCAAGTGGATATATGGACCGCATTGAGGCCTTCGTTGGAAACGGGATTTCTTCATTTCATGCTAGACAGAAGAATTCTCAGTAACTTCTTTGTGCTGTGTGTATTCAACTCACAGAGTGGAACGTCCCTTTGCACAGAGCAGATTTGAAACACTCTTTTTGTGGAATTTGCAAGTGGAGATTTCAAGCGATTTGATGCCAACAGTAGAAAAGGAAATATCTTCAAATAAAAACTAGACAGAATCATTCTCAGAAACTACTTTGTGATGTGTGCCTTCAACTCACAGAGTTTAACCTTTCTTTTCTTAGAGCAGTTTAGAAACACTCTGCTTGTTATGTCTGCAAGTGGA
This sequence comes from Homo sapiens, assembly GCF_000001405.40. Lineage (NCBI taxonomy): Eukaryota > Metazoa > Chordata > Mammalia > Primates > Hominidae > Homo > Homo sapiens. The sequence continues at coordinate 60,217,630 of NC_000007.14, forward strand.
TATTTGGACCTCTTTGAGGCCTTCGTTGCAAACGGGGTTTCTTCCTTTCATGCTAGACTAAGAAGAGTTCTCAGTAACTTTTTTGTGTTGTGTGTATTCAACTCACAGAGTTGAAGACCTTGCTTTAGAGAGAGCAGATTTGAAACACTCTTGCTGTGGCATTTTCAGGTGGAGATTTCAAGCGATTTGAGGACAATTGCAGAAAAGGAAATATCTTCATATAATAACCAGAAAGAATCATTCTCAGAAAGTGCTTTGTGATGTGTGCGTTCAACTCACAGAGTTTAACCTTTCTTTTCATAGAGGAGTTTGGAAACACACTGTTTGTAAAGTCTGCAATTGGATATATGGACCTGTTTGAGGCCTTCGTTGGAAACGGGATTTCTTCATTGAATGCTAGACGGAAGAATTCTCAGTAAATTCTTTGTGTTGTGTGCATTCAACTCACAGAGTGGAACGTCCCTTTAGACAGAGCAGATTTGAAACACTCTTTTTGCGGAATTTGCAAGTGGAGATTTCTAGCCATTTGATGCCAACAGTAGAAAGGGAAATATCTTCAAATAAAAACCAGACAGAATCATTCTCAGAAATTTCTTTGTGATGTGTGCGTTCAACTCACATAGTTTAACCTTTCTTTTCATAGAGCAGTTTGGAAACACTCTGTTTGTAAAGTCTGCAAGTGGATATATGGACCGCATTGAGGCCTTCGTTGGAAACGGGATTTCTTCATTTCATGCTAGACAGAAGAATTCTCAGTAACTTCTTTGTGCTGTGTGTATTCAACTCACAGAGTTGAACCTTGCTTTAGAGAGAGCAGATTTGAAACACTCTTGCTGTGGCATTTTCAGGTGGAGATTTCAAGCGATTTGAGGAAAATTGCAGAAAAGGGAATATCTTCGTATAATAACCAGACAGAATCATTCTCAGAAAGTGCTTTGTGATGTGTGCGTTCCACTCACAGAGTTTAACCTTTCTTTTCATAGAGGAGTTTGGAAACACACTGTTTGTAAAGTCTGCAAGTGGATATATGGACCTGTTTGAGGCCTTCGTTGGAAACGGGATTTCTTCATTGAATGCTAGACGGAAGAATTCTCAGTAAATTCTTTGTGTGGTGTGCATTCAACTCACAGAGTGGAACGTCCCTTTAGACAGAGCAGATTTGAAACACTCTTTTTGCGGAATTTGCAAGTGGAGATTTCTAGCCATTTGATGCCAACAGTAGAAAGGGAAATATCTTCAAATAAAAACCAGACAGAATCATTCTCAGAAAATTCTTTGTGATGTGTGCGTTCAACTCACATAGTTTAACCTTTCTTTTCATAGAGCAGTTTGGAAACACTCTGTTTGTAAAGTCTGCAAGTGGATATATGGACCGCATTGAGGCCTTCGTTGGAAACGGGATTTCTTCATTTCATGCTAGACAGAAGAATTCTCAGTAACTTCTTTGTGCTGTGTGTATTCAACTCACAGAGTGGAACGTCCCTTTACACAGAGCAGATTTGAAACACTCTTTTTGTGGAGTTTGCAATTGGAGATTTCAAGCGATTTGATGCCAACAGTAGAAAAGGAAATATCTTCAAATAAAAACTAGACAGAATCATTCTCAGAAACTACTTTGTGATGTGTGCCTTTAACTCACAGAGTTTAACCTTTCTTTTCTTAGAGCAGTTTAGAAACACTCTGCTTGTTATGTCTGCAAGTGGATATTTGGACCTCTTTGAGGCCTTCGTTGCAAACGGGGTTTCTTCCTTTCATGCTAGACTAAGAAGAGTTCTCAGTAACTTTTTTGTGTTGTGTGTATTCAACTCACAGAGTTGAACCTTGCTTTAGAGAGAGCAGATTTGAAACACTCTTGCTGTGGCATTTTCAGGTGGAGATTTCAAGCGTTTTGAGGACAATTGCAGAAAAGGAAATATCTTCGTATAATAACCAGACAGAATCATTCTCAGAAAGTGCTTTGTGATGTGTGCGTTCAACTCACAGAGTTTAACCTTTCTTTCCATAGAGGAGTTTGGAAACACACTGTTTGTAAAGTCTGCAATTGGATATATGGACCTGTTTGAGGCCTTCGTTGGAAACGGGATTTCTTCATTGAATGCTAGACGGAAGAATTCTCAGTAAATTCTTTGTGTTGTGTGCATTCAACTGACAGAGTGGAACGTCCCTTTAGACAGAGCAGATTTGAAACACTCTTTTTGCGGAATTTGCAAGTGGAGATTTCTAGCCATTTGATGCCAACAGTAGAAAGGGAAATATCTTCAAATAAAAACCAGACAGAATCATTCTCAGAAAATTCTTTGTGATGTGTGCGTTCAACTCACATAGTTTAACCTTTCTTTTCATAGAGCAGTTTGGAAACACTCTGTTTGTAAAGTCTGCAAGTGGATATATGGACCGCATTGAGGCCTTCGTTGGAAACGGGATTTCTTCATTTCATGCTAGACAGAAGAATACTCAGTAACTTCTTTGTGCTGTGTGTATTCAACTCACAGAGTGGAACGTCCCTTTACACAGAGCAGATTTGAAACACTCTTTTTGTGGAGTTTGCAAGTGGAGATTTCAAGCGATTTGATGCCAACAGTAGAAAAGGAAATATCTTCAAATAAAAACTAGACAGAATCATTCTCAGAAACTACTTTGTGATGTGTGCCTTCAACTCACAGAGTTTAACCTTTCTTTTCTTAGAGCAGTTTAGAAACACTCTGCTTGTTATGTCTGCAAGTGGATATTTGGACCTCTTTGAGGCCTTCGTTGCAAACGGGGTTTCTTCCTTTCATGCTAGACTAAGAAGAGTTCTCAGTAACTTTTCCGTGTTGTGTGTATTCAACTCACAGAGTTGAACCTTGCTTTAGAGAGAGCAGATTTGAAACACTCTTGCTGTGGCATTTTCAGGTGGAGATTTCAAGCGTTTTGAGGACAATTGCAGAAAAGGAAATATCTTCGTATAATAACCAGACAGAATCATTCTCAGAAAGTGCTTTGTGATGTGTGCGTTCCACTCACAGAGTTTAACCTTTCTTTTCATAGAGGAGTTTGGAAACACACTGTTTGTAAAGTCTGCAAGTGGATATATGGACCTGTTTGAGGCCTTCGTTGGAAACGGGATTTCTTCATTGAATGCTAGACGGAAGAATTCTCAGTAAATTCTTTGTGTTGTGTGCATTCAACTCACAGAGTGGAACGTCCCTTTAGACAGAGCAGATTTGAAACACTCTTTTTGCGGAATTTGCAAGTGGAGATTTCTAGCCATTTGATGCCAACAGTAGAAAGGGAAATATCTTCAAATAAAAACCAGACAGAATCATTCTCAGAAAATTCTTTGTGATGTGTGGGTTCAACTCACATAGTTTAACCTTTCTTTTCATAGAGCAGTTTGGAAACACTCTGTTTGTAAAGTCTGCAAGTGGATATATGGACCGCATTGAGGCCTTCGTTGGAAACGGGATTTCTTCATTTCATGCGAGACAGAAGAATTCTCAGTAACTTCTTTGTGCTGTGTGTATTCAACTCACAGAGTGGATCGTCCCTTTGCACAGAGCAGATTTGAAACACTCTTTTTGTGGAATTTGAAAGTGGAGATTTCAAGCGATTTGATGCCAACAGTAGAAAAGGAAATATCTTCAACAAAAAACTAGACAGAATCATTCTCAGAAACTACTTTGTGATGTGTGCCTTCAACTCACAGAGTTTAACCTTTCTTTTCTTAGAGCAGTTTAGAAACACTCTGCTTGTTATGTCTGCAAGTGGATATTTGGACCTCTTTGAGGCCTTCGTTGCAAACGGGGTTTCTTCCTTTCATGCTAGACTAAGAAGAGTTCTCAGTAACTTTTTTGTGTTGTGTGTATTCAACTCACAGAGTTGAACCTTGCTTTAGAGAGAGCAGATTTGAAACACTCTTGCTGTGGCATTTTCAGGTGGAGATTTCAAGCGATTTGAGGACAATTGCAGAAAAGGAAATATCTTCGTATAATAACCAGACAGAATCATTCTCAGAAAGTGCTTTGTGATGTGTGCGTTCAACTCACAGAGTTTAACCTTTCTTTTCATAGAGGAGTTTGGAAACACACTGTTTGTAAAGTCTGCAAGTGGATATATGGACCTGTTTGAGGCCTTCGTTGGAAACGGGATTTCTTCATTGAATGCTAGACGGAAGAATTCTCAGTAAATTCTTTGTGTGGTGTGCATTCAACTCACAGAGTGGAACGTCCCTTTAGACAGAGCAGATTTGAAACACTCTTTTTGCGGAATTTGCAAGTGGAGATTTCTAGCCATTTGATGCCAACAGTAGAAAGGGAAATATCTTCAAATAAAAACCAGACAGAATCATTCTCAGAAAATTCTTTGTGATGTGTGCGTTCAACTCACATAGTTTAACCTTTCTTTTCATAGAGCAGTTTGGAAACACTCTGTTTGTAAAGTCTGCAAGTGGATATATGGACCGCATTGAGGCCTTCGTTGGAAACGGGATTTCTTCATTTCATGCTAGACAGAAGAATTCTCAGTAACTTCTTTGTGCTGTGTGTATTCAACTCACAGAGTGGAACGTCCCTTTGCACAGAGCAGATTTGAAACACTCTTTTTGTGGAGTTTGCAATTGGAGATTTCAAGCGATTTGATGCCAACAGTAGAAAAGGAAATATCTTCAAATAAAAACTAGACAGGAATCATTCTCAGAAACTACTTTGTGATGTGTGCCTTCAACTCACAGAGTTTAACCTTTCTTTTCTTAGAGCAGTTTAGAAACACTCTGCTTGTTATGTCTGCAAGTGGATATTTGGACCTCTTTGAGGCCTTCGTTGCAAACGGGGTTTCTTCCTTTCATGCTAGACTAAGAAGAGTTCTCAGTAACTTTTTTGTGTTGTGTGTATTCAACTCACAGAGTTGAACCTTGCTTTAGAGAGAGCAGATTTGAAACACTCTTGCTGTGGCATTTTCAGGTGGAGATTTCAAGCGTTTTGAGGACAATTGCAGAAAAGGGAATATCTTCGTATAATAACCAGACAGAATCATTCTCAGAAAGTGCTTTGTGATGTGTGCGTTCCACTCACAGAGTTTAACCTTTCTTTTCATAGAGGAGTTTGGAAACACACTGTTTGTAAACTCTGCAAGTGGATATATGGACCTGTTTGAGGCCTTCGTTGGAAACGGGATTTCTTCATTGAATGCTAGACGGAAGAATTCTCAGTAAATTCTTTGTGTTGTGTGCATTCAACTCACAGAGTGGAACGTCCCTTTAGACAGAGCAGATTTGAAACACTCTTTTTGCGGAATTTGCAAGTGGAGATTTCTAGCCATTTGATGCCAACAGTAGAAAGGGAAATATCTTCAAATAAAAACCAGACAGAATCATTCTCAGAAAATTCTTTGTGATGTGTGCGTTCAACTCACATAGTTTAACCTTTCTTTTCATAGAGCAGTTTGGAAACACTCTGTTTGTAAAGTCTGCAAGTGGATATATGGACCGCATTGAGGCCTTCGTTGGAAACGGGATTTCTTCATTTCATGCTAGACAGAAGAATTCTCAGTAACTTCTTTGTGCTGTGTGTATTCAACTCACAGAGTGGAACGTCCCTTTGCACAGAGCAGATTTGAAACACTCTTTTTGTGGAATTTGCAAGTGGAGATTTCAAGCGATTTGATGCCAACAGTAGAAAAGGAAATATCTTCAAATAAAAACTAGACAGAATCATTCTCAGAAACTACTTTGTGATGTGTGCCTTCAACTCACAGAGTTTAACCTTTCTTTTCTTAGAGCAGTTTAGAAACACTCTGCTTGTTATGTCTGCAAGTGGATATTTGGACCTCTTTGAGGCCTTCGTTGCAAACGGGGTTTCTTCCTTTCATGCTAGACTAAGAAGAGTTCTCAGTAACTTTTTTGTGTTGTGTGTATTCAACTCACAGAGCTGAACCTTGCTTTAGAGAGAGCAGATTTGAAACACTCTTGCTGTGGCATTTTCAGGTGGAGATTTCAAGCGATTTGAGGACAATTGCAGAAAAGGAAATATCTTCGTATAACAACCAGACAGAATCATTCTCAGAAAGTGCTTTGTGATGTGTGCGTTCAACTCACAGAGTTTAACCTTTCTTTTCATAGAGGAGTTTGGAAACACACTGTTTGTAAAGTCTGCAAGTGGATATATGGACCTGTTTGAGGCCTTCGTTGGAAACGGGATTTCTTCATTGAATGCTAGACGGGAAGAATTCTCAGTAAATTCTTTGTGTGGTGTGCATTCAACTCACAGAGTGGAACGTCCCTTTAGACAGAGCAGATTTGAAACACTCTTTTTGCGGAATTTGCAAGTGGAGATTTCTAGCCATTTGATGCCAACAGTAGAAAGGGAAATATCTTCAAATAAAAACCAGACAGAATCATTCTCAGAAAATTCTTTGTGATGTGTGCGTTCAACTCACATAGTTTAACCTTTCTTTTCATAGAGCAGTTTGGAAACACTCTGTTTGTAAAGTCTGCAAGTGGATATATGGACCGCATTGAGGCCTTCGTTGGAAACGGGATTTCTTCATTTCATGCTAGACAGAAGAATTCTCAGTAACTTCTTTGTGCTGTGTGTATTCAACTCACAGAGTTGAACCTTGCTTTAGAGAGAGCAGATTTGAAACACTCTTGCTGTGGCATTTTCAGGTGGAGATTTCAAGCGATTTGAGGAAAATTGCAGAAAAGGGAATATCTTCGTATAATAACCAGACAGAATCATTCTCAGAAAGTGCTTTGTGATGTGTGCGTTCCACTCACAGAGTTTAACCTTTCTTTTCATAGAGGAGTTTGGAAACACACTGTTTGTAAACTCTGCAAGTGGATATATGGACCTGTTTGAGGCCTTCGTTGGAAACGGGATTTCTTCATTGAATGCTAGACGGAAGAATTCTCAGTAAATTCTTTGTGTTGTGTGCATTCAACTCACAGAGTGGAACGTCCCTTTAGACAGAGCAGATTTGAAACACTCTTTTTGCGGAATTTGCAAGTGGAGATTTCTAGCCATTTGATGCCAACAGTAGAAAGGGAAATATCTTCAAATAAAAACCAGACAGAATCATTCTCAGAAAATTCTTTGTGATGTGTGCGTTCAACTCACACAGTTTAACCTTTCTTTTCTTAGAGCAGTTTAGAAACACTCTGCTTGTTATGTCTGCAAGTGGATATTTGGACCTCTTTGAGGCCTTCGTTGCAAACGGGGTTTCTTCCTTTCATGCTAGACTAAGAAGAGTTCTCAGTAACTTTTTTGTGTTGTGTGTATTCAACTCACAGAGTTGAACCTTGCTTTAGAGAGAGCAGATTTGAAACACTCTTGCTGTGGCATTTTCAGGTGGAGATTTCAAGCGATTTGAGGACAATTGCAGAAAAGGAAATATCTTCGTATAATAACCAGACAGAATCATTCTCAGAAAGTGCTTTGTGATGTGTGCGTTCCACTCACAGAGTTTAACCTTTCTTTTCATAGAGGAGTTTGGAAACACACTGTTTGTAAAGTCTGCAAGTGGATATATGGACCTGTTTGAGGCCTTCGTTGGAAACGGGATTTCTTCATTGAATGCTAGACGGAAGAATTCTCAGTAAATTCTTTGTGTTGTGTGCATTCAACTCACAGAGTGGAACGTCCCTTTAGACATAGCAGATTTGAAACACTCTTTTTGCGGAATTTGCAAGTGGAGATTTCTAGCCATTTGATGCCAACAGTAGAAAGGGAAATATCTTCAAATAAAAACCAGACAGAATCATTCTCAGAAAATTCTTTGTGATGTGTGCGTTCAACTCACATAGTTTAACCTTTCTTTTCATAGAGCAGTTTGGAAACACTCTGTTTGTAAAGTCTGCAAGTGGATATATGGACCGCATTGAGGCCTTCGTTGGAAACGGGATTTCTTCATTTCATGCTAGACAGAAGAATTCTCAGTAACTTCTTTGTGCTGTGTGTATTCAACTCACAGAGTGGAACGTCCCTTTGCACAGAGCAGATTTGAAACACTCTTTTTGTGGAATTTGCAAGTGGAGATTTCAAGCGATTTGATGCCAACAGTAGAAAAGGAAATATCTTCAAATAAAAACTAGACAGAATCATTCTCAGAAACTACTTTGTGATGTGTGCCTTCAACTCACAGAGTTTAACCTTTCTTTTCTTAGAGCAGTTTAGAAACACTCTGCTTGTTATGTCTGCAAGTGGATATTTGGACCTCTTTGAGGCCTTCGTTGCAAACGGGGTTTCTTCCTTTCATGCTAGACTAAGAAGAGTTCTCAGTAACTTTTTTGTGTTGTGTGTATTCAACTCACAGAGTTGAACCTTGCTTTAGAGAGAACAGATTTGAAACACTCTTGCTGTGGCATTTTCAGGTGGAGATTTCAAGCGATTTGAGGACAATTGCAGAAAAGGAAATATCTTCGTATAACAACCAGACAGAATCATTCTCAGAAAGTGCTTTGTGATGTGTGCGTTCAACTCACAGAGTTTAACCTTTCTTTTCATAGAGGAGTTTGGAAACACACTGTTTGTAAAGTCTGCAATTGGATATATGGACCTGTTTGAGGACTTCTTTGGAAACGGGATTTCTTCATTGAATGCTAGACGGAAGAATTCTCAGTAAATTCTTTGTGTTGTGTGCATTCAACTCACAGACTGGAACGTCCCTTTAGACAGAGCAGATTTGAAACACTCTTTTTGCGGAATTTGCAAGTGGAGATTTCTAGCCATTTGATGCCAACAGTAGAAAGGGAAATATCTTCAAATAAAAACCAGACAGAATCATTCTCAGAAAATTCTTTGTGATGTGTGCGTTCAACTCACATAGTTTAACCTTTCTTTTCATAGAGCAGTTTGGAAACACTCTGTTTGTAAAGTCTGCAAGTGGATATATGGACCGCATTGAGGCCTTCGTTGGAAACGGGATTTCTTCATTTCATGCTAGACAGAAGAATTCTCAGTAACTTCTTTGTGCTGTGTGTACTCAACTCACAGAGTGGAACGTCCCTTTGCACAGAGCAGATTTGAAACACTCTTTTTGTGGAGTTTGCAAGTGGAGATTTCAAGCGATTTGATGCCAACAGTAGAAAAGGAAATATCTTCAAATAAAAACTAGACAGAATCATTCTCAGAAACTACTTTGTGATGTGTGCCTTCAACTCACAGAGTTTAACCTTTCTTTTCTTAGAGCAGTTTAGAAACACTCTGCTTGTTATGTCTGCAAGTGGATATTTGGACCTCTTTGAGGCCTTCGTTGCAAACGGGGTTTCTTCCTTTCATGCTAGACTAAGAAGAGTTCTCAGTAACTTTTTTGTGTTGTGTGTATTCAACTCACAGAGTTGAACCTTGCTTTAGAGAGAGCAGATTTGAAACACTCTTGCTGTGGCATTTTCAGGTGGAGATTTCAAGCGATTTGAGGACAATTGCAGAAAAGGAAATATCTTCGTATAATAACCAGACAGAATCATTCTCAGAAAGTGCTTTGTGATGTGTGCGTTCAACTCACAGAGTTTAACCTTTCTTTTCATAGAGGAGTTTGGAAACACACTGTTTGTAAAGTCTGCAATTGGATATATGGACCTGTTTGAGGCCTTCTTTGGAAACGGGATTTCTTCATTGAATGCTAGACGGAAGAATTCTCAGTAAATTCTTTGTGTTGTGTGCATTCAACTGACAGAGTGGAACGTCCCTTTAGACAGAGCAGATTTGAAACACTCTTTTTGCGGAATTTGCAAGTGGAGATTTCTAGCCATTTGATGCCAACAGTAGAAAGGGAAATATCTTCAAATAAAAACCAGACAGAATCATTCTCAGAAAATTCTTTGTGATGTGTGCGTTCAACTCACATAGTTTAACCTTTCTTTTCATAGAGCAGTTTGGAAACACTCTGTTTGTAAAGTCTGCAAGTGGATATATGGACCGCATTGAGGCCTTCGTTGGAAACGGGATTTCTTCATTTCATGCTAGACAGAAGAATTCTCAGTAACTTCTTTGTGCTGTGTGTATTCAACTCACAGAGTGGAACGTCCCTTTACACAGAGCAGAATTGAAACACTCTTTTTGTGGAGTTTGCAAGTGGAGATTTCAAGCGATTTGATGCCAACAGTAGAAAAGGAAATATCTTCAAATAAAAACTAGACAGAATCATTCTCAGAAACTACTTTGTGATGTGTGCCTTCAACTCACAGAGTTTAACCTTTCTTTTCTTAGAGCAGTTTAGAAACACTCTGCTTGTTATGTCTGCAAGTGGATATTTGGACCTCTTTGAGGCCTTCGTTGCAAACGGGGTTTCTTCCTTTCATGCTAGACTAAGAAGAGTTCTCAGTAACTTTTTTGTGTTGTGTGTATTCAACTCACAGAGTTGAACCTTGCTTTAGAGAGAGCAGATTTGAAACACTCTTGCTGTGGCATTTTCAGGTGGAGATTTCAAGCGATTTGAGGACAATTGCAGAAAAGGAAATATCTTCGTATAATAACCAGACAGAATCATTCTCAGAAAGTGCTTTGTGATGTGTGCGTTCAACTCACAGAGTTTAACCTTTCTTTTCATAGAGGAGTTTGGAAACACACTGTTTGTAAAGTCTGCAATTGGATATATGGACCTGTTTGAGGCCTTCGTTGGAAACGGGATTTCTTCATTGAATGCTAGACGGAAGAATTCTCAGTAAATTCTTTGTGTTGTGTGCATTCAACTCACAGAGTGGAACGTCCCTTTAGACAGAGCAGATTTGAAACACTCTTTTTGCGGAATTTGCAAGTGGAGATTTCTAGCCATTTGATGCCAACAGTAGAAAGGGAAATATCTTCAAATAAAAACCAGACAGAATCATTCTCAGAAAATTCTTTGTGATGTGTGCGTTCAACTCACATAGTTTAACCTTTCTTTTCATAGAGCAGTTTGGAAACACTCTGTTTGTAAAGTCTGCAAGTGGATATATGGACCGCATTGAGGCCTTCGTTGGAAACGGGATTTCTTCATTTCATGCTAGACAGAAGAATTCTCAGTAACTTCTTTGTGCTGTGTGTATTCAACTCACAGAGTGGAACGTCCCTTTGCACAGAGCAGATTTGAAACACTCTTTTTGTGGAGTTTGCAAGTGGAGATTTCAAGCGATTTGATGCCAACAGTAGAAAAGGAAATATCTTCAAATAAAAACTAGACAGAATCATTATCAGAAAGTGCTTTGTGATGTGTGCATTCAACTCACAGAGTTAACCTTTCTTTTCATAAAGGAGTTTGGAAACACACTGTTTGTAAAGTCTGCAATTGGATATATGGACCTGTTTGAGGCCTTCGTTGGAAACGGGATTTCTTCATTGAATGCTAGACGGAAGAATTCTCAGTAAATTCTTTGTGTTGTGTGCATTCAACTCACAGAGTGGAACGTCCCTTTAGACAGAGCAGATTTGAAACACTCTTTTTGCGGAATTTGCAAGTGGAGATTTCTAGCCATTTGATGCCAACAGTAGAAAGGGAAATATCTTCAAATAAAAACCAGACAGAATCATTCTCAGAAAATTCTTTGTGATGTGTGCGTTCAACTCACATAGTTTAACCTTTCTTTTCATAGAGCAGTTTGGAAACACTCTGTTTGTAAAGTCTGCAAGTGGATATATGGACCGCATTGAGGCCTTCGTTGGAAACGGGATTTCTTCATTCATGCTAGACAGAAGAATTCTCAGTAACTTCTTTGTGCTGTGTGTATTCAACTCACAGAGTGGAACGTCCCTTTACACAGAGCAGATTTGAAACACTCTTTTTGTGGAGTCTGCAAGTGGAGATTTCAAGCGATTTGATGCCAACAGTAGAAAAGGAAATATCTTCAAATAAAAACTAGACAGAATCATTCTCAGAAACTACTTTGTGATGTGTGCCTTCAACTCACAGAGTTTAACCTTTCTTTTCTTAGAGCAGTTTAGAAACACTCTGCTTGTTATGTCTGCAAGTGGATATTTGGACCTCTTTGAGGCCTTCGTTGCAAACGGGGTTTCTTCCTTTCATGCTAGACTAAGAAGAGTTCTCAGTAACTTTTTTGTGTTGTGTGTATTCAACTCACAGAGTTGAACCTTGCTTTAGAGAGAGCAGATTTGAAACACTCTTGCTGTGGCATTTTCAGGTGGAGATTTCAAGCGATTTGAGGACAATTGCAGAAAAGGAAATATCTTCGTATAACAACCAGACAGAATCATTCTCAGAAAGTGCTTTGTGATGTGTGCGTTCAACTCACAGAGTTTAACCTTTCTTTTCATAGAGGAGTTTGGAAACACACTGTTTGTAAAGTCTGCAATTGGATATATGGACCTGTTTGAGGCCTTCGTTGGAAACGGGATTTCTTCATTGAATGCTAGACGGAAGAATTCTCAGTAAATTCTTTGTGTGGTGTGCATTCAACTCACAGAGTGGAACGTCCCTTTAGACAGAGCAGATTTGAAACACTCTTTTTGCGGAATTTGCAAGTGGAGATTTCTAGCCATTTGATGCCAACAGTAGAAAGGGAAATATCTTCAAATAAAAACCAGACAGAATCATTCTCAAAAAATTCTTTCTTATGTGTGCGTTCAACTCACATAGTTTAACCTTTCTTTTCATAGAGCAGTTTGGAAACACTCTGTTGGTAAAGTCTGCAAGTGGATATATGGACCGCATTGAGGCCTTCGTTGGAAATGGGATTTCTTCATTTCATGCTAGACAGAAGAATTCTCAGTAACTTCTTTGTGCTGTGTGTATTCAACTCACAGAGTGGAACGTCCCTTTACACAGAGCAGATTTGAAACACTCTTTTTGTGGAATTTGCAAGTGGAGATTTCAAGCGATTTGATGCCAACAGTAGAAAAGGAAATATCTGCAAAAAAAAACTAGACAGAATCATTCTCAGAAACTACTTTGTGATGTGTGCCTTCAACTCACAGAGTTTAACCTTTCTTTTCTTAGAGCAGTTTAGAAACACTCTGCTTGTTATGTCTGCAAGTGGATATTTGGACCTCTTTGAGGCCTTCGTTGCAAACGGGGTTTCTTCCTTTCATGCTAGACTAAGAAGAGTTCTCAGTAACTTTTTTGTGTTGTGTGTATTCAACTCACAGAGTTGAACCTTGCTTTAGAGAGAGCAGATTTGAAACACTCTTGCTGTGGCATTTTCAGGTGGAGATTTCAAGCGATTTGAAGACAATTGCAGAAAAGGAAATATCTTCGTATAATAACCAGACAGAATCATTCTCAGAAAGTGCTTTGTGATGTGTGCGTTCAACTCACAGAGTTTAACCTTTCTTTTCATAGAGGAGTTTGGAAACACACTGTTTGTAAAGTCTGCAAGTGGATATATGGACCTGTTTGAGGCCTTCATTGGAAACGGGATTTCTTCATTGAATGCTAGACGGAAGAATTCTCAGTAAATTCTTTGTGTTGTGTGCATTCAACTGACAGAGTGGAACGTCCCTTTAGACAGAGCAGATTTGAAACACTCTTTTTGCGGAATTTGCAAGTGGAGATTTCTAGCCATTTGATGCCAACAGTAGAAAAGGAAATATCTTCAAATAAAAACTAGACAGAATCATTCTCAGAAAATTCTTTGTGATGTGTGCGTTCAACTCACATAGTTTAACCTTTCTTTTCATAGAGCAGTTTGGAAACACTCTGTTTGTAAAGTCTGCAAGTGGATATATGGACCGCATTGAGGCCTTCGTTGGAAACGGGATTTCTTCATTTCATGCTAGACAGAAGAATTCTCAGTAACTTCTTTGTGCTGTGTGTATTCAACTCACAGAGTGGAACGTCCCTTTGCACAGAGCAGATTTGAAACACTCTTTTTGTGGAGTTTGCAAGTTGAGATTTCAAGCGATTTGATGCCAACAGTAGAAAAGGAAATATCTTCAAATAAAAACTAGACAGAATCATTCTCAGAAACTACTTTGTGATGTGTGCCTTCAACTCACAGAGTTTAACCTTTCTTTTCTTAGAGCAGTTTAGAAACACTCTGCTTGTTATGTCTGCAAGTGGATATTTGGACCTCTTTGAGGCCTTCGTTGCAAACGGGGTTTCTTCCTTTCATGCTAGACTAAGAAGAGTTCTCAGTAACTTTTTTGTGTTGTGTGTATTCAACTCACAGAGTTGAACCTTGCTTTAGAGAGAGCAGATTTGAAACACTCTTGCTGTGGCATTTTCAGGTGGAGATTTCAAGCGATTTGAGGACAATTGCAGAAAAGGAAATATCTTCGTATAATAACCAGACAGAATCATTCTCAGAAAGTGCTTTGTGATGTGTGCGTTCAACTCACAGAGTTTAACCTTTCTTTTCATAGAGGAGTTTGGAAACACACTGTTTGTAAAGTCTGCAATTGGATATATGGACCTGTTTGAGGCCTTCGTTGGAAACGGGATTTCTTCATTGAATGCTAGACGGAAGAATTCTCAGTAAATTCTTTGTGTTGTGTGCATTCAACTCACAGAGTGGAACGTCCCTTTAGACAGAGCAGATTTGAAACACTCTTTTTGCGGAATTTGCAAGTGGAGATTTCTAGCCATTTGATGCCAACAGTAGAAAGGGAAATATCTTCAAATAAAAACCAGACAGAATCATTCTCAGAAAATTCTTTGTGATGTGTGCGTTCAACTCACATAGTTTAACCTTTCTTTTCATAGAGCAGTTTGGAAACACTCTGTTTGTAAAGTCTGCAAGTGGATATATGGACCGCATTGAGGCCTTCGTTGGAAACGGGATTTCTTCATTTCATGCTAGACAGAAGAATTCTCAGTAACTTCTTTGTGCTGTGTGTATTCAACTCACAGAGTGGAACGTCCCTTTGCACAGAGCAGATTTGAAACACTCTTTTTGTGGAGTTTGCAAGTGGAGATTTCAAGCGATTTGATGCCAACAGTAGAAAAGGAAATATCTTCAAATAAAAACTAGACAGAATCATTCTCAGAAACTACTTTGTGATGTGTGCCTTCAACTCACAGAGTTTAACCTTTCTTTTCTTAGAGCAGTTTAGAAACACTCTGCTTGTTATGTCTGCAAGTGGATATTTGGACCTCTTTGAGGCCTTCGTTGCAAACGGGGTTTCTTCCTTTCATGCTAGACTAAGAAGAGTTCTCAGTAACTTTTTTGTGTTGTGTGTATTCAACTCACAGAGTTGAACCTTGCTTTAGAGAGAGCAGATTTGAAACACTCTTGCTGTGGCATTTTCAGGTGGAGATTTCAAGCGATTTGAGGACAATTGCAGAAAAGGAAATATCTTCGTATAATAACCAGACAGAATCATTCTCAGAAAGTGCTTTGTGATGTGTGCGTTCAACTCACAGAGTTTAACCTTTCTTTTCATAGAGGAGTTTGGAAACACACTGTTTGTAAAGTCTGCAATTGGATATATGGACCTGTTTGAGGCCTTCGTTGGAAACGGGATTTCTTCATTGAATGCTAGACGGAAGAATTCTCAGTAAATTCTTTGTGTTGTGTGCATTCAACTCACAGAGTGGAACGTCCCTTTAGACAGAGCAGATTTGAAACACTCTTTTTGCGGAATTTGCAAGTGGAGATTTCTAGCCATTTGATGCCAACAGTAGAAAGGGAAATATCTTCAAATAAAAACCAGACAGAATCATTCTCAGAAAATTCTTTGTGATGTGTGCGTTCAACTCACATAGTTTAACCTTTCTTTTCATAGAGCAGTTTGGAAACACTCTGTTTGTAAAGTCTGCAAGTGGATATATGGACCGCATTGAGGCCTTCGTTGTAAACGGGATTTCTTCATTTCATGCTAGACAGAAGAATTCTCAGTAACTTCTTTGTGCTGTGTGTATTCAACTCACAGAGTGGAACGTCCCTTTACACAGAGCAGATTTGAAACACACTTTTTGTGGAGTTTGCAAGTGGAGATTTCAAGCGATTTGATGCCAACAGTAGAAAAGGAAATATCTTCAAATAAAAACTAGACAGAATCATTCTCAGAAACTACTTTGTGATGTGTGCCTTCAACTCACAGAGTTTAACCTTTCTTTTCTTAGAGCAGTTTAGAAACACTCTGCTTGTTATGTCTGCAAGTGGATATTTGGACCTCTTTGAGGCCTTCGTTGCAAACGGGATTTCTTCCTTTCATGCTAGACTAAGAAGAGTTCTCAGTAACTTTTTTGTGTTGTGTGTATTCAACTCACAGAGTTGAACCTTGCTTTAGAGAGAGCAGATTTGAAACACTCTTGCTGTGGCATTTTCAGGTGGAGATTTCAAGCGATTTGAGGACAATTGCAGAAAAGGAAATATCTTCGTATAATAACCAGACAGAATCATTCTCAGAAAGTGCTTTGTGATGTGTGCGTTCAACTCACAGAGTTTAACCTTTCTTTTCATAGAGGAGTTTGGAAACACACTGTTTGTAAAGTCTGCAATTGGATATATGGACCTGTTTGAGGCCTTCGTTGGAAACGGGATTTCTTCATTGAATGCTAGACGGAAGAATTCTCAGTAAATTCTTTGTGTTGTGTGCATTCAACTCACAGAGTGGAACGTCCCTTTAGACAGAGCAGATTTGAAACACTCTTTTTGCGGAATTTGCAAGTGGAGATTTCTAGCCATTTGATGCCAACAGTAGAAAGGGAAATATCTTCAAATAAAAACCAGACAGAATCATTCTCAGAAAATTCTTTGTGATGTGTGCGTTCAACTCTCATAGTTTAACCTTTCTTTTCATAGAGCAGTTTGGAAACACTCTGTTTGTAAAGTCTGCAAGTGGATATATGGACCGCATTGAGGCCTTCGTTGGAAACGGGATTTCTTCATTTCATGCTAGACAGAAGAATTCTCAGTAACTTCTTTGTGCTGTGTGTATTCAACTCACAGAGTGGAACGTCCCTTTGCACAGAGCAGATTTGAAACACTCTTTTTGTGGAGTTTGCAAGTGGAGATTTCAAGCGATTTGATGCCAACAGTAGAAAAGGAAATATCTTCAAATAAAAACTAGACAGAATCATTCTCAGAAACTACTTTGTGATGTCTGCCTTCAACTCACAGAGTTTAACCTTTCTTTTCTTAGAGCAGTTTAGAAACACTCTGCTTGTTATGTCTGCAAGTGGATATTTGGACCTCTTTGAGGCCTTCGTTGCAAACGGGGTTTCTTCCTTTCATGCTAGACTAAGAAGAGTTCTCAGTAACTTTTTTGTGTTGTGTGTATTCAACTCACAGAGTTGAACCTTGCTTTAGAGAGAGCAGATTTGAAACACTCTTGCTGTGGCATTTTCAGGTGGAGATTTCAAGCGATTTGAGGACAATTGCAGAAAAGGAAATATCTTCGTATAATAACCAGACAGAATCATTCTCAGAAAGTGCTTTGTGATGTGTGCGTTCAACTCACAGAGTTTAACCTTTCTTTTCATAGAGGAGTTTGGAAACACACTGTTTGTAAAGTCTGCAAGTGGATATATGGACCTGTTTGAGGCCTTCGTTGGAAACGGGATTTCTTCATTGAATGCTAGACGGAAGAATTCTCAGTAAATTCTTTGTGTTGTGTGCATTCAACTGACAGAGTGGAACTGTCCCTTTAGACAGAGCAGATTTGAAACACTCTTTTTGCGGAATTTGCAAGTGGAGATTTCTAGCCATTTGATGCCAACAGTAGAAAGGGAAATATCTTCAAATAAAAACCAGACAGATAATCATTCTCAGCAAAATTCTTTGTGATGTGTGCGTTCAACTCACATAGTTTAACCTTTCTTTTCATAGAGAAGTTTGGAAACACTCTGTTTGTAAAGTCTGCAAGTGGATATATGGACCGCATTGAGGCCTTCGTTGGAAACGGGATTTCTTCATTTCATGCTAGACAGAAGAATTCTCAGTAACTTCTTTGTGCTGTGTGTATTCAACTCACAGAGTGCAACGTCCCTTTACACAGAGCAGATTTGAAACACTCTTTTTGTGGAATTTGCAAGTGGAGATTTCAAGCGATTTGATGCCAACAGTAGAAAAGGAAATATCTTCAAATAAAAACTAGACAGAATCATTCTCAGAAACTACTTTGTGATGTGTGCCTTCAACTCGCAGAGTTTAACCTTTCTTTTCTTAGAGCAGTTTAGAAACACTCTGCTTGTTATGTCTGCAAGTGGATATTTGGACCTCTTTGAGGCCTTCGTTGCAAACGGGATTTCTTCCTTTAATGCTAGACTAAGAAGAGTTCTCAGTAACTTTTTTGTGTTGTGTGTATTCAACTCACAGAGTTGAACCTTGCTTTAGAGAGAGCAGATTTGAAACACTCTTGCTGTGGCATTTTCAGGTGGAGATTTCAAGCGATTTGAGGACAATTGCAGAAAAGGAAATATCTTCGTATAATAACCAGACAGAATCATTCTCAGAAAGTGCTTTGTGATGTGTGCGTTCAACTCACAGAGTTTAACCTTTCTTTTCATAGAGGAGTTTGGAAACACACTGTTTGTAAAGTCTGCAATTGGATATATGGACCTGTTTGAGGCCTTCGTTGGAAACGGGATTTCTTCATTGAATGCTAGACGGAAGAATTCTCAGTAAATTCTTTGTGTTGTGTGCATTCAACTCACAGAGTGGAACGTCCCTTTAGACAGAGCAGATTTGAAACACTCTTTTTGCGGAATTTGCAAGTGGAGATTTCTAGCCATTTGATGCCAACAGTAGAAAGGGAAATATCTTCAAATAAAAACCAGACAGAATCATTCTCAGAAAATTCTTTGTGATGTGTGCGTTCAACTCACATAGTTTAACCTTTCTTTTCATAGAGCAGTTTGGAAACACTGTGTTTGTAAAGTCTGCAAGTGGATATATGGACCGCATTGAGGCCTTCGTTGGAAACGGGATTTCTTCATTTCATGCTAGACAGAAGAATTCTCAGCAACTTCTTTGTGCTGTGTGT
Source organism: Homo sapiens (assembly GCF_000001405.40). NCBI lineage: Eukaryota > Metazoa > Chordata > Mammalia > Primates > Hominidae > Homo > Homo sapiens. Next base: position 60,236,463 of record NC_000007.14, read on the forward strand.
ATTCAACTCACAGAGTGGAACGTCCCTTTACACAGAGCAGATTTGAAACACTCTTTTTGTGGAGTTTGCAAGTGGAGATTTCAAGCGATTTGATGCCAACAGTAGAAAAGGAAATATCTTCAAATAAAAACTAGACAGAATCATTCTCAGAAACTACTTTGTGATGTGTGCCTTCAACTCACAGAGTTTAACCTTTCTTTTCTTAGAGCAGTTTAGAAACACTCTGCTTGTTATGTCTGCAAGTGGATATTTGGACCTCTTTGAGGCCTTCGTTGCAAACGGGGTTTCTTCCTTTAATGCTAGACTAAGAAGAGTTCTCAGTAACTTTTTTGTGTTGTGTGTATTCAACTCACAGAGTTGAACCTTGCTTTAGAGAGAGCAGATTTGAAACACTCTTGCTGTGGCATTTTAAGGTGGAGATTTCAAGCGATTTGAGGACAATTGCAGAAAAGGAAATATCTTCGTATAACAAACAGACAGAATCATTCTCAGAAAGTGCTTTGTGATGTGTGCGTTCCACTCACAGAGTTTAACCTTTTTTTTCATAGAGGAGTTTGGAAACACACTGTTTGTAAAGTCTGCAAGTGGATTTATGGACCTGTTTGAGGCCTTCGTTGGAAACGGGATTTCTTCATTGAATGCTAGACGGAAGAATTCTCAGTAAATTCTTTGTGTTGTGTGCATTCAACTCACAGAGTGGAACGTCCCTTTAGACAGAGCAGATTTGAAACACTCTTTTTGCGGAATTTGCAAGTGGAGATTTCTAGCCATTTGATGCCAACAGTAGAAAGGGAAATATCTTCAAATAAAAACCAGACAGAATCATTCTCAGAAAGTGCTTTGTGATGTGTGCGTTCAACTCACAGAGTTTAACCTTTCTTTTCATAGAGGAGTTTGGAAACACACTGTTTGTAAAGTCTGCAATTGGATATATGGACCTGTTTGAGGCCTTCGTTGGAAACGGGATTTCTTCATTGAATGCTAGACGGAAGAATTCTCAGTAAATTCTTCGTGTTGTGTGCATTCAACTCACAGAGTGGAACGTCCCTTTAGACAGAGCAGATTTGAAACACTCTTTTTGCGGAATTTGCAAGTGGAGATTTCTAGCCATTTGATGCCAACAGTAGAAAGGGAAATATCTTCAAATAAAAACCAGACAGAATCATTCTCAGAAAATTCTTTGTGATGTGTGCGTTCAACTCACATAGTTTAACCTTTCTTTTCATAGAGCAGTTTGGAAACACTCTGTTTGTAAAGTCTGCAAGTGGATATATGGACCGCATTGAGGCCTTCGTTGGAAACGGGATTTCTTCATTTCATGCTAGACAGAAGAATTCTCAGTAACTTCTTTGTGCTGTGTGTATTCAACTCACAGAGTGGAACGTCCCTTTACACAGAGCAGATGTGAAACACTCTTTTTGTGGAGTTTGCAAGTGGAGATTTCAAGCGATTTGATGCCAACAGTAGAAAAGGAAATATCTTCAAATAAAAACTAGACAGAATCATTCTCAGAAACTACTTTGTGATGTGTGCCTTCAACTCACAGAGTTTAACCTTTCTTTTCTTAGAGCAGTTTAGAAACACTCTGCTTGTTATGTCTGCAAGTGGATATTTGGACCTCTTTGAGGCCTTCGTTGCAAACGGGGTTTCTTCCGTTCATGCTAGACTAAGAAGAGTTCTCAGTAACTTTTTTATGTTGTGTGTATTCAACTCACAGAGTTGAACCTTGCTTTAGAGAGAGCAGATTTGAAACACTCTTGCTGTGACATTTTCAGGTGGAGATTTCAAGCGATTTGTGGACAATTGCAGAAAAAGAAATATCTTCGTATAATAACCAGACAGAATCATTCTCAGAAAGTGCTTTGTGATGTGTGCGTTCCACTCACAGAGTTTAACCTTTCTTTTCATAGAGGAGTTTGGAAACACACTGTTTGTAAAGTCTGTAAGTGGATATATGGACCTGTTTGAGGCCTTCGTTGGAAACGGGATTTCTTCATTGAATGCTAGACGGAAGAATTCTCAGTAAATTCTTTGTGTTGTGTGCATTCAACTCACAGAGTGGAACGTCCCTTTAGACAGAGCAGATTTGAAACACTCTTTTTGCGGAATTTGCAAGTGGAGATTTCTAGCCATTTGATGCCAACACTAGAAAGGGAAATATCTTCAAATAAAAACCAGACAGAATCATTCTCAGAAAATTCTTTGTGATGTGTGCGTTCAACTCACATAGTTTAACCTTTCTTTTCATAGAGCAGTTTGGAAACACTCTGTTTGTAAAGTCTGCAAGTGGATATATGGACCTCTTTGAGGCCTTCGTTGGAAACGGGATTTCTTCATTGAATGCTAGACGGAAGAATTCTCAGTAACTTCTTTGTGCTGTGTGTATTCAACTCACAGAGTGGAACGTCCCTTTACACAGAGCAGATTTGAAACACTCTTTTTGTGGAGTTTGCAAGTGGAGATTTCAAGCGATTTGATGCCAACAGTAGAAAAGGAAATATCTTCAAATAAAAACTAGACAGAATCATTCTCAGAAACTACTTTGTGATGTGTGCCTTTAACTCACAGAGTTTAACCTTTCTTTTCTTAGAGCAGTTTAGAAACACTCTGCTTGTTATGTCTGCAAGTGGATATTTGGACCTCTTTGAGGCCTTCGTTGCAAACGGGGTTTCTTCCTTTCATGCTAGACTAAGAAGAGTTCTCAGTAACTTTTTTGTGTTGTGTGTATTCAACTCACAGAGTTGAACCTTGCTTTAGAGAGAGCAGATTTGAAACACTCTTGCTGTGGCATTTTCAGGTGGAGATTTCAAGCGATTTGAGGACAATTGCAGAAAAGGAAATATCTTCGTATAATAACCAGACAGAATCATTCTCAGAAAGTGCTTTGTGATGTGTGGGTTCAACTCACAGAGTTTAACCTTTCTTTTCATAGAGGAGTTTGGAAACACACTGTTTGTAAAGTCTGCAATTGGATATATGGACCTGTTTGAGGCCTTCGTTGGAAACGGGATTTCTTCATTGACTGCTAGACAGAAGAATTCTCAGTAAATTCTTTGTGTTGTGTGCATTCAACTCACAGAGTGGAACGTCCCTTTAGACAGAGCAGATTTGAAACACTCTTTTTGCGGAATTTGCAAGTGGAGATTTCTAGCCATTTGATGCCAACAGTAGAAAGGGAAATATCTTCAAATAAAAACCAGACAGAAATCATTCTCAGAAAATTCTTTGTGATGTGTGCGTTCAACTCACATAGTTTAACCTTTCTTTTCATAGAGCAGTTTGGGAACACTCTGTTGGTAATGTCTGCAAGTGGATATATGGACCGCTTTGAGGCCTTCGTTGGAAACGGGATTTCTTCATTTCATGCTAGACAGAAGAATTCTCAGTAACTTCTTTGTGTTGTGTGTATTCAACTCACAGATTGGAACGTCCCTTTACACAGAGCAGATTTGAAACACTCTTTTTGTGGAATTTGCAAGTGGAGATTTCAAGCGATTTGATGCCAACAGTAGAAAAGGAAATATCTGCAAACAAAAACTAGACAGAATCATTCTCAGAAAATGCTTTGTGATGTGTGCGTTCAACTCACAGAGTTTAACCTTTCTTTTCATAGAGGAGTTTGGAAACACACTGTTTCTAATGTCTGCAAGTGGATATATGGACCTGTTTGAGGCCTTCGTTGCAAACGGGATTTTATCATATAATGCTAGACGGAAGAATTCTCAGTAAATTCTTTGTGTTGTGTGCCTTCAACTCACCGAGTGGAACGTCCCTTTAGACAGAGCAGATTTGAAACACTCTTTTTGCGAAATTTGGAAGTGGAGATTTCAAGCCATTTGATGCCAACAGTAGAAAGGGACATATCTTCAAATAAAAACCAGACAGAATCATTCTCAGAAAATTCTTTGTGATGTGTGCGTTCAACTCACATAGTTTAAACCTTTCTTTTCATAGTGCAGTTTGGAAACACTCTGTTTGTAAAGTCTGCAAGTGGATATACGGACCGCATTGAGGCCTTCGTTGGAAACTGGATTTCTTCATTTCATGCTAGACAGAAGAATTCTCAGTAACTTCTTTGTGCTGTGTGTATTCAACTCACAGAGTGGAACGTCCCTTTACACAGAGCAGATTTGAAACACTCTTTTTGTGGAATTTGCAAGTGGAGATTTCAAGCGATTTGATGCCAACAGTAGAAAAGGAAATATCTTCAAATAAAAACTAGACAGAATCATTCTCAGAAACTACTTTGTGATGTGTGCCTTCAACTCACAGAGTTTAACCTTTCTTTTCTTAGAGCAGTTTAGAAACACTCTGCTTGTTATGTCTGCAAGTGGATATTTGGACCTCTTTGAGGCCTTCGTTGCAAACGGGGTTTCTTCCTTTCATGCTAGACTAAGAAGAGTTCTCAGTAACTTTTTTGTGTTGTGTGTATTCAACTCACAGAGTTGAACCTTGCTTTAGAGAGAGCAGATTTGAAACACTCTTGCTGTGGCATTTTCAGGTGGAGATTTCAAGCGATTTGAGGACAATTGCAGAAAAGGAAATATCTTCGTATAATAACCAGACAGAATCATTCTCAGAAAGTGCTTTGTGATGTGTGCGTTCAACTCACAGAGTTTAACCTTTCTTTTCATAGAGGAGTTTGGAAACACACTGTTTGTAAAGTCTGCAATTGGATATATGGACCTGTTTGAGGCCTTCTTTGGAAACGGGATTTCTTCATTGAATGCAAGGCGGAAGAATTCTCAGTAAATTCTTTGTGTTGTGTGCATTCAACTCACAGAGTGGAACGTCCCTTTAGACAGAGCAGATTTGAAACACTCTTTTTGCGGAATTTGCAAGTGGAGATTTCTAGCCATTTGATGCCAACAGTAGAAAGGGAAATATCTTCAAATAAAAACCAGACAGAATCATTCTCAGAAAATTCTTTGTGATGTGTGCGTTCAACTCACATAGTTTAACCTTTCTTTTCATAGAGCAGTTTGGAAACACTCTGTTTGTAAAGTCTGCAAGTGGATATATGGACCGCATTGAGGCCTTCGTTGGAAACGGGATTTCTTCATTTCATGCTAGACAGAAGAATTCTCAGTAACTTCTTTGTGCTGTGTGTATTCAACTCACAGAGTGGAACGTCCCTTTGCACAGAGCAGATTTGAAACACTCTTTTTGTGGAGTTTGCAAGTGGAGATTTCAAGCGATTTGATGCCAACAGTAGAAAAGGAAATATCTTCAAATAAAAACTAGACAGAATCATTCTCAGAATCTACTTTGTGATGTGTGCCTTCAACTCACAGAGTTTAACCTTTCTTTTCTTAGAGCAGTTTAGAAACACTCTGCTTGTTATGTCTGCAAGTGGATATTTGGACCTCTTTGAGGCCTTCGTTGCAAACGGGGTTTCTTCCTTTCATGCTAGACTAAGAAGAGTTCTCAGTAACTTTTTTGTGTTGTGTGTATTCAACTCACAGAGTTGAACCTTGCTTTAGAGAGAGCAGATTTGAAACACTCTTGCTGTGGCATTTTCAGGTGGAGATTTCAAGCGATTTGAGGACAATTGCAGAAAAGGAAATATCTTCGTATAATAACCAGACAGAATCATTCTCAGAAAGTGCTTTGTGATGTGTGCGTTCAACTCACAGAGTTTAACCTTTCTTTTCATAGAGGAGTTTGGAAACACACTGTTTGTAAAGTCTGCAATTGGATATATGGACCTGTTTGAGGCCTTCGTTGGAAACGGGATTTTATCATATAATCCTAGACGGAAGAATTCTCAGTAAATTCTTTGTGTTGTGTGCATTCAACTCACAGAGTGGAACGTCCCTTTAGACAGAGCAGATTTGAAACACTCTTTTTGCGGAATTTGCAAGTGGAGATTTCTAGCCATTTGATGCCAACAGTAGAAAGGGAAATATCTTCAAATAAAAACCAGACAGAATCATTCTCAAAAAATTCTTTGTGATGTGTGCGTTCAACTCACATAGTTTAACCTTTCTTTTCATAGAGCAGTTTGGAAACACTCTGTTTGTAAAGTCTGCAAGTGGATATATGGACCGCATTGAGGCCTTCGTTGGAAACGGGATTTCTTCATTTCATGCTAGACAGAAGAATTCTCAGTAACTTCTTTGTGCTGTGTGTATTCAACTCACAGAGTGGAACGTCCCTTTGCACAGAGCAGATTTGAAACACTCTTTTTGTGGAGTTTGCAAGTGGAGATTTCAAGCGATTTGATGCCAACAGTAGAAAAGGAAATATCTTCAAATAAAAACTAGACAGAATCATTCTCAGAAACTACTTTGTGATGTGTGCCTTCAACTCACAGAGTTTAACCTTTCTTTTCTTAGAGCAGTTTAGAAACACTCTGCTTGTTATGTCTGCAAGTGGATATTTGGACCTCTTTGAGGCCTTCGTTGCAAACGGGGTTTCTTCCTTTCATGCTAGACTAAGAAGAGTTCTCAGTAACTTTTTTGTGTTGTGTGTATTCAACTCACAGAGTTGAACCTTGCTTTAGAGAGAGCAGATTTGAAACACTCTTGCTGTGGCATTTTCAGGTGGAGATTTCAAGCGATTTGAGGACAATTGCAGAAAAGGAAATATCTTCGTATAATAACCAGACAGAATCATTCTCAGAAAGTGCTTTGTGATGTGTGCGTTCAACTCACAGAGTTTAACCTTTCTTTTCATAGAGGAGTTTGGAAACACACTGTTTGTAATGTCTGCAAGTGGATATATGGACCTGTTTGAGGCCTTCGTTGGAAACGGGATTTCTTCATTGAATGCTAGGCGGAAGAAATCTCAGTAAATTCTTTGTGTTGTGTGCATTGAACTCACAGAGTGGAACGTCCCTTTAGACAGAGCAGATTTGAAACACTCTTTTTGCGGAATTTGCAAGTGGAGATTTCTAGCCATTTGATGCCAACAGTAGAAAGGGAAATATCTTCAAATAAAAACCAGACAGAATCATTCTCAGAAAATTCTTTGTGATGTGTGCGTTCAACTCACATAGTTTAACCTTTCTTTTCATAGAGCAGTTTGGAAACACTCTGTTTGTAAAGTCTGCAAGTGGATATATGGACCGCATTGAGGCCTTCGTTGGAAACGGGATTTCTTCATTTCATGCTAGACAGAAGAATTCTCAGTAACTTCTTTGTGCTGTGTGTATTCAACTCAGAGAGTGGAACGTCCCTTTGCACAGAGCAGATTTGAAACACTCTTTTTGTGGAATTTGCAAGTGGAGATTTCAAGCGATTTGATGCCAACAGTAGAAAAGGAAATATCTTCAAATAAAAACTAGACAGAATCATTCTCAGAAACTACTTTGTGATGTGTGCCTTCAACTCACAGAGTTTAACCTTTCTTTTCTTAGAGCAGTTTAGAAACACTCTGCTTGTTATGTCTGCAAGTGGATATTTGGACCTCTTTGAGGCCTTCGTTGCAAACGGGGTTTCTTCCTTTCATGCTAGACTAAGAAGAGTTCTCAGTAACTTTTTTGTGTTGTGTGTATTCAACTGACAGAGTTGAACCTTGCTTTAGAGAGAGCAGATTTGAAACACTCTTGCTGTGGCATTTTCAGGTGGAGATTTCAAGCGATTTGAGGACAATTGCAGAAAAAGAAATATCTTCGTATAATAACCAGACAGAATCATTCTCAGAAAGTGCTTTGTGATGTGTGCGTTCCACTCACAGAGTTTAACCTTTCTTTTCATAGAGGAGTTTGGAAACACACTGTTTGTAAAGTCTGCAAGTGGATATATGGACCTGTTTGAGGCCTTCGTTGGAAACGGGATTTCTTCATTGAATGCTAGACGGAAGAATTCTCAGTAAATTCTTTGTGTTGTGTGCATTCAACTCACAGAGTGGAACGTCCCTTTAGACAGAGCAGATTTGAAACACTCTTTTTGCGGAATTTGCAAGTGGAGATTTCTAGCCATTTGATGCCAACAGTAGAAAGGGAAATATCTTCAAATAAAAACCAGACAGAATCATTCTCAGAAAATTCTTTGTGATGTGTGCGTTCAACTCACATAGTTTAACCTTTCTTTTCATAGAGCAGTTTGGAAACACTCTGTTTGTAAAGTCTGCAAGTGGATATATGGACCGTATTGAGGCCTTCGTTGGAAACGGGATTTCTTCATTTCATGCTAGACAGAAGAATTCTCAGTAACTTCTTTGTGTTGTGTGTATTCAACTGACAGATTGGAATGTCCCATTACACAGAGCAGTTTTGAAACACTCTTTTTGTGGAATTTAAAAGTGGAGAATTCAAGCGATTTGATGCCAAAAGTTGGAAAGGGAATATCTTCAAATAAAAATTAGACAGAATCATTCTCAGAAACTGCTTTGTGATGTGTGCCTTCAACTCACAGAGTTTAACCTTTCTTTTCTTAGAGCAGTTTAGAAACACTCTGCTTGTTATGTCTGCAAGTGGATATTTGGACCTCTTTGAGGCCTTCGTTGCAAACGGGGTTTCTTCCTTTCATGCTAGACTAAGAAGAGTTCTCAGTAACTTTTTTGTGTTGTGTGTATTCAACTCACAGAGTTGAACCTTGCTTTAGAGAGAGCAGATTTGAAACACTCTTGCTGTGGCATTTTCAGGTGGAGATTTCAAGCGATTTGAGGACAATTGCAGAAAAAGAAATATCTTCGTATAATAACCAGACAGAATCATTCTCAGAAAGTGCTTTGTGATGTGTGGGTTCAACTCACAGAGTTTAACCTTTCTTTTCATAGAGGAGTTTGGAAACACACTGTTTGTAAAGTCTGCAATTGGATATATGGACCTGTTTGAGGCCTTCGTTGGAAACGGGATTTCTTCATTGACTGCTAGACAGAAGAATTCTCAGTAAATTCTTTGTGTTGTGTGCATTCAACTCACAGAGTGGAACGTCCCTTTAGACAGAGCAGATTTGAAACACTCTTTTTGCGGAATTTGCAAGTGGAGATTTCTAGCCATTTGATGCCAACAGTAGAAAGGGAAATATCTTCAAATAAAAACCAGACAGAATCATTCTCAGAAAATTCTTTGTGATGTGTGCGTTCAACTCACATAGTTTTACCTTTCTTTTCATAGAGCAGTTTGGAAACACTCTGTTTGTAAAGTCTGCAAGTGGATATATGGACCGCATTGAGGCCTTCGTTGGAAACGGGATTTCTTCATTTCCTGCTAGACAGAAGAATTCTCAGTAACTTCTTTGTGCTGTGTGTATTCAACTCACAGAGTGGAACGTCCCTTTGCACAGAGCAGATTTGAAACACTCTTTTTGTGGAGTTTGCAAGTGGAGATTTCAAGCGATTTGATGCCAACAGTAGAAAAGGAAATATCTTCAAATAAAAACTAGACAGAATCATTCTCAGAAACTACTTTGTGATGTGTGCCTTCAACTCACAGAGTTTAACCTTTCTTTTCTTAGAGCAGTTTAGAAACACTCTGCTTGTTATGTCTGCAAGTGGATATTTGGACCTCTTTGAGGCCTTCGTTGCAAACGGGGTTTCTTCCTTTAATGCTAGACTAAGAAGAGTTCTCAGTAACTTTTTTGTGTTGTGTGTATTCAACTCACAGAGTTGAACCTTGCTTTAGAGAGAGCAGATTTGAAACACTCTTGCTGTGGCATTTTCAGGTGGAGATTTCAAGCGATTTGAGGACAATTGCAGAAAAGGAAATATCTTCGTATAATAACCTGACAGAATCATTCTCAGAAAGTGCTTTGTGATGTGTGCGTTCAACTCACAGAGTTTAACCTTTCTTTTCATAGAGGAGTTTGGAAACACACTGTTTGTAAAGTCTGCAATTGGATATATGGACCTGTTTGAGGCCTTCGTTGGAAACGGGATTTCTTCATTGCATGCTAGACGGAAGAATTCTCAGTAAATTCTTTGTGTTGTGTGCATTCAACTGACAGAGTGGAACGTCTCTTTAGACAGAGCAGATTTGAAACACTCTTTTTGCGGAATTTGCAAGTGGAGATTTCTAGCCATTTGATGCCAACAGTAGAAAGGGAAATATCTTCAAATAAAAACCAGACAGAATCATTCTCAGAAAATTCTTTGTGATGTGTGCGTTCAGCTCACATAGTTTAACCTTTCTTTTCATAGAGCAGTTTGGAAACACTCTGTTTGTAAAGTCTGCAAGTGGATATATGGACCGCATTGAGGCCTTCGTTGGAAACGGGATTTCTTCATTTCATGCTAGACAGAAGAATTCTCAGTAACTTCCTTGTGCTGTGTGTATTCAACTCACAGAGTGGAACGTCCCTTTGCACAGAGCAGATTTGAAACACTCTTTTTGTGGAGTTTGCAAGTGGAGATTTCAAGCGATTTGATGCCAACAGTAGGAAAGGAAATATCTTCAAATAAAAACTAGACAGAATCATTCTCAGAAACTACTTTGTGATGTGTGCGTTCAACTCACAGAGTTTAACCTTTCTTTTCTTAGAGCAGTTTAGAAACACTCTGCTTGTTATGTCTGCAAGTGGATATTTGGACCTCTTTGAGGCCTTCGTTGCAAACGGGGTTTCTTCCTTTCATGCTAGACTAAGAAGAGTTCTCAGTAACTTTTTTGTGTTGTGTGTATTCAACTCACAGAGTTGAACCTTGCTTTAGAGAGAGCAGATTTGAAACACTCTTGCTGTGGCATTTTCAGGTGGAGATTTCAAGCGATTTGAGGACAATTGCAGAAAAGGAAATATCTTCGTATAATAACCAGACAGAATCATTCTCAGAAAGTGCTTTGTGATGTGTGCGTTCCACTCACAGAGTTTAACCTTTCTTTTCATAGAGGAGTTTGGAAACACACTGTTTGTAAACTCTGCAAGTGGATATATGGACCTGTTTGAGGCCTTCGTTGGAAACGGGATTTCTTCATTGAATGCTAGACGGAAGAATTCTCAGTAAATTCTTTGTGTTGTGTGCATTCAACTCACAGAGTGGAACGTCCCTTTAGACAGAGCAGATTTGAAACACTCTTTTTGCGGAATTTGCAAGTGGAGATTTCTAGCCATTTGATGCCAACAGTAGAAAGGGAAATATCTTCAAATAAAAACCAGACAGAATCATTCTCAGAAAATACTTTGTGATGTGTGCGTTCAACTCACATAGTTTAACCTTTCTTTTCATAGAGCAGTTTGGAAACACTCTGTTTGTAAAGTCTGCAAGTGGATATATGGACCGCATTGAGGCCTTCGTTGGAAACGGGATTTCTTCATTTCATGCTAGACAGAAGAACTCTCAGCAACTTCTTTGTGCTGTGTGTATTCAACTCAGAGAGTGGAACGTCCCTTTGCACAGAGCAGATTTGAAACACTCTTTTTGTGGAATTTGCAAGTGGAGATTTCAAGCGATTTGATGCCAACAGTAGAAAAGGAAATATCTTCAAATAAAAACTAGACAGAATCATTCTCAGAAACTACTTTGTGATGTGTGCCTTCAACTCACAGAGTTTAACCTTTCTTTTCTTAGAGCAGTTTAGAAACACTCTGCTTGTGATGTCTGCAAGTGGATATTTGGACCTCTTTGAGGCCTTCGTTGCAAACGGGGTTTCTTCCTTTCATGCTAGACTAAGAAGAGTTCTCAGTAACTTTTTTGTGTTGTGTGTATTCAACTCACAGAGTTGAACCTTGCTTTAGAGAGAGCAGATTTGAAACACTCTTGCTGTGGCATTTTCAGGTGGAGATTTCAAGCGATTTGAGGACAATTGCAGAAAAGGAAATATCTTCGTATAATAACCAGACAGAATCATTCTCAGAAAGTGCTTTGTGATGTGTGCGTTCAACTCACAGAGTTTAACCTTTCTTTTCATAGAGGAGTTTGGAAACACACTGTTTGTAAAGTCTGCAAGTGGATATATGGACCAGTTTGAGGCCTTCGTTGGAAACGGGATTTCTTCATTGAATGCTAGACGGAAGAATTCTCAGTAAATTCTTTGTGTTGTGTGCATTCAACTCACAGAGTGGAACGTCCCTTTAGACAGAGCAGATTTGAAACACTCTTTTTGCGGAATTTGCAAGTGGAGATTTCTAGCCATTTGATGCCAACAGTAGAAAGGGAAATATCTTCAAATAAAAACCAGACAGAATCATTCTCAGAAAATTCTTTGTGATGTGTGCGTTCAACTCACATAGTTTAACCTTTCTTTTCTTAGAGCAGTTTAGAAACACTCTGCTTGTTATGTCTGCAAGTGGATATTTGGACCTCTTTGAGGCCTTCGTTGCAAACGGGGTTTCTTCCTTTCATGCTAGACTAAGAAGAGTTCTCAGTAACTTTTTTGTGTTGTGTGTATTCAACTCACAGAGTTGAACCTTGCTTTAGAGAGAGCAGATTTGAAACACTCTTGCTGTGGCATTTTCAGGTGGAGATTTCAAGCGATTTGAGGACAATTGCAGAAAAGGAAATATCTTCGTATAATAACCAGACAGAATCATTCTCAGAAAGTGCTTTGTGATGTGTGCGTTCAACTCACAGAGTTTAACCTTTCTTTTCATAGAGGAGTTTGGAAACACACTGTTTGTAATGACTGCAAGTGGATATATGGACCGCATTGAGGCCTTCGTTGGAAACGGGATTTCTTCATTGAATGCTAGACCGAAGAATTCTCAGTAAATTCTTTGTGTTGTGTGCATTCAACTCACAGAGTGGAACGTCCCTTTAGACAGAGCAGATTTGAAACACTCTTTTTGCGGAATTTCCAAGTGGAGATTTCTAGCCATTTGATGCCAACAGTAGAAAGGGAAATATCTTCAAATAAAAACCAGACAGAATCATTCTCAGAAAATTCTTTGTGATGTGTGCGTTCAACTCACATAGTTTAACCTTTCTTTTCATAGAGCAGTTTGGAAACACTCTGTTTGTAAAGTCTGCAAGTGGATCTATGGACCGCATTGAGGCCTTCGTTGGAAACGGGATTTCTTCATTTCATGCTAGACAGAAGAATTCTCAGTAACTTCTTTGTGCTGTGTGTATTCAACTCACAGAGTGGAACGTCCATTTGCACAGAGCAGATTTGAAACACTCTTTTTGTGGAATTTGCAAGTGGAGATTTCAAGCGATTTGATGCCAACAGTAGAAAAGGAAATATCTTCAAATAAAAACTAGACAGAATCATTCTCAGAAACTACTTTGTGATGTGTGCCTTCAACTCACAGAGTTTAAACTTTCTTTTCTTAGAGCACTTTAGAAACACTCTGCTTGTTATGTCTGCAAGTGGATATTTGGACCTCTTTTAGGCCTTCGTTGCAAACGGGGTTTCTTCCTTTAATGCTAGACTAAGAAGAATTCTCAGTAACTTCTTTGTGCTGTGTGTATTCAAATCACAGAGTTGAACCTTGCTTTAGAGAGAGCAGATTTGAAACACTCTTGCTGTGGCATTTTCAGGTGGAGATTTCAAGCGATTTGAGGAAAATTGCAGAAAAGGGAATATCTTCGTATAATAACCAGACAGAATCATTCTCAGAAAGTGCTTTCTGATGTGTGCGTTCAAATCACAGAGTTTAACCTTTCTTTTCATAGAGGAGTTTGGAAACACACTGTTTGTAAAGTCTGCAAGTGGATATATGGACCTGTTTGAGGCCTTCGTTGGAAACGGGATTTTATCATATAATGCTAGACGGAAGAATTCTCAGTAAATTCTTTGTGTGGTGTGCATTCAACTCACAGAGTGGAACGTCCCTTTAGACAGAGCAGATTTGAAACACTCTTTTTGCGGAATTTGCAAGTGGAGATTTCTAGCCATTTGATGCCAACAGTAGAAAGGGAAATATCTTCAAATAAAAACCAGACAGAATCATTCTCAGAAAATTCTTTGTGATGTGTGCGTTCAACTCACATAGTTTAACCTTTCTTTTCATAGAGCAGTTTGGAAACACTCTGTTTGTAAAGTCTGCAAGTGGATATATGGACCGCATTGAGGCCTTCGTTGGAAACGGGATTTCTTCATTTCATGCTAGACAGAAGAATTCTCAGTAACTTCTTTGTGCTGTGTGTATTCAACTCACAGAGTGGAACGTCCCTTTGCACAGAGCAGATTTTAAACACTCTTTTTGTGGAGTTTGCAAGTGGAGATTTCAAGCGATTTGATGCCAACAGTAGAAAAGGAAATATCTTCAAATAAAAACTAGACAGAATCATTCTCAGAAACTACTTTGTGATGTGTGCCTTCAACTCACAGACTTTAACCTTTCTTTTCTTAGAGCAGTTTAGAAACACTCTGCTTGTTATGTCTGCAAGTGGATATTTGGACCTCTTTGAGGCCTTCGTTGCAAACGGGGTTTCTTCCTTTCATGCTAGACTAAGAAGAGTTCTCAGTAACTTTTTTGTGTTGTGTGTATTCAACTCACAGAGTTGAACCTTGCTTTAGAGAGAGCAGATTTGAAACACTCTTGCTGTGGCATTTTCAGGTGGAGATTTCAAGCGATTTGAGGACAATTGCAGAAAAGGAAATATCTTCGTATAATAACCAGACAGA